>NC_000007.14:138756779-139381779 GCF_000001405.40 Homo sapiens
GGACCACAGCCAGACCTTATATTCAGCTCTAAGCCCCACATTTAAGAGATATGATAATAAACAAGAAACCATTCAGAAGAGAATATTGCAAGGCTTAAAACGAAGACAGCTGGCTGATAAACTGGCTCACCAGAGTTAATTAACACACAACACCGACATTTTGGGGATGAGTAGGTGTTTTATATTTAACAAAGGTAAAGCCATGCCCAATTTTTGACTCATACATACAGTTGCTCAGATTTTTTGACTCACAGTTGCTTGTGTGCCATAAGACTGCTGCTTAAATCACACTTGTCAAGTCCAAGTTGGACAATTCACAAGAAAGGAAGATGTGTTCCACAAGCAGACATGCAAATGTTTAACTCTTACTGTAAGCAAAGAAATATGAGCTGAAACAATGCATTCTTCCAATCTTATTTAGTTTGAGGGGGTAAAGGTAAAATGACAAAACCCAGACCGGGTGCAGTAGCTCACACCTGTAATCCCAGCACTTTGGGAGGCTAAGGCGGGTGGATGGCTTGAGCCCAGGGGTTCAAGACCAGCCTGGGCAACATGGTAAAACCCCATCTCTACAAAAAATACAAGAATTAGCTGAGTGTGGTGGTGCTCACCTGTGGTCCCAGCTACCAGGAAGGCTGAGGTGGGAGGATTGTTTGAGCCCAGGAAGTCGAGGCTGCAGTGAGTCATGATCATACTACTGCACTCCAGCCTGGGTGGCAGAGTGAGACCCTGTCTCAAAAAAAAACCCCAAAAAACAAAAACAAAAACTATTGTTGGAAAAGTTATGACAAATCCAATAGACTCATCACATACTACTCGAGGCACTGGAATCAGAAAAGTCACTGAAAGGCCATTTGTCGGGACCTATCGGGTGTCATTAAAATGCCCGCACCCTTTAAGCCAGCAATCCTATTTTTCTTGAACTTGTTTATTATGAAAGTAATTCAAAAGCAAATAAAAATCCACATGCATAAAGATGCTCATCATGGTGTCTACATTCTGGAGAAAAATTAGAAATAAAGTGTCCAAAATAGATAGTCAACGTCACGTCAACTCAGTGGACACAATAGATATTCCTTAAAAATACTATCAAAATGAATCCTGTCTTTGGCATTTCCTTACGGGAGCAAGTGGCGGTGTTTTAGGATTTTCAGAGCTGCTGCGTTACATTATTTCCAAAAGGTTTCTCTACCCGTGGAGTCTACCCTGGTCCTTTTCTGAGTCTCTTAAATTTTCTTTTCTCCTGATCCACCAGAATCAGGAATCTGCTCTAATCTCATGACTTCCCTTTGGTGACCTTCGGCGTCCACGCTCATCTTTTTCCAGATGCTTTTACTTTCTCTCCCACTATGACTGTCATATGTCAAAACAGGATTATAAAAAGTGATGATTTAATGTCAAATTTAAAAATGATCTTTACGAAGGATGCACAGTAATATGGGGAGGGATCTCATATTAGGTAAAACAAAGAAAAGAAAAAAATTATTTCCATGTATACTACAATCATATAAAATTATACCTGTCTACGGCTATAGAGAGAAATAGTACAAGAGGCAAAATACAAATGAAGACATTAGAGTGATGGGGTTTCTCATTTTTTTCATAATCTTTCTTATTTTAAATTTCACTTATTTTAAAGTTGTTTTTCATCAAAATGAATTTTGTTGTTTTTTCATTAAAATTAATTTTTTTAGCCTCTAATCTGAAAAAGATTATAGACGCTCAGAAATAAGCCTAGCTTCTGGGAATTAAAGGGTAAGTGGATTAAATACAAACTGGAAGGTGAGACAGCAACATCCGACAGAATTCACAGCAACAACTGTATGGCACTAAGGGCTGAGCCCCCTTGAAGCCTTGTTGTTTGAAGTGTGGGATCTATTGGCAAATACATCATCAGCATTCTCTGGGAGTTGTAAGAACTGCGGAATCTCAGGCCCCACTCAGACCCACTGACTCAGAATTTTTTTTTTTTTTTTTTTTTTTTTTTTTTTGAGGGAGTCTTGCTCTGTCACCCAGGCTGGAGTGCAGTGGCACAATCTCAGCTCACTGCAACCTCCGCCTCTTGGGTACCAGTGATTCTCCTGCCTCAGCCTCGCAAGTAGCTGGCACTACAGGTGTGCGCCACCACTCCTGGCTAATTTTTTTATTTTTAGTAGAGACAGAGTTTCACCATGTTGGCCAGGATGGTCTCAAATTCCTGACCTCAGGTGATCCGCCCACCTCGGCCTCCCAAAGTGCTGGGATTACAGGCATGAGCCACCATGCCCAGCCTATTTTTTTTTTTTTTTTTTTTTTTTTGAGATAGGGTCTCACTCTGTTCCCTAGGCTGGAGTGCAGTGGTGTGATCATAGCTCACTGCAGCCTTGACCTCCTGGGCTCAAGTTGTCCTCCCACCTCAGCCTCCTAAGTAGCTGGGACTACCGGTGTGTGCCACCACACTTGGTTAACTTTTTTTTGTAGAGATGTTTTCTTGCTATGTTGCCCAGGCTGGTCTCAATCCCCTGACCTCAAACGATCCTCCCACCTTGGGCTCCCAAAGCGCTGAGATTACAGGCATAAGCCACCATGCCTGGCCTGGAATTTGCATTTTAACAAGATCCCCGGGTGACCTCTATGCTCGCGTGCACATTGAAGCTTGAGAAGCTGACCTCAATCAGTTCTCAGTTCTTTAAGACACAGCTGCCGCCTAGGATAGTACTAGTATAACTAAGTTCTAGAGAAAAGTATAGCTATGTCTCTGGGAAGAATAAACCAGTTATGAGGTGTTGACAAGAATCAGTCCTTGAACTGACCTTTCAAATATATATTTTTAAAAAGGAACAAAGTAAAAGGGAAGGAAAAAAAGGAGAAAAAAAGGAAATAGATATTAGTCTCATCAAACTAAAGATCCCCCATGTTTTGGGAGAACGAAGCGCTTCTGCTGAGGGCTATGGGAAGTCTCAGAGAAAGTTTTTGCAGCCCAAGGTTCCCACCGTCACAGGATCCTCCAGAGGGGCGTCCATCTCACTGAACTTCAAGTACACGTTTCCTCGGCAGATTCGCCACAGTAACCGCTCAAAGGAAGCCATCCTCTCCCTGTTGATCACACCGGCTATGAACCTAGGCAGCCAGAAGGGAAGACATTCCTTAAGGCACAGGGATTGGGATGCAGAGAGAAGGCCCTGTAGGACGTGAAGACACACCATGAAAGGAAGGGCCATTCACTCTGTGAGCAGGAGGGACCCCGACACAGCTCTACCGACATGAGTCCCAAGGCCACCCCGCATCCAGCCCTGACTTGCCCCAAGTCCCTTTGACCTTCTGTTTTCTTTGGTATCTTGAAATATCCTTAATCATTCCAATACTATATCGTCACTAATTGCAATTAAGAATATGATAGAATGGCCAGGCGCCGTGGCTCACACCTGTAATCCCAGCACTTTGGGAGGCTGAGGCGGGCGGATCACCTGAGGTCAGGAGTTCGAGACCAGCCTGGCCAACATGCTGAAACCCCATCTCTACTAAAAATACAAAATTAGCCACACCTGGTGGCGTGCACCTATAGTCCCAGCTACTCAGGAGGCTGAGGTAGGAAAATCACTTGAACCTGGGAGGCGGAGGTTGCAGTGAGCCAAGAATGTGCCATTGCACTCCAGCCTGGGCAGAGAAGGGTGAAACTCTGTCTCAAAAAAAAAAAAAAAAAAAAGAATATGATAGACCATTCATCATGCATTGTAGCTAATGATAGCAAATATTCAACAGTAGTCTCTATGCATTTTTCCAAAAATATTTTAATACTAAGAGGGAAAAATACATTGATGTCTATATATATCTGTTTTTTCCATTATCCAAGCATGTAGATAACTGCTGACCCAAACTTCTCATGTTAGCCAGTGACTTTCACTGGCTTATTACTTTAAATGTTCATTGATCCTGTATTACTTTCTGATCAAATATTTCCAATAAATATTTTTATTTTCATTTCAAATTCAATGCCTAGTGCCTCAAATATCAGGCCCTCAAATATTTATTGAATAAAAAATCATAAATCCCAAACTCACAATTTTCAGAAATGCTTTAAAATGCCTCAATTTCACTTAGGCACTGAACAAAATCCTACCATTTTGAATCACCACATTATTTTCATGGCTACGACACATCATATCACTGCTTCTTGGAAATAACTTGATTGCATAACTATCCCATTTCTTTTTTTTATTAAAATTTTTTTTTTTGTAGACACAGAGTCTTGCTATGTTGCTCAGGCTGATCTCAAACTCCTGGCCTCAAGTGATCCTCCTGCCTCAGCTTCCCAAAGTGCTGGGATTATAGGCATAAGCCACCACATCTGACCCCCATTTCTAATTACATTTAAAAATGTATCCCGGGCAACACAGTGAGGCCTTGTCTCTACTAAAAAATTTTTTAAAAATTAGCCTGGCATTGTGCCTGTGGTCCAGCTACTCGCGAGGCAGAGGTAGGAAGATCACTTGAGCCTGAGAGGTCAAGGCTGCAGTGAGCTATGATTGCACCTCTGCACTCCAGCCTGGGCAACAGAGTGAGAGCCCGTGTCAAAAAAAAACACACAAATTCAGGCCAGGTGCGGTGGATCACACCTGTAATCCCAACACTTTGGGAGGCCAAGGCAGGCGGATCACGAGGTCAGGAGATCGAGACCATCCTGCCTAACACGGTGAAACCCCGTCTCTACCAAAAACACAAAAAAATTAGCCGGGTGTGGTGGCAGACGCCTGTAGTCCCAGCTACTCGGCTGAGGCAGGAGAATGGCGTGAACCTGGGAGGCGGAGTTTGCAGTAAGTCGAGATCAGGCCACTGCACTCCAGCCTGGACGACAGAGCAAGACTCTGTTTCAAAAAAAAAAAAAATTCAAACTCCAAATGCATTTTATTATCAAAGTAATATTTTATTTTATTTTCTTGAGCTGGAGTCTTGCTCTGTCGCCCAGGCTAGAGTGCAGTGGCACGATCTTGGCTCACTGCAACCTCTACCTCCAGGGTTCAAGCGATTCTCCTGCCTCAACTTCCTAAGTAACTGGTATTACAGGCACGTGCGACCATGCCTGACTAATTTTGTATTTTTAGTAGAGATTGGGGTTTCACTATGTTGCCCAGGCTGGTTTCAAACTCCTGACCTCAAGTGATCCACCCACCTCAGCCTCCCAAAGTACTGGGATTACAGGTGTGAGCCACCACGCCCGGCTCCCAAAATAGTATTTTAAAGAGAAAGGAAAAACATAAGTCCCCATAGCCTTGTTCCAACGCCAGGGAAGAGTTGTGATAACCCATCTGAACAATGATCCCCACAGCTTCCAATGGGGGAGCAATATAAACATTGCAGTCTTCAGGCTCAAGGAGGTCAGCATCGCCACTAACAAGAAGCTGACACCACTTCCGACTCCACCAACCTAGTAAGTTACATATGGGTCTATCGCTTGGCAGAGGCTTTGCATCCATGGGAAACAGTCCCCATTCCAATGGCTATTTGTTCACCCGTTCATTCACTCACTCAGAAATCACTCGCCAGGACCAGGGACCCATCTACACACAAGAATTACACTAACCCCAACTTTCCGGTCATATATGCAGGCACTGCTTTCAACTCCAGGAGGCCAGAAGTGTCCTCAGTAAAGAAATCATCAGCTAAATTGGTTTCCGTCTGAAAGTCAAAGCACTATGATTTTCATTTAAATATATTTAGGGAAACTCAAAAGGCACCTACACCTCAAGATTTTCTCTGGTTTTAGTGAAGCTTTAATTTTCCACAAAAAGTTAACAGAAGTCAGAAAACAGAGTGCTCCTGGCCAGATCAAAAAGCTTCCCTGGTCTTTTCCTACCAAAACCCTAAAACTTCTCAAACCAACTGCTGTGCTTGGTTCTGACTTCTCTTTCTGCCTGAGCCATTTTCAGCACATACATTTTACTGAGCACCATAATATTTTTCCCTTCAATCCAACCAGCACTACAATTATTCCACCCAAAATACTCCCCCGCCCTCACCAATGGCCTAGCCATGGAACAGAAACAGAGTGATTTACTCAGATCCCAGGCCAGCCAGTTTCCAAAATGGAAATTTGAGGTTCTGAGGAACGGGCCCTTTAGTAACTCATCCCCACGTGACCACCTCAAAGAAGTCTTGGGTTTTCTTCAGGAGGTATTTCAGTTCTGTCAGTTCTAGGAAGCTTTGTTTCAAGGCCTGCTGGTTCTGGTTGGCTTCCTGTAACTCTCCTTCCAGTTTTTCTAGAACAGTCTATGCAGGAAGGAAAAAGAAGGTAAGCCAACAGAAAGTGCTATGACATTCCTGAAATACATTACCCACAACAGATGACTAAAAAAAATCAAAGGAATCAGCACATAACATGATTGCAGACCCTAATACACATACACACAGACACACACAGACACACACAGACACACACACACACACACACACACACGTGCATGCTCTCTTAAGAGTTCCATCACCAAACGAGAGGATTAGGAAGTACTTGGAGGAGTGGATGGCCACTTCATGGAGAAGTTAAGACATTTTGGCAAATCATGCCTCCTCTCGTTTAAAACACTAGGCCAGGCTGGGTGCGGTGGCTCATGCCTGTAATCCCAGCACTTTGGGAGGCCGAGATGTGCAGATCACTTGAGGTCAAGCGTTCAAGACCAGCCTGGTTAATGTGGTGAAACCCCATCTCTACTAAAAATAGAAAAATTAGCCAGGAATGGTGGCACACACCTGTAATCCCAGCTACCCAGGAGGCCGAGGCAGGAGAGTTATTTGAACCCGGGAGGCAGAAGCTGTGGTGAGCCGAGATCGTGCCACTGCACTCTAGCCTGGGCGACAGAGCAAGACTCCATTTCAAAAAAATAAATAAATAACAATAAAAATAACTTCAGAAACATTAAACAATATGGAGTCTTAAAATAGAAAATGATGGGCCAGGCACGGTGGCTCATCCTGTAATCCCAGCACTTTGGGAGGCTGAGGCAAGTGGATCACTTGAAGTCAGGAGTTCAAGACCAGCCTGGCCAACATGGTGAAACCCTGTTTCTACTAAAAATACAGAAATTAGCCGGGCAAAACTCTGGAGGCTGAGGCAGGAGATTCGCTTGAATCCGGGAGGCAGAGGTTACAGTGAGCAGAGGTCGCACCACTGCACTCCCACCTGGGAGACAAAGCTTTTTTTCAGACTCTGTCTCAAAAAAAAAATATATATATATATATATGTATATATATACACACACACACGTATGTATATATGTATATGTATATAATATATATGAAATTGATGAAATAGCAAGTTGCAGAAGAATAAACAATATAGTTCCATTTAGAGAAAATTTTTTAACATGTAAAGCTATACCATATGTTATTTAGAAAAATAAATATGTAATAAAACTATGAAAAAATAAAGAAAAATACAGAAGTTAGGATAATGATGATCTCGAAGGGAAGAGGGGAAAGGAGATGGAGGAGGGGTGAGGAGGGGCACACAGGTTTTTTGAATGCCCCTGTGGGTACCGTTATCTTACACAGGGCGACAGACACATGGTGTGTGCTGATCCTTACTTTTTATACCTTACATGTTTTATAAAAATTCTACTAATGCAATTTAATGTTTAACAAAAACAATAACAAATCCACACTGAAACAGACAGGAGTGAAACTATAGAACAAAGATAAAACTTTAAAGGCTATCAGGGAAAAAAAGGACATATATCCACAAAGGGGTGATAATTGAACCAGTAGCAAATATTATGAGAAAAATTTAGTGAATATGTGCCTTGAAGTGTTAAGTGTAACTGTCATCTGTAGCTTGCACACCAATCAGTAGTGGGGAAGGGTTGGCAGGTATTACAGAAAGACAGGAAAGGGAAGGGAAGTAAAAAACAAAAGGAATAATAACTGAAAAAGCCAGTGAATCAGAAATCACAATAAACGGAAATGGATTAAGGTCACCTATTAAAGAAGAGATTATCATGCTAGTTTTTAATCCATCTAAAAGACACTGTTAACAGAGTTTTTGTTTTTGTTTTTGTTTTTAAGACAAAGTCTCACTCTGTCGCCCAGGCTGGAGTGCAGTGGCATGATCTTGGCTCACTGCAAACTCCACCTCTCGGGTTCAAGTGATTCTCTTGCCTCAGCCTCCCAAGTAGCTGGGATTACAGGCGTGTGCCACCAGGCCCGGCTAATTTTTTTGTATTTTTAGTAGAGATGGGGTTTCACCATGTTGGCCAGGCTAGTCTCAAACTCCTGACCTCAAGTGATCCACCCACCTCGGCCTCCCAAAGTGCTGGGATTACAGCCGTGAGCCACTGCGCCTGGCACAAAGAGATTTTTTTTAAACAATAAAAAATGATAATCCTGTAAATGTTAGCTCTCCCTGAAATGCTTAGTATTAGACAAAATTGAATTACTATGGAAAATTTCAAACACACACAAGCAGCGTGAATCCTATCCGCCCATCATCCAGCTTCAGTTCCACTCCATTACCTCCCGTCTCAGAGAAAGCCATTACCCTGAATTTTGAACACTGAATATAATGACACAAAGTTGGGGGGAAAAGTAAATCTTCATTTCCCAATCATTTCCTCTATCCACTTAAGGATGCCATAAAAATAATGCTGCTATTACTATACACAATGGATATATAATTATGTAAAAGTATAGCTGCATGAGAATAAAGCCTGAAAACAAGGAAAAGCCAGGGCAGTTTCTGAGGGGATGGTGGTTTTTTCCCTCCCCCCTGAATTAGTATTTCCTCTAGGACTGTTATAAAAGCCTCTTTAGAAACTCGACAAGGCAGGGGCCCAGAGCCATTGGTGTACTCTTGCCAAAGGATTCAACTCTCTAGCAATGTTGGGGGAACACAGCTAACTGCAGGATTAGTCAAATCAATCAATCAACAAATCAATTCCAGTGAGCAATGAATGGTAAAAGATATTACTCTCCTACTTTTATGCTGGTGGTTTTTGTTTTTGTTTTTGTTTTTGTTTTTGTTTTTGAGAGAAGGTCTCACTCTGTTGCCCAGGCTAGGGTGCAGTGGTGTGAACACAGCTTACCACAGCCTCCACCTTCTGGTAGCCACTCTCCTGCCTTAGCCTCCCAAGTAGCTGGGACCACAGGTGCACACCACCACACCCAGCTGATTATTTTTATTTTCTTGTAGAGACAGAGTCTCATTATGTTGGGCAGACTGGTCTCAAACCCCTGAGCTCAAGCAATCCTCCTGCCTTGGCCTCCCAAAGTGCTGGGATTACAGGCATGAGCCACCATGGCCAGCCCTGGTGCTGTTTTAATTTCATTTTTACAGCAAATAACATTCAGAAGAAAAACTCTAAGGAAGGACTTGTGCACACATCTGATTGCCCCTTATCTATTCCTACAAATGTATGAATGTAGAGCTTTAACACCTTAAAATATCATGTTATTATTATTTTTTTTTTTTTTTTGGAAACACAGTCTTGCTCTGTCACCCACGCTGGAGTGCAGTAGTGCGATCTCGGTTCCCTGCAACCTCCCTCTCCTGGGGTCAAACAATTCTCCTGCCTCAGCTTCTAGAGTAGCTGGGATTACAGGCATGCGCCACCCACGCCTGGCTAATATTTTTGTATTTTCAGTAGAGATGGGGTTTCACCATGTTAGTCAGGCTGGTCTCGAACTCCTGACCTCAAGCAATACACCCGCCTTGGCTTCCCAAAGTGCTGGGATTACAGGCGTAAGCCACTGCGCCTGGCCTATCATGCTAGACATTTTTTTTTTAATCCATCTAAGAGACACCCTTACCAAAGAGATAAAAGATAAACGATATAGCCCAAAACAATAAATTTCCCCCAAAAATAAAAAGGGCTATCCACTCAAATTTTAGCTCCCCCCACCCAGAAAAGCTTATTAATATCAGTCAAGATTGAATCTTTTAAACTTAAAATGGTTAAACTTGAAAATGTGTGTGCCTTGGCATGGTTGAAGTCAGCCAAAACTAAACCCAGTTGGATGAATTCCTTTATTAAGGTACTACAGCCAACTCAGTTTGAAAACAAAAGCAGCACATGTTACCTGTTTAACAAAATCAAGACAGGCTCTATGCTGGTCAAGTTTCAGTGTAATATCAAAGAAGAATATCCATAATTATTTGAAAAGGCTATTAAAATATTCCTCCCTTTTCCCACTGCTTATCTGTGTAAGGCTGGATTATCTTCCTCTCCTTCAATAAAAACAGCACATCACCAACAGATTTAAAGTAGAAGCAGGTGTGAGAAACCAGCTGTTTCTATTAGCCAAGCACTTTAAAAATTCACAAACAATGCCATCCTTCTCATGAAAGTGTTTTTGTCTTGGAAAAGACAGTCATTTTTCACTTAAAAAATGTTACCATGTAATGAGACATTATTGTTATTTTCAAGTGAATTAATACATAAATATTTTACATACTTTTCCATTTTAATTTGTAATACAGTCAAAAATCAATAAACAGGCCAGGCGAGGTGGCTCACGCCTGTAATCCCAGCACTTTGGGAGGCCAAGGTGGGCGGATCACCTGAGGTCAGGAGTTCGAGACCAGCCTGGACAACATGGTGAAACCCTGTCTCTACTAAAAATACAAAAATTAGCTGGGCGTGGTGGCGCATGCCTGTAATCCCAGCTACTTGGGAGGCTAAGGCAGGAGAATCGCTTGAGCCTGGGAGGCAGAGGTTGCAGTGAGCCGAGATCACACCACTGCACTCCAGCCTGGGCAACAGAGCAAGACTCCATCTCAAAAAAATATGATAAGGTCCAAAATATTTTCTAGAAGATTTGACAATCTAATATTTCTATGTGAGTATCAAGATTTATACTACTCATGGCTTTGAAATTTTCAAGAATTTGAAGTTATCTTCAAAAAAAAAAAAAAAACCCAGCCAGAGAAAAGGCTCAGCTAGGTGAAGCCTTGCCTACCTGCCCACGCCCTGAATGAGCTGTTCCACTGCCGAGGATAAAATACCTGCTTTTTCAGTTAAGTCCCCCAGGGTCCTCCATGATCTGGCTCTGCCTACCTCTTCACTTCCTCTCCCAGCCCTGCCCCTCATCCCTGTCCCCACCATCTGCTCTATAAGCCCTTGGAGGGCACAGTCATGTTTATTTCTAAGCTACCTTGCACGTGGCAGGTATTCAGTGGTTTTTTTGTTTGTTTGTTTGTTTGTTTTTGAGATGGAGTCTTGCTCTGTCGCCCAGGCTGGAGTGCAGTGGCACAATCTCAGCTCAATGCAACCTCTGCGTCCCGGATTCAAGCGATTCTCGTGCCTCAGCCTCCCAAGTAGCTGGGATTACAGGCACCTACCACCACCCCCGGCTAATTTTTGTATATTTAGTAGAGACAGGGTTTCACCATGTTGGCCAGGCTGGTCTCGAATTCCTGACTTCGTGATCCGCCTGCCTCGGCCTCCCAAAGTGGTGGGATTACAGGGGTGAGCCACTGCGCCCAGCTGGTATTCAGTGTTTTATAAAAGACTGAAGGGGAAGGAAATAGACAAGGAAAGGAAAGAGGGAGAGCCCCACCAGCTGAAATGTCCTTGAAAACTGCAGTCTTCTCCCAGTTGACCTACAGAAGCCAGTCAGAGAAGCAGCTTCCATCTGGAGTGAGTCCAACTCATCAGCTGCTTCCCACCAGAGAATTAGAAAACATCCCATTATGCCCACACTCAGCCCATTCAGTGGCACCCAGCAGACAAGACCACACTGCCTGTAAGAATCAAACACCCACAAAAGCAATCAACTCCTCAAAGTGGGCTAAGCTTCCCGAGGGCTATGCTGAGAAAGGAAAACAGCTGTCTCCAGATCAGCAGGTGTGGCTCTAAAAACCGCACACTGGGATTTTCCTGGGGCTGTAACCCTGAGAGGGAGACGACCATGCAGGCCTGCCTCCCTGCCTTCAAGCAAACAGGTACGGAATCTGCAAGTGGCTCTCAGGGCCTTCAAGGAGACAGGCTTCATGACTGTCCTTACCTGGGGAGGCCAGCAAAGTGGAGAACTTACCTCCAGGGTAATCATTTCCCGTGGGAGCGGGGTCAGTGGGCTTTTCTCGAGCAACTGAACTACAATCTCATTTTGCATCTCGTCTTCCAGAAAACCTGAAGAATGAAAACCCACCAGAAACCCCAAGGTGATTGTGTTTTCTCATAACTAAGAAATGAGGTCAAGCAAGACATGTGCCTTTCACTCAGCTCAGCTACCTGAATTGTCCTAGGAGCTGCCACAGCACCTGGATCCCACCCCCAACCTCCCCCATTCCCTCCAGGTGGGCCTCTGGGACCACCTCAAAAAGTATTGCAAATAGGGACACATTTGTTCATTAAGTCCTGCAAACTATTAACCCCCTTGCCAGTTCACATTTGAACAGTAAGAAAAAAAAAAAAAAAATTGGCTTACGGAGGATTCTCTCCAGTGATTCACACCTTCTGACTTCATTCACAAATTTCCTTTGAAAGCTGTTCACATTCATATTTAACTATGGGGGCGAAAATCACAAGATACATGTTAGTAGCAACAGCTGCCAATAGATTTCTTTCTTTTTTTTTTTTTTTTTTTGAGACTGAGTTTTAATCTTGTCACCCAGACTGGAGGGCAATGGCGCGATCTCAGCTCACTGTAACCTCCACCTCCTGGGTTCAAGTGATTCTTCTGCCTCAGCCTCCCAAGTAACTGGGATTACAGGCACCCACCACCACGCCTGGCTAATTTTTGTATTTGTAGTAGAGATGGGGTTTCACCATGTTGGCCAGGCTGGCCTCAAGCTCCTGACCTCAGGTGATCCGCCCACCTCAGCCTCTCAAAGTGCTGGGATTACAAGCGTGAGGCACTGCGCTAAGCCCCCTTTTGGTCATTTTATTATCTTTTTAATACTAGAGAATGTTGCTGGAATTATCTTAGGAACAGATACTTCCATGCACAAGACAGGTGAGTTACAGGCAAAACACACCTTAGTGTTCTTACATTCAATCCCCCAAATGCTTCAACATTCACCCTCTCGTTTCTAAAAGAAACAAAGTCCTGGCCAGGTGCAGTTGCTCATGCCTGTAATCCCAACACTTTGGGAGGTCGAGGCTGGTGGATCCCTTGAGCCCAGGAGTTCGAGACCAACCTGGGCAACATAATGAGACCTCATCTCTACAAAAAATTACAAAATTAACCGAGCGTGGTGGTGTGCTGAGGTAGGAGGATGGCTTGAGCCTGGGAGGTCAAGGCTACAATGAGCCGTGATTGTGCCACTGCACTCCAGCCTGGGCTACAGAGCAAGACCCTGTCTCAAACAACAACAACAAAAAAAATTGGACTTAATCAAAATTTAAAACTTTTGTGCATCAAAGGACACTTAACAGTGTCCTTTCACTTTCTTAATAGGAAGTGAAAAAAACCCACAGCATGGGAGAAAATCATATATCTGCCTGAAAAAAGAAAAGTAAAGTAAAAAGAAAGGAAAAGAAAAGAAAAAAGGAAGGAAGGAAGAGAGGGAGGGGAAGGAAGGAAGAAAGGAAGGAAGGAAGGAAAGGAAGTCTGTCCTCATCTAAGTTTACCTTATTTCTCTGCCTTGGCTATCCAAATGAGCCTCAAAATCCTCAATGGGGTCATAAAAATGACCAGACCTTGAAGATTGCACAGCTCCATGTAACGTATCACAGTCATCAACAAAACTTCAACTCTCAGCTCAGCTCAATAAACGTTATTGAGGACCTGCCTCATACGAGGTCCTGTGTGAAGAACTAGGGATGCGAACAACAAGATGTGATTCTTCCCTGCAGGAGCTTAGCTCTGACCTTGACCTTAGTGAAGAAGTAAAGAAGGACTGGTTTTCTCAATTAGACTACGAACTTGGTGAGGGTCTAAACTGCCCCTGGGAAATGATACCCCCATGTCATACTCAAGACTGTCTAACTCTAGAATATCACTCTGGAACTCAATCCCGGGTATGACAACCAACTCTGGACTCCAGAATACTTTGTCTTCAGCCTGTCTAGTCAGGAAAAATAGTTTTTATGGTCAGAATAAGGTTTGGTAATCTACATGCCCATTGGCTATATACAATGTTTGAAGATGCTACATAAGAGAAAAAAAATTCAATGACATCTAATGAGTAGTGATTGCATTAGAGCTTCAAGACATTCCTATAGAGGAGACAGGCATGGAGGGAGGGAGAACACGCTCTTGAATGACCTGCCTGGTCATGACAAATCCTAGCCAGAAGCACTAAAACTACAGAATTTCATCGATTCCAGCTCACGGCTCCTCTCCCTACAAAATGGTTATTGTTCACCATAAAGAAGTGTTGTGCAAGAGTTATCTACTCCCACCCCTGCCTTCCTCTTATCTCCAAAGAACTCAGTACCTACATCTTTGAACTGAACCAATCCGAGCTCTCCGAGCTCAGCCACACAGCAATATGCAGCTTCCACCTGGAGAAACAGTTGTGACAAACACATCTCCTCGCTTCGAAACACAGACACCATCTTGGCCCAGCCTCGGTCTACAGGAGAAAAAGAAAAAGATATTAATATTTAAGGTAATAAATGTGTGAAAACCTTAGGGTGAAATTTTTAAGTTAAATTAAAATCTAACAGGGAAAAAAAATCCATTAGGAATCACTTCTGATTTTAGGAGACTTTTTTTTTTTTTTTTTCTTAGACAGGGTCTCACTCTGTTGCCTGGGCTCGAATGCAGTGGTGCAATTCTGGCTTACTGCAGCCTCAACCTCCCAGGCTCAAGTAATCCACCCATCTCAGCCTCCTGAATAGCGGGGACTACAGGTGTGCACCAGGATGCCCAGCTATCCTGATTCTAAAAACAAGATAGCACTTTATGCCCTCCATCAGATTGGCAAAATATTATACTTTATTTTTGAGACAGAGTCTTGCTCTGTCACCCAGGCTGGAGTGCAGTGGCACAAACATGACTCACTGCAGCCTCAACCTCCTGGGCTCAAGAGATCCTCCTGCCTCAGCCTCCTATGTAGCTGGGACTGCAGGTGTGCACCACCACACCCAGCTAGTTGTTTTATTTTTTTGTTGAGACAGAGTCTTGCTGTGTTGCCCAGGCTGGTATTGAACTCCTGGACTGAAGTGATCCTCCCACTCTGGTCTCTCAAAGTGCTGGGATTACAGGCATGAGCCACTGCTCTCAGCTGGCAAAATATTTTAAAATATGACTAAAGACTCAAGTTGTGGAGGGTATGAGAAAACAGGCCCTTTCATGCACTCGAATGTCACTCTAGAACTCAGTTGTGGGTATCACAACCAACTCTGGATTCCAGAATACTTTGTCTTCAATTTCCCTAGTCAGGAAAAATAGTTTTTGTCATCAGAATGAGATTTGGTAATCCATATGCCCATTGGGTATATCCAACGTTAACGTGTAAATTCTTTGTAGCTTTTTCAGAGAGCAATTTATCAATGTCTATCAAATCTTATATCCCTCATACCCACAAATCAAGATGTCCACTGCTATTTATCCAGATAGACCTGGATATGTATGGAGAAACAGATGAACAAGAATGTTTCTTATAATATTGTATGTAATAATTATAGTAAATGGCTGTAACCTAGATATCCATCATTAGGGGAATGATTAAATAAACTGTGATATAACAGAGCCCTGTGCAGTCAGCAGGAATAAAATAAATCTGTATGTCCTGTATATGGAAGAAGGATGCCCACGGGTGAGTGGGGCAGGGGAATGGTGCGAGTTAGGTTAGCCAAAACTGACCTGCAAGACACAGTTCCACCATACAGTCATAAGTGTGTATTGACACTGCTGATTAAAGAAAGACTAAGACTCACACTCCTGAAAGGGGAATCTCAAACATCTAGACTGAAATAGATTAAAACATCCACCATACTGTAACAGATGCATGTCCAAAGTTTAACTGTGAAACTGGGGGATGATCTTGAAGCCATTGCCACCAGCCCGCACACAGCATACGTAGCCAGGGAACGGAGCCCTGGTCATCAGAGGCCTCCCAGCAGCGATCAATGCATTCCAAACTCTGGGGTGGGGCAGTTTGTCACTCCTGAACATTTCTCCATTCCTTAATAGACCATCCAAGTCATGCTGCCCATTGGACTGCCTTTAGTGTCACTTAGAACAGGTGGCAGGGAAGGACACCTCCCAGGGGTTGGAAGAAAGTGAAGCTCTTTCCAATGGTGAAGTTGAAGGCCACATGAGAGCCAAGGGGAGGAGGAGGGCACAGAAGCTATTCCCAAAGATCCTCCCGACGGCCCTACTGCTGCCAAATCACACTTTTTCCCCCCAGGTCAACCTTCTGGAAGAATTTCCACACCTCCAGAGTAGATTTAATTTTATCACGTACAGAGTATCTACTGTGTGCTCGATACTGGGCCTACCCATTGTCCCAGTTTCACACAGGACCAACTCTAAAGTCCTCGAGCTGGCCAGCCGAAGGCTGCAGGACCTGGCCTCCTCTGTGTCCTCCTCCAGCTTTGGCCTCTCCAGGGACCCTGCATTTCTCCCAGCTCCCACCCCCTTCAGGCCCTTCGCCCAGGCTTTCCCCTGGGTTTGGAAACTCAATATCCTCCTCTCCACCGTCCATCCCACGCCCCGCATGACCCTGTCACTCCTCCAGTCTCCATGTAAGGATCTTCTTCCTCCACAAGCCTTCCCTGACACCTCCAGCTCCCTCAAGGAGCTAAGCCCCCTCCTACATGCCCCCAGAAGAGCAATCATTTGCAATCGCTTGTTTAACTGCCTGGATTCCCCACACACAAACCAGTGAAGTCCACGAGGCTAGAACCATTCCCTGTTTCCACTCCCACACCGGTCTAGGTCAACAGCACCACAAAGTGGGTACTCCAGAAGCAATACCCCATGTATAGACCAGAGGATAAACATCATCCCTCAGGAAGTGCACATGGTCTGGGCCCACATTTGTGCCTTTTGACACCAAGATGAATTCAAAGCTCTCCTACTGCCCTGTCTAGTAACTACAGCCAAGTGAACATAGACCAGAGACCCAAGGCATTCACTTTATGCAGATCAAAAGCACAGCATCAACACCCTTCTTACCCCAGCTTCCTCCAGGCGGGTCCTGGGTCAGGGTCTGGGGCAGACGGTGGTTTCCCCAACCTGACGCACGGAGCAGGGAGCCCCAGGTCTGGCAGCCCTCCGTGCTTGCTAGCAGTCCTGGGCGGAGCAGCAGCCAGTGAATCCGCAGGTGGCTTCCCCGCAGCGCCCCTCCCGGCTCCTTCTCCTCCCAGGCTCCCAAAGAGCCAGGAGGCAGCTCTGTTGTATCAACACTGGCCTGTTGTGGGTGAAGACAAACCTGCCCCACCGGCCAGCCTGCTCAGCCCCCGCCCCACCTGTGCCCTCTGCCATGACCTTAAGTTCCCAGCAGGAAGCATTCATTTATTTTCTAATGAAAGTAACTTGCCCCTCAGGGAGCTGAAGGTTGAGGACAAGATTCCTGGAGGCCTTAGAAGGACCCCAGTAAACCAAAACATCCCTTGAACTTGTAAAAACAAAATAACTTTGAAAAATAATTTTGGGGGCCGGGCGCCGTGGCTCACGCCGGTAATTCCAGCACTTTGGGAGGCTGAGGTGGGCGGATCATTTGAGGTCAGGAGTTTGAGACTAGCCTGGCCAACATGGTGAAATCCTGTCTCTACTAAAAATACGAAAAAATGAGCAGAGTGTGGTGGCGGGTGCCTGTAATCCCAGCTACTCAGGAGGCTGAGGCAGGAGAATCGCTTGAACCCAGGAAGCAGAGGTTGCAGTGAGCCTAGATCACGCCACTGCACTCCAGCCTGGGCAACAGAGCCAGACTCCATCTCAAAAATAAATAAATAAATATATATATCTATATATATAATATATTATATACATTATATATATTATATACATTATATATTATATATTATATACATTATATATAGTATATACACATATGTATATACGTGTGTATATATGTGTGTATATACATATATAAATGAAAAAATTAAAATAGTTTTGGAAAATAAAAAATATCACACTCACCATCCTATCAACTATTAACCAAAACACTCTACTTTCAAAGGAAAATAGAAGACTCCTTATGAAATGCCCAATGGCTGAAATTCAGCTTCCGCTGTGGCCCAGGTAAAAAGAGACAGAAGCATATGTGATATGTGCCCTTTTCCTTTGGAGGGGTCTTGTCTTTTCCTATTTCTTTGACAGAGGGTGCGAGGGGCAGAACAAGCCAATTAGGTGCATTTCTCTTGCCCAGGGGTGCGGGGCTGCAACAGCCACCTGCGTTTGTTTGAATGAGCTTTGCTTCTCCAGGGTGGTGCACAGATCCCCCACAGGGACTCTCCCCACCAGTGGCCTTAGAAGGTACCCCAGAATGAGTGAGGGGGGTGCTTTTTTTTAACTTTTCTGTACTTTTCTGCAAAAGTACAGCAAATAGTACAGGGAACCCCTACGTACACATTACTTGGCCACACCAGTTCATGAATGTTCTATCATCCACACCCCACCCACTTCCCCTCCCCACCTCTGATTATTTGGAAGCAAATCCCATACATCATATTATTTCTTTCAAAATATTCCAGCAGGTATCTCTAAAAGATAAGGATTCTTTTATACGCACATATACACACACAAACACACATAAAATACCAGTCACTCCTAAAATTCAATAATTCTTAAATTTGCCTTAATTCTAGGATTCAAGTTTCCTAGATTGTCTGTGATTTGCATTTTTTTTTAAGAGGCAGGGTCTTGCTCTGTTGTCCAGGCTGGAGTGTGGTGGCGCAAACACAGCTCACTGCAGCCTCAACCTCCTGGGCTCAAGTGATCCTCCCACCTCAGCCTCCTGAGTAGCTAGGACTACAGGTGTGCATCACTATGATTGGGCTGATTTTTTTTTTTTTTTTTTTTTTTTGAGACAGTCTCTCGCTCTGTCGCCCAGGCTGGAGTGCAGTGGCGCGATCTCGGCTCACTGCAAGCTCTGCCTCCTGGGTTCACGCCATTCTCCTGCCTCAGCCTCCCAAGTAGCTGGGACTATAGGCGCCCGCCACCACGCCCAGCTAATTTTTTGTATTTTTAGTAGAGACGGGGTTTCACCGGGTTAGCCAGGATGGTCTCGATCTCCTGACCTTGTGATCCACCTGCCTCAGCCTCCCAAAGTGCTGGGATTACAGGCGTGAGCCACCGTGCTCAGCCATTGGCTGATTTTTTTATTTTAATTTTTATAAAATATGACAACATAAAGACAGGGTATCACTATGTTGCCCAGGCTGGCCTCCAACTCCTAGCCTACAAGTAATCCTCCCACCTCTGCTTCCCAAAGTGCTGGGATTACAGGTATGAACCACCATGCCTGGCCAAGACTTGCATTTTTAATAAGCTCCTCAGGTGATACTTGTGCATGATCAAATTAGAACGATTGTTTAGAGAACACAGGGTGAGAAATCAAACTTTAGGCTGGGAAGCAGCAGGGAGGAGCTGTAGGCGGTTTGGGAAAATCAGCTAAGCTGAGGCAGCGATTGTGAACCTGGGGCAGTGGAGGCCCAGCCCTCTGAGAGAGCACCTGCTCTGTACCCTGGAGGAAAGGAGTTGCTTGCGTTTCTTGAGAGGCGGAGCTCAGCTGCACCCACCCATCCTGCCAGGGCAGATCTGTCCAAGAATCCAGACACCTGGATGAAGTTCCAAAGGCTGAACTCAAGATTTGCAAAGAAGAGCAGGAAGATAAGAACTGTGTTGATTCTACCTCTCCCTTCATATGAGCTCCAGAGGCACTAGGAGCCCTGGCCTCAATTCGTGCCTCCCTCCACTCTCCACTTCACCCTCCTACCTCTCATCTTGCTCTTCCCCAAGGCAGGTGTTTGCTTTGTCTCCCAGTCAGCGGGTGGGGCCATAGTTTTCAAACGTCTGGGTGCTCAGAAACCACTCAGGAACATGTGGAGAAAAGAGTACACGTACCTAATGGTTAAGAGCAGAGGCTCCAGCCCAACTACTGGAGTCAGGATCCCAGCTCTGCCATTTACCATGCGTGACCTTGGGAAAGCTATTTAACCTCAGGGCCTCAGTGACCTTATCTGAAAAACAGAAGAGGCTTACTTAGAAAGTGGAAGTATAGGCTGGACGCGGTGGCTCACGCCTGTAATCCCAGCAGTTTGGGAGCCTGAGGCAGGAGGATCACTTTGAGGCCAGGAGTTCGAGACCAGCCTGGCCAACATGGTGAAAACTCCCCTCTCCACTAATAATACAAATTTAGCCAGGTGTGGTGGCGTGTGCCTGTAATCCCAGCTACTCAGGAGGCTGAGGCACGAGAATCGCTTGAACCCGGGAAGTGGAGGTTGCAGTGAGCCGAGATCGCACCACAGCACTCCAGCCTAAAAGACACAGCGAGACTCCGTCTCAAAAAAAAAACAACAAAAAAAGTATGTGTATGGTATGTCAGAGTAGGAGGCAGGGGCCAAGCCATGCCCCAAGTCTGCTGGGCCAATAAGGAATTTGAATTTTATTCTAATAGCATTGGGAAGCCCTTGGGAAATTTTAAGCAGGGAAATGGCATGACCTGGTTCACATTTTTAAAAATATTATGGCCGGGCGCGGTGGCTCACGCCTGTCATCCCAGCACTTTGGGAGGCTGAGGTGGGTGGATCACCTGAGGTCAGGAGTTCAAGACCAGCCTGGCCAACATGGTGAAACCCCATCTCTACTAAAAATACAAAAAATTAGCTGGGCTTGGTGGCGCATGCCTGTAATCCCAGCTACTCAAGAGGCTGAGGCAGGAGAATAGCTGAACCCGGAAGGAGGAGGTTGTGGAGAGCCAAGATCGTGCCATTGCACCCCAGCCTGGGCAAAGAGAGGGAAACTCCGTCTCAAAAAAAAAAAAAAAAATACACACACACACACACACACACACACACACATATATATTACTTTGGCTTCTGCATCTGGAAAAAGGGAGTAGAAATACTTTTTCTTCCCAACCAGTAAAAATAAAAACCCTGTACAGTATATATACAGCAAACATAAGCAGACTGTGAAAGCTGGACAGAAGATAGACCCTCTGAGAATCAGAAGATGCAAGAAACAACACAGAGGTGAGTTCTCTGGGTTTTCTTGTTACTTCCTACAGGTTGAGTATCCCTAATCTGAAAATTCAAAATCGGAAATACTCCAAAATCCCAAACTCCGAGCACCAACATGACACCACAAGTGGAAAATTTCGCTGACTTCATGTGACAGGTCGCAATCAAAACTCAGGCACACAACACATATTTCATTCAGAGTCCTCAAGGGAAAAATAAAATTACCTTCATGCTATGTGTGTAAGGTATATATGAACATACATGAGGCTGGGCACGGTGGGTCATGCCTGTAATCCCAGCACTTTGGGAGGCCAAGGCAGGCAGATTACTTGAGGTCAGGAATTCGAGACAAGCCTGGCCAACGTGGTGAAACACCATCTTTACTAAAAATACAAAAAAATTAGCGGGGCGTGGTGGTGGGTGCCTGTAGTCCCAGCTACACAAGAGGCTGAGGCAGGAGAATCGCAAAGGTTGCAGTGAGCCAAGATCGCGCCACTGCACTCCAGCCTGGGCAACAGAGTGAGACTGTCTCAAAAACAAAAAAAAAATCATGCATGACTTTTGTGTTTAGACTTGGGTCCCATCCCCAAGACATCTCATTTTATATATATATATATATATATGCAAATATTCCAAAATCTGAAAAAGTCTGAAATCTAAAACACTTCTGGTCTGAGCATTTCAGATAAGGGACAGATAATCAATCTGTATATTCCGGACTCAGTGCGGCAGAAGCCAGTACATGTGCAGCAGAAAAGTTCCAAAGAAAGCCTGCTCGCTCTAGCAAAAGGACCAGGAAAGGGGCAGTCTGCCAAGAAAGAAAACTTTCAGACAATAATCACGCGAATCCAGTTAAACGCCACAGAAAAAACTATGGCCCTGCCCCCCACCCCATTGCCAGCAAAGCCCAAGTGGGGAGCCTAGACTTCCAGGCCGAGTGGGGAGTCTGAATTCAGCCCCACTCTGTGGTAACAAGGCTCCCTTGTTTGCCCCTGTTGGGGGTGTCAGAAGAAACCTAATCAGAACTTTTACCCCCATCCATTGGTAATAAGCTCCCCTCCCCCGATCATTGATGGTGAAGATCACATGCAGAGCAGTAATGAGGCATCTCTGCTCCTCCAGCCCCGGTGGTAGCAGCAGAGATCTCGTGAATAGAAGAATGAAGTGGGAGAAACGCTCTACCCAACTTCAAGACTTACTGTACAGCACCAGTAATCAAGACTGTGGTATTGGGCCAGGAGCGATGGCTTGAGCCTATAATCCCAGCATTTTGGGAGGCCAAGACAGGTGGATTGCTTGAGCCCAGGAGTTTCAGACCAGCCTGGGCAACACAGTGAGACTATCATCTCTACAAATAATAATAATAAAAATATTAGCCAGGTTTGTGGTGTGTGCCTGTGATCCCAGCTACTTGGGAGGCCGACTTGGGAGGATGACCTGAGCCTGGGGAGGTCGAGGCTGCAGTGAGCCATGATCATGCCACTGCACTCCAGCCTGGGTGACAAAGTGAGACCCTATCTTAAAAAAAAATAAATAAATAAAAGATTGTAATATTGGTGGAAGGATAGACATATAGATGGAATATCTGTCTTCTTTACTCAGTCTACCCATTCAAATGCTAATCTATTCAAGAAATACCCCCACAGGTACATCCAGAAACAATGTTTTACCAGCTATGTGGACATCACTTGGCTCACTCAAGTTGACCATAAAATTAACCTTTCCAAGTCCAACCCTTGTCAACTTGGCACCTATGTGCAACTCTTAAACCACACTTAATCTCCAAATAAAGACAATGACAGGGTCATAATTCTACCCAACATGATACGACTGAAAATGCACTAATCTCTTCCCCAGAAGAGGAGGTAAACTGCTTGAGTGGTGTATACTCTTCTCCTGATACCCCATAACTTCATTACTATGATGTAAAATTAACAATAGTTAAATACTGATATAAAATCAATACATTTTATGTCTCATGATAAAAGGAAAAGAGAGAAAACAGATATTTGCTTAATATGAGTATATATATGCACAAGTGTGTTCATAAAAAATAAAGGAAAAGATACTGATTGACAATGATAGTCCTTGTTTCTGGAGCTGGTGATGTGGTTGTATCCAGTATTTATAACTACCTACACTACAGAATACCTGTTCTATGTTCCCTTTACCTTCAGCAAGCACCTCAGCTGGTTGTGGTTCTTTACCTGGTGGAGTGACCCAAATTTTCATTCCTGAAGAGTGTGGGCCATTTGTAGTTCTGCCTGGGTTGTGTTGTTGCAGTTTCCCATTGACCCTAATTATAGAGCAGGGTCATATTAAGAGATGCAGTAAAGCAGCAATCCCCAACCTTTTTGGCATCAGAGACCTGTTTTGTGGAAGACAGTTTTTCCACGAATGGAGGTTGGGAGATGGTTTGGGCATGAAACTGTTCCATCTCAGATCACCAGGCATCAGATTTGTAAGGAACACACAACCTAGATTCTTCTCATGCACAGTTCACAGTAGGGTTCATGCTCCTCTGAGGATCTAATGGTGCTGCTGACACGACAGGAGGTGGAGGCTCAGGTGGAAATGCCTACTCCCCTCCAGCTATGTGGCCCAGTTCCTAACAGGCCATGGACTGGTACCAGTCTATGGACCCCCCAGTACCATAGCTGGCGGATCACCCCAGGGAATAGTGCCATCTTGAGGGCTCAGTGTTGATCTCTGCTGCTGGCAGATTGGGCACTCAGCAGTGGCAACAGCCAGGTTGGCCTTGGTGAGTGGAAGTCCATGTTGCTGAGCCCACGCACAACCTCCATCCCTGCCACCATAGCCACTTTGTTCATGAGCCCATTAGGCAATGTCAGGGATGGCTGGGGAAAGAGAGTTTGAGACCAACCTGGGCAACATAGTGAGGCCTCATCTCTATGAAAAATAAACAAAAATTAGCTGGGCGTGGTGGTGCATGCCTGTGCTTCCAGCTACTTGAAAGCTGAGGTGAGAGGATCACTTGATCCCAGGAGGTTGAGACTGCTATGATCCGAGATCATGCCTCTGCACTCCAGCCTGGGTGAAAGAGCCAGACTTTGCCTCAAAAAGAAAAAATAAAAAAAAAATTAAAAAAAAGAAATTTCACTGAGAGAGAAGGCCCCTAAATTTTTGTCTGATTTATTTCCCACCCTCTGACATCCAAATGTCTTATCAATAAGTCTACAATAGTTGTTATTCTTGCTCACTAGGTCCAATCAGTATATTGTCATCAGTGTAATAGACCACTGTGATATTTTATAGACAGGAGAGATGATTAAGATCCTTGCAAACTAAATTATGACACAAGGCTAGAGAGTTGATATTCCCCTGAGGTAGGACCGTGAAGGTGTACTGCTGGCCTTGCCAGCTAAAAGCACCCTGCTCCTGCTGGTCCTTATGAACAGGTATGGAGAAAAAGGGATTTGTTATACAAAAACTTAATTCCAGGAAAGCTTTTTTTGGTTGATTCTTTCAGATTTTCTTTTTTTTTTTCTTTTTCTTTTTTTGTAGACGAGTCTTGCTCTTATCACCAAGGCTGGAGTGCAGTGGTGCAATCTTGGCTCGCTGCAGCCTCCACCTCCTGGGTTCAAACAATTCTCTGCCTCAGCCTCCCAAGTAGCTGGGATTACAAGCACCTGCCACCATGCCTGGCTAATTATTTTGTACTTTTAGTAGACACGGGGTTTCACCATCTTGGCCAGGCTGGTCTTGAACTCCTAACCTCGTGATCCACCCACCCTGGCCTCCCAAAGTGCTGGGATTACAGGTGTGAGCCACCGCGCCCAGCCTCTTTCAGATTTTCTATACAGGCAATGAAGTCATCTGTGAATAAAATTTTATGTCTTCCTTCCTAATCAGTATGGTTTTCATTTCTTTTTCTTATGGCATTAGTTAGGACTCCAGTATGATGTGAAATGGAGTGGTGAGGAACAATGTCCTTGCCTTGTTCCTAATCTTCTCAGCAATTTTTTTTAAAGAAATTTTTCTCTGTCTCTCTCTCTCTTTTTTTTTTTTTTTGTAGAGTTTGGGTCTCACAGTGTTGCCAAGGCTTGTCTCAAACTCCTGGCCTCAAGCAATTCTCCCACCTTGGCCTCCCAAAGTGCTGGGATTACAGGTATGAGCCACTGCACCTGGACCCCAATAATTCTTAACAGTGTAAAGAGGACCTGAGACAAAAACATTGGACAACCACTAGCCTGGGGACCGCAGAATTGGGTGTATGAGTTTCCTAGGACTGTGGTACCAGAGTGCCATAAACTGGGTGGCTTAACCAACAGAAATGTATTATCTCAGCCCTGAAAGTTAGAAGTCTGAAATCAAGATGCCACGCAAGGCTGGTTCCCTCTGAAGGCTGTGAGGAAGAATCTTCCAGGTCTCTTACTTGGCTGCTGGTGGTTGCTGGCAATCTTTGGCATTCCTTGGCTTGGAGAAGCATCACTCCAATCTATGCCTTCACATTCACATGTGTGTGTCTGTGTCCAAATCCCTTTTTATAAGGACACCAATCATATTGGATTAGGGGCCCACCCCACTCTGCTATAAACTCATCTTAATTAATTATCTCGGCAAAGACCCTGTTTCCAAATACAGCCACATTCTCAGATCCTCCGGATTAGAACTACAACATATGAATGGAATGGGGCAGCACACTTCAACCCATAATGAGGGAGAGGCAGTGGAGGTCCAAGCCTGAATACAGAGAAATTCCAGGATTTCAAGGCTGCACAGAGGAGACAAACAAGAAACAGAGGGAGGAGGATAATCAGAAGAATGAGAACTCAAAAGAAGAAAATGTCTTGAGAATCATGGAGTGTTCATGAAGGGGAGGGCTGAGAAAGATCTGGAGGTTACTGGGGACCCCGTGGATCCACTTCAATGGAGTGAAATGGGCAGGATTCTGGGGACTCAGAGAAAGTCAGTGGCTGGTGAAGAAAAGATGGGCATGGAAATTGGCTGGGCATGGTGGCTCACACCTGTAATCCCAGCATTTTGGGAGGCCGAGGCAGTTGGATCGCCTGAGGTCAGGAGTTCAAGACCAGTCTGGCCAACATAGTGAAACCCCTTCTCTACTAAAAATACAAAAATTAGCTGGGCGTGGTAGCAGATGCCTGTAATCCCAGCTACTCGGGAGGCTGAGGAAGGAGAATTGCTTGAACCCGAGAGGCGGAGGTTGCAGTGAGCCGAGATTGCACCACTGCACTGCAGCCTGGGGGACAGAGCAAGACTCCATTCCAAAAAAAAGATGGGCACAGAAATCAACTACAGCTTTCTTTTAAAAACACCAACTGTGAAGAGAAAGGAGGGAGCAGGGCAGCAGCTAAAGAGGAAATGGAGCACCAGGAGAGGGTTTTATTTATTTATTTTCAGGAGAAGAGACAGTTGATAACTTCCCCTCCCCAAATTCTGTGAGTTCTAGTTGGGAGATACATCTAGAAAATGGGAACCATGGCTGCGTACGGTGGCTCACACCTATAACCTCAGCACTATGGGGGACCGAGGTGGGAGTATTGCTTGAGGCCAGGAGATCAAGACCAGTCTGGGCAACATAGCAAGACCCTGTCTCTATTTAAAAAAAATTTTTTTAATTAAAAATTTTAAAAATGAGGCCAGGCACATGGCTCATGTCTGAATTCCATCACTTTAGGAGGCTGAAGCAGGAGGATCGCTTGAGCCCAGGAGTTTCAGACCAGCATGGGCAGCATAGTGAGAAATCATCTCTACGAAAAATTTAAAAATTAGCCAGGCAGAGTGGTGCACACTTGTAGTCCCAGCTACTCAGGAGGCTGAGGTGGGAGAATCACTTGAGCTCGGGAGTGCAAGGCCACAGTGAGCCATGATTGTACCACTGCACTCCAGCCAAGGTGACAAGAGTAAGACCCTGTCTCAAAAAAATAACTTTTAAAATGGGAACTCCTACTTTTTCTTACCCATGATGTATATCTGAGACAATCTCTTTGAACCATGACATCTTTGACATTTCTCTAGAAGTTTCCTGTCTGAGCTCAATTTTTTTATGTGCAACATTTCATAGCATTGCTGATTCTTGGAAAGTTGAAACAGGCCAAGCATTAGCAAACACAGTCCAATTTGTCCAAAATCAGAGTAAATTTTCTAAGTTCCCTACTGTGAACCTCAAGAGTAAAGGAAGAAGGAAAGGAGGAGAGAAGAACCAAACACAGCTCTAGCCCCCAAAAGGGTGCCCATTGGCAGGTAAGATATAGATGATCTAGTCCAATCCACTCTTGCAGAAAAGTAAGGCACAGTGAGGCTAAGTGACTTGCCCAAAGCCAGATAATACAGCCTTATTTCTCTAATTATTTGTGCCATTGAATTTTTTAAAAAGAAACTAATCCACCTATGAATCCTTAAACATTATATATATATATATATATACGTATATATATATATATACATATATATATATACATATATATATATACATATATATACACACACACACACACACATATATATATATGTATTTTTTTTTTTTTTGAGATGGAGTCTCACTCTGTCACATAGGCTGGGGTGCAGTGGCGCAATCTTGGCTCACTGCAAGCTCCGTCTCCTGGGTTCACGCCATTCTCCTGACTCAGCCTCCCGAGTAGCTGGGACTACAGACACCCACCACCACACCCAGCTAGTTTTTTGTATTTTTAGTAGAGATGGTGTTTCACCGTGTTAGCCAGGGTGGTCTCGATCTCCTGACCTCATGATCCACCCTCCTCAGCCTCCCAAAGTGCTGGGATTATAGGCGTGAGCCACTGCGCCTGGCCTAAACATAATATTTTTATATACTCTCAAAGTCAACTCAAAACTTTGAAGGAAAATAATATTTAAATTCAGCATTCGGTCTTGAGAGAAACAACTTTCTTAGGGCAGAATCAATCCTCTATATTATCCAAACAAACATTGCTTTTGACATTTGGTGTTTCAGGCCACTGTTCCCATTCTTTAGACAAGTCTGGGGCACACTGCCAGTTCCAAAAGCTTTACACTTAGCCTCAAAGGTCCCCGGCAAAGCACTTTCATGCCCTGAGGACTTTCTACAGAATGGCTCTTGAGGGTGAAGAGATGAGCATTCCACTTACGTGCCTTTAAAACGGGCATTCCTTTAACACAGGGCTTCCTGTGTTCTCATATCCTTGTACCCAGGATTAGGAAAATATTGCACACAATCACATGTTCAGTGTACAAGATCAATTTACAGGAGGAGATCATTGTAATTTAGAAAATGACAAAGGATAAATACAGAGCCAGCTAAAATGTTTGCAAGGAATTTAATCCAAAAATAATAATCTAGCTGGAAAAGTAACAATCTGACTTTTCTAAAAAGAGCATCTGATTTTTCTGAACTGAATTCCCTCCAGATAGCCTTCATTCAAATAACTGATTTTATCATCCACTCAAACTGAATACTTCTCACTTTCTTTTTTCTTTTTTTTTTTTTTTTGAGTGGAGTCTTGCTCTGTCGCCCAGTCTGGAGTGTAGTGTCGTGATCTCAGCTCACTGCAACCTCCACCTCCTGGATTCAAGTGATTCTCCTGCCTCAGCCTCTTGAGTAGCTAGGACTACAGGTGTGCACCACCACGCCCGGTTAATTTTTTGTATTTTTAGTGGAGACAGGGTTTCACCATGTTGGCCAGGCTGGTCTTGAACCCCTGACCTCAAGCAATCCACCTGCCTCGGCCTTCCAAAGTACTGGGATTATAATAGGCATGAGCCACTGCACCCAGCCAAGCTGAATACTTCTTCACTGTTGGCCAGGCACTGACTCTGCCACCCACCACCCTTTACAATATGCACTCATAAACAAAGTGTTTGAGACAGAAAAGAATGATTTGAGGTTGCTAAAAAAAAGAGAGAATGAATTCAACTTCCTCCATTGTATGCACACACACGCACACACACACACACAAACACACCCATGTGCAACTGAATGCAATTCATTGATAGTAAGGTCCAAGAGTTCATGAATCAGCACACTGAGATCAAATCTACGGATGCTGGAACCAGGATCATCCCTGCCATGCACATTTCCACTTCCTCCTGGCCACGACTTTTTCCAGGAATGTGTCTCAGTGCTCACTGCTGCCATCCAACGCCAGTGGGGCACTCCCTGCTGTTCTACCACTTTCTGTCCTCTAGATCACGTCCTAGGACACTGAGCCCTCCCAGTGGCTCTCAGACAGCTCCACTCTCCTCTACTCTCCACTCCTCCCCACACCCCTCAGCACACGACCACCTCATTCCTTAGGAGAAGATCCTCCTCCACCACGGAGCCCTCCAGCTTCCCTCTTCTCCACCTCAGCGTACCTTGGCTGTGTCTCTCTCTCTTCTTCTCTTCAGAGAAAAGCTGCTTTACATTCCTTTCATTCCTGTCTTCACTTGCCACGTCATGGAGGAACTGGAAATGAGACTTAGGAAAATGAAGTTTTATCATAAAGAGAACAGAATGGGCTGGGCACAATGGCTCATGCCTATAATCCCAACACTGTGGGAGGCCGAGGTGGGAGGATTGCTTGAGCCCAGGAGTCTGAAACCATCCTGGGCAACATAGCAAGCCTCTGTCTCTACACAAAATAAACTTAGCTGGCCTTCGTGGCATGCATCTCTAGTCCCAGCTACTCAGGAGGCTGAGGTGGGAGGATCGCTTGAGCCAGGGAGGTCGACGCTGCAGTGAACGAAGATTGCACCACTGCACTCCAGCCTGGGTGACAGAGTGAGACCTTGTCTCAGGAAAAAAAAAAAAGAGAGACAACAGAATGCCCTGAAGTTTATCATGGATGGATTTTTTTACCTATAGCCTAAGGAGAGAGAGAGAGACAGATTGAGAGAGAGAGATTCTCCCTATGTTGCCCAGGCTGGTCTCAAAGTCCTGGGCTCAAGCAGCCCTCCCACCTCAGCCTCCCAAAATGCTGGGATTACAGGCATGAGCCACCACACCCGGCGCTAGCCTAAGTTTTTCACTTGGGAGCACCTCCCTAGTTATCTGCCTTTTCTATAATAATATTTACTCCCAATTACACAAGTAAGTTTCTTATCATGATTTCCACCTCCACTTTCTAAAAAAGAAAAAAAAAGAATTTAAATGTACTATCTTGTTTCTCTTCTTTCTCCATTTAATATCCTGCATTGACTACAGAGTCATAGAAATCTATCACTGGAAGAAACTTCGAGATCACCTGATTCAGTCTCCTTACTTTAGAGATGAGAAAACAGAACTCCAGGGAGCAGATGCAATTTGCTCAAGGTCCTGCAGGTAATTGGCGGCAGAGCTGGAAGCAGAACCCAGGGCTCTGCACTTCAGGGTCTTTTCATGCCATCACGGTAGCTTTCCAGTTGTTTCTCACAGGACTTAACACCCCTTTGTGTTAGGAAGTATACATAGCAAAACCCTTTCTGGGCATCACGTATCCCCTCTGCAGAGTCCTGCGGACCCCAGAGAAAATTCTCCCCACAAAGGATGGAAGGCATAATTCCCCCAGATTTTTCCCCTCGTGTTCCCCTTCTAGAAAGTCGCATCGACACCAAGGTTACATGACTCCTCCAAGGTCACACTCCAAGTGACAACATGAAAACTGGAATCCAGGACTCTTGACTCAGGATTCTTGTGTTCCCAACCAACAAACCTAGAGGCAGCTTGGACAAGAGAAGATGAGGAGCTAGGCATGGTGGTGCATACCTGTAGCCCGAGCTACTAAGGAGGCTGAGGTGGGAGGATCACTGGAGCCCAGGAGTTCGAGGCTGTAATACACTGTGATTGCACCTGCGAATAGCCACTGTACTCCAACCTAGGCAACACCCTGTCTCTAAATAAATACATAAATAAAATGAAACATATGGACAAAGCATTTTCAAAAAAGAAAAAAGAGGCCAGGAGCAGTGACTCACACCTGTAATCCCAGCATTTCCAGAGACTGAGGCGGAAGGATCGCTTGAGCCCAGGAGTTTGAGACTAGCCTCGGTAACAGAGCAAGACCTCAACTCTACTAAAAATAAAAAATATTAGCTGGGTGTGGTGGTACATGCCTGTAGTCCCAGCTACTCAGGAGGCTGAGGCAGGAGGATGGCTTGAGCCCTAGGAGGTGGAGGCTACAGTGAGTTGTGATTGCACCACTGCACTCCACCCTGGGCAATAGAGTGAGATTCTGTCTTAAAAACGGAAAAAGAAAAAAAGAGAAAGAGAATGAAGGGAAGTTATAGAAAAGGCCAGAAAACACAGTGAGAGAGGGGTCTTTGGATGTTGGGAAGACAGGTCCAAACAATCATTGACTTGACTATCTGGTTCGCTTCGGTTTTATGTGAACAAAACTGGAGAAGAAAAATTGGCGGAATATTTATTACAAACCTGCAGCTTATTTCCAAAAACTTTAGCTTAAAGTTACTCTTTGAGAACAAATCTCTCTGTTTATTAAACAAAAGATGAATCTGACCACATGCTCAGATTGTTGTGCCAACAGAAATATTTTGCACAAATGATAAGAGTAATTGTAGGGAACCAGAAATTGCCAATCATAGAGTTGAGAGCTGAAAAGCCCTCCTTCCAACTGTTTATTAACTTCACCTTAAAATGCCCTTACTTGTTTGATGACAGTAACTCACAAACTTTTCTACCCGAGCTAACCCACAGAAGAGCTGGCTGTCTTAAAAATTAGTAAGAAACCAATCCCTTGAGGCATTTAAGCAGAAGTCCAACTAACAACCTTAAGAAGCAGGACAGGTCAAATGCAGCTATACCAAACTCTATAATATCCTACTTTCCTTATAGGAAAGTCATATGGTTTGGCTGTGTCCCCACCCAAATCTCATCTTGAACTGTAGCTCCCATAATTCCCACTTGTTGTGGGAGGGACTCAGTGGGAGGTAATTGAATCATGGGGGCAGGTCTTTCCTGTGCTGTTCTCATGATAGGAAATGAGTCTCACAAGATCTGATGGTTTTATAAATGGGAGTTCCCCTTCACACGCTTTCTTGCCTGCCACCATGTAAGATGTGCCTTTGCTTCTCCTTTGCCTTCTGCCATGATTGTGAGTCCTCCCCAGCCATGTGGAACTGTGAGTTCAGTAAACCTCTTTTCTTTACAAATTACCCAGCCTTGGATATGTCTTTATTAGCAGCGTGAGAACAGATTAATTCAGAGGGCATTCTTCCAAGGTTAAAGATTGGCCCGGATGGTCTCTGAGGTCCTTTTCCAACACTGAGATTCTAATTGTAATCCGATGTTATATCTGTGTCTTCTTTCTAGTCTTCTTTGTGTCCTGACCATCCGTGGATATGTCTGTACATTCCATTGTGACCACGAGCACTCCAAGAGCTGAGGCTATGATAGGCAGTAATCTGCACCATGTGAAACTTAAAGGTTAAGGTTTTTTGGGGGGTTTTTTTTTGTTGTTGTTGTTGTTTTTGTCTTTTTTTCTTTTTGAGACAGAGTCTCGCTCTGTTGCCCAGGCTGGAGTGCAGTGGTGCAATCTCGGCTCACTGCAAACTCTGCCTCCTGGGTTCAAGCAATTCTTCTGCCTCACCCTCCCGAGTAGCTGGGATTACAGGTGCCCACCATCACGCCTGCCTAGTTTTTGTATTTTTAGTAGAGATGGGGTTTTACCATATTGGCCAGGCTGGTCTTGAACTCCTGACCTCAAGTGATCCACCCACCTCAGCCTCCCAAAGTGCTAGGATTACAGGCGTGAGCCACCATGCCTGGCCAGCTTGTTTTTTTAATGGAAAAGAAGATTCCCTGATATTGAACATTTTTCCCAGGTAATGGGACAGATATGTAAAATCTGTCTGCTTCATTGTGACTGTATTGCTTTCCTGTGAAATAATCTTTAAGAATGTATTAACTTAGGCCAGGTGCAGTGGCTCACGCCTGTAATCCCAGCACTTTGAGAGGCTGAGGCAGGTGGATCACCTGAGGTTGGGAGTTTGAGACCAGCCTGACCAACATGGAGAACTCTGTCTCTACTAAAAATACAAAATTAGCTGGGCATGGTGGTACATGCCTGTAATCCCAGCTACTCGGGAGGCTGAGACACTAGAATCACTTGAACCCGGGAGGCAGATGTTGCAGTGAGCCTAGATTGCACAACTGCACTCCAGCCTGGGTGACAGAGCAAGACTCTGTCTCAAAAAAAAAAAAAAAAAAAAAAGTATTAACTTGATTTTATTTCTTGATCATAAAAATAATATACACATTCATTATTTTAAAATGGAAACACAAAAAAGTATTAAAAACAAAATTAAAACCACCCAAAACTGTACATCCTAGATATGACTACTACTAACATTTTGAGAGGATTCATTCCAAACATTTTTCATTGTATATGTGTATATATTACAAAACTGGAATTATATTGACATAAAGATTTATATCCTGCTTTTCTGTTTTGTATACTATGGCAAATGTTTTCCCAAGTGATTAAATGGTACCCAAGAATGTTTTTTGTTGCTGCTGTTGCTGTTGTTTTTTTGAGATAGAGTCTTGCTCTGTAACCCAGGCTGGAGAGTAGTGGCATGATCTTGGCTCACTGCAACCTCTGCCTCTTGGGTTCAAGCGATTCTCTTGCCTCCAGTCTCCTGAGTAGCTGGGATTACAGGCACATACCACCAGGACTGGCTAATTTTTGTATTTTTAGTAGAGATGGGGTTTTGCCATGTTGGCCAGGCTGGTCTCAAACTCCTGACCTCAGGTGATCAGCCCACCTTGGCCTTCCAAAATGCTGGGATTTTAGGTGTGAGCCACCATACCCAGTCCCAAAAACGGTTTTAATAGCTACCCTTTATTTCATTATAAACTGCTTCCAAGCTTTCACTTTTACAAACATTGTAATATTGAGATGGAGAACTTTGGATATGCATTTTTGTGCTCATCTTTGGTTATTTCCTTGGGGATGAAATTTCTAAAGGGCTACACCATAGAAGGAAAGGTATCCAAAATAAACTGACACACATCGTCTCAATTCCTGAGACCGGAATGACATGATAGCAGATTTGTGTTGCCCCCAAGCACTCGATTAAAGCAACAACAACAAAAATCATGTCTACAGGAAGAAAGCATTATCCTGGGTCTCAAGTTATTTCTATAAACAATAGTATGTAATTGCAATTTTGCCCACAATAAAAAATAACCAGGTATGCAAAGAAACATGATCATATGAATGAAAACAGCAGAAATAATAGACAATGGAAATAAACGAATGGGAAAAGAATGGCGAAGACTGAGGTTATCAGACACGGATTTTAAAGGAATTATATCCCCTCTGTTTATGAAGATGAAAAACAGGACTGAATAGTTTGGCAGAAAAAAAAATATAAAAAAGAACAGAATGGAAATTCTGGAACTAAAACTAAGATAATCGAAATTAAGAACCCAATGGGTAGTTATAAAAGAGGATTAGACACAGATGACAAGAGATTTCATAAAAGACTGGGCAAAAGGCAATATCCAGAGTAAAACACAGGAAAACAAAAAGATAAAGAATAAAGAAGAAGGTAAGAGAATTACAGGATGGAGTGGAAAGATCTAACCTATGTGTAATCAGTCACAAAAAGAGAGGAGAGAATGGTTCACAAGTAGTATTTGATGGCTGAGAAGTTTTCAAAACTTATTAATAACATCAAGCTCCATATCCAATTGCCTACAAACTCCAAAGAGGACAAAAAAGGAATCCATACTTCAGCACATCAGAGTAAAACTGCTGAAAACCAAAGGCAAAGAAAAATTTAAAAACAGCCAAAAAATAAAAGAGGCAAATTATCTGCAATGAAGCCCCAGTGAGGTGGACAGTTCTCAACAGAAACAATGGTAGCCAAAAGAAATGAAATGTTATCTTTAAAGCACTGAAAGAAAATATCTGCCAACCTTACATTTTGTACCCAATGAAGGTGATTTCCAAGAATGAAGGAAGAATAAAAACATATCCAGACAAACAAAGTAACATGTTAATCACTCCACTGAGGGAATACTAAATGGTATTCTTCAAAGAGAAGGAAAATGATCACAGATGGAAGACCAGACATGCAGAAATAAATTAAGAACAATAAACCGGTAAACATGTAAATAAATTTAATAAATTTCACTCATATATTCACTTGGAAAATAATAATAATAATGACTTATTGAGTTAAAAACTATGTGTATAACTAACATACATGACTACAATGGTATAAAAATCAGGAGTGGATAGGCCAGGTGTGGTGGCTCACGCCTGTAATCCCAGCACTTTGGGAGGCCGAGGTGGGCAGATCACGAGGTCAGGAGATCGAGACCATCCTGGCTAACACGGTGAAACCCCATCTCTACTAAAAATACAAAAACTTAGCTGGGCGTGGTGGCGGGCACCTGTAGTCCCAGCTACTCGGGAGGCTGAGGCAGGAGAATGGCGTGAACCCAGGAGGCAGCTTGCAGTGAGCCGAGATAGCGCCACTGCACTCCAGCCTGGGCGAGTGGGTAAATGGAGTTAAAGTTCTGAGGTCTTCATATTATCTATGAAAGTGGTGAAAGTGTCAATTAATATTAGACTTTGATATGTTAAGAATGCACTTGTGAGAACATATATTCAGGGTAACTTGGATCTATGCTCCTGGGTTGCAGAATAAAATAATCTTAAAAAGCAACAAAAAAGGAATGCATGTCGTAATCTCTACAAAATGGAATAACCCAACAACTCAATCCAAAAGTAGTGAGAAGAAAGAGAAAAGGAACATAAGCTAGATGGGAAGAGTAGAGAGCACTTGGTAAGCTGATAGATTGATTTGTTTGTTTTTAAATTTTAGAGACAGGGTCTCACTCTGTCACCCAGTCTGGAGTGTAGTGACTCCATCATGGCTCCCTGCCATCTCGGATCTCCTGGGCTCAAGCAATCCTCCTATCTCAGCCTCCTGAGTAGCTGGGACCACAGGCTTGCATCACCAAACTCAGGTTTGTTTTTTTTTTTGTTGTTTTGTTTTTTTTTTTGTAGCAACAGAGTTTCACTATGTTGCCCAGGCTGGTCTCACAGTCCTGGGCTCAAGAAATCCTCCCATCTTGAACAGGGTTTTAGAAAAGTTGAAAGTAATATGATGGGAAAATGATTTAGCATGCCAAACAAAACAAAAGAAACCTGTTATAGCTACAGCAATATCAGACAAAGTAAAGTTTATGGCAAAAAAACATTACTAGAGATAAAGAAGGCTGGGCGCAGTGGCTCACACCTGTAATCCCAGCACTTTGGGAGGCTGAGACGGGAGTCTCACCTGAGGTCAGGATTTCAAGACCAGCCTGGCCAACATGGTGAAACCCCTGTTTCTACCAAAAATACAAAAATTACCCGGGGGTGGTGGCACACGCCTGTAATCCCAGCTACTCAGGAGACTGAGGAAGAAGAATCGCTTGGACCCGGGAGGTGGAAGTTGCAGTGAGCCGAGATCGTGCCACTGCATTCCAGCCTGGGCGACAGAGAGAGACTCCATCTCAAAAATATAAAAGAGATGAGGGATATTACACAATGATTTTTTAAAAGAAGGTTCAATTTGCCAGGAAGTTGTCAAAATTCCGTATTTGTTTGTACCTCAATTACAGCCTCAAATATTGAATGCAAAAGTTGACAAAACTACAGGGAAGAAAGAAACCCGCAATCATCTCTGTATTCAACAGAATAATTAGACCAAATTTTAAAAGACAGGAAAAATATGGATGTTCTGAACCACACAATTAGCACTCTTGATCTAATGGACTTACCCGGAGCACTGACCCCACAACTGCATGACACATTCAAGAGCCACAAAAATTGGTCATATGGTGTCTTTTAACTAACATCAAAAAATAGAAATCATCAAAGTATATTCGCAGGTCACAGTGCAACTAAGCTACAAATCAATAACAAAAAGATAACTAGAAAACCTCCGTATGTTTGGAAATTAAGAAATATACTTCAGAGAAGATGGGAGGGAATAAGATACAGGACCTAGGTGGAAGGTTGTTTTCGCCAAGAGGAAGGACCTCCTTTGTGTTAACCTCCGCGTGTCTGGACCATAGCTGCACCGCCTCCCAGTGCAATTTTGAACAAGCTAAATTAGTCATCCTGGGAAGTGTTCAAAAATTATTCCAAATGGTGGACTCCAGGACTTCCTTGCTGACTTTCTTACTTTGATCAACTAACTCTATGGCATGATCTTAACAGCTGTAGTTCTCAAGGTTTCCTAAAAGGGAACCTCTTGTTCTCTCCAAATTACAGACCCATCACTGAAGGGCAGGGAGTGAGGTTAACTCCTCCACAAACTAAGTGCTGCTCAGGTCCACATCTAGATGTTTCGGTCCCACAACCACCCAGAGCCTGACATTATTTTGTAAAAACAGATCCTGACAGAGCCAGGAGCAAGAAGAGCCATCAACCCCATCTCTGTGAGGGAGCTGGGGCTTGGCAGGCACAGGCTTGGTTAGGGCCACAATTCTCCTCTGAATAGATTTTGGGTTAACTGGAGATGAAAAACCCAAGTTCAAGGTGAGAGGTCTTTTCCCCGAGATGGACAGGTGGCAACGGGGCCTATCAGAATCACAAGAGAAGCTTCATTAACATGAAATATTCTTCCCTGGGCCGTTCCAGGCCACAGACTGCAGGTTTTCCATCTTTTAGCCCTGGAAACTCTCTGCCTACTTCTTTTCTTTTTCACATGAAATCTTATCAGGGATAACAGGTGAAATTGGAAGCAGTAAGAGCCCTGGAATCCCACTCTCTTGGCTACTCCTCTCTCCAACCACCACCATGGTGCCTAGCCACAGACATTTCAGCCTGAACTTTTAAAATAGTGTGTGTAACCAAATACCTATCTCACCCATTTAAAAAAAAAAAAAGTCTTGAGAAAGTCTAGCTTTGAGTAAGGCAACTTCCTGATATGCGCTCCAAAGTAAACCTGATGCAAAATGTATGAGTGAGGAAATGGGCCACATGGAGTTGTTAGTTGTAGACCTGCTACAAACAGCAAATACTGGTGACACTCGTAAAGTAAAAAGTGGCCACACACACACAGCCCTTTCTTTGGGGTTAATAGTTATCATTGGCCAGTCCAGCCCACCCTATTTTTTTTTTTTTTTTTTGAGACAGAGTCTCACTCTGTTGCCCAGGCTGGAGTGCAGTGGCACAATCACGGTTCACTATAACCTCCACCTCCCCAGTTCAAGTGATTCTCCTGCCTCAGCCTCCCAAGTAGCCGGGATTACAGGCATGCACCACCACGCCTGGCTAATATTTCTGAATTTTTTTAGTAGAGATGGGATTTCACCATGTTAGCCAGGCTGGTCTCGAACTCCTGACCTCAAATGAGCCACCTGCCTCAGTTTCCCAAAGTGCTGGGATTACAGGCCTGAGCCACCGTGCCTGGCCCAGCCTATACTATTTTCGAATAACAAAGTTCTTCCATCTGTAGATAGGAGAATGTTTGTCCTACAAACAGCTCATCTAAAACAGTCCGACATCACATAACAATGATAAAATAGGGAGGGAGGGCCAACACATTATCCCCCTCCTCCACATCCACTGCTTGCCAGAAAAGCTTTCCCTGATACGACTTGATAGGATGGTCTCAGCTTAGGCTGCAGATGCTGTTCAATCCACCACTACAATAACCCCAGGCAGGCCATCTTACATGTTTGCATACCTCAGGTTCCGATTCCATAGGAGGGACAGGCTCTGCTCACGTCAAACACATTAAAATGCACCCAGCGTCCCACATTAAATCGTTTCCGTTTAAACATTTCAAGTGAACTGTATAACTTTGCTTTTGAAACAATCATTTATTTTGCCCAGTTTTTGATTGTTCAAATTTTTGTTTGTTTGTTTGGGGACAGGGTCTCACTGTGTCACCCAGGCTGGAGTGCAGTGGTGCCATCTCAGCTCACTGCAGCCTCAACCTCCTGGGCTCAAGTGATCCTCCCACCTCAGCCTCCTGAGTAGCTGAGACTACAGGTGCACACTACCATACCCAAGTAATTTTTTTGTGTTTTTTTTTGTTTGTTTTGCGGAGGCAGGGTCTTACTATGTTGTGCAGGCTGGTCTTGAACTCCCTGGCTCAAGTGATCTTCCCACCTCGGCCTCCCAAAGTGTTGGGATGACAGGCGTGTGCCAATATGCCTGGTCTGTTCTTCAAATTTTGGATCTGAGAATATTTTCTCAGGTCTCAAACATTTTTGAGATCCTTGGAAATCTTGGGGATTCCACGTACCGCTGTTATCCCTAGTACCCATTGGATAAATCAGTCCTGCCCTGTGAAGCCCACTGCAGGGTTTACTTGTGAGGAAAACATCGAGGACAGCATTTGTTCTACTAAGCAGCGTCCTCTCTGTGGGGACCTTGAGTTCCTTGAGCACAAGGGCTGTGTGGTCTTTCTCACCCCCAGGTCCCCACACCGAGAGCCTGGCCTGGCATGCAACTGTTTAATGTTCAACTAGTGGTAATGCCTAAACTGGACTTCTGTGCACTGACTGAAAATCACCCTTCCTAGGGCACGTTGGCCCTATCCCCAAATCCAGGAACATAGGCCACCACTATTTTATATCTTAGAGCCAATTAGAAAAAAGTGCCTCCCCTGGGCTGTTACACTCCACTAGGAAATCTTTCCTTGGGGCTTACTCACGCCTTCTATGTCTTTCCACAGAGCTGGAGTCCACCCCTCACCCTTACCAGGCCCATTCATGCGCAGGAACACTTCCACACATGGCAGGCTGTGTGCACACAGACGATTCCCTCGCCTTTATAGGTGCTATTCCTTTGACTTGAAAAGCCCATCAACTCTAATCTGCACATACAAACTTCAGCACCCAGCCCAAATGTCACTTTCTCTGTGAATCCTTCCCCTATACCTCTCAGGCAGAGTTCATCCCATCCTCCTTTTTATTCCCATCACAGTGGAAGGTACCCCTATTTGAGTCTTGCCAGGTTGCATCAAATTTCTTTCTTCCGGGTTTGGTTCCCTGCTGCACTGTGCTCTCAAGGGGAAGAGGCGTGTCTCAGTCATCTCAGTCTCCAGTGCCTAGGATGAGACCTTTTATATACATGTGGGTCTTCAATAAATGTTTTAGACGGAATGCAGAGCTCTAGTCAAGTTACTCCTCAGCTCAAAATCTCTACAGAACCTTCCCCTTTGCTTCCTGACTTTGTTTCAAATTCCTCTACCAGGCACGCAGAAGCTTAGCCCACAGCTCTCCTCTTGCCTCCCCACCTCACATGCCTTGGCTCACCTGCGCTTCTGGGTGCTGCTGGTACAGCCACCCTCTGACACTTCCTTACCTCTGGACCTTTGCTCATCTGTCCCTCTACCTATAATGCCATCTTCCCCTCTCCCCCTGTCAAAATTCTAGCCATCCTTCAAGGCCCAGGCCAAATGCCATTTTCTTTTTTTTTTTTTTTTTTTTTTTGGAGATGGAGTCTCCCTCTGTCGGCCAAGCTGGAATGCAGGGTCAGGAGCATCTCAGCTTACTGCAACCTCTGTCTTCCGGGTTCAAGCGATTTTCCTGCCTCAGCTTCCCAAGTGGCTGGGACTACAGGCATGCACCACCACACCTGGCTAATTTTTGTATTTTTATTAGAGATGGGGTTTCACCATTTTGGCCAGGCTGGTCTTGAACTCCTGACTTCAAGTGATCCACCTGCCTCAGCCTCCCAGAGTGCTGGGACTACAGGGTGAGCCCCCATGCCCAACCTCAAATGCCATTTTCTTCTTGAAGCATCCCATCAGCAGATGTGGCCTCCACTGTTGAAACCCACAGTGCTTTATCCTCCCAAGCCATTCCTCAAACACGGTTCTGGGGTTGAATGATGCGTGTTTGTAATTAACGCACTTCGACAGCAGGTATCTCCCAACTTCAGCATAGTGGGTGCTCAGTGAATATTGGCCCAAATGGAATTGAGCATCCATGCTACACCTGCAGATGGGAGAGGCAGCAAACTCATGTCCCAGGAACCAGCATGACACAGATCTCTCTTGTCCTCCCCTTGTTTCTCAATAAGGACAATATTTGCGCTCAGGGGAGAAGGGCACAGCTTGCCCCTCCCTTCCTTCCTCAGCCAACGGTTTGGCTTCCCTTCTAGAGAGGTGAGAGAAGGTGTGACAGGCCAAGTTTCCTTTGCTCCACCCCATGGTGTTTCCCCCAAACACCCAGCATAAGTTCACCTCTGGCAGAGTTGCTTTCCAGCTCCTGCAGGTGGGAGTCGACTCACCTGCAGCAGGCACTCGGCACAACTCCGCAGGACCGGCTCACCTGCACCGGGCACTCAGCACAGCCTCCAGCATGCAGCGCCTCCCCGCTGCCACCCGGGCCACCCTGATCCTCAGCCTGGCCTTTGCCTCCCTCCACTCGGCTTGCTCGGCAGGTAGCGTTATGAGCTTTATTCATGGCCAGGCTGGGAAGGGGGAGGGAAGGAGGGAAGAGAGGTGGGAGGGAAAGAAGGAGGAGGGGGAAGATTCTTTGGCCAGGGTTGGTCCTGCGCAAAGGAAGGAGGAAACAGAACTTTCTCATCTGAAGGATTAGGCAGGGGGTGGGAGGTGGGGCTGGGGCAGGGGGGGTCTTAGGTTGGCCTGAGACGGAGATCAGATACTCAATTCCTCAGCTAAGGCAGGAGCAGCCACCTCTCTTGGCCTTTGCCACAAAGAAAGGAAAAAGTTATTTGCTGGAGTCTCACCCATCAGGGGACCAAAATGATATCTCTTGGTCCGCTGTGTCCTGAAGGCTCCTTCTCAGCCCCACTGGGCTGTCGTGCTTTGCAATCCTCCCTGTGCACATTTGTGTCTGACCTTCCCTTTCCTAAGTCCTCCATCCCTCCCTGCCCCTTGTACTTTCTCTGCGACTTTCACAAAACCTGACTGCCAGGAGGGCTGCCATTCACTGTCTCCCACCCTCCTGCCTCCCCGGGCACTGGAAATGCTGGGTTATCTCCCCATTTTCCTGTGGAGGCTGGAAGGCTGATCTACATCCCCTGCCTTGCCCTGCCAGGCCGGGTTCTGCAACTCACGGCAGAGGGACCTTGGTTACCATCTTCTGCTCCTGGCTTTGATCTTGTTCTCAGCCACCTCAGAACACCACCACACTCTCTATGCCCTGCAACACTCCTGCTCCCAAAACCAACCCTGCCCCCAAAGTCCTGTGTCTGCCCCTCTCATCCTCAGACTCTCTTCTGTAGCCACTGCCAGGGGTGTTGGTGTTGAGGTTCAAGACGTGCACTCTTGAGCCGCTGAGCCTGAACCCAGGTCCAGCTTCCATGACTCACTAGCTATGCGACCTCGAGCAAATGACTTTACCTCTCTATGCCAAGTTTCCTCCTTTATCTCATGGGGACAATCATAGTGCTTGTCAAGACGAATTGATGTAATTTCATGTAAAGAACTTAGAAATAGCCCATAGAACACACACAGTGAATGTCAGCAATTATGGTAAGCACATTCATTTTATTTTCCAACTTCACCCCTCCCCAAATAAGAGTGCTGAGTTTCTTTCTACTTACCCCGACAGTGCCTTGCTTATGATGGGAGCTCAGAATCAGAAGACAAGTTTAACTGCACTGAATCGTTGGGTCTTCCCAGCAGCTTTTCTTGTGGAATAGCCCCAAGTAGGGCCAGTCCCTCCCTCGCTTCTGGCTCTGCTTATAAGGGAGGAGGGCGATGTTTAAATTCTTAGGAATTTTCACCGGGGCTATTCCATTTGAACCACAGAAAATTGCTGATATTGAACAATTTTCACCTATAACAATGGCAATTTCATAAGCTCGAACCTAACCCTAGCATTCAGCCAACTAGGGTTTTTTTCCACTCACTTTGGAAGAGGACAACTTCCATTCTAGGTGTAGAGGTGAAATGAAAGTCAGGGCCAAGGAAGTTATTTGAGTCATAAGGAAAATTAGAATAGTGAGGAATCAGTTTCTCCAAAACAAATAAAGACCAGGCTCTAAGCCATTTAGCTGTAAATAATTTACAGTAACAGATTGCATCGAGGCAATTACTATACTTTAAGCAGGACATTGGAGTGGCTTGGGGGTTGGGTGGCATAAAATTAGTCTCAGCAGCAACTTCATGGCTTTAGCTAAACAGCAGGTTTCTTCTGAACTCGTCCTGCTGTGACAACAAGCTCCCTTGAAGGACACACTGACCCACAGCCAGGGGAACCTTGAGAGTTTCCATGCCCACCACTTTTTTTTTTTTCCTTTTTGCATTCCCCAAGAAGCAGAACGAACAGCAATATAATTTCTAGGAAGGTTCTTCCAATCCATCTCTTGGTTTCCATCTACCTAGGTCAGCATGAGCACTGTCTAATAATAGAACTTGCACTGAGGGTGGAAATGTCCCATGTCTGAGTGGTGCTTCCAATATGGTAGCCACTAGTCACACGCGGCAATGGAACCCTTGGCATGGGTCTAATGTAAACAAGAAGCTGAGTTTTTTTTACTGAATTTGATTTTAATAAATTTAAACAACCACAGGTGGCTAGTGGCTGCCGTATTGAACAGTATGGACTTAGAGGTCATCTCTCTTCTTATTGTCAGTTATGGACAGGAACCTGGATGCCTCAGATCCCTAACCCAATCCCACACCTCAAGACAACAGGACTTTAACAATTCATGCTAAAGTCCTTTTTATCTTTCCACTCCTTGCTCATGAATCAATCTATGTGCTGCGTATTCTGGCAGTCTCTGGGCTTGCTTCTATGATGTTTAATTTTTTTTGACAGCCATCATTCTGGAGGCTGGAAGTCCAAGATCAAGGTGTTGATGGTTTGATTTCTCCTGAGGCCTCCCTCCTTGGGTTGCAAATAGACGCCTTCTCACTGGGTTCTCACGTGGACTTTTCTCTGTGCATGTGTGTTGCTGATGTTTCTTCTTCTTCTTCTTCTTCTTCTTCTTTTTTTTTTTTTTTTAGACGGAGTTTCACTCGTCACCCAGGCTGGAGTGCAATGGTGTGATCTCAGCTCACTGAACCTCCGCCTCCTGGGTTCAAGCAATTCTGCTGCCCCAGCCTCCCAAGTAGCTGGGATTACAGGCATGCACCACCACGCCCGGCTGCTTTTGTATTTTTAGTAGAGACAGGGTTTCATCATGTTGGCCAGGCTGTTCTTGAACTCCTGACCTCAGGTGATCTGCCCACCTCGGCCTCCCAAAATGCTGGGATTACAGGTGTGAACCACTGCACCTGGCCTCTTCCTCATCTTATAAGGACCCCGCCATATTGGATTAGGGCCCACCCATAGGACCTCATTTAAGCTTAACTGCCTCTTCGAATGTCCCATCTCCAAATACAATCACATTGGGGTTAGGACTTCAATATATGAAACTTGGGAGAGGGGAACATAATTCGGTCCATAACAGGGAGTTAGCTTTGTTGCAGAAAGCCTCAATATGCCCATGCGGGAGCTTCTATAATACTTTCATAATACTCACTACTGATTTACAAAAAACATTTCAAAATCTATGCCTGGGAATAGCTTTTGCCAGTGCCTCAGACTATCTCCTATCTTTTCTTCCAGAAGCAAGCAGCAGCAACAGCTCAAGCTTGACCGCTCACCACCCAGACCCTGGGACCCTGGAGCAGTGCCTCAGTAAGCTTCTCCTGCCAACTGCTCTAACCCCAGAACTGGCCCTCAGCCTGGGAGGGAAACAAAGGCCTCCCCGCTTTCCGTTGATTGGTGTCAAGTGGGCAAGGGCCTGCCTGGCCTTCCTGTGCACCAGTGTGGTTTGTCCCAGAACTATTTGCAGAGCAGGTCTGAAAGGCTTTCTTGGCTCTGATCCCCATCTAGGTGCACAATCTTTGACACAGATTGCTTTAATGACCCATCCCAGGTCAGCAGCTAACAATGCCCTAGGTTCAAATGCTTGAAGAAGTTTGGAGGTGGAAAGGCCATAAGAAATCATCTAGTCCAACTTCCACCCAATGCAACAGCTTGGTTTTGGCGTCCTTGGCATACATATTTCTTCTTCTTCTATGCACGTTTTTCCTCTTCTTGCCTACTTCTAGCCACAAGGCGCTCAGTAATTCATAGAGCAACCACTATTATGCATGTCTAGCTAATAGAAAGTTTTGCAGCTGGGCGCAGTGGCTCATGCCTGTAATCCCAGCATTTTCGGAAGATGAAGCAGGTGGATCACCTAAGGTCAGGAGTTTGAGACCAGCCTGACCAATATGGTGAAACCCTGTCTCTATTAAAAATAGAAAAAAATTAGCTGGATGTGGTGGCATGCGCCTGTAGTGCCAGCTACTAGGGAGGCTGAGACAGGAGAATTGCTTGAACCTGGGAGGCAGAGGTTGCTGTGAGCCGAAATTGCACCACTGCACTCCAGCCTGGGCAACACAGTGAGACTCCCTCTCAAAAAAAAAAGAGAAAGTTCCACTTTATTTTGTCTGGTTCCCTTTATCCTGCCCTCATTGAATGACCGAATGCATTAACTTAGGCACTTAAAACGAAGGATAGGCTGGGCGTGGTGGCTCATGCCTGTAATACCAGCACTTTGGGAGGCCCAGGTGGGTGGATCACTTGAGGCCAGGAGTTCAAGACCAGCCTGGCCAACATGGCAAAACCCAGTCTCTACTAAAAATACAAAACATTAGCTGGGTGTGGTGGTGCGTGCCTGTAATCCCAGCTACTTGGGAGGCTGAGGCAGGAGAATTGCTTGAACCCAGAAGGCAGAAGTTGCAGTGAGCTGAGATCATGCCATTGCACTCCAGCCTGGGCAACAGAGTGAGACTCTGTCTCAAAAAGAAAAAAAAAAAAAAGGAAGGGGTATTAGGGAATAATACATAGAGGTTAAGAGTATGGCTTCAGAGTCCTGCAGACTTGCGTTTGAGTTCTTCTGCCATCTTGTGATCTTGGGCAAATTACAGCCTCAGTTTCTTCATGTAAAATGGGAATAAAAGTCGCACCTGTCGCTTTGTGAGGAAGGCATAAGCTAACGTGTAAAAGCACGCAGCACAGTGCATGGCACGTAGTAGGCCTCATCAGTGTCAGCTACCGTGCTGTGATTGTTCTGTTAATATTAATGGTAGAGAAGCCTGGGCAGGGCTGGTGGTGCATGCCGTCGTCCTTGCTGTCCCTTCCCCACCAGACGTGGACTTCTGCCCACAAGCAGCCCGGTGCTGCCGCACAGGAGTGGACGAGTACGGCTGGATCGCGGCAGCTGTTGGCTGGAGCCTCTGGTTCCTCACCCTCATCCTGCTCTGTGTGGACAAACTGATGAAGCTGACTCCAGATGAGCCCAAGGACTTGCAAGCGTGAGACCCAGGCTCGGTGCACAAAATGGTGATCGCCACCAATTTGTGGCTAATGGGGAAGGGGAGTAAGGCTAACATGGTTTCTATTATTTAAGTCATTTTCACCTTTAAGCTTCAGTTACTTTTACAAGGGAAAGAAGAAAGAGCGGGAGAACCAAATAAGGCAAGCCAGTGCTGCCCTTGCATGTCACTCCCAAGGGCCCCTGGGCTGTGCCCAGGTAACTCCTCTCTCAAGATAGTCCCTCTGTAATGTATCCTGTTTTAACCTTTCTTCTAGGCACCAAGGGAGGTGCACAAGAAACTATAAGACTTAGTCTCATCATCAACATTTTCAGAAGCAAGTGCATAACCTTCTCACCAAAACCAGGTTATCTGCTTCTGTCCCTGGCTTGAGTCCTGGGCTTAACTGTCATTTCAGAATCTGAGAATCAGTCAGGTATGGTGGCTCATGCCTGTAATCCCAGCACTTTGGGAGGCAGAGGTGGGCAGATCACTCAAGGTCAGGAGTTCCAGATCAGCCTGGCCAACATGGTGAAACCCTGTCTCTACTAAAAATACAAAAATTAGCCAGGTGTGGTGGTGCACACCTGTAATCCCAGCTACTTGGGAGGCCGAGGCAGGAGAATCTCTTGAACCTCGGAGGCGGAGGTTGCAGTGAGCCAAGATCATGCCACTGCACTCCAGCCTGGGCGGCAGAGCAAGACTCTGTATCAGAAAAAAAAAAAAAAAAAAGAATGTGAGGATCAGGTGGGCATGGTGGCTCATGCCTGTAATCCCAGCACTTTGAGAGACTGAGACAGGAGGATCACTTTAGCCCAGGAATTCGAGACCAGCCTGGGCAAGATGGCAAGACCTTGTTTCTGTTTAAAAACTTTTTAAAGTTAAAAATAAAAATGTGAGAATCCCCTTGACACTCCCACCATCTTCACCCCCACCTCAGGTCCTTCTCCAGCTCTCCTTCTGGCTTCATCCTGTCTTCCACGGCTCTCCTGTCCCACCTATTCTCCCTGCCGGTGCCCAAGTTTTAGCCTTCACTGCCTTCCCCTAGAACACGCCAGGGATATTGCATTCTGTCCTCACTGTCTTGAGGATCTTCCTCCCCGGCTCATCACTCCCCATGGGCAGCTGCCAGGGTAGGCGCTGTCACCTTCTGTTGACAACAGTCAGTAGCTCCTAAGGACTAAAACTGTTCAGCCCAGCATTCAGCTCTTTGGAGGAGTCCATCTGTCCCCCAGCACATCCAGGAGTAAGGATTCCGACTGGTCCACTCCTCATCCTGGTGTCTTCAGCTTCTCTGCTGCCATGTTCTTTGCTGGGATGGCTGCTTCCCAACTCCACCTCCAGAATCAAGGATATTCCTCCAAGCCCAGCTCGAATGCTTGATCTGCCTGGAGCCTTCCTGGTCATCCTTGGGTGACCTGGAGCTGGTGCTGTTAGAGCACTTCTGCTCTGCCCTGATGTGCAGTTGTTGTGAATGGGCCACTCCATAGTTTATCCTTCCTCACACCCCTGGGGCATAGTACCCTATTCAAGTTTGTCCAATGAGTGCATGGGTGAATTAATGAATGAATGAACAAATGAGTCTTTGCCCTAGACAACTTAAGGTCCTCACTCTGCATTAGGAGCCTCCATTTTTCTCCAGATGGTTGAAATAACCAGCCTCTGAAGGAGCCAATGGTTTGGTCACTGCTCTCTCAGCAAATTACAGTCACTGTCACTTAGCATGGAGAGTGGACGTTGCACATCACTGTGAAACCTTGCAGAGGAGGAGAGGGCAGGTTCATCAGAAGAAAGAAAGGACAAAATGACTCCTTATGAAGCATTTTGTGCCTTCTGTGAGAAAACATGTATTTAGATCAGATAAACTCTAGTCAAAATACAAAAAGGAAAAATGAAAGACCTCTGAAATAGGAACAATCTCTTGAAGAGGCAAATGACTCAAAACTGCTCAGTGGCTCTTTCAGAAAATCTAAGTAAAGTTCCCTGACAACAGAAACTGAAGAGATTGCCTGGTTCATCTTGTAGTCTTCCAAAACAGCAGATAATTTCTGAATCTCAGATGTTGAATCAGTGCAACGGGATGGATTTCTTGTTCCTAAGTGTTAAATGATCACATACATAAAAGAGTCTGAGCCTGAGCAACATAATGAGACCCTGTCTCTACAAAAAAAAAAAAAAGATTAGCCAGGCGTGGTGGTGCACACTGATAGTCCCAGCTACTCAGGAGGCTGAGGGAGGCGGATCACTTGAGCTAGAGAGTTCAAAGCTGCAGTGAGCCATGTTTGTGCCACTGCACTCCAGCCTGGGCAACAAAGTGAGACCCTGTCTGGAAAAAAAAAAAAAAAAAGCGTCTGCATAATTCCTGGTGCATTTTGTGGATATACAATATGAGTATGTGTTCCATGTTTTCAGAAATTCAAAGGAAGCGTTTCCACAATATGTGACGGTTTATTTCCCAAGAGATGAAAAGATTCATTAAGGTGCATGCTTTGATTTAACATCTGCAAACATTTAAAAAATATAACAGTGTGTGACGTAGCAGTGAGAGTACTATCTTTTTTTAAAAAGGGAAATTAAGATTTATTTCTGGCCAATGTGAACAGAAATAAGTCACTTTATCTCACTGAGCACCAATTTTACACGTGGAAAATAGAAGAATTGGACCAAATCAGCAGTTTCAAGCTGAGTTGCAAAAGTTCATGGAACCATTTCAGTCGCTTCATGGAATCGGGGTAGGCATGAGGCCCGTTGTTCTTTCAACCTGAGCCGCATGGCTCTTGTGTCTTTAAACCTTGTGGTAGGATTTTTTTTTTTTTCTGCTTTAATAAGTGAAGGGTCAGGGCACCAGTTGGTGTCTGAGATGCCCTCCAGTCTGGGGAACCCCGTAGATGCTTAGACTACTTTGAACTGAAGTATGTGCAGTCTGCCATCTCACATTAAAATGTAGGCATTTTGTCAATTGCTTTTCTTTCATCTGCACAAGAGGAAGGAGAGAACGAATCAATACAACCACTCTTTTCCTTGAGACTGCAAAGAAAATGGTTCTATAGTTTGATGGTTCTACTTCCCAGATGCTACCTCTCAGATTTATTCTCAACAGAAAATTTTTTGATTACAGCAGACCAGATCTTTATCTGTCAATAAGTTAAAAAAGATAATCTGGGCTGGATGTGGTGGCTCACTCCTGTAATTCCAGCACTTCGGGAGGCCAAGACAGGAGGATTGCTTGAGCCCAGGAATTTGAGACCAGCCTGGGCAACATGGCGAAACCCCACCTCTACAAAAAAATACAAAAAAATTATTTGGGACTGGTGGCGCATGCCTGTGGTCCCAGCTACTCGGGAGGCTGAGGTGGGAAGATCATTTGAGCCCAGGAGGTTGAGGCTGCAGTGAGCTATGATCTTGCCACTGCACTCCAGCCTGGGTGACAGAGTGAGACCTTGCCTCAAAAAGAAAAAAATAAAGAAAAGAAAATCTGAAAGGGAAAGCAGGCATCAACTTCCAGGGATCTAATAACTTCCTAACTTAAAGCAACAGAACTTACCTAACTTTTGGACTTTTCATTTTAAAACTTTGCCTCTAGCAGTGGACACTGTCCTCAACACAGCTACAGTTTATGTAACACAGAGTCCATATTATATGGGGCATGTCTGTATCAAAATGTCATATGTAGAAATAAAGTATTAAATATTAAGGTGTGGCATAATTATCTGACTTTAAAAATCATCATTTAGTGGCCGGGCATGGTGGCTCACGCCTGTAATCCCAGCACTTTGGGAGGCCAAGGCGGGCAGATCACCTGAGGTCAGGAGTTTGAGACCAGCGTGGCCAACACAGTGAAACCTTGTCTCTACTAAAAATACAAAAAATTAGCCGGGTGTGATGGTGGGTGCCTGTAATCCCAGCTACTTGGGGGACTGGGGCAGAAGAATTGCTTGAACCTGGGAGGCAGAGGTTGCAGTGAGCCGAGATCGGGCCACTGCACTCCAGCCTGGGTGACAGAACGACACTCTGTCTCAAACAAATAAGTTAATTAAATTAAATAAAAATCATCATTTAAAAATCTATTCCTGGCCAGGTGCAGTGGCTAATGCCTGTAATCCCAGCACTTCGGGTGTCTGAGGTGGGTGGATCACCTGAGGTCGGGAGTTCGAGACCAGCCTGACCAACATGGAGAAACACTGTCTCTACTAAAAACACAAAATTAGCTGGCATGGTGGCACATGATTGTAATTCCAGCTACTTGGGAGGCTGAGACAGGAGAATCGCTTGAACCTGGGAGGCAGAGGTTGCGGTGAGCCATTGCACTCCAGCCTAGGCAACAAGAGCAAAACTCCATTTCAAATATATTCCTTTTTATATGCATGACACCTAATGCAAACAAAACAAATATACAATTTTTTATTAACAAATAAATGTTACAGCATGTAAGATTAATCAGCTGGACCTGGTGGTCCACATCTGTAGTCCCAGCTGCTGTGGAATCTGAGGAGGGAGGATGACTCGGGCCCAGTAATTAATTGCTTTGAGGGTGTAATGCCCAATGATCGTGCCTGTGAATAGCCACTGCACTCTAGCCTGGGTGACACAGCAAGACATTGTCTCTAAAATGAAACAAAGCAAAACAAAAAATTAATCAAAAACAAGTCTTAGGATAGCTTGGGCCTTGTCTTAGTCAGTTTGGACCGCTATAACAAATTATCATAGACTGGGGAGCTTCTAAACAACAGATATTTATTCCTCTGGAGGCTGGAAGTCTGAGATCAGGGTGCCAGCATGGCTGGTTTCTGGGGAGGGTCCACTTCTTGGTTCATGGACAGCCATCCTCTCATTGCATCCTCATGTGGTGGAAAGAGGGCAAAGGAGATCTCTGGAGCCCCTTTTACAAGGGCACTAATCCCAATCGTGAGGGCTCCACCCTTATGACCTAATCACCTCCTAAAGGCCCCACCTCCAAATGCCATCACCTTGGGCACTAGGATTCAACATCAATTTTAGGGGGACACAAATGTTCAGTCTATGGGAGGCCTCATTTCCACAAAAATATATAGAAGCATATTTTTAAACTTGGAGAAATATTAATCTAGATGTTTCTGATGAAGAAACTGCTCTGTCTGAACTCCAGCATCCATTTTGAAGTCATCTATAGGGGATCTTCCTTGCCATGTGGTAGGAGTGCCTTGTATACACCCTCTGCCTGCCACCTACTTCCAGCCTTACCTGGCTCCAGCCCCTCCTCCTCACTTCTTCCAGAGTGATCTGTCTAATACATAAATAAGTGATCAAATCACCCCCTTCCAAAATCCTTCTGTGGCTCTGCACAGCTGAGGGAACAGGATTTTTACTCAGGGTGAGCCAAAAGAGCTCTGTAATTGGATCTCCAGACATTTCTCTAGCTTTATCTCTTGCATATCCTTCATGCAAACAGGGTTTGAAATGATTCCCATTCCCTAAACACTCTATCCTCCTGGCCTTCATTTTTGCTGTTCACATGGCCTGGAACGTACGTACCCTTCCCCAGAGGAAGATCTGCTGTGAACCAAGAGAAGCTTACACTCCAGGCCTCCTTACTTGAATGGGCCCCTCCGAGTCCCTGAGTCTAACACTGTATTCCTAATTTTTCTATCCTTTTTTTTTTTCTAAAGGCAACCTCCCCTTAATTGTCTACATTTAAGGCCCCATAAACCTGGGCCTGCCCTTGCTTCCCCTCATCCTCCCCGGCCCCCCACTCCCAGTTGGATTTTGGTTTACTGAGATTGGTCTTCCAAGTCAAGTTGCCTCTTCCTCCCTGGATGGACACACACACACACACACACACACACACACACACACACCTTCCTTGACCAAACTCTAGCCAGGCGTTTTTTTGAGCCCTCTTCTTGACTAGACCTTAACCTTGGCTTATAAAAACTACAGACTCTCAGCATAAATGATTTCATCCAGTCTCTTCCCCTCACATGTAAAGACTTGACCAAATACTAACACAGCCTCTAACAGCTCCAGGCTGCACCCCTAGGATGAGCAGGAGGTCGAGACTCTGCCTGGGAGATGCAGCTGGAGGTGAGTGATGCCAGGCCGGGTCCCAGGCACATCATATGCACGGCACAAAGGTGCTGTTCCCATCCAAACAGAGCTAACCTATGTGAGAGCTGGGCGTGGCAGGGGTGGGGAATTCAGGACTCTTATCCAAGTCCTGGGGCAGCCAGAAGCCCCCTTCCAGTAAACCCCTCTAACAAACCCACACTGCACATGCACACATACACATATACCCCAGTGCTTTGTCCTGGACGTGCTCTGGGGATCCCTGAGCTCACTTCCCTCCCCTGCCCACAGTCCACAGCCAATTCCACCCCTGCCTGACTCAGAATGGCAGCAGGGAGTGCAATGGCAAGTGTTTGAGGGGCTGGCTGGGTGTACTGGGCTCCAGGGCCCATGTGAGTGTAAAACTCAAGCACACATGGCAACCACGCTGCTGCCTGCTGGGATCCAGAAAGCCCTCCAGCAGAAGCCCAGGTTGTTCCTCACACACTCAGTTTCCTTGAGGAATAGGCACCCTTTAAAATGTGCATAGCAGTTCCGAAGGGCTGCTAAAACCCATGGAAAAAGGGAACTGCACATAAGATCTAACACTTGGCTTCCATTACATGCTTGACTGCTACAAAACACACCTGCTACACGGCATATTTGCATATGTGTTGTTCAAATTGTAATTAAAAAAAAAAAGGCTAAAGTTAAAAAAAAATTGATTCCAAGCCCTAATCAATCTCATGGCCAGACTGATCAAGAGCCATTGATCAAGGAGCCTAGTGAGGATGGCAATTTCCTTCCACAGGCCGCAAATGTGGCATTTCAGTTTCCCATCCTGAGTGCAACTGATGTGAAATTGCACTTCTATGTGCAATTCCAGTGCACATAGAAGCACATTTCTCTTTCCTACTAACACAGACAGGACCAAGGTGCAATTATCATGTTTCTTTCATGACATGTTCTTTTCTATCAAGGAGGAATAAGGACCAAAATCGTCGTTTAAAAACAAGCAAATTTCTCTCCTTTTCATTGGTTGAGCAAGTGGTTTCTTTCCTAAGTTTGTATTGTTATAAACAATATATAAAGTACAGAGAATAATTAAATTATCAAGTCATGAAAAGACACAGAGAGCCGAGCTCAGTGGCTCACACCTGTAATCCCAGCACTTTGGGAAGCCGAGGTGGGAAGATTCCCTGACCCCAGGAATTCGAGACCAGCCTAGGCAACGTAGCAAGATCCCCATCTCTAAAAAAATTTTAAAAATCAGCCAGGCGTAGTGGCACATGCTTGTAGTCCCAGCTATTCAGGAGGCTGAGACAGGAGGATCCCTTGAGCCTAGGAGTTTGAGGCTGCAATGAGCCATGTTTCTACCCCTGCACTCCAGCGCGGGTAACAGAGTGAGACTCAGTCTCAAAAAAAGAAAAGACAAGACATGGAGGATATGCCTATTACTGAGTGAAGAAAAGCCAATCTGAAAAGGCTATATACTGAATGATTCCAACTATATGACATCCTGGAAAAGGCAAAACTATGGAAGCAGTAAAAAGATCAGTGGCTGCCAGGGGTTTGTGGGGAGCGGGGAATGAATAAGCAGAGCACAGAGGATTTTTAGGGCAGCAGAACTAGTCGGAATTATAATGGTGGGTACATGTCATTATACATTTGTCCAAACCCACAGAATGTACAACACCAAGAGTGAACTCTAATGCAAACTCTGGACTCTGGATGATACTGATGTGTCAATGCAGGCTCATCAGCTGTAACAAACGTACCAGGCTGGTGGGGGGTGTTGATAATGGGGGTAGCTGTGCACTGGGGAGCAGGGGATATATGAGAACTCTGAACTTTCTGCTCAGTTTTGCTGTGAACCTAAAACTGCTCTAAAATATAGTTTATTTTTTTAAAAAAACTGAGCTAAGAGCATCTCTCAGAGAGTATTAGTACCCACTCCAGAGAAGGGTAATATTTAATCCCTTAAATTTAAAATCCCTTAAATTTAAAATCTTCAATAACAACAAAAAAAGTACTGGTAGAAGGATAACTTCCGTATCTTACGTACTAAGAGCAAACTTTATTTTTACTTTTTTAAAATTTTTTTATTTTCTATTTTTTTAGGTTGGAAGGATTTTTTATATATATATATATATTTATTATACTTTAAATTTTAGGGTACATGTGCACAACGTGCAGGTTAGTTACATATGTATACATGTGCCATGTTGGCGTGCTGCACCCATTAACTCGTCATTTAGCATTAGGTATATCTCCTAATGCCATCTCTTCCCCCTCCCCTCACCCCACAACAGGCCCAGGTGTGTGATATTCCCCTTCCTGTGTCCATGTGTTCTCATTGTTCAATTCCCACCTATGAGTGAGAACATGTGGTGTTTGGTTTTTTGTCCTTGTGATAGTTTGCTGAGAATGATGGTTTCCAGCTTCATCCATGTCCCTACAAAGGACATGAACTCATCCTTTTTTATGGCTGCATAGTATTCCATGGTGTATATGTGCCACATTTTCTTAATCCAGTCTATCATTGATGGACATTTGGGTTGGTTCAAGTCTTTGCTATTGTGAATAGTGCCACAATAAACATACGTGTGCATGTGTCTTTATAGTAGCATGATTTATAATCCTTTGGGTATATACCCAGTAATGGGATGGCTGGGTCAAATGGTATTTCTAGTTCTAGATCCCTGAGGAATCGCTACAGTGACTTCCACAATGGTTGAACTAGTTTACAGTCACAACAACAGTGTAAAAGTGTTCCTATTTCTCCACATCCTCTCCAGCACCTGTTGTGTCCTGACTTTTTAATGATCGCCATTCTAACTGGTGTGAGATGGTATCTCATTGTGGTTTTGATTTGCATTTCTCTGATGGCCAGTGATGATGAGCATTTTTTCATGTGTCTTTTGGCTGCATAAATGTCTTCTTTTGAGAAGTGTCTGCTCATATCCTTCACCCACTTTTTGATGGGGTTGTTTTTTTCTTGTAAATTTGTTTGAGTTCTTTGTAGATTCTGGATATTAGCCCTTTGTCAGATGGGTAGATTGTAAAAATTTTCTCCCATTCTGTAGGTTGCCTGTTCACTCTGATGGTAGTTTCTTTTGCTGTGCAGAAGAAGAGCAAATTTTAACACCTAAATTTATTTATCAAGTCCATTCTTAGAATGACTGAATCAATCAGAAGTGGCTCATTTACTCTTCAGAAAGCTATTCTCATCTATTCTGGAAAAATATATGACATACAGCCAATGTAGGCCCAGCTCTTCTTCATATGAAGTTTTATTCATCTAACCCCAGCTTTCTGATGTCTGTGCAGACAGTCTAGTTTGTCATTCCTCTTAGTTCATGTCACTCTGTCACCACTGGCCTCTGCAAGGTCCCCTCATTTCACTTTTTTTTTTTTTGAGATGGAATCTCGCTCTGTTGCCTAGGCTGAGACCAGTACAGTGGTGCAATCTCGACTCACTGCAACCTCTGCCTCCTGGGTTCAAGGGATTCTCCTGCCTCAGCCTCCTGAGTAGCTGGGATTACAGGCACCTGCCACCACGCCTGGCTAAGTTTTGTATTTTTAGTGAAGACGGGGTTTCACCATGTTGGCCAGGCTAGTGTCGAACTCCCACCCTCAAGCAATCCACCCACCTCGGCCTCCCAAAGTGCTGGGATTACAGGGGTGAGCCACCATACCCAGCCTTATTTCACTCTCTAATCCCTTTTATTCCCATCCCCCTCTCTCATTCTCCTATGGCTATTTCCCTAAGGCAACCATATGAGCCCCTGTATGCGCTCTTGTGAAATGTGAAGTGTTATTATAAGTTCAGGTGTTTGCATTTACATTAGTACTCATGCTGCTGCTTAGTTTTTTCACTCAGTAGTAATATTTCCAAGACCTACTTAGGCCGCTATGTGCCTATGGTCCAGAGCTTCCAGCGGCTGCAGAGGATTCTATCATGTGAGCCCACCACAATTCATTTCTCTGTTCTCTGGTAGACCGACTCATAGGCTGCCTCCAAGTCCCACTTCATAGCACACCTGCTCATTCATGGGCCTGTGATTGTATTTTCCTGGAAAATATTGCCAGATGCAGTGTCACTAAGTCACAGCAGAAACACTTTAATTAAACTTGGTACTATGGGATGACCTGCTTCTCAAATTGACATAAGGATATTTCATTCAGTTGAGCCAGAAATTGAAATTGACTTTTCATTGTTTCTGTCTTCCTATATCATGATAGACAACAGTCATGTTTATGCCTCACCTAAGAATAATATGCACGGTATTCCCACTGTTAGATATTAAATTCAATTTATTGAATCCTATTTTATTTTGAATCTAAAGACAATATTGCTATCAGTTTGTATCATAGTTAGCATATTATTTTTAACTTTTTTTTTTTTGAGATGGAGTCTTCCTCTGTCGCCCAGGCTGGAGTGCAGTGGAAGGATCTCAGCTCACTGCAACCTCCACCTCCCGGGTTCAAGTGATTCTCCTGCCTCAGCCTCCCAAGTAGCTGGGATTACAGGCACGCACCACCACACTTGGCTACTTTTTGTATATTTATTTATTTATTTATTTTTTAGTAGAGACGGGGTTTTGCCATGTTGGCCAGGCTGATCTCGAACTCCTGGCCTCAGGTGATCCGCCCACCTCAGCCTCCCAAAGTGCTGGGATTACAGGCATGGGCCACTGCACCCAGCCTAACATGGTTTTTAAGAAGATGGTTATGAATAAAATTCTAGGGAGTGTGCATTTTAGCTGAATTAAACAATAAAATCTCCTCCCTCTTACTATATACCTATGCGTAGATTTCTCACCTTCACACCTGAGGCCAGGTTATTAAAATTAAAAATAAATTTTCACCATCAAATAGGCTGGAGTCATGCCAGATTTGGGGAGATACAAAGGAAGAAAATGTGTTCAAGAAGGCAACTCTGTTGACTTTTTTGGAACTCTTTATGAAACCACAGTGTGTTTTTCCCAGAAATGAACTAAGATGCAGATACTATCACTCCATTCTGAAAGTCTGTCCTAGCAGTGTGAACAAACAACGCAACCAGGTTAGGAGGGTAGAAGATAGCTGTGTCACACACCACGCTAATGAGAAAAACCTCCAGCATTGTGCCTCAGAAGGCTGAGACTGGGGGAATTTTGAACCATTCTTATTCTATAAGACACTAGAATGTACATGCCAGGTAGGCAGGAGTTTTAATAATTTTAAAATGACTTTTAACATTTAAAAATAGTTTTCATAGACTTGATATATCACTGCAAGAGCTAAATTTTCCTGGAGACAAATAGAACCTCCCATCATCTCCCCAGCATCTCCAGTTTGCTTTCAGGGATGGCAGCTTTCCAAGCCATCTCTGGATGAAGACCACACGAAATGCAGCTACATCAACAGAAGCAAACAAACCTCTCACCTCCCAACTTCCTGAGGGTGAGGGCAGGCGACCCCCTTTGAAAAGCACTGGGGTGGGGATGTAGGTGAGGGGTGCTGGCCAGGGGTCATCTGCATAAGATGTGTGATGGGAGGAATTTGCATGTAAGGCAAATCAGAACTTAATGATTATCTAAGGGTGAAGACATTCTCATTTTTTACCCAGAGATGTTCAGCTGAACATTTCATGTTGTTCACATAATTTATTTTTTACTTGCATCTGTGGCTTTCCATGAAACCCAAAGAGTTAATGTGAGTTGGCCAAAGTCACATCAGGTTAAGTAGCTCAGCATGGATATTTTTTAAAGTAGCTGATCCTCTCCAGGCTAAAAATTCTCTGCTTTAAACCCTCATCAGCAAGACTGCTTTAGATACTGGGACCATATAGTGAGTTATAGAATCTGAGTTGAAAGTAACATTAGAAGCCAAGTTCCATCCTCTCTCTCTCTCTTACACACACACACATACACACACACACACACACACACACACACACATCCATTTAGTCATGCCTCAAGAAAGATGATCTGTCTCTGTTTGGTAACCAGTGAATGATGTTCAACACATTAAGAAGGAGTCTCTTAAATCCTATATACTGAAAATGTCTACATCTTATGACGTAATTCTAATAATTTGCCTAATAGAAAAATAATTCAAAGGAAAAAAAGCTAAAAGCTAGGAAGATAATCTGGAAAAATAATAGCTGTTTCTAATAATTGCTATTCTAGATAATGTAACATATTGGGAAAAGAAATTAAATATCAAATAATAAGGTAATGGCAAAATAGTATTACTATGAGATATTATATAGCTATAAATGATAACTATGAAAACTCATTAGAATTTTTTACTTGGCCAAGTTACAAAATACTAAAAAGTATGTACATGTAGTCCTAATGCTGGTGAAGATACAGTTAGAGGTATCATCAAACATGGACATTAGGGGTATACTTTTTTTTAGGGATATACATTTGACCAGGATTTCTGAAATATAATTGATATTTTGGAATAAAATCCTTTCAGTCTATTCAGGTCATTTGCCTCAGTAATTTTACCTCCAGGAACTGATTCTAAAGAAACAATATGACACCTAGACAATTTATACAGATACAGAAACTGCACACCATTATTTATAATAGCAAAACATTAAAAACAACCATATGTTTAACATGAGGGGAATGACTAAATTCTGATAGATCCATTCAAGAAAATGTTATGCAGAAAAAATGATATAAATCTATATCTATAGGTACACATAAGCATGCCTCATTCTACTGCACTTTGCTTTAATACACTTCACAGATATTGTATTTTCCTACAAATTGAAGATTTGTGGACTGATCCTACATTTTTTTTACAAATTGAAGATTTGTGGCAACGCTGTGTAGAGCACATTGGCACCATTTTTCCAACAGCATGTGCTCCTGGGTCTCTGTGTCACATTTTGGTAATTCTTGCAACCTTTCCCACTTTTTCATTATTATTATATCTGTCATGGTGATCTATTATGAGTGATCTTTGATGTTACTACTGTATTTGTTTTGTAGTACCACCAACCTCACCCATATAAGACAATGAGCTCAATCAATAAATGTTATGTGTGTTCTCACTGCTCCACTAACTGGCCATTCCCCCATCTCTCTCCCTCTTTTGGGGCCTCCCTATTCCTGAGACACAACAATATTGAAATTAGGCCATTTAATAACCCTAAAATGGCCTCTAAGTGCTCACGTGAAAGGAAGAGCCCTATGTCCCTCATTCTTTTTTTTTTTTGAAACGGAGTCTTGCTCTGTTGCCCAGGCTGGAGTGCAGTGGCGCGATCTTGGCTCACTGTAAGCTCCGCCTCCCAGGTTCATGCCATTCTCCTGCCTCAGCCTCCTGAGTAGCTGGGACTACAGGTGCCTGCCACCACGCCCGGCTAATTTTTTGTATTTTTAGTAGAGCTGGGGTTTCACCATGTTAGCCAGGATGGTCTCGATCTCCTGACCTCGTGATCCACCCGCCTCGGCCTCCCAAAGTGCTGGGATTACAGGCATGAGCCACCGCGCCTGGCCCCCCTATGTCCCTCATTCTAAATCAAAAGCTAGAAATGATTAAGCTTGGTGAGGAAGACATGGCACAAGCTGAGATAGGCCCAAAGCTAGGCCTCTTTTGCCAAATAGATGGCCAAGTTGTGAATGTAGAGAAGAAGTTCTTGAACCAAATGAAAAGTGCTACCCCAGTGAACACACAAAGGATTAGAAAGTGAAACAGCCTTATTGTTCATATGGAGAAAGTTTGAGTGGTCTGGATAGAAGACCAATCTGGCCACAACAGTCCCTTAAGCCAAAGCCCAATCCAGGGCAAGGCCCTGACTCACTTCAATTCTGTGAAGGCTGAGAGAGGTGAGGAACTGCAGAAGAAAAATCTGAAGCTAACAGAGGGTGGTTCATGAGGTTTTAGGAAAGAAACCGTCTCTGTAACATAAAAGTGCAAGGTGAAGCAGCAGATGTGGGAGCTGCAGCAAAGTGTCCAGGAGCTCTGGCTCTGACCATTGATGAAGGTGGCGACACTCAAAAGAGATTTTCAATGTAGATCAAAACAGTCTTTTGTTGGGAGGAGATGCCATTTAGGACTTTCATAGTTAAAGAGATTTTTTCTTTTCTGTACTTGAATTTACTTTCCAAAAATCTCTTGGAAAAATTATCATTTCATAATAAAACAGGGTTTCTTTTTCTTTTTCTTTTTCTTTTTTTTTGACAGGGTCTCACTTTGTCGCCCAGGCTGGAGTGAAGTGGGGCAATCTCGGCTTACTGCAACCTCCACCTCCTGGGCTCAAGCAATTCTCCTGCCTCAGCCTCCCAAGTAGCTGGGATTACAGGTGTGCACCACCATGCCTGGCTAAGTTTTGTATTTTTAGTAGAGACAGGGTTTCGCCATGTTGGTCAGGCTGGTCTTGAACTCTGGACCTCAGGCGATCTGCCCACCTTGGCCTCCCAAAGGGCTGGGATGACAGGCATGAGCCACCGCACCCAGCCCATAATAAAACTATATTAAAAAATAAAATATAGCAGAAAATTAATGACCTTCTGGGATATTCTAAGACCTCAGAAAGTAAAACACCTGCTTCTGAGAGATCATTCTTGCTCATAAAAGTCGCCAGGAGGCCAGGTGCAGTGACTCATGCCTGTAATCCCAGCACTTTGGGTGGCTGAGGCGGGGGGATCACGAGGCCAGGAGATCGAAACCATCCTGGCTAACACGGTGAAACCCCGTCTCCCTAAAAATACAAAAAAATTAGCTGGGCATGGTGGCGGGTGCCTGTAGTCCCAACTACTCGGGAGGCTGAGGCAGGAGAATGGTGTGAACCCGGGAGGCGGAGCTGGCAGTGAGCCGAGATCGTGCCACTGCACTCTAGCCTGGGTGACAGAGCGTGACTCCGTCTCAAAAAAAAAAAAAAAAGTCCCCAGGAGTCCTAAGAACCATCCACCAGTTACAGCAATGGAAGTTGAAAGAGGTTAAATAACTTACCCAAGGTCACGTATATAGAAAGAAGCAAAGGTGAACCCAAATTCTGGCATAGTGACTACACTACATTAATACCCGATTCTTCTGTTATGTACTTTATTATTATTACAATTACTCCTATTACTACCACTACTACTACTACTGCTAACACTATTACTATTATTATTAGGATGTAACATGTTGTAATATATTTTACCAATTATTTAAAAACCATTCTAACAAAGCCACTTACTCAATTTTATTTCTCAATATGTTTTCGTTTTTAATCAAATCTCATTACCCAAAGTCATGTATATAGTAAGCACAGGCAAATGTGTTTTCAGTGCTGTGACTGCAAAGTTTATGTTCCTATCCTATACGTTATTAGTTTTACCATTACTGCTTCTACTACAATGATGATGGTGATTATTAGGGTATGCCACATCATATTACATTCTAGCAATTACTTTTAAAACATTCTAGCAAAACCACACCACTCAATTTTATTTCTTTCTAATTTTTTGTTTTTAATGGACTCTTCATCTTTGACCCTGGTAGAGGGGTGTTTTCAGTTACAAAGCATTTAGGTTGCACAACCCATTAGTTTGAGTAAGTTGCATAGTAACTTTGGGCGACACTAGCGGGGAAGCTCTATGTCTGGGTCGGCACATGTGTGTTTGGGGTGGGGTTAATTGTGAATTAAACATCACCATGTCTTCTGGGTTTCCATCTGATGTGTAAAGGGCTTGGATGCCCATAAAGCAGTCTAGTGTCATTTGCAATTAGACTTAGATTAGTCATAAACGTTCATTGCAAACTTTAGTGCAGAAAAAAGTTTTAAAAAAGTATAATTGATATGCGAAGAGAGAGGAGGAAATAGTATGATATAAAATGCTCAAGGCTGGGCACAGTGGCTCATGCCTGCAATCCCAGCACTTTGGGAGGCCAAGGCTGGAGGATCACTTGAGGACAGGAGGTCGAAACCAGCCTGGCCAACATGGTGAAACCCCATCTCCACTAAAAAACTATACAAAAAGTAGCCGGGCGTGGTGGCGCGCTCCTATAATCCCAGCTATTTGGAAGGCTAAGGCTGGAGAATCTCTTGAACCCAGGAGGCAGAGGTTGCTGCGAGCCAAGATTGTGCCACTGCACTCCAGCCTGGGTGACAAAGCAAGACTCTGTCTCAAAAATAAATAAATAAATAAAAATAAATAAAATGCCGATAAACCAGAGAAAGCAGAAAAGTGAGGATCCCCCAAAAAGAGAAACAAAGGACAAGATAACGAATAGAAAATAATAACAAATATAGCAGACATTAATTCAACCAAATAAATAATCACTTTAAATTTGTATGGTATAAATATATCAATTAAAAGACAGAAACTATATGAGTGACCAAAAAAAAAACAAGACAACTATATGTTGTCTACAAGAAACATACTTTAACTATAAAGACAGATAGCTTAAAAGTAAAGGATGACGAAAAGATATACCATGCTAACACTAACCAAAAGAAAACTGGAGTAGCTATATTCATTTCAGACCAGCAGACTTCAGAGCAAGGAAATTTATCAAGGATGAAGACAGCCATTATATAATGATAAAGAGACCAGTTCTCCAAGAAGACATAACAATCCTTAATGTGCATGCAACTAACAACGGAACATCAAAATGTGTGAGGCAAAAACTGATAAAACTGCAAGGAGAAATAGACTAATCCACTATTAGAGCTGCAGACTTCAACACTGCGCTTTCATTAACTGACAGATCCACAGGCAGAAAATCAGTAAGGACATAGTTGGACTGAACAGCACCATCAATCAACTGGATCTAATTGACATTTATGAAACACTTTATCCAGCAACAGCAGAATACCCATGATTCTCAGGCTCACATGGAAAATTCATAAGACAGACCATATTCTAGGCCATAAAACATACGCTAACAAATTTAAAAGAATAAATAATACCATGTTACTCAATCATTATGTTACACCAAATAACAGACACCATTACTCTGAATGTATCTTATTTGCCATGGAAAATGAAACAGAGTTATCTCTTAAAAAGCACAAAATTAAACAATTTGCTGTGAAATAATGTTTCTGCTACCTACTAAAAAAATCCCAAGGCTTATAAATCTAAAGAAATGGTAACATATTCACTGGGAACTATTTTTTTCCAGAACCAAAAAGGTTGCCAATTTTTGCACATCAACAGAGTGACCTGAATCTTGGCCTGTGTCCTATGCTTTCCCTCCTTTGCACAATAGAGAAATACTCTTGTTCTTCTGAAGGCCTGTTTCCCCATCTGAAGGCGAGTTCCCCCACTATGCTCTGAATCCCAATTCCTCTCACTTTCTCCTTTGTCTTTTGCATTATCCATAACCTCCCCCACTCCATGGATCACTCCCATTAGCACATACAATTCTGGGAGCTCTCTCTCTCTTTTTTTTTTTTTTTTTTTGAGATGGAGTCACTCTGTGTCGCCCAGGCTGGACTGCAGTAGCACAATCTCAGCTCACTGCAACCTCCACCTCCTGGATTCAAGTGATTCTCCTGCCTCAGCCTCCCGAGTAGCTGGGATTACAGGCACCCACCATCAAGCCTGACTAATTTTTGTATTTTTAGTAGAGACGGGGTTTTGCCATGTTGGCCAGGCTGGTCTCGAACTCCTGACCTCAGCCAATCTACCCGCCTCGGCCTCCCACGGTGCTGGTATTACAGGCCTGAGCCACTGTGCCTAGCCAGAATTTTTTTTTTTTTTTTTTTTTTTTTGAGATGGAGTCTCGCTCTGTCGCCCAGGCTGGAGAGCAGTGGCACGATCTCAGCTCACTGCAACCTCCGCCTCCCAGGTTCAAGCCATTCTCCTGCCTCAGCCTCCCAAGTAGCTGGGATTACAGGTGCCCTCCACCATGCCCAGTTAATTTTTGTATTTTTAGTAGAGACAGGGTTTCACCATGTTGGTCAGGCTGGTCTCAAACTCCTGACCTCGTGATCTGCCCGCCTTGGCTTCCCAAAGTGTTGGAATTACAGGCGTGAGCCACCACGCCATGCCCCAGATTTTTTTTTTAACCTAGAACTTTAATAGGATTAAATAAAATTTTCTTGATTTTTGGCTCTGTGTTTTAGCCTGTCAATACCATTTTGAATTCTGATTTTGCCATCCATCACAATCTTTCTAAAATTGTGAGACATCTGAAAATTCAGTTAACTCTGAACACAAAGATGTGACAAGTATGCAGATACTTACCCCAGCTTCTGAGGTTCAGGGGCCAGTTACATCAGAAGGTGAAACCTTAATTATCCTGATAGGGATTGAAGTGTGGAGGACTTTGTCACAGGCGAAAGCATACTTTCGGCCTTGCACATGTCTGGGTCAAGCGGAAACTTACCCTTTGCCCTCTGATGGTTCACTGAAAAATCAACGGACAAAATGCAGATTATTAAGGGTAATGGCGCACAAACTGATTAGCATGCACGGGGGAGGAAAATTACTCAGTGATTGCCACACCACACGATGGGTACAAATGGTTCTAGACCCTTCTTCTTAGAGGAAAGGGAGACGGGGAAGCGCGGGCCATTTTGGGGGATAGTAAATGATTTGTAAGGGAATTCAATGGGCTTGAAGAACATACAATGACCTGAGACAAAGTCTGTTGTGCCTGCGGAGCAGACAATGATTTGTGACAAAAGTCTGTCCAGTTGCATTGACAGACTTAGTCTTTCTTCCTGCGATATGAGTTCAGTTAACAAGACCTCAGGGAAGGGACCAGAGGTCACTTTTCTCTTTTTTGTAAGTCCAGATGTTAGGCAGATAAGGGAACCTCAGAGAACAACTTCATCCTGTATTTCGGGAGAGACAGAGGATGGAGAGACAGGAGGCAGCGGGGTCAGAGAGAACTCGAGACCTCTTCTTCAGGTCAGCATGTCAGAGTGCCATATTTTGGGGTATTGTTTCCTGAGCCCCAACACAGAAATATTAGACTGGTGCCAAGTAATTGCAGTTTTTGCCACTAAAAGTAATGATGACACCGCAATTACTTTTGCACCAACCTCATAGTTGGTAAGCTACTTCTGGTTCATTCCTGTCTGATCGGTGGCTGGGGGAGTCACAGCGGGACACCAGCCGTGGCAGGAAATGCCTTATGAGGAGTTGATAGGTTCACCTGGATAGCAGTTAAAGAGAGTCCTGCAGTCAAGGAAAAGACATCGATACAGATGTTTTTCACAAGGGTCCCTAAAAATGCAGCTTGTGAGCTAAGTCTCACCGTTGTCCAGCATTAAAGACAAAGGCTCAAAACCAAGGGTCACTTTCTGGACCCGGCTTGCCTAGTCACGAAGTTCTCATCTCAGCCACAAACCTGGGAAACCTCTGCAAAATTCCATGAACTGTATCAGGAGGTCAGTGGGGCATTGCCTGTCAACTAGAGCACAGGATAGGCACAAAAGGGTGGGACTCCCTAGGATGCTCTAGCTGCTGGGTGCCATTTCCCTCCAGCAGTTAGAAAAATGGCTGCTGGAGAGCCCCAGAATATCTTCTGATCTTTCTTTCCGGATTGCATCTCACACAAATTCTTATCCTTTTATTGCCACCCTCTGCCCTTGTGTACTCTGGAATCCAAACCAATAGCTTACCAGAAGGTCAATTAGAAAGAAAATCATCCCCATCCGTCCCGATCGCCAAACAACATTAAGTTGGCTTAGATTTATTTGTTATTTAAAAATTTTTTTGTTTTTGAGACAGGGTCTCACTCTGTTGCCCAGGCTGGATTACAGTGGCATGATCTCAGCTCACTACAACCTCTGTCTCCCTGGTTTAAGTGATCCTCCCACCTCAGCCTCCTGAGTAGCTCGGACTACAGACGTGCACCACCACACTCAGCTAATTTTTGTATTTTTTGTAGAGATGGGTTTTCGCTACGTTGCCCAGGCTGGTCTCAAACTCCTGGGCCCAAGTGATCTGCCTGCCTCTGCCTCCCAAAGTGCCAGGATTACAGGCATGATCCACGGCACCCAGCCTTTAACTTTTTTTGAGACAGGGTCTTGCTCTGTTGTCCAGGCTGAAGTGCAGTGATGTAATTCTGGCTCATTGCAGCCTCCACTTCCCAGGCTCAAGCAATTCTCAGCCTATCTTAGCCTCCCAAGTAGCTGGGACCACAGATGTGCACCAACACACCTGGCTAATTTTTTATATATTTTTTAGTAGAGATATGGTCTCGCCATGTTGCCCAGGTTGGTCTCGAACTCCTGGGCTCAAGCAATCCACCCGCCTCGGCCTCTCAAAATGCTGGGATTATTTATTTATTTATTTATTTATTTATTTATTTATTTATTTATTATTTTAAAAAGACCAAAATTTACCAAAATTTTGATGCCAGTGTCTCTGGTGGTAGAGTTATACAGGTTTTTATTTCTTTTATTTTTGCTAATTCACATTTTGACCAGGAAAGGAAGAACAAAAAAAGTTAAGTGAATAGGCTTTAAAAAGACATAATTCGGCTGGGCCCGGTGGCTTGCACCTGTGATCCCAGTACTTTGGGAGGCCGAGGCGGGTGGATCACCTGAGGTCAGGAGTTTGAGACCAGCCTGGCCAACATGGTGAAACTCCATCTCTACTAAAAATACAAAAATTAGCTGGGCATGGTGGTGGGTGCCTGTAGTCCCAGCTACTCAGGAGGCTGAGGCAGGAGAATCACTTGAACCCAGGAGGCAGAGGTTGCAGTGAGCTGAGATCACATCACTGTTCTCCAGCCTAGGTGACAGAGTGAGACTCTGTCTCAAAAAAAAAAAAAAAAAAAAAAGATATAATTAGGCCACATTTAAATTAGTGATGTTCTAATTTAAATTTGGCCTAATTATATCTTTCCAAAATTTTTAAAAAATTTAACTTTACTCCTAATTTGTATATTAAACTTGTCTCACTAGGAACCCAGAAAGAACAATATCTGGGAAAAGTAATACCAAGACCCAAGCACACACTGGTTCTCGGACTTCCAATCTAGGTAGCGATCACTCTTGTCTCTCATTTACAGCTTTGGGAGGATCCAAGGGGAATAGCTACTTCTGGATTCTGCTAAATATAGAACATCCCTGCTGCTCTTCAAAAGCAGCCACAGTGCAGAGCTACTGTTGGAAAAAAAGACCAACACTCATTTGTTCTGAAATGCAGGAACCCTGTTTGACTTTTTTTTTTTTTTTTTTTTTGAGATAGAGTTTTGCTGCTGTTGCCCAGGCTGGAGTGCAATGGCACAATCTCAGCTCACTGCAACATCTGCCTCCTGGGTTCAAGCGATTCTCCTGCCTCAGCCTCCCAAGTAACTGGGATTACAGGTGCCCTCCACCATGCCCAGCTAATTTTTGTATTTTTAGTAGAGACGGGGTTTCACCATGTTGGCCAGGCTGCTCTCAAACTCCTGACCTCAGGTGATCCAACCACCTCAGCCTCTCAAAGTGCTGGGATTAACCACGCCCGGCCCCATTTTACCTTTTAAGCCCTGTTTTTCTCCTAACTTCTTGCACTAACATTTTCTTTGAAACAATCTCAGAATTTTAAAATGCTTAATGAAAGGAACTACTGATCTGGGGTATATTCTAATACTATATCCCAGAATGAAAATCCATATACAGACATACCTCGTTTGATTGTGCTTCACTTCATTGTGATTTACAGATATTGTGTTTTTTACAAATCAAAGATTTGTGGCAACTCTAAGCAAGTTTATTCGTGCTATTTTTCTGTCTTTTTTTTTTTTTTTTTTTTTTTTGAGATAGGGTCTCACTCTGTCAGCTAGGCTGGAGTGCAGTGGTGCAATCTTGACTCACTGCAGCCTTGATCTCCTGGGCTCAAGCAATCCCTCCTTCCTCAGCCACCCCGAGTAGCTGGGACTACAGGCGTGGGTCACCACACCTGGCTAATTTTTTAATATTTTTAGAGACAGGTCCCACTATGTTGCCCAGGCTGGTCTCAATCTTCTGGGATCAAGTGATCCTCCTACCTTGGCCTCCCAAAGTGTTGGGATTATAGGCGTGAGCCACCATGACTAGCTTGGTGCTATTTTTCCAACAGCATCTGCTCACTTCAGGTCTCTGAGTCACATTTTGGTACTTCTTGCAATATTTCAAACTCTTTAATCATCTGTTATGGTGACCCGTGATCTTTGATCTTTGATGTTACTACTGTTTGGGGGCACCATGAACCATGCCCATAGAACACCACGAACTTAAGAACAATAAATGTTGTGTGTGTTCTGACTGCTCCACCAACCACCTGTTCCCTCGCACTCTGCCTCTCCCCAGGCCTCCCTATTCCCTGAGACACAACAGTATTGAAATTAGGCCAATTACTGACCCTGCGATGGCCTCTGAAGTGTTCAAGTGAAAGAAAGAGGTGCACGTCACTCACTTTAAATAAACTAGACGTGATTAAGCCTGGTGAGGAAGCCACGTTGAAAGCTGACACGGTTTAAACCTCTTGTGCCAAACAGCCAAGTTGTGAACGCAAAGGAAAAGTTCTTCTTAAAAGAAATGAAAAGTGCTACCGTAGTGAACACACAAAGGAGAAGAAAGCGAAACAGCCTTATTGCTCATATGGAGAAAGTTTGAGTGGTCTGGATAGAAGATCAGTCTGGCCACAACATTCCCTTCAGCCAAAGTCTAATACAGAGCAAGGTGCTCTCTAATTCTATGAAGGCTGAGAGAGGTGAGGAAGCTGAAGAAAGGTTTGAAGCCAGCAGAGGTTGGTTCATGAGGTTTAAGGGAAGAAGCCATCTCTATAACATAAAAAAGTAAAGCAGCAAGTGCTGACTTAGAAGCTGCAGCAAGTTAACCGTAAGATCTAACTAAGATAACTGACGAAGGTGGCTACAGTAGAGAACAGATTTTCAGGCTGGGCATGGTGCCTCATGCCTGTAATGTCTGCACTTTGGGAGGCTGAGGCGGGTGGATCACCTGAGGTCAGGAGTTCGAGACCAGCCTGGCCAACATGATGAAACCCCGGCTCTACTAAAAATACAAAAAATTAGTCAGGCATGGTGGCGCATGCCTGTAATCCCAGCTACTCAGGAGGCTGAGACAGGGGAATCGCTTGAACCTGGGAGGTGGAGGTTGCAGTGAGCCAAGATTGTCACTGCACTCCAGCCTGGGTGACACAGCGAGACTCCGTGTCAAAAAAAAAAAACAAACAAAAAACCGATTTTCAGTGTAGATAAATAGCCTTCTATTGAAGAAGATGCCATCTAGGACTTTCATAGCAAGAGAGGAGAAGGAGAAGTCAATGCCTGGCTTCAAAGCTTCAAAGGACAGGCTGACTCTCTTGTTAGGGCGAATGCAGCTGGTGAGTTAAAGTTGAAGCCAATGATCATTGAGCATTCTGAAAATCCTATGGCCCTTAAGAATTATGCTAAATCTACTCTGCCTGTGCTCCATACATGGAACAACAAAACCTGGATGACAGCACATCTGTTATAGCATGGTTTAAAGAATATTTTAAGCCTACTGTTGAGACCTGCTGTTTAAGAAAAAAGATCCCTTTCAAACTATTACTGCTCATTGACGGTGCAACTAGTCACCCAAGAGCTCTGATGGAGATGTACAAAGAGATTAATGTTGTTTTCATATGTAACACAATATCCATTCTGCAGCCCATCAATCAAGGAGTAATTTCGACTTTCAAGTCTTATTAAGAAATACATTTCAGGCCAGGCATAGTGGCTCATGCCTGTAATCCCAACACTTTGGGAAGCTGAGGCAGTCGGATTGCTTGAGGTCAGGAGTTCGAGACCAGTCTGGGCAACATGGCAAAACCCTGTTTCTACAAAAAATACAAAAAAAAAAATTAGCTGGGTATGGTTGCACGCTCCTATAGTCCCAGCTACTGGGAAGACTGAGGTGGGAGGATCGCTTGAGCCTGGGAGGTGGAGGTTGCAGTAAGCAGCAATCGTACCACTGCACTCCAGCCTGGGTGACAGAATGAGACCCTGTCTAAAAAAAAAAAAAAAAAAATTCATAAGGCTATAGGCTATAGCTGCCATAGATAGTGACTCCCCTGATGGATCCGGGCAAAGTCAATCGAAACCCTTCTGGAAATGATTCCTCACTCTAGATGCCATTAAGGACATTCATAATTAGCCAGGCGCCATGGTTCACACCTGTAATCCCAGCACTTTGGGAGGACGAGGTGGGCGGATCACCTGAGGTCGGGCATTAGAGACCAGACTGGCCAACATGGAGAAACCCCATCTCTCCTAAAAATACAAAATTAGCCGGGCAGGCGTGGTGGCTCATGCCTGTAATTCCAGTTACTCAGGAGGCTGAGGCAGGAGAATTGCTTGAACCCAGGAGGCAGAGGTTGTAGTGAGCCAAGATCGCGCCACTGCACTCCAGCCTGGGCAACAAGAGTGAAACTCCCTCTCAAAAAAAAAAAAAAAAAAAAAGAACGTTCGTAATTCATGGGAGGAGGTTAAAATATCAACATTTATAGGGCTTTGGAAGAAGTGATTCCAATCCTCACGGATGAGGAGTTCAAGACTTTGGTGGAGGAAGTCACTGCAGATGGAGTGGAAATAGCAAGGGCACTAGCAGTGGAGCCTACAGATGTGACTGAACTGCTGCAGTCTCATGGTCAAACCTAAACAGTTGAGGAGTTGTTTCTTATGGATGAATAAAGACAGTGGTTTTTTGAGATGGAATCTAGGCCTGATGAAGATGCTGTGAACATCAGTGAAATGACAACAGAGGACGTAGACTATCCCATAAGCCTAGTTGATAAAGAAGTGACAGAGTTTGGGAGGATTAACTTCAATTTTGGAGGAAGTTTTACTGTGGGTCAAATGCTATCAAACAGCATTACATGCTGCAGAGACATCTTCCGTCAAAGAAAGTGTCCACGGAAGTGGCAAACTTCATTGTTGTTCTATTTTAAAAGAAATTATCACAGCCACCCAAACCTTCACCAACCACCACCCTGATCAGTCAGCAGCCATCAACATGGAGGCAAGACCCTCCACCAGCAAAAACATTAGGACTCACTGAAGGCTCAAATAATTGTTAACATTTTTTTAACAACAAAGTATTTTTAAATCAGGGCATGTATGCTTTTTTAAAAAAACAGAATGCTGTTGCATACCTAATAGGCTACAGTATAGCTACACATAGCTTCTGTATACAGTGGGAAATCACAAAGTTCGTGACCTGCTTTACTGCAGTGGTCTGGAACCGAATTTCCAGTATCTCCAGGGTATACCTGTACTTAAACTAACGCATATTTTCAAGATACTGATGGAACCAGCTACCAATCAGGCACTCAGAAACAGCTTTATGAGTTTTCCAGATAGGTTCTGTGTCTTACACTTCTGTAATGCTATACTTTGGCACAAATACAACAAATAATAGTTCAGCTACACAAATGTGGTTTACCTAGATTTGTGGCTACAATTTTTCAAGTCTTCAGCAGTAGAGAAATCAAACTCACCCACCCCCATTTATTCCAGGATGTGCAGAAGGGTGTGGCAAGGAAAGTACCGAGTTCTGTAGAGGGAGAAAGTTACTTAATAGGGCACTATCCGATGAGAACTTTTCATTAATAATCTAACTTAGAAACTGAACAAAAGGATCTCTGTTCTTGTTATTCTTTTCTTCTTACCTTAAGCTCTGCTTGGCAGGTGCAGAGAGGAAGAGGACAGAGGGACAAGAAATGCCAATTATGACTCAAATCCCTATTCATTTATTTATTTTTGAGACAGAGTTTCATTCTTGTCACCCAGGCTGAAGTGCAATGGCATGATCTCGGCTCACTGCAACCTCCACCTCCTGGGTTCAAGCGACTCTCCTGCCTCAGCCTCCTGAGTAGCTGGGATTACAGGCGCGTGCCACCAAACCCGGCTAATTTTGTATTTTTTAGTAGAGACGGGTTTCTCCATGTTGGTCAGGCTGGTCTCGAACTCCCGAACTCACGTGATCCGCCTGCCTCGTCCTTCCAAAGTGCTGGGATTACAGGTGTGAGCCACCGCGCCTGGTTATATTCATTTGAACTGGGGGTTCAGGCTCTGAGCGTGGGATCAGCCTGCCCTTTCTTGTAAGTCTTAGCTGTTTCTAGTAACTCCCTGCTCTTCTGTCATTTCAAACCTATTTACATTCAGAGCATATAAAATCTTGTAATGAGTTCTACCAGTTAGTTTCCACTATTTTTGTTGTTTTCCATCTAAAGTTAGATTAAAACATAAAATTATTAAAACTGTTATAGTTATTTCTTCAGTTATGTGTAAAATATTAAATATCTGACCGTTGTGTGTATATTGTCTTTTTTAAAGATTTCTTTTCTGGCCGGGTGCAGTGTGGATCACACCTGTAATCCCAACACTTCGGGAGGCCAATGCGGGTGGATCACCCTGAGGCCAGGAGATCGAGACCAGCCCGCCAACATGGTGAAACACTACCTCTACTAAAAATAGAAAAATTAGCCAGGCGTGGTGGAGTACGCCTATAGTCCCATCTACTCTGGAGGCTGAGGCATGAGAATCGCTTGAAGCTGGGAGGCAAAGGTTACAGTGAGCTGAGATTGCGTCACTGCACTCCAGCCTCAGGGACAGAGCGAGACTCTGTCTCAAAATAAATAAATAAATAAAATAAAATAAATCCCTTTTGAGAACTTATTTTTGGTTTCGGCAAATTTGCTTAGACTTTTACATAATATCCTGTTCTTAGTTCTTTTTAACCTCTTTAAACATCTAACGTATTATTTATCTCTTTCATACTGGCCTATTTTCTTGGATTTTTAGGTTTAAATTCTCCTTTTGGTTGACCCCACCAGCCCTCCTTCTTGAAGGTTTATTTTCTGCCAAGACTTGCAATTGTTAACTGTGGTTTCAAAGCTAGCAGCTCGCCCTGAGAAGTACCAGAGCCCCTGGGTTGTGGATGCACAGGACAGGATTATATGAGCCTCTGCAGAAGGTCTGTGGGCTTTACCTGTGCCAGATTCGTGTTTATATTTTTAAATACTTTTAGATTTAGAAAAAAGATAAAAAGATGCAAAAATGATTTAGAGGGTTTCAGGATACCTTTTACATAGCTTCCTCTAATATTAAAATCTCAATAACCATAATAAAGTTAGCAAAACCAGTACGTTAATCTTTGTACAATACTGTTAACTATAGACTTGATTTGGATTTCACGTTTTCCCACTATATTCTCTTTTGTTGTTGCTGTCATTCCAAGATCCTATCCAGGATTCTGTGTCATTTAGCTGTTATATTCCACTGTGTTTTGAGTTCCTTTTCCAAGTTTTGTTTTTGTTTTTTTGAGACAGAGTTGCACTTTGTCACCCAGGCTGGAGTGCAGTGGCGCGATCTCGGCTCACTGCAACTTCTGCCTCCTGGGTTAAAGCAATTCTCCTGCCTCAGCCTCCCGAGTAGCTGGGATTACAGGCGCCCGCCACCATGCCTGGCTGATTTTTTTTTGGTATTTTTATTAGAGATGGGGTTTTGCCATGTTGGCCAGGCTGGTCTTGAACTCCTGGCCTCAAGTGATCCACCCACCTCGGCCTCCCAAAGTGCTGGAATTAAGGCGTGAGAAACAGCGCCCATCCCCTTTTCTAAGTTTCAAGGGGATCTTGTTTTCTTGGGTTGTGTAAACAACTCCAGGGTTATCCTATTACCTTTCAAGACTGTGTGGACTTTGGTCTTCTCATCTTTCTAAATTGTGAGGCACTAATCTTTTAATTCCAAACTGAATTTGCTCTTAGTGGATTCATCCATTTGCTAAGTGGGTAGCAGTCAAACTACACTGAGTAGAAAGGATTGGCACAGGCAAAAACGAGTGAAAACAAGTCTGCAAATTCCACACACTGAATAGAATACCTTCAACTTAATTTCTTGGACAATGAAAGTGAGGCAGGAAAATGGGGTCTGGAGTAGGGGACATAAGGCCGAGCCACAGTTCAGCTATGACAGGAAACATCCTCTCCATAGGGTGTACGTCGAGTAAATGACTGTGTGACTTTACTTAAACCTCTTCATTTACATAGGGCGTACACCAAGTAACCAATGGAAACCCCTAGAGGGTATTTAAACCCCCACAAATTCTGTAACCGGGCCCTTGAGCCCCTATGCTCAGGCCTGCTCCCACACTGTGGAGTGTATTTTCATTTTCAATAAATTCCTTCATTCTTTCCTTGCTTTGTGTGTTTTGTCCAACTCTTTGTTCAAGACGCCAAGAACCTGGACACCCTCCACCAGTAACAAAAGTACTGGGTGTTCTCACCAGAGACACAAAATTAGAGAACAGAAAGATCATCTCATCCAATGTTTCATGTTTTACAAACGAGAAAACTATCATGTTGCAAAGGAAATCAACAGAAAATATCACTTTGACACCAATTCATAGCATTTATTGACATTTCCATTTAAAATGCTAGGAAAGCTGTATAAATTGTAAACATGGAAACCAAATACTTGCATAAATTATTTCAAAAACTCTACAGCACATTAGAAAACAGTGCAGCTATTGAAGGATAGAAACATAAAACCGACAAATAGAAGGGAGGGGCCGATTATTAAATCGTATACCCATACTGAGATTTCAGTGCCTGTTTGAGGACCAGCAAACCATGATTGTCAAGTTTAAGTTGCAGTATTGATGCCACAGTTGGCCTCAATTTGCTCTGCACATTTCGTACATTAACGCTCATAATCTAGGGATGAGTGTGCAGGAAGAGCCAGAAAAACATGGACCTTGACAAAGGAGGGAGAGACAAGTCAGTACTCCAGGGCAGCTCTGCCGAGCAACCTTTCCTATTAACGCTAGCCAGACTCCCTGCGTCCCAGAGATGCTCCGGAGGAGGGCAAAGTCGAGGGCGTTCCCACTCCCCTTTTCTGAAACAAGTCCTCTGGTGCTTAGAGCAACTGAATGAATGGGTGGAGCCTCAGTTCCTCTAGTATCTCCCTCTTCTTTCCCCACATTTGCAGGAGGAACAGTACAGCATATGCGACTTGAACTTGGCCCTGTACTATTCCCAACTTGTACACTTAGGGAGTCAAGTTATGAATACTTGAAATCTGGTAAGTACAGGAAAGACTATTCGTGATGCTCCAAGTAGCCCAGAAAGGTTCTGTGTAATCAGGGACTGCAAGAGACTCAAGTCACTCAAAATTTCACCTCTGTCCCTTTTACCTATTCCTTTTTTTTTTTTTTTTTTTTCCAGAGACAGGACCTCACCCTGCAGCCCAGGCTGGAGTGCAGTGGCGTGATTATAGCTCACTGCAGCCTCCAACTCATTGGCTCAAGCGATCCTCCAGTCTTAGCCTTTCGAGTAGCTGGGACTACTGGCACATGCCACCATGCTCAGCTAATTTTTAAATTTTTTTTGTAGAGACGGGGTCTCGTTATGTTGCCCAAGGTGGTCTCAAACTCCTGGCCTCAAGCGATCCTCCTGCCTCAGCCTCCCAAAGCGTTGAGATTAGAGGCTTGAGCCACCATGCCCAGCCTATTCACTCTTTCTTTAGAAATGTGAAGTGACCCCTGAAAAACCTGGAGGAAGAAGGAAAAGGAAGGATCCTGGATAATTATCTACCCTGTGGGAAGCCATTTTAACTATACTGCATTAAGACATTCATTGCTTCTGTCACTTTCTTACTGGCTCCTAACTTTGTTTCATGTTTCCAAAGGCATTTAATATTCTTTTCCTAAATTTCAATGCTGCTGTGTTTTAAGATAAATTATCAAGCCTACTGTCACACACACAAGCATGGACTTAGCAATGTACCATGATGTTGCGATTTCCAAGTCATCTTCATAGTGGAGAAAGTAGTCCTGTTTAAACACTGACAATCACCTCCACGAATATCAAAAGAAACCCGAAATGCACATCCTCCTTGTTCATTAGGTAACAAGTGTTAAGTCTATCATAGTTGATGAGTATGTTACAGCAGCTGCTCATAGAAACCCTGTTAGAACGTGTTAACATGTTAGATTAAATGTAAAAATGAAGTTCAGTTGACTATGCCATAGAAATGTGTTTTGTGTTCACATGCTCTGTCTGCCGGTACAGAAGTGGACTTCCTCCTGCTCCTGTCCAGGGCAAATGTGGATAAGCAGGCTCTAGTACTGGCGCTGGCACCTTGCTCCGGAGGTAGAAATGACCACGGTGAAAACTCCACTTGAGCTAAAGTTAGCGTGGGAGTTAAGACCGGAGTCCTCCTTCCCCTGTGCCCAAAACGTTACCCAGCTTTCCTTCCAAACGACAAATTCATTCATGTCTGAGAATCTAGTGTGAAAGGGATGAGAGAGACTTATATAACAACTAATTTGTGAATTACTGCCAATGCACTGCAAATCAGTGTCCGAATGACTGGCTTGGTCACTGGAACACTTAGAAAAAAGTTGTGCGAAAGAAGGAACGCTGAACCTGTCCACGGGAAACGGGAGACTCCTATAGCACAGAACCGCGTGCTGGCTTTAGCCCAAAGCCTTTAGCGCCTACCTTCACCCGTGCTTTGCCTCACAGTCCGCATGCCAGGAAAGATCTGGCCGGCAAACACCCACTGCTTAAAAGTCATCTGCCACCCAAATCAAAACACTATGAAATTAATAAAATTTGGAGAAAAATGTGTAGGTAGCAGTAAAGAAGCTGAATATATATATAGATAGATAGACAGATACATAGACAGACAGACAGATAGATAACCCACTATGCTCCACAAAGGATATGGCGTGGCCAAACGGCTGCTTGAGATCTGCTCTAAACAATGACCTCAGTGTCATTCTCATCATTTTCGTCCTCTTCCCTTGCCTCCCCCACACTGGAGTACTTCCTCTGTAGATCTTCACAGCCCTGGTCGTTTCCTTGCTGCATGACTGCAAAAGCATCCTTCCAGCACCTCTTCCTTCTCTTCTGAAACTCCCTCAATAGTGCAGTCGGGGATTCTGTCCCCATATCAAAGCAGATCAAGATCAAGTTCATTTCAGTGACAGCTTCACTCCTTCCCTACAGCCTTTCCCAGGCCCACTCTCAGCTCTTCCTTCCACGCCATTTGCCTGGGTAGCTGCCCTGCCTTCAAAGTCACTTCAGAAGTTGACGTCTCCCCAAGATATTGCATTTCCAAACATGCAACTTCTTCTGGGTGCCTAATTCATTTATGTCTTTTGAACAAATTTTTTTCTTTTTGAGACACAGTCTTGCTCTGTCGCCCAGGTTGGAGTACAGTGGTGCAATCTCAGCTCACTGCAACCTCCACCCCCCGGGTTCAAGCAATTATCGTGCCTCAGCTGGGACTACAGGCATGCGCCACCACACCCAGCTAGTTTTTGTATTTTTTTGTAGAGACGGGGTTTTGCCATGTTGCCTGGGCTGGTTTTAAGCTCTTGATCTCAAGTGATCCACCTGCCTCAGCCTCCCAAAATGCTGGGATTACAGGCGTGAGCCACCGCGCCTGATCTCTTCGAATGAATTTTATTGACACTTAAACCATGTTATTTATCGGTATCTTCCATCTTCTATACCCACTCGTGCTATCTTAGATTCTAAAATCTCAGAAGGCAAGGCTCATGTCTGCTGGGTTATTTGGTGCCAGAGACACCAGAAAGTCGGGAGCAGAAAGATGCTTAATAAATGCAATCGGAAAATTGGTGAAGGAAGTGAAATTAAAGCAAAATGGGAGTGAGGAAACTGAGTCACACCGAGCTTTCGGTTTTGCTCATTACCCATGTGTGAACCCATTCACCGCAGTAGTGCAGCGTTTCACATCACTCATCCTAGGGCGTCCACATAGACAGCATGCTACATTTTCACAGTGCTTTATGCTCCCTCCTCACAGGACATCTGCACACATGATCACATCTGATTCTCACAACTACGGTGCCTGGGAGGTGGCGGGGGAGGTCTGTTCTTGTTTGGCTTATGGGGAGAATGAAGTTCAGAGAAGGAACCAGACATGGTCAGTGAGTGACAAAGTAGTCTCTGAAAAAAAAAAAAACAACATTTCTCCAAACATTCTGACTCAAATTTACAGTTTGTGTTACCACTAGAACTTTTAAAATAGGAAAAAAGAATAGACATAAAATTCAACTGTTCATTGTAGAGTGCTTCCATAAACGGACTCCAAAGCCACACGCTGTCAACGCAAGGACCCTTCCTTTCAGTGGATGACGTGAACTTAATGTCTGAAGACCGCTAGGGTACGGTGCTGCTCACACAGCTAGTTTTTTCTGAGTTTGGTGACTGGCAAAACTGTTGTGGCAGGCGTCGAGAGGAAGCAAGTACAAACTGTGTGTGCTTTATGACCACCAGCAGAGGGCTGGTGATCCGGGGGCCTGCTCACACCACACCATAACCACCGGCTGTTTATTATACATCATCTTTGGTCTTGACATCTGTTTAAAGGTGTATTGTTTCTAAGAATAAAAATACAGTTAAAATCCCTTTATGGTAGTTTGAAAGACATCAAAATTGCTTTTACGGTCAGCCCAATTTGAAACAGAACCCTCTTTCTGCAATGCTCAAAGGAGGTTACCATTTTTAGCACACTCTATGTGCAAGCCTGTATGGCCCTGAGCGGAACTGGGTGAGAAGGGGCCATTTATCCCGTTTGCTGTCACACGATTTGAATTCATTACAAGGTGTCCATAATAAAATTCTGCTTGGATATCTGAAATTCTTAATAACATATTCAGGAAACCTGGTATTTTTGAGTGACATACAAAGATAATCGTTCAATTTGGGAGGAGTCGGGTATTAAACCAAGACCAAGAGAAATTTGGTATTAAACCAAAACCAAGACATCAAGCCCAGAAAGGGGCATTCTCTCCAATGCTCCTTGGAGCCTCTGAGGATCGCCTGATAAGATGCTGCTGGTCCTTTGTTGAACGTCCTTGAGAGACTTACTCTCCTGCACTCCTTCTCTTTCAGAGGTGCCCAGATGAAAACTGGCTACATCTTACCTTCCCAGAACCAACTTCCCTCATATTGTAAGACTCTAAATCTGTACAACAGGCTTCATTAATGAAGGGCTAAAACATGGTTTTGAAATCCAGTGATTACACTTTGGAAACCTGTTTTAGCTGTTTCAGGGGTCTTAAAACTTGACACAGATACACAGGTTTTGATCAGTCAGAGCCCCAAATTCTATAGCCCCTTATCTGTTATTTAATGAAAAGTACAGTCATGCACACATCAGGATGTTTTGGTCAATGACGGTCTACATATTGATGGTAGTCCCATAAGATTATAAAATTGTATTTTTACCATACCTTTTCTATGTTTAGCTATGTTTAGATACACAAATACTTACCATTGTGTTCAGTACAGTAACATGCTGTACAGGTTTGTAGCCTAAGAGGAATAGGCCATGCCACACAGCCCAGGTGTGTAGTAGGCTATACCATGTAGGTTGTGTAAGTACAATCTAGGATGTTGGCACAGCAACAAAACAGCCTAATGACACATTTCTCAGAATGCATCCCCATCATTAAGCGATGCATGACTGTCTTCGCTGATCTAATAAAAACAGGTTAATAGTGAAAATCTCTTAGCTAAGCCTGCTTTTCTTCTGAGTTTCACTCAGGTACCAGAAAACAGAACAGCCCTTGCCACTGTTTTCTTTACCATTATTTGGAAAGTGGGGGAAATGTTTACATCAGGAGTACATCTTAAGCGAGATGATCCCCTCTTAGCCCAAAGAGCATAAGACAATTTTAATAGCCACTCGACAGAGTAACAGCACAATAAAATCAGAAATGAGAAGCAACTCTCTCCTTTCCCTTGGGGTCTCAAAGCTCTTTTACATTTCTTGATTCATTACAGAGAGGCTGAACTGAACTCAATTTCATTTCCAGGCTCTGAACACAGGGAATGTGACTGGTAGGGATGTATGTATAACAATTTCGTGGTGCTGGGAATTATTAAATAACTTCTGCTTACAGAAGATTTCTCATTCAGACATAATTTGTGAACAAATCAACAGCAAAGTGGAAGAAAGGATCAGTTAGGACCTCTTGAAAGCCGCATTCTACAGGATCGGCCTTAGCGATCGGTGCTGAACTGGGACATGACCAGGAGTTGTGTGTGCCCAATTAAGAAACAGCAAATACAATGAAGAATGTAGATCTAAACTTTGATCTGTATTTTGGATAATCAAATAAATATAAAGCTTTTTGCCCCACTTTGGGAGGGATTTTTTTTTTCTAGAACAAAATGAAACCTTCAACATATTCTTCCACTGAAAAAGCCAAAGTTCCATTTCAGACATGAAGGTGAAGGGCCCTTGGAGCTGTAGCACCAGAAGAAGGAGGAAGAATGCGGGTGATGGCTTTGTTTGGAGTCATCAGGCTCTACAACCTATCATTTGGTTTCTCACTAGTAGCTTTTTAAAATTCCCAAACAGTCTTAGTATTCTTGTTGTTAATGTTACTATTAAAATAAGTTCCTATGGAGTAAAAGAGAAAAATTAAGCTGTTAATAAAATGTCTTCAAACCTCTTCTCAGAAAACAAAGCAGCAGGTTCATCGTACACGTACCAGTCTCAATCCCACAGAAACGCTTGGTTCCTTTCATCCCTATGCTGTCTATACAGTTTAATCTCTACCTTTAAAAAAGAGACGAATGCAGTCATTTTGTTAGCTTAGGTTTGTGTTTTGTTTTTGTGAAGTGCTGCTGGCTTTTGGCCAAAATACATATATTTCAACTGAACCCAAGTGTTCAGACAATTGCCAGCCCAGTGAAAGGCTCATGAGCTGTCACACGACGTATGGCATCTTCTAAATTGCAACTTGCTCCCTCCCTTGGGCAGGCTGCCCGAGAGTTGCTCCTTCCTCTTCCAAACACCCACTCAGTTGATTTCCTTTTGGTCTTGCTTCCACAGGAAGCGGATACTTGGCAAATCTGCGAGGCGAGGCCGATCAGCTGTGGAAGTTCTGCACGGTGCTCTGTTTCTGGGAGAGCCGGAGGAGCTCCTCGCGGATTGCTTTGATGAGAGAGGCCGAGGAGTGGCCAGGCTGGAGGTCTTCCGTGGAGCTGGTGGGGTAACCCAGCCCAGGGCCCTGCAGTCCCCGGTGGGGGAGGTTCCCGGAAGGAGCTGAGGGCTCCCTGCCTGAAGTCCTTGGCACCTGAAATAGCGGTGAAGAAGAATACTCTTGATGTCCGAGCATGTGTGTCTGAAAAACATGGCAAACGTCACTGTACTTCCTACGAAGAATAAGCCGAAACATCAAATGCAAACTGGCTTTAGGAAGGTTCCCAGGACTGCCCACGTCCATCCACCAACTCAGCCCTCTAACAGGGCCCTGCTGCCTATGCTGCAGGTGAGGCGTGAAGACACCAGGGGGCTGGGGAGAACAGAAGGGAGGGAGGCTGGAGTGCCCCATGATGTGAAAGGTCGGGTGATATCTGAGAGCTGAAGGAGGTTAAGCGGATCCATGCCAGGCTGACAAGGGGAACAGGTGCCTCTGCCCTGGACTGGAGCCTACGCAACCATCTTCTGCTTTATCTAGCTGCTGTCTGTCTCCTGTCTCTGCGTGAGTGTGTGTCTACTGAGGGCTCTGTAGAGCCTTGTCTTTAAAAACTTATCTGCACTAAAGCATAAAATAGTTTTGCTGATATTTGCCGCATAGAGATTAATTTGGCAGGAGTTTCACAAGAATTATTACACTTTTCAGATTTTTTTTTCATGTTTATTTCTCTCCCAGTGGAAATAAATGTCTCTTTGCATTTATATGTAAGAGTACTTAAATCTGCGTACTAAAAACCATGTTAGGGCTAAGTTATTTGTGAGCCAAACATGACATTCCAGCTCTAGGTTCTTTCTACGTTTCACTTCTCCAAATAGTGACCGAGCAGTGTTCCAAAGTGGATGTGACAGGAAAACCTTAACACACCATGCCAGGCACGGTGTCTCATACTTGTAACCCCAATCCTTTGGGAGGCCAAGGAGAGAGGATTGCTTGAGGCCAGGAGTTCAAGACCAGCCTGGCCAACATAGTGAGACCTTGCCTCCATTTTTTCAAAAAAACAAAACACCAAAACCAACCCCAAACACCTCATGAAGCTAAGCTGGGCAAAATGAAGGCAAAAAAAGAGAAATGGCAGCAAACTTAAAGCAGATACCTGAGACTCTAAGTATAACAATGTCTCTTTTAGGGAAGCACCTTATTCTAAAGTTAATGTCTTTTTACTAGGTAAGAGCATCCAGCCATGAAAGGAATTGAGTGTGTCTGTTGGGAAGGCACAGAAATGCAACAGACACTGTAGCATAACGATAAGGAGAAAACAAAAAGTAATATTCTGGGTGGTTATTTTCAAACTTCATGAATTTATCCCCCCAAGATATACAGTTCTTGAGAAAAGCAAATGAAAGCACTTGTAGGAATTACCGATGCTCATATTGAGTGAACAGAAGTCTCAAAAAGAAAACCTGTGCCTTAAAATGTCCCCAACTGTGTGCTTATTACAAAATTACCTACACATGGTCATAATACAAATGACATTAACAAACCCACAGTGAAACACAAATGCTGTGGAAGAGCATGAATATTTATACAGCAATCCCGCCAAACATGAACTCCAGAGTTGTCACCTATAGATTCGAATTTACTACTGAAAGCTTGAACTCTGCCTCAAGAAAAATTATATACTTCCTAAAAGCTAGATGCTAAAAACTGTAAGCCAAAACACCAGGAGGCAGGAAAATGTGAGAGAGATTAAAACTTTTTTAAATGTAGGTTTTAAAAAGGGACCCCCCCCAAAGCAGAAGCTGCTAAATTGAGGGATTATGTCTTTTTTTTTTTTTTTTTTTTTTTTTTTTTGAGACAGTCTCACTCTGTCACCCAGGCTGGAGTGCAGTGGCACGATCTCGGCTTAGTGCAACCTCCATCTCCCGGGTTCAAGTGATTCTCTTGCCTCAGCCTCCCAAGTAGCTGGGACTACCAGCACCCGTCACCACGCCTGGCTAATTTTTTTTTGTATTTTTAGTAGAGACGGGATTTCACTACATTGGCCAGGCTGGTCTCAAACTCCTGACTTCGTGATCCGCCCGCCTCGGCCTCCCAAAGTGCTGGGATTACAGGTGTGAGCCACCGCACCTGGCCTATGTCTAAATTTTAAATGATGACCCAAACAGGAGATACTCACGGCCTCTCTTCGCCCCGCTTCGTCCTCCCCGTACGAAGGCCAGCCTGGCCCCCCATACTGGCTGCCTCTGCTTGGCGGGATTTCCACTGGCTGAGCTCCAATTCTGCTGGCAATCCCCACCTGTGTCAGGTGCTGGATCTGGGAGCCTGGAAGGAACATGGTGGAGTGGCCTGGTCAACATTTATAGGAGAGTATGGCTGCTGAGGATGGCTGCCGAGGAAGACACTGTCAACTCTGACCACTACACTCCTTAATGACAAGGGATCAGGACTTGGTACCAGTTCTATCTCCAGAAATCTCACCTCAACTGCCATACTGTCAGCATTTCCTGAGGGTCCCATAGGTAAGGAAATGCACCACGAAGCGGTAGGAAAATGTACCACGAAGCACCGTGGACCAAGCAATAAAAATAAACAAATAAAAGAAGAAAATCCCATTGCAAAAAAAGTCTGAAACAGAATTCTTGACCCCGTGACATTCATCCCTAAGCCTAAGTCTGTCCCCCATTTCGCCCTCCCCATTTCCACCCAGGGCTGTGCAGCCCTACTTGCTCAGATCTAAAAACCTACACCCTATGCGCCACTCCTCTTTCCTGCGCACTTCTACCAGCCCATCAGAAAGCCCACGGGCTCCTCTCCTGAAACACTGTGTGAGGGTGACCCCTCCTCCCTGTGAGCACCACAACAGCCCCAGTGGAACCACAATCCCACCCCTGATGCAACTGTTTTGGAAACACCCTGTCAGAAGACACTGTCAGCTCTGATCACTGCACTCCTTAAGGACAAGGGATCATGACTTGGTACCAGTTCTATCTCCAGAAATGGCATTTCCTAAGAGCAACAGACCATAAGCTTCTTGGTTCCTGGACTCTGATTTTCTTTTAATTCAGAGGCTGACAGTGATGCCCTTATTTTCGTGGCTAGACATTAGGACTGGGGATAAACGGTACCACAGAAGGTACTTCCATTCATCTCTGTGGCAGTTACCAACAAGGAGCAGCTCATTTATTAAGAAAGGGGTGACAGGTTTGGGAGCCACCATGAAGCTGAAGCCTGGCTCTTTCTTGCTTGTGGCTTCGAGATTCACAAGGAGCTGGTTATACAATATGCTTATTTTTTTCCCCTTAAAAGGCAGAATACGTATCTATTTAAATTCAGCATATTGAAGTATATTTTCATTATAACCCATATTGTGTCTGTAATGTAGCCACAAGACAATTAAAACCACTCCCCCAGCCTCACTGGTGCGGTGAGCTGATGGCAGAGCCAGAGGACTCTCTAGAGCTAATTACCCCCCTATACCCAGACATCTGCAGCCTCCTGTGGCTATGGAAGCCAGGTAATACACAATGTTTTTCTCCCTCACCAACTTCTGTCGTATGGAAATATACCTATATTGCAAATTAAGGGCGAACAAAGTGATCCTTAAGCACTGTGAAATAGAATACTTATTTCTAAATTTGGAAATTTCATCAAATTCACCAGTGATGCTCAGACTGGAACCACAAAGGCTCCAAGCGTCCATATCTAAAGGAGGCACCTCCTCCGTCTTTAAGTCTATTCCTACTCTAGTTGTCTAATTAATAACCTCCATTCTCTCAATTCTTTATTTTAAGAGATGGGGTCTCACTATGTTGGCCAGGCTGGTCTTGAACTCTTCCTAGCCTCAACTGATCCTCCCACTTTGGCCTCCCAACATGATGGGATTATAGCTGTGAGCTATCGTACCTGACCGACAACCTCAATTAATCAACCACATTTAAAAAAAAAAAAAAAGAACTCCTCGATGGTTTTATTCGGATATTTAATGATAACTAAAAGTCAGGAAAAGCTGTCCTGGCTCTGGGCAGAGCAATGCACTCTACTGGAGCACCAGGTCAGTTACTGAAAAATCCTAACAGTATTAAAATGATCAGGACTACCAGCACTCCTTGCCCAACAGACGTTGTTTGAGCAAATCTTGCAAAATGCTGCAAGAGCAGCGCGGTGTTCCCTGTTTCCAAAGGCTCAACCAACTGCACAGGGAGAAAAGCACACCTTCTGTGTAAAGCCACTCCAGTAGCTGAAATCATCATTCGGTAGGATTTTGTATCCTGTGTTGTTCACTTAACTATACAGCACAGGCTTCCCCCATGAGTCAGCATTGAGCCCAGCAAGCCGGGGTTTGCATTCCAGCTCAGCCATCGACAAGCCATGTGACCCTGAGCAACGGGCTATGGCTACCGCTGAGCCTTGATTCCTCACTTCTCCAGCAGGAATAAAAAATCTACCTCAGCTGGGTGCAGCGGCTCACGCCTGTAATCCCAGTACTTTGGGAGGCTGAGGCGGGCGGATCACCTGAGGTCAGGAGTTCACGACCAGCCTAGCCAACATGGTGAAACCCTGTCTCTTCCAAAAATACAAAAATTAGCCGGACGCAGTGGCGGGCACCTGTAATCCTAATCATAGCTACTTGGGAGGTTGAGGCAGGAGAATCGCTTGAACACAGGAGGCGGAGGTTGCAGTGCGCCGAGACTGTGCCACTGCACTCCAGCCTGGGCGACAGAACAAAAACTCTGTCTCAAAAAAAAAAAAAAATCTACCTCAGAGGGTTATTTCAAGGATTAAAAGACATAAAACAGATGAAGCATCAAACACATAGGAGGCAACTGGTAAATCTCAAATCCCCCTTTTCTGGCTTTTTATGACCTCTTCATCTTAAGTAGCTGCAGGATTTACTCAAGGATGCCCTTACTACTGAGTATCTGGGGAAACTAACAATTCTTTGCTATTATGCAAATAATGCCGTGATAAATATCTTGGCACGTCATTTTCCCCCAATATTTTGGATTTTAGGAGAGTGAGCCTGGATTTCCAGAACTGGAATTACCAAATCAAAGGCTCTGTAAGTCCTACCGCCAAACTGCCTTCCAAAAATTTAATAATTTATGCCACCACTGAAAATAATAGTGACAATGGTCATGGCAGCTAATATTTATTGAAAGTTTATGCTATGCTAGGCACTATTTTGAGCACTTCTGTCATCTTCTTTTATCAGCTAAACAACCAAGGAGGTAAGTACGAATATTCCCAGTACATATAGATGAAGAAACTGGATGCTAACTTTACCATGCCACATTATTATAAAAATAATTTCATGATTGAAATGGTGCATTATGGTGTTAATTTGCAATTTTAAAATAATTTAAAAACTGGACCTTTTTCCTCCTCCCACTGATCTTTTCAGGTTGGCCCACTTAATTTATATGAGGTATCTTCTACAATAAAAATACTTCTTGATCGTGAGGTGCTGTAAATTTCTCCTAGGTACTATTTTCTTTTTTTGAAAATAACTGGCAATTTTCAGACAAATACATGCTTCATAATTTTCTATAGTTAAAAAGGTAATCCTTCTAATAGATCTTAACATTTTCCATTATATGTTTTTACATAATTTCACCTAATAGAAATTTAAAAATAATTTCCTTTTGAATGTTATCAAACATGTATAATTTCTATATTCGTTCAGATTTTAAACTAAAAATTAATACATCTGAATTTTGCTTAGTACGCATGCCATGTAGGGAGGTTCAAATACCTAAAATTAGCAGGGGAATCAAGATTCACTGCAAAGCAAAGCACCTGTAAAGTTCAGGAAAACCTACAGGATTCCAGGACACACTATTTTTTTGCTGAGTAATAGACAATGCAAAATAAAAGAATTTCCTAGAAAAACCATAATGAAAAAATATCCACCAATTATTGCAAATTTGGAATTGGCTTAAACTACTTGCTTTTGTTTTGTTTTGAGATAAGAGTTTTGCTCTGTCACCCAGACTTTGAGAGTCGTTCGTTACAAGCTGAAAAAAGCACCTTCTTGAAAACTAACTCTTGTTTTCATGCCATCCAAAGTGCTCAGACCTAGATCTTTCCATTTACAGTAAGGATTTGGAAACGTTTTTCCTGGAGGAAGCGTGCCGTGAATTTCACATGAAGGGCCTGGTTCCAGAGCCAATCAGCAGACAGCAGCTTTGGGAGCTCCGCCTCTCTCTCCGCCTCCATCTCGGTCAGGATATGAGGGGAAACAGCCCTGAAACAGCAGTGGCAGAGGCCTCTGCACACTGACACTCTGAGACACCTAAAATAAAGTTTCTTTCAAGTAAATGTCCCGTAGCTCAGAAATGGAAGCTAAACAGCCACATATACCTGTGGTACCCCCGACAGGCCGAGGCCGGGCCACCGACGGCATCTCCTCCGAGTAGATCCCTCTGGCAGCAAATGGGGCTTCGGCGGAGGCCTGTGGCTGCTGAGGGTCAGGGGGCACCAGCTCTGTAGACTGCAGCAAACCGGGGCCAAAACCTGGTCTGAAGGCAAAGCAAACCAGCACATCAGGACTCCACTGCACCCTGGCCTTGGTATTCCATGAGGTCCACCCCCAACCTTACAGAAGGTAACACTTATTTGTCTACCTGCTTAGCCATCTCCTCTCCTGGAAGGGGAAGAGATGTTTCTCCTGCTCCCTGAGGGAAGGGACTTTTCTATTTGTTCACTGCCCTACCTCCAGCACTAGAACAGCGCCTGCAATACAGTTGATGCTGACAAAAGCCAGGGCCTGCTCATCTCCAGCATCTGCCTCGTCCTGTGCTTCCTACCCCTGGCTACACGTCTGCATCACCTGGCGGGCCCGAAAAAATCACGACGCTCACACTGCACCCCAGACGAATTGAAACAGAAACACTAGGGGCGAGACCAACACAGCGGTAATTTTTTTTTTTTTGAGACAGAGTCTCGCTCTGTCCCCCAGGCTGGAGTGCAGTGGCGCAATCTTGGCTCACTGCAAGCTCCACAGTGGTAACTTTTAAAATTACAGACGATCCTGCTGTCCATCAAGGCTGAAAACCAGTGTTCTAAAGCAGCGGATCGCAAACTTTTTTTTATCTCCAGACCTCTTTTGACTCATAAAAATTATTGAGGACTCCCAAGAGCTTTTGTTTCTGTGGATTGTATCGCTATTTACCAGATTAGAAATTAAAATGGAAAAAAAGTAAGTATTTATTTTAAAAATTTATTTACAAATGACAATTAAACATATATTAACATAATACTTTTCATGAAATTAACTATTCATCAATCCTCCCTCAAAAAAAAGTAGTGAGAAGAGTAGTGCTATATTGTTCAAATGTCCTTAACAGAAGGATTCTCATAGAGTTTGCATCCTGTCAGTTGCTGGATGTTAGGAAGAAAATCTGGCTTCAGAGAATACATAGTTGGAAAAGGAAGGAGTATTTTAATAGCCCTTTTAGATCATCTTAAAAAAATATTGCAGGCATTCTTCTTGCTACCACACAAAAATTCCACAAGTGGTAGTTCCTCAGGGGTCAGTTGCAATATGGAATCTGAAATGATACTGGTGAACTTTTCGTACTCTGTTACGCTAAAACCCATAGCTCCATCTTGCACTTTGAAGGGATCTCTAACTCATGCCTGATTTTATGACATCTGTCATTTGGAACATAGTTCACTGAGTTATGCAACCTTCTCGATATTGTTACCTCTCATTTTGCAGTATCGAAAAATCCCATTCATTAATCTCATCATCAAACTCATCCAGAAAAGTCTCTCGGTGCTAGGAAGTTGTCAAGTTCACAGTGGCAGGCAGACAAGTTCCCAAAATTCAAATTTTCACTTGAAAGCTCATTTTATCATTAGCAACAAATACTGGCAGTTGTTTTTCTTGAAGTGACAGGCTCACTTCATTCATTTTCAAGACAGTGTCTGCCAAACACCCGAGTCTGAATAACCACTTCTGCCAGCTGTTTGTTCAAGTAAAAAGCACAAAAGCAGTTGGTTCAGTTCAGTCTCCACTCAAACAATGGGAGCAAGGGCTTTTCTTCAAAATTCCATATTCCACAGAAATGCTTTCTATATATTTCCTCTTTTGTCACACAGACTACTAAAGACTTAAGGGTCCAGGTTTAATAAGATTTATGATTTTGACTGCCTCACCAAGGACATGCTAACATAAATTTTTAATTAATAAATCACATTTTTAAAACTGTGATTACAGGGCAGTGAAGAATATGATGACTACTCATACAATTTGGTGGCACTGCCTGGATGCATGCTAAAGACGAGCAGTTTTGGCCGGGTGCGGTGGCTCATGCCTGTAATCCCAGCACTTTGGGAGGCCAAGGCGGGCAGATCACCTGAGGTCAGGAGTTCAAGACCAGCCTGGCCAACATGGTGAAACGCCATCTCTACCAAAAATACAAAAATTAGCCAGGCGTGGTGGCGCGCACAAGTAATCCAGATACTCAGGAGGCTGAGGCATGAGAATCGCTTGAACCTGGGAGGTGGAGGTTGCGGTGAGCGGAGATCATGCCACTGCACTCCAGCCTGGGTGATGGAGCAAGACTCCATCTCAAAAAAAAAAAAAAAAAAAAAAAAGACGACGACTAGCAGTTTCACCCACCATTGCTTTTGCACTTCTGTACAAATGTCAATACAATGGAAAAAAGGGAAATAATATCTTAGTAATATTATGAAAGTTGTTTTGATCTCACAGACACGCCCTCCCCCAAAAGGGTCTCAAGCACCCTCCAGGAGTCTGAGAACTTCACCTTGAGAACCACTCTTCTGAAGAAATTCAAGAAAAAAAAGATAATAGTCTGCTACAGTTCTTTGCAAATGACACTGAACCACTAATTCACAGATGTAACCAGTTTGGTGAGAATGTAGGCTGACTTGCACTTATTCTCCAGTGTTATTTCTAGAGTATATCTCATAAACTGAAACCCAGGCTACCTATGTAACTCTCTTTAAATAACTGCTGTTGTTTTAGATTGGCCTCAGAGAGGGATGTGTGACATCCCTGACTTTATAGATCTAAGAGCCTTCCGTGAGGCATGCTCCTCCTTCAAGAACTGTAAACCGGAGCCCACACCTCACCTAATCACAGTCTCTGGACCATCCACCCACAAACTAGCTCTTGCCATTCACTTAATTCTCCCTACTTTCCCCCACCTTTTGCCAACATTTCCATCCCTCTATTCTTAACATGTTTTGCAATCCAACACTCTAAAATCCTTTAAAGTGGGTGATTATACAATTTATCATCCACACCACAACACTTCTGAGGGTAAAAGCTATTAATAATGGGACTAACTTGGGTAACTGGACCAGTCATGGTCCCCCATCTCTAACTTCTGCCCTGTATCACCTAAGCTCACCTCGCCAGTTTTACCTTTGCTGCTTTTGGATCACAAAGCTGTGTGGTAGGGGAGGAAGGGCGGAGAAAAGCAAAGCAAACCCCTCTGAAAATGATGATGGTTTAAAAAATAGAAAAATAAGTAGGAAGCAGATAACATTCCTACTTGGGTGTGACTTCTGGTCACTGAAGGGATGGCTGGGTTTGGTTTCTGAGATTCACTCTGTTTTATTGCAATGCCAGCTTTGTAATAAACCAGTGTCCACACATAGCTTGTCGACTGGTCTATTTCTCTAGCCTCACAGCAATGCTGTACCATCTTAATCACTTGACAGTAATGCACAATATTTAGAATGGTCCTAACACCTCCTTCTTCTTTCTCAAAGTGTCTGGGCTATTCTTGGCCCTTTGCATTTCCAGATAAATTTTAGAATCCATCTGTCGGTTTCCACATATTAAAAAGGAATTACTGGGATTCTGAATGGGATTGCATTGAATCTACAAATCACATGGGGAGAAATGACATTTTTAAAATACTGAGTTGTCCAATCTGTGAACATCTTTCTTTAGAGGGCTTAAAAGTCTTTGGTTAGATTTATTCTGAGGTGTTTTATATTCTAAGTGTTATTTTAAATGACATCTTTGAAATTTTTTTCTTTTCTGTTTGTTGCTTATATGCAGAAATAAAACAGATTTTTGTATACTGATTTTACATCGTTATTTTGAAATTTAGTTGGCTTGCTATTTAGCAATTTTGCTAAATTCCCTAAATTCTAACAATTTGTGTGTTGACATTTTAGGATTTGCTACTACAGAATTACATCATCTGTGAATAATAACAGTATTACTCCTTTCTTTGAATTCTTTACTCTTTTTGTGTTTTTCTTGCCTTGTTACAGAGCAATTTTGAATAGAAGTCATGTGAGCAGGCATTTCTGTCTTGTTCCAGCTCTCAGAGGGAAGGCTTTTTAACATTTCACCATTGAGTAATATTTGCCAAGATACCTTTTATCAGAATTGAGAAGTTCACTTCTATTCTTTGTTTGCTAAGATTTTTACCATGATGGGATGTTGAATTTTACCACCTGCTGTATCTATTGAAATGACAAGATTTTCCTCCTTTATTCTCCTTAAAGTGGTAACTTACACTGCTTGGTTTTTAAATGCTAAATCATCCTTACACTGCTGGAAAGAAATCCAATGTGGTTGTAATATGAGATCCTTTTGTGTCTACTGCTGGTTATGCTCACTGATATTTAGTTTCAATTTTTTTATATCTATGTTCATGAGAAACTGGCCCTCAATTTCTTTTCCTGCAATGTCCTTGTCCTTCTTGCCCTTGTCCCTCGTATCAAGGTGATGTTGGCTTCATAAAATGAACGGAGAAGTGTTCTTTTTCTATTTTTTTAGAAGAGTTTGTATAATACTGGTACCTTTCCCTCCTTCAGTGTTTGGCAGAATTCACTGCTGAAGTCCCCTGGGCCTGGAGTTTTGTTTGTGGGAAGAACTGTAATTATGATTTCCACTTTAAACATAGTTACATGACTATTCAAGTTTTCTCTTTCTAGGAATTTTTCCATTACAGAAAAAAAATTTTTTGAGACAGGGTCTCACTATGTTGCCTGGGGTAGTTTCAAACGCCTGAGCTTAAGCAATCATCCCATCTCAGCCTCCAGAGTAGCTGGGATTACAACCATGCACCACTGCATCCAGCCCCAAATTTATTAACAAAAATGGGTTCATAAAATCTCCTTTTTAATGTCTGTAAGATCTGGATTAATGGGTCCTTTTCATTCTTCTTATTGATAATTTGTTGCACAGATTATTTGATCAAGCTTGTGCGAGTCTATCAATTTTATTAGTTTTCTAAGAACAAATTTTTGGTTTTATTGATCCTCTCTTAATGTGGTATTTATTTTCTATTTCATTAATTTATATTATTATTTTTAATATTTCCTTCCATCTACTTCCTTTACATTTAATTGGATCATCTTTTTTTACATCTTGAGGTCAATGCTTAGATCACTGATTTTTCAGCCACTTTGCTTTCCAATATATGCATTTAAGGCAAAACTTCCCCCCTAAACACTGCTATAGCTGCACCTCACAACATTTGACATGTTATATTTTCATTATTATTCATTTTAGGATGTTTTGATTTCCATTTTGATTTCTTCAGGGTACTGCAGGTTACTTACAAGAGTACTAATTAATTTGCAAACACATAGAAATTTTCTTTTTTTTTTTTAACTTTTATTTTAGGTTCAGGGGTACATGTGCAGGTTTGTTATATAGGTAAACTCAAGTCACAGGGGTTTGTGGTACAGATTATTTCATCATCTCCTAGGTACTAAGCCTAGTACCCAATAGTTATTTTTTCTGCTCCTCTCCCTCTTCCCACCCTCTACCCTCAAGTGGGCCCCAATGTCTGTTGTTCCTCTCTGTGTCCATGAGTTCTCATCATTTAGCCCCCACTTATAAGTGAGAACATGTAGTATTTGGTTTTCTGTTCCTGCATTAGTTTGCTAAGGATAACGGCCTCTGGCTCCATCCATGTTCCTGCAAAAGACATGATTTCGCTCTTTTTTATGGCTGCATAGTATTCCATTGTGTATGCGTACCACTTTTTTTTTATCCGATTTGTCACTGATGGGCATTTAGGTTGATTCCATGTCTCTGCTTTGGTGACCAGTGCTTCAGTGAACATTTGCATGCATGTTTCTTCACAGCCGAACAATTTATATTCCTTTGTGTATATACCCATTAATGGAATTGCTGAGTCAAACAGTAGTTTTGTTTTTTTAACATCAATTAAATTATATTTATTTAAATATACTAATCAAAACACATTTTATGAAGCATCTTTTCTGTGACAGTCTGGTCTGTGCTGGATCCACTCTGTGCTGCTGTTTTCTGACACCAGTTGGTAGTTCTGTTTTTATGTCTTTGAGGAATCGCCACACTGCCTTCCACAACAGTTGAACTAATTGACACTCTCACCAACAAGCATTCCCTTTGCTCCACAACCTCACCAGCATCTGTTATTTTCGACCTTTTAATAATAGCCATTCTGACTGGTATGAGATGGTATCTCATTGTAATTTTGATTTGCATTTCTCTAATAATCAGTGATATTGAGCTTTTTTCATATGCTCATTGGCTGCATGTAAGTCTCCTTTTGAAAACTGTCTGTGTCCTTTGCCCACTTTTTAATGAGGTTGTTTGTTCTTTTTCTTGTTAAGTTCCTTATAGATGCTGGATATTAAACCTCGGTCAGATGCATAATTTGCAAATATTTTCTCCCATTCTATAGGACAGACAGCCTACAGAATAGGAGAAAATATTTGCAAACTAGAGCTTTTGCTGTGCAGAAGCTCTGAAGTTTAATTAGATCCCATATGTCAATTTTTGCTTTTGTTGTGATTGCTTTTGGCGTCTTCATCATGAAATCTTTGCTCACTCCTATGTCCAGAATGCTATTGCCTAGGATGTCTTCCAAGGTTTTTATAGTTTTGGGTTTTATCTTTTATTTTTGGTTTCTAACTTAATTCTACTAGGATTAGCAAATATACTCTGAGTGATTTCACTTCTTGAAATTTTTTAAGATTTGTTATGGTCCAGCATATGGTAAATTTTTAAAATGTATTTTAAAGGAAGCTGTATTTTACAGTTGAGTCCAGGGTTCTATATATGTCAATTAGGTCAAATTGATTAATCATGTTGTTCCAATCTTCTATATCCTTTCTGTATCTTTACATTTTTTGATGTGTTGCTCATAAGCCAAATACATTTTTTAAAAATCAAATCTAATAATCTTTGTCTTTTAATTGAAATACCTAGTTATTAACATTTAATGTAATTCATTATAGATCTGAATTTAGATATCTACCATCTTAAGTTTTCTTTCTGCATGTCCTGTAAATTCTAAGTTCTTTTTTCTCCTATTTCCTACCTTCTTTTGGATTATCTTTAAGTTATTTTGCTCTTCCTTATTATTTTATATTTAAGCATTCTTTAGTGAGCCTAGAACTACACTAGAATCCTTCACTTATAACAGTCTAACATAAAGTAGCACTTTTACATCTTCCTGGACAATGGACCTTATCTCCATATTAAGCATAATTATTTTAGAATCTGTGTCTGATAACTCCAATATCTGGATCCCCTGTAGTTCTGCTTCTATTGTCTATTTCTTTCTAATTAAAAAAAAACCTGTATTTTCTTTTCTTCTCATATGCCTGGGGGTGGGTGTGGGGGTGTGTGTGGAAGGGGGGCTACTGTAGCAATAATATAAGGCCAAGAGTGATGTAATCTTCTTCTAAAAGGGATGTTCATTTGTTTCTGCCAGGGAGCAACCCTAATCAACTTTCAAAGCTGAGCTTTACTTCCTGCAGGGACTGATCTACTTATGATTCACCCTTACTCCTAGAGCATAACCTCCAAACTCAAAACCTCTGGATGTTTACCAGGGTCTCCCCTCGTGCTCCCAGCCCCATGAGTCTGTCAAAGGCTTTGCCTGGCTTCCTAGGTGCTTCTTCTGGAATCCGCAGGTGTCCCTGGGGAAAAAGTGGCCCAAGAAGCAGGGCTCATGCCTCTGGATTTCCTGGATCTTGGTCTCATACCGCTTCACTGCCCTGTTAACTCTGTGGGGTTTTTAATGTTAATATCTTGTTCAGCTTTTCCAGTTGTCCTCAGCAGGAGAGTTGGTCCAAATTACCTAGCCTGTCATTACTGGAACAGAACTTAAATTCCAACTATTTTTCCCTCCTCTTCTGGTTAGATCAAGAGAATATACAACGCAGAGTTTTACATCTGCTCATATTAGCTAAAATTAGTGAGTTTATAAAGTTTTTAAAAACAGCCTATGTGAGAAAGTGATAATACATTTTGTTTTGAAAACCTTACCTTGGCAATGGACCCGTCGGGGGAGTCATTCCATAGTCTTCGTATCTCTGGAAGACATACAAAAGAACATGAAGATTAATATTCAATACTTATTATAAAGTGACAACAGCAAACTTATAAATTCAGCTTTACAGGATCAACTTTCAAGAGAATTATTTTCTCATTAAAACTTAGCATGTTACCGGGCACTCTGCCACCAAGTGATGCTACAAGTTTCGGTTCGAGGACCTGCACTACCAGACTTTAGAAAACACACAACTCATTTCTAGATCTTTCCTTCTTTTGTATATTACAACTATAAATATGAATAGCTGACAGGCTTGCTGTGCCTGCTCTTCCCCACAGATCCATCTGTATCTTCTGCTGCAAACCTGTATCTTCTGCTAAAAGGCCTCATATCTTTTGCTAAAAGGCAGGCCTGAATGCCCACAATTAGCACAAGTGACTCCAACCACATGAGCCACAAAGGTCAGCGAGACCCAGTGGCTGCCCAGTACCTATTCAAATACCTCAAGCAACTCAAGTATCAAATGCTGTCTCATGTTGCAGAATGCTGCAAAAAAAGAAAACCAGAAACTAGAGAGACTCTACAAGACGAAGGCAGCACGTTCTGTTTCTGACCGTTTACTGGTCCCCAGGAGACCCGGCTATATTTTCTGCCCTTAAGTTCCATAAGGTGCCCCCGTATCCTTCAATCAACTCTTTTTACTTGAGCTAACCTGAACTAGCCAAATGTTCTTTGACTAAAACAATATGCCACATGATTTAAGGAAACATACATCTAAGAGATCTGTTGTATTCCTGGTGAAATCAATATATCCTAACCCTAATATACATGGGACTCTTATTTCAACATTTCTTTTCAATAACTGTGAATTGTTCCTTTTGGAATTAGATATTTCAGAAGAACAGTAACTATGGGCAGAGTCTGTCCAGCGGCAGTCAGTTGGAACCAATGGTTTGTCTAAGTTAGGTCTAAGTCAGCCTTGCTTCTGAAGTTGCTCTAATATAACATCTTTCTTTTTACAAGCTGTCATTTACTGAATTAGTATTTTGAGTTAAGCATTGTATGAGCATTAACCTAGGCCCACAACATCACTAAAAAGTACTCACTGCCTCTGTTTTATAAATGAAACCAACTCACAAAGAAATTAGGTGATTTCTTCCTAATGTCTTTTGGACTCCAAAGACCATGCTTCTCACCAATCCCCCTGCACTGCCCATGGTTTCCAAAACAAGACACTCTCCTGTGAACAAATATCTATTTTGTGAGGGGAAAAAGTAGAGGCTTTGGAGTCACACAGACTGGCTTAACATCCCTGGGCCTATTCCTTTATGCCAAGAGAATATAACGATCTCCACATTCACAGAGTTCTAAGGGGATTATTAAATATGAAACCGTGGTCAGATTACTTCACCTTCTGACTCTCTCTGCTTCCATCCCCTTGGCTGTCATGTGGAACCTTGTGGAGTTCCCCAACTGAGGCAAAACAAGGGAAAGAGGGTTATGGAGGAAGGGAGAAAGAGAAGGAAAAGAAGCTTCCATTCCTTTTCCAAATAATTAAAGGGAAATCTGAGACTACATAGAGATTATTCACAGTGCTGGTGCTTTCGGCACAGTATGGGTTTTTAAAGCATATTCATATGCAAAATCTAAAAAAAAGTCAATGCTTACCAGTTTACCTACCAAAGTCTCAGGAGTTCTTAGTGGCATATTAAGAGAAAAACAATGAAAAATAGCTGTCCGCTTATTATCTGTTGTATCTTTGTAGTGTGAGGATTTCAACTCTATTCTCATCAGAAAAAGAATGTCATATTTCTAGGGACTACATGCCCTGATGAAAAGGTTTAAAAAAAAATGACAGACAGAATTTCTCTGATTCTGTTGCAGGATGGATCACACCTACATAAAAGTTTGGGAAACAAAATTGCATTTGAAGGTTTCAATCAGCTAGGTATATAAAAATCCCACTTTAATGCATCCCTTTTTTCTATTCAGTATAAAACACAGGCCGACAGAGTGAGGAAGGCAAGTTAGATGGTTGGTAGAGTCTGGGATAGGCCCGAGGTAAAGCAACCAGACAGTAAGGTCTGCTTGTGAAGTGTCTCAGCCCAGGGATTTGTACTTGCTACTCAAAGGACTAGTCCATAGAGAGCTTACCTTCTCAAGGAAGCAGCAATACCAACTATCACGTGGCCTGACTCACTGATACATAACACTCCTACCCTCGCAAAAAAGGAGTAATAATGTCATCAGGTGGCAAATAAAGGCTCATGCGGTAACTGAAGGCACCTTGAAATCCACATTCCTGTGGTTTTTCTTTTTTTTTAACCAAAAAAAAGCAAATAGCAGCAAATAAGAGAGTGATCAGGCTCCCCTTGGCAACATTAACTTTACAATCCATTTACAAACATGTTGAAATTATATTAGATATGCACAGATAAAGCCAATGATTCTGGTTTTCCACTAGATTAAGCTGCTACCATTCTCATCCAACTACATCAGGGTAACATCAAAAGTCCACAATGAGAAAACCATTGAATAATGGTGTTTATTAAAAAAATCTTACTATGGGCTTGAATTTATAAGGCATTATCAGGGAATCCTGGATCTGCAACACCTATGAACAATGAACAAATAAGAGAAATAACAACACGAACCTGCCAAAAATTACTGCTAAAAATTCATCAGCAGAAACCAAATAAGGAAAGGAGCAGAATCACGCTACACACTGAGAAAAGCAGTGGTCAAGGGGGAAACAAACAAACAAAACGAAGATTCTGGCAGCACGATGTGGCTCCTAAGCCCATCCCCAGAATGCTCAGCATTACATTGCCACTTAGAGAGAGTACACTGAGGGGTGCACTGGCAGTCAGGGTGAAGGGGAGGGAGGGGGAATCAGGAAAAGCCTGGAAGCAGAGAGAAGTAACAATCAGAGACCAGCAGTGAACAAGTTCAGGTCAGCTCATCAGATGAGCCTTTCCCTTTGGAAAACGCAAGACAAGCTAAGCTAAGAGGCTCGTGGTAGGTCTTCCTCCTCTTTTCCAGTCCTCCTGTCACCCTGAGATGCATCCAAGGCGTTGGACCTTCAGCAACTTGGCTTACTCAACACCAGTGAACCACATTTTACCTATCAGCTGCCATGCTGTGTTCAGCATCAGAACTGCTCCACCCTAACATCGTATATTCAAGACCAGAGGCAGGGAGACAATTAAGAAGGTGTTGGTGAGAGATGACGGTGGCTCCAACTGATGTCATGGTGTGGATGGATTTAAGAGGAAGAATCAGCAAAGTTCTGGCATGTTTAAATGACTCCAGCTTTCCATACCTTTCCTTTGCAGCACCTGGTCTATCATTTCAACTGCTCCCTCTCACCTGCACATCGCAGGTGCCTGACAAAGCCCTAGTCTTCATCAATCCCAATGCATATACTTGGGTACTGAATATTCATCAATGAAACTCGAGAACATTAATTAGAGCCACTTCAATTTCATGATAGTCAATCTCAACCACCCTGAAGGCTAAGAAATAATTCCTGTGTCCCTAATCTGTGTTGTCTCATTCTCCATAATAGGTCTTTCAAATCTCTCCTCTCCCTCACACCTCCTGCCCTGCCACATTTCTTCTGTTATTCTCAATGGATGATGACTCTGCCTTCTCTGCTCTGAGGATAAAAACCATGAGATGACTGGTTCCTCAACCTTCTACCAGCCAACTACAACCTGATTTTATCTGTGCCCAATCTTGCCCTCCTCCTTCCCATTAAATTAGAAGAAGCATATCCCCTCATTTCTTTTTTTATTATTTATTTTATTTTTTTTTTTTTGAGACAGAGTCTCACTCTTCCACCCAGGCCGGACTGCAGTGGCACTATCTCAGCTCACTGCAAGCTCCGCCTCCCGGGTTCACGCCATTCTCCTGTCTCAGCCTCCCGAGTAGCTGGGACTACAGGTGCCCGCCACCACGCCCAGCGAATTTTTTTTTTTTTGTATCTTTAGTAGAGACGGGGTTTCACCATGTTAGCCAGGATGGTCTCGATCTCCTGACCTCGTGATCCACCCACATCGGCCTCCCACATATCCCCTCATTTCTAAAGAGAGCTCTTCCACTGGTAATCCAGATTCATCTCATCCCCTTTTGTGAATTGTCAGACTCTTCTTCCGCACTGGCTCAGCACCATCCGCCATTAAACACGTTGAAGGCTCGCTGATTCTTCCTCTTGAATTTATCCACTGCATTGCACTAGCTGGAGTCACCAACTCTCTCACCAAGAATACTACAACAGCTTTCTATTAGTCTCTCTGTTTCTGACAACCATTCTTCACTCTAAAATGGGACTAATCTTTCAAAAGGCTTACCTAATTATGTCTCCACCTGCTCAAGACCCTTCCATGTGCAGCCATCACCCTCAGGATGACATGTAGGCTCCATAACCATCGGCTTCTTGCTTTTCCTCTCCTGCCTCATGTCTAACCACTTTTAGTGCCCGCTCTGTTACTACTCAGCCAGAACTCACTTAACTGCTTAGAACATACTGTAATAGTTAATTTTATGTATCAACCTGACTGTGCCACAGGACACCCCAATGTCTGGTTAAACATTATTTCTGGGTGTGTCTGTGAGGGTGTTTCCAGAAGAGGGTAGCATTTGAATTGGTGGACAGTAAGGCAGCCCTCCCCAATATGGGCAGGCATCTTCCAATCTGTTGAAAGCCTGAACAGAAGAAAAAGACAGAGGAAGGCTGGATTTGGGCTTCCTCTGACTGACTGCATGAGCTGGGACATGAATCTTCTCCCATCCTTGAAGCACCTGGTTTTCAAGCTTCCAGATTCAGACTGGAAACCATCGCTCAGGCCTTCAAACTACACCACTGGCTTCTGTGGGTTTCCGGTTTGCAGAAAGCAGATCATGGGATTCTCAGCCTCCATAATTACATGAGCCGACTCCTCATAATAAGTAAATTTCTCTCCCCCTCACTCTCTCCATACAAACACATATGCATACAGACACACCCACCCACCCACATACACACACACTACTAGTTCTGCTTCTCTGGAGAACCCTGATTATTTTAAATAATAGACCCTACATATGAATGGATAAACAAATGTGGTATATTCGTAAATGGAGTGCTATTATGTGCTGCTGTTTTCTTTGGGTCTATTATAAATAAATCTGCCATGATGTACAAGTCTTTGTATGAAAATATGCTTTGTTTCTCCTGGATAAATACTTAGCAATAGAATCCTGGTTCATACGGTAGGATATATGTTTAACTTTTTAAAGAGACTGCCAAACTGTTTTTCAAAGTGGTTGTGCTATTTTACATTCCCACCAGCAGTTCATGAGACTTCCAGTTGTTTACATTCTCATCACCATAATTGTAGATTTATTTCCACATGCAGTTTTATCAGTTTTTGCTTAATGTATTTTGAAGCTCTAATACTATGCACATAAACACGTAAGACTTTATGTCTTCCAGATAAACTGAATGCTTTATTATGAAATGATCCTCTTAATCTTTAATAATACTCTTTACTATGAGATCTATTTTGGCTAATATTAACATAGCCATTCCAGCTTTCTATGATTAGTGTTAGTATGGCATATCTTCCTCCAAACTTTTCTCCATACTTTTCCTTTTCACTTACTTGTATCTTTGTATTTAATGAAGGGTTCTTGTAGGCAGCATATACTTGGATCTTGCTTTTTATCCAAACTGACAAGCTCTGCCCTTTAATAGGGGTGTTTAGACCATTCACATTTAATGTGATTATTGATAAGGCTGGATTTAAGTCAACCATCTTGGTATCTGTTTTCAGTTTTCCCCATCTGTGCTTTTGGTATCTGTTTCTAATTTTCCCCATCTGTGCTTTATTGCTTTTCATTTCCTTGTCTGCCTTCTTTTTTTTTTTGAGACAGAGTCTCACTCTTTTGCCCAGGCTGGAGTGCAGTGGTGCAATCATGGCTCACTGTAGCCTCAGCCTCCCAGGGTCAAGTGATCCTCCCACCTTAGCCTCCTAAGTAATGCCCAGCTAATTTTTATATTTTTTGTAGAGACAGAGTCTCACTGTGTTGCCCAGGTTGGTCTCAAACTCCTAGGCTCAATCAATCCTCCTGCCTCAGCCTCCCAAGGTGCTGGGATTACAGGTGTGAGCCACCACATACAGCTTGTCTACTAATTCTATCATCTGTATCATTTTCTTCCTTCTTTGCTTGTCTGTTTAGTTTGATTTGATGCAGACATTATTAATTTTACCTTATTGAATGCTGCATATTTTTGTGTTTCTATATTCTTGAGCTTTGCTTGGGTTTAGATGTTATGGTTTTGTGGTTTGTTAGGTAGAACCAGAGCAGCTTTAAGTTGGGGCTAATTTTGCCCCATTACTGAGGCAAAACTCTTCCAAATACTCTAACTGATGTTGCATGAATTATGCAGTTTCCACCAACTGTTGGAAAAGGAACCATATCCCTCTGCTCAGGCTGCCAAAACAAAATACCTTAGAAATGGTGGCCTAAAACAACAGAAACTCCAGCACTTTGGGAGGCCGAGGCAGGCAGATCACGAGGTCAGGAGATCGAGACCATCCTGGCTACATGGTGAAACCCTATCTCTACTAAAAATACAAAAAATTAGCCAGGCGAGGTGGCAGGTGCCTATAATCCCAGCTACTCGGGAGGCTGAGGCAGGAGAATGGCGTGAACCCGGGAGGTGGAGCTTGCAGTGAGCCGACATTGTGCCACTGCACTCCAGCCTGGGTGACAGAGCGAGACTCCATCTCAAAACACACACACACACACACACACACACACACACACACACACACACGAACAGAAACTGATTTTCTCATAATTTTCTCGTAGTTATGGAGGCTGGAAAGTCTTACATCAACATCTGGCAGTGTTCAGTTTCAGGTGGGGCTTTCTTCCTGGCTTGCAGACAGTTGCCTGCTCTCTGTGTCTTAACCTGGCCAGAGAGAGATCTCTGGAGTCTCTTCCTCATTTTCTAGAGGGAGCAGTTCTATTGAATCGGGACTCTACCCTTCCAGCCTCATTTACTCTTAATTACCTCCCTAAAGGCCCTTATCTCCAACACAGTCATGTTGGGGGGTTATGGCTTCAACATGTGATTTTGGGGAGGACACAGTTCAATCCATAGCAAGAGCTTATTCCCAGGCCTGTGTGAATTTTGAGGGTTGTTCCTGCTAATCTTTTTGAGGGGCTCTTTTGGGTAGTTTCTGTGTACCCATAAACTGATCAGTACTCAAACAAAGATTCTCTGCAGATGCCTAGCATCCTGCTCAGGGTATCTCTCTGCTCTCCTGCACGCTCCCTCATGAACTCCAGCTGCCTTTTCCTCCCCAGACTTCCAAACTCCATTTCTTCAACTCAGGGAGACCACAGAGCTCTGCCTGGGGTCCCACCTGCTGCACCATGACTAGAAACTCCAGATGCAACCTGGGGCAACTGGAGGACTCAGTTCACTTCTCATTGACCCCTGTCCTTTCTTACCTAAAGTCTAATGTCAAGCCACCCAGATACTCCTTCCAGTGTTTTCAGTTGTTTCAGGAAGGAAGGTAAACCCAGCCTCTGTTCCTCCATCTGAAGCCTGTCCCATACACTTTAATTTCTGTGCCTCTGCTGTACTTCCCACCACCAGGAACATCCTTCTTCAACTGACAACCACTAATTATCCTTTAGACTTCCACAGAGATGCTATTTTGTCCAGAAAAATCCATCCTGTACTGTGCACTACTCTGCCTCCAGCACCTAAGCAGAGTGCCTGCGACACAGCAGGTGCTTTGTAAATATATGTGAATGAATAAGCAAATGAGAAAACTTTAAAGTGACCCGATGGCAGCTGTTTCCACATTTATTTTACTACCAAGGTTTGTTCTGTACCATGCATTTCCTGAAATATTATAAACCACCAGTTGTAATTTTGAAGATAGTTGTTGGAACAAGCTATATTTTAAAATTAAAAACAGTAATGATTAGATTGAATGGTACTCCCACCCCACCCCACATGATAGCAGTTCCCCATACTGGAGGCTCTCGGCCTCCCATGCCCTGAAGGAGACAATCTCTTGCTGAAGGCTCTTACTTTGAAAATTCAAACCCATTTCAGAGATAAAAAAGTATTTTACCATATGTCTATTGCCACCCAATTTCATGTAACAAGGTGGACCCAGTATAAACACTCCCTAATAAATTCATATTGTGACCTATTAGCTTCTCTCCAGAGTCAAACCTTAGTCCAATCATTTCATATGAAATTAGCAGAAAATAATGGTAGCTTTACTTCCTTGAGTTTTACTTCTTCTCCATCTCTCAGGAAGGTAAATTTGAAAGGACTAAGAAAAACATAAATGATAACAAAGGCAGATGAAATGCTGAAATGTCAACCTCCAAGATGGAAAGCTGACATTTGAAAGTGGTTGTCACTGTCCACGTGGGGACTGGCTGCCTACAACCTCAGAACCTCAGGGGTCTCTCCAGTACCAGGTGACCATACAAGAAACTCAACAACTTGGATACATTCTAAACTGAAACTTTTCTGGAGACATCAACAAGAATACATTTGACGGTTACCCCACCTCCATTCCGTGACACTGTTTTGAACCCAGGAAGATGCTTCCATAAAATCCCCCTCCGTTCCTCCACAAAGCAAAAGTCCTCCTGCCTTGGCCTCCTAAATTGCGGGGATTACAGGCATGAGCCTGTAAACCCACATAAACGGATACCTCCAACATTAAGAATTAATTTAGTAGAAGATAAAAACTAAGACCCATCACCCGAGTTTTAATTCTTATCAAATGCAACCACGGTTTTGTGCGGAGCCTGAAAGTCAGGCAGTCAGGCAACAAAGCTTCAACATCTTGCCCATCAGAGAATTCTAGAAGGCCAGTACTTACACTGCAGGGATTGTTGGCCGTCTGGGCTGGGCTGTAGAAGGACCCCCACTGGGTGGCTCGCCTCTCTTCCTGGGAAGGGGTGCTGTTTGCGGGCAGGCCGGGTGGGACTCCGGGGCCTACACCTGCGGTGCTGGCAGGCTGGCTGCTGGGGGCCACGAGGGCAAAGGCGTCGTCCAGGAGGGAGTGCATGGTCTGGCGTGCCTCCTCGATGGACGGCTGGGGTGGGATGTACTGGGAGGCCGGGAAGGGAAGGGCTGGATACCTCCCCAGTTCCACCGAGGATGGTGTCTGCACATCGGCTGGGAGGTCAGGATCCGACTACAATGAGAAATGGCAAAGGAAGAATCACACATGAGTTTTTGTGGCAACCCTAAACAGTTTTCCTGACATTGAGGAAAAGTTCTATCATAAGAATTAAAAAATGACAGTTGAGGCTGTGCACAGTGGCTCACACCTTTAATTCCAGGATTTGGGGAGGCTGAGGTGGAGAAGCACTTGAGGCCAGGAGTTCGAGACCAGCCTGGGCAACAAAGTGAGACCCCCCCCATCTCTAAAAAAAAAAAAAAAGAAAAAAAAAAAGAAATTAGCCAGGTGTGGTGGTGTGCACCTGTAGTCCCAGTTACTTGGGAGGCTGAGGTGGAAGGATAGCTTGAGCCCAGGAATTTGAGCTTTCAGTAAGCTATAATCGCATCATTGTACTCCAGCCTGGATGACAGAGTGAGACCTTGTCTCAAAAAAATAAAAAAATGACAGCTGAGGAATGTGCGTTACATTTCATGCGAAGGAGAGGGGAGGCTTGAACCAGAAAAAAACTGCCAAAATTCAACAATCATTTTTTCAGCAACACTCAACTATTTACAAGGCATTTCAGTACCTGGAAGTGAACATTTCTACTGAAAGCCCCTAAACAGCCAAAAATCATATTTCAAAGTTTATGTATTGAAAAAAACTAGTAAATTTTCCCTAGCTAGAAGTCAATAAGTAAAGTAGTCTATTGACTATTAGAAAATAGTCTGACATACCCTTAAAAGATCAAAACTTTTAAAAACTATACATATTAAAACTATGCATGTGGGCTGGGTGCAGTGGCTCACACCTGTAATCCCAGCAACTTGGGAGACCAAGGCAGGAAGATCATTTCCAGAGAGGCCAGGAATTTGAGACTAACCTAGGCAACATAGCAAGACCCCCATCTTTACAAAAAATTGCTTAAAAGTTAGCTGAGGGTGGTGGTGAGCACCTGCAGTGCCAGCTACTCACAAGGCTGAGTCAGGAGAATCTCCTAAGCCCAGGAGGTCGAGGTTGCAGTGAGCTATGACTGCCCCACTGCACCCTAGCCTGGGTAACAGAGAGACCTAGACTCTTAAAAAAAAAAAAAAGAAAAAGAAAAAAAAAAAGCCTACGTATGTGTGCAAGCAATTACAATATCTATTTTATGAAAACTATTCAGAACCATTTGTCTTTAAAATGAAGGTATCTCTGGATCACAAGAGTCATTAAGGTTTAAATTGGCCAGACACAGTGGCTCACGCCTGTAATCCCAGCACTTTGGGAGGCCGAGATGGGTGGATCACCTGAGGTCAGGAGTTCGAGACCAGCGTGGCCAACATGGTGAAACCTTGTCTCTACTAAAAATATAAAAATTAGCTGGGCGTAGTGTGCACGCCTGTAATCTCAGCCACTCAGGAGGCTGAAGCAGGAGAATCGCTTGAACCCAGGAGGCAGAGGTTGCAGTGAACTGAGATTGCACTCTTGCACTCCAGCCTGGGTGACAAGAGTGAAACTCTATCTCAAAAGAAAAAGAAAAAAAAACGCAAAGGTTCAAATTGTGTTCTATACCTACTGCTTAAGAGGTAGAAATATAAGTAACAATAAAGATTTTTTAAATCTCATTTCCCAATACTGTTATGAGCAAAACACGGTCATAATATACACCAGGTAAACTGTTAAGAGACAAAACCAGGAACCAACGAAGAAGAGTCATCCTTTCTGGTCTTACAGGCTCCATGAGCCCAAACAGCATGGTGACTGCAGCAGACACAGTGAAGAGAGAAAAGGTTCTGCCCGAGGGGCTGGGGACCCCATACCCTCTGTGAGGAAGGGTGGGCGGCTTCTATCTAGAATGCTTCACTTGCCACGTGCCTGCAGTTTAGCCCAGCTAGTTGGATCACCATACTTAAAGGGGCCAACGAAGACATTCCGTTACCCATCTGGATCAGTGAGTCTATTACAAAGACAAACTACTCTACAGACACATCCTTAAACTTAGCCCCCTATCTGAAAAATGCTTCTAACGGGTGATCAGTTATTATTCCTGCCAGCGTGAAGGGCAGTAGGTTCTTAACTCCAAACTGAGAGAGGACCATACAAAACTAGTAACCCCACAGTCAACCCACGGACAGGTTTTGCTTGGCCTACACACTCTTTTAATTGATAGCCATTATTTTAAACATCTGAAAATTTCATAGTAACACTCAGATTTCTGGGTTCTCTTGGCAGAGTCTGAAGCTCTGGCATGACCAGGCCCTCACGCAACACAGAAACCACCAACTGCCGTGAAGCAGCGACTGCCCTCGTGGGATGGGGTAGGTGCTCTTCTCTCCACGGCAGTCCCCACTGGCGACCTCCCTCTCTTGCACATGACACTCTTGGGCTTATGAGTCCATTTCTCCCAACTGCAACATCCCACTGGAGGTTCTACTAAATGAGATTTGTCACTGAGGAATCCTAATTGAGAATCTGGGGCCCCAAGGTGGCCTCTAGTTGATGATGTCACCTTGGAAGGAACCTGTGCTCCTTTCCTTGTGAGGTGGATAAAGGTCCACAGTCATGCCCTTCTCCAATTCTTGATTTTCTTGAGGAGCAGATGAGGAAGCCTGGTCGGCAGTGTACCACCAACCTAGAGCTCACGGGTGGAAAGAAGGGAGGGTGTGTCTGGAAGAACAGCCCACTGGTAAAAGGGTTTCTCCAGAAACAGAAGCGATGTTCCTGGCGGTGATTCCGGTGGCTGCGTATGTGACTCTACTGCAAGGAAGCAAGTAGTGTGGTGACACAAAAAACTGCAGGCACAAACTGAGATTCCACTGTGGGAAACGATCTCAGACATTTGAGCAGAGTCCCCAGCGGCTATAACCACTGCCAATCTCATTCTCAGTGGCCAGAATTTCAGAGAAGGCTAAACTTCTATACCGAGAGAGATGATCTGCAGATGGGAAGGACAGTCCCCTTGGATTCCCAATGGCCCCCGTGAATCCTGCCAGAAGGCCAGGAGCTCCTGGGCCAGGACACTTCCTCTTCCTGTCCTTCACCTTCTTGTTTTCTCCTCATTTTGCAGGCGAGACTATCAGAACTTGCAGGCCAAGAAGAGGATTTACTCAATTTCCTATATTCTACCATCTATATTTAGACTATAGATGTTTCACACATAGATGTGTTCAGATACAGTTTATCAGTCTTCAGAAATAAATGTACATCTTTTCACTGTTTACGGATTTTGGTGCCTATTTAGCAGTCCTTTGTGGGTGTTGCAAGAGGGTGACCAGACAGCCTGGTTGTCCAGGACAACCTCAGTTTATGCCTGTTGTCCCACGGTCATTATTAATAGAACACCCCCTTACACTTCCAAAAGTGTCTGGATTGGATGACAAATTACATCAAACTTTTTCTGTAAAGGGCCAGACAGTAAAGACTTTAGGTTTTATGAGTCATATAGTCTGTCACAACCACTCAACTCTGCCTTGCAGCAAAAACAGTCATTGATATCAAGCCAACAAATGGGTGCGGTTGTGTTGCAATAAAACTCTATTTAGGCCAGGTTTGGTGGCTCATGTCTATAATCCCAGAAATGTGGGAGGCCAAGGCAGGAGGATCGCTGAGCCCAGGAGTCTGAGACCAGCCTAGGCAACAAGGTGAAAGCCCATCTCTACTAAAAATACAAAAATTAGCCAGGCAAGGTGGCATGTGCCTGTAATCCCAGCTACTTGGGAGGCTTAGGTGGGAGGATCACCTGAGCTTGGGGAGGTTGAAGCTGCAGTGAGCCGTGATTGCACCACTGCACTCCAGCCTGGGCAACAGAGCTGGAGTGTCTCAAAAAAAAAAAGTTACTTACAAGAACAAGCAGCTGGCTGGATTTCTACCAAGGCCTGAATTATAATGGTCACCCTTATTACAAGGAACCAAGGAATATTTCTCTTGGCCTTAGGAGAACACACCGCTCAAGGAGAAGATATTTTTGAGGGGAAAGTGGAAAATTCAAGGTAATTCAAAAACACATAGTACTTCCCTAGTATAGGCTTGAAGATGAAAAAAAAAAACCCTGTACATGTACCACTGATTCTAAAATACAAGTTGAGGGAAAAAAAGATAAACTACCTAAGAAAAGATGAGTTCTGAGACAGGCATTATCTTTTAAAGTGTTTCAGAATTCAAAATCTGAGGAAGATTTTTATTTTGGGGCAATCTTTTAAAAAAGGAGCCACTGAAGGCAAGCAGCCTCTGGGGTGGTGTCTTCCAGGAAGAGGCTGCTCTGCACCCACAGGAGGAGGAATCCCTGCACTCTCTGCTAAGGAAAAAAGGAAGAAAACGATGCTGCAAAGCTACCGCAAAAGAAGGCTGATCTAGAGTCACTGAAGCAGGCAAATGAAGACAGCCAGGAGAAGACAGGTTCCTCCCCATACAAAACTCAATCATTTAAAAAAATCAAAGAGAGGGGGACTGAGAGGGTTCCCCACAAATTCCTTTGAGAGAGGAGCCCAGGTTGGCTGGAGAAGTGAAGGGACAAGAAGGGATGCTGCCCCTTCTATCTGTTTCACACCACAGCAAGTCTCCACTTGGCACAGTTTACAAAAGCTCCGGGTGACAACCCTGGGGAGCCCTCCCCAGATCAAGCCAAACCCCACAGATGCCCAAATACCCCCAGAACCCAACACAGCACAAGAGCACCACCTACTGTAAGAGCAGCCATGCACCACATTTAGAAAGTAACAGGAACTACTCAATTCCTCGTACTGAGGAAGACAGTAGTTTCATTTACAGACAGCCTAACTCTGAAATCGCACTGATCCCCATGAGTAGATCAAGAAGGTCGGTCTTTAAGACCCTAGAAATACCGTAAGTTCCTAAGGAAAAGTCTCATTCTTTCAGATGATCATAATTCAGTTGTATTTAGGCCCCATCCCAGTATAATGTTTGCACATTTGTGTAATTATATTTAGCCTATTTAAGTGCTTGTTATTTATATAATTTAGGAGAAAAATACAAACCTCAACTAAGAAATGGCTGGTTGCATAAGGTCTATCTAAAGCGATCACATCCATCGCAAATCCCTTCTCAAAGGCTGTGCTTTTTGCTAACGTGTCTCTAAACCAGGCTGGCTCTGTGAGTGCCTCCAGGAGGTGAAAGGGGCCTGCTGCAGCAAGGCAGGGCTCTCCTGGTATGGAGTTTAGGACGCCCTGTGTTTCCCAGTGCTGCCGGAGTTAGCGGCACCTGGCTCGCCCTCTCTGTCTTCGGGTATCTTTGTGTCTGTATTTCTCATGGGTTAAGTGAGGCTGGTTCTCTCTCCCCTACTCAATGCAGTCTGTGTGTATGCATCTTACGCTATCAATAACTGCCTTTAACACTTCAAGCAAATCTGTCTGGACCTCTTTTACTTTGGAAAAAAATAATCCCTTATTTATTTATTTAGAGACAGGGTTTTGCTCTGTCACCCAGGCTGGAGTGCAGTGGTGCGATCAAAGCTCACTGCAGCCTCGACCTCCTGGGCTGAAGCGATTCTCCCACCTCAGCCTCCCAAGTAGCTGGGATTACAGGCATGCACCACCACGCCTGGCTAATTTCTGTATTTTTTGGAGAGACGGGGTTTCGCTATATTGCCCAGGCTGGTCTCCAACACCTGGGCTCAAGCGATCCATCCACCTCAGCCTCCCAAAGTGCTGGCATTACAGGTCTGAGCCACCACTCATTATTTCTTAATTTCCATTAACCTCTTTCTCCCATAAAAGCAAAATATATATAAGCAAATACGCTATCTTCTTAGCACTCCAAGGACAGTACAGGGAAATAAAACCCTAAATATCCCTCCTCTCATTAGGAAACCCAGCCAGGCTAGCTCAGTCAGTAGAGTATGAGACTCTTGATCACAGGGTCATGCCCTCATACCTGTAATCCTAGCACTGTGGGAGGCCAAGGCGGGAGGATCACTTGAGGTCAGGAGTTTGAGACCAGCCTGGGCAACATGCTGAGACCCCATCTCTACAAAAATTTTTAAAATTAGCTGGGCATGGTGGCATATGCCTATGGTCCTAGCTACTCAGCAGACTGAGGTGGGAAAATTACTTGAGCCCAGGAGGCTGAGGCTACAGTGAGCCTGGATCACACCACTGCACTCCAGCCTGGGCAACAGAGTAAGACCCTGTCCCAAAAAAAAAAAATAATAAAAATAAACAACAAAACCAAATAACCCTCTGACTAGGGAGAAGGAAAAAAACCTTGAGGATATTTCTCTCTCTCTCTGTTTTCCAGTTAACCTCGAAAAAAGTCCCACTGTGAAGTCTGAGAGAACGGGGCTTACGTATAGAGAGGAAAAACACGGAGTGTGTTTCCAGAGGTGGCACTCGGCAGCACCCTGGCTGACAGCACTCAAGTCTCCCCTCAGAAGGGGTGGCACCCCACCCCACCCACTTCATGACCTAGAGGGCCCTGGTGCATCAGCCATCAGGCATCAGGCACTGATACCACACAGGGCGGCAGCCAGTGCTGCTGCTTCTCCTCCCCTTTCAGCGCATCTTTCTAGGAGCCGCCCCACCCGAGTTCCAGAAACTGGAGTCGGTGGCACGCACTGGGCATCCGATGTAGGCTGAGTTGTGGACGCCGGGGGGCCTCCTGTAGGTGCCATCGCTGTCTGTGGTGATGAGCCGGTCCTTCTCAGCGTCGGCAGGACAGCCGTTGACCTGGTGTTTCCGGCGAGGCTTGGGAGAACGTTTTATCCGTGAGCTGCCAGGAAAAAGAGAAATTATCTTCGTAGGAAATCACCCTTTTTGCCACTGACTTACCAACTAAACACTAAGTACCCTGAGTACCTAGGATGTGCTACCCCTGGAAACACCCCATAGGATATAAACGCCATGTACGAGACAGTCTCTGCTCTAAGGAAGCTCAGAGCATACCTAAACAGACCTATTAACCCACATGAAGCAACACAGAATGATATAAAGCCATTTGTAATCATGACATTCAGAAAAGAAGTCAGTGGGAGCTATTAGTCCCATGGGGCTAGAACTAGGTCTTTTTTATTTTATTATTCTTTTTTTGAGATGTAGTCTCATACCGTCGCCCAGGGTGGAGTGCAATGGCGTGATCTCGGCTCACTGCAACCTCCACTTCCCAGGTTGAAACAATTCTCCTGCCTCAGCCTCCTGAGTAGCTGGGATTACAGGCGCCTGCCACCACGCCCAATTAATTTTTGTATCTTTAGTAGAGACGGGGTTTCACCATATTGGCCAGGCTGGTGTTGAACTTCTAACTCCTGACCTCGTGATCCGCCTGCCTTGGCCTCCCAAAGTGCTGGAATTATAGGCGTGAGCCACCACGCCTGGCCCAGAACTAGGTCTTGAAGAGTGAATGGGACCTGAAGCCAGGGAGGATGTGGGAAGCAGGTGCCAGGGGCAGAAACGGCAGGCAGGTGAATGTTCAGGGGCTACCAGGCCGTCTCCTGGGTGGCAGTTCTGTCCGTGTGGCTGACCCGTGAAAAAGAGCTGGAGTGGAGGGGCAGGGCCGGCCTGCGACGGGAGCACAGGACCCACCTGGCAGGCAATAAGAGCCACCTCAGGTTTTGAGTAGAGAAAGACATACATGAGAGCCGTGTTTAAGGAAAACGCATCTATGTCGGGGACGGGAGTCTGGGAGACCAGGGGAAGGTAAGACCCCAGACCCTGCAGGCAGCTGTGAGAAAACCAACGAAGATCTGCTGGGTGCCAGCCTGGGTGGCTCCGGGAGATGAAAATATTGGAGGTGACAGAGTGGGAGGTGAGGAAGAGCCAAGGACACCACAGAAGGAGCCAGTGTGGGAAGGAAAGGGTGAGTGCAGTTTTAGACAGGCTGAATTGGAAGAGACAGATTAAGCCCCAGGAAATGCCCCGAGGCAGGCAGAGGGGCAGAGTTGAGAACAAAGCCAACGCCTCCCACACTAAGGTGACCCTCAGCCAGGGTAAGCCTTCCGAGTGGCCTCCACATCCTTCTGTGCATGAGCCCCTTCAACTGTCTTCAGAGACCTCCACGTGAACACGGATGGGGTCCTTCTGTCACAGGCCCTGCAGTAGCAGAGGGGCTCCTGTCCTGCTCCTGTGCCCCCCGCAGCACCTCTGCGCGCCCGCCCCACCGCCTAGCGCAGAGCCCCAGCCCACCTCTTCCTGGGCTCTATGAACACGGAGGGCACGCTGGCCGTGGGGTCCAGGATCTTGTCGATCTGCATCTGTGCCCTGCGGTACACCCGGTGTCGCTCCTTAGTGTCGCCCGAGGACAGGTCGTCTACCACCGGGAACTCGTAGTGCCCGCGGCGCTTGGCGCGCAGGCGGATCTTGTTGCGATGGTGCTCGATCTCAGACTTGTGCCGCAGCGCGGTCTGAATCTGAGGAAGGGTGAGGGAGAGAAAGACAGCCATAGAGGTCCCGGGAAGCTTCTGGGACACACACTTCGCAAAGTCTTTATTTATTTTTATGTTTATTTATTTATTTGAGACAGAGTCTCACTCTGTTGCCCAGGCTGGAGTGCAATGGCATGATCTCAGCTCGCTGCAACCTCCACTTCCCGGGTTCAAGTGATTCTCCTGTCTCAGCCTGCCGAGTAGCTGGGATTACAGACACGCACCATCATGCCCAGTTCATTTTTTGTACTTTTAGTAGAGATGGGGTTTCTCTATGTTGGCCAGGCTGGTCTCGAACTCCTGACCTGAAATGATACGCCCACATCAAGCTCCCAAAGTGCTGGGATTACAGGTGTGAGCCACCATGCCCAGCCAGCAAAGCCTTCTAGGAGCGCCTTCCTGCTATGCTCCTCTCCTCTGGCCCACACTTAACTTGCTGTCTGTAAGCTCCACGGAGTCACCGAGAGAGCGACAGGCACAGACCAGGGAGGAGCAGAGACCCTGCCATCCCACGAGCTTTACCCTCAAGCACTGTGTGGTGCACTGGAGTCTTGTCACCATCCCCCAAAGCAGGGAAAAAAAGTCACTCGAACCTTGGAAATCGGCCAATGACAACTTTAAAGAGACATCTGATAACCAGAAAAGAATATTTTCCTCCTTTAGAGATCTTTAATAAATAGGACTGACAGATATAAAGAGGATAATTACCTAGTGTCACCAAAACAAGTTACCTGACATGAGACCCCCTGCCCCCAGAGTGGTATCCCCAAAGACGGAAACCTGAACTGCGTTGAAGCGTGAGGAGGATCAGAAGCTGAAGTGGCTCTTTCTGAGGAGGGCAGCCCCTGGTCGGCCGCACTAACACTTTTCTGCATGTCTGCCAATGCGCCCCAGAGTGTCCATGCACAGTATCTGATCTCCAACAAGCGTGATGTTTTACATTAAGAATCCTTGTCAGCAGCTTATGCCTTCAGTAACTAGTTGACACTGTACCTTGCACTCATTTTCAAACACAGACCCAATAAGTGTGTGAGTTTTTTTTGTTTTTGTTTTTGTTTTGAGATGGAGTCTCACTCTGTCAACCAGGCTGGAGTGCAGTGGCGAGATCCCGGCTCAGTGCAAACTCCCCCTCCCGGGTTCAAGTGATTCTCCTGCCTCAGCCTCCTGAGCAGCTGGGATTACAGGAACCCGCCACCACGCCCAGCTAATTTTGTATTTTTAGTAGAGATGGCGTTTCACCATGTTGGCCAGGCTGGTCTCAAACTCCCGACCTCAGGCGATCTGCCTGCCTTGGCCCCCCCAAGTGCTGGGATTACAGGCATAAGCCACCGGGCTTAGCCGAGTTTTTTAAGTAACAGACTTTTAAATAAAAGCAAATACCTCTTTGTTGATTTTATTGCTTTCCGCCACTCGGTCGGCTGGGGAGGGGCGCTGGACGGGAGGTGCCGGGATCGGCTGCATGGCGATAAGCTGGATCTTACTGGGGACCCGCCGGCTAGCCTCCGGGGGGCGGGAGATCCTGTCCACGTGCTCGAAGATGGAGGCTGATGAGTGCTGCTCATTTCCCGAACTGGGCAGTGGTGGCCCTGGAACAGAAGGAAAAGCAAAACACATACACGAAGTCATCTAAAGAAACAGCAACTAATCAAAATTGTGAATTATTCTTTAAAGAATCTTTGGATGGGCCTCTGACCAAAAATACATCCCCACTGCAGTAGCAGAGTGTTTACAATTTCACTCTCTGAGCTTAAATAGTCTGGGCTATATACTGTATCCTCTAACTTCATTAAAAATTACAAGTACCCTAAGAAGAGACGTGAGGAAATCATTATGATACTGTGTGAAAAACTGCACTGTTTTGTCTGTGGTTCAAAATCTTCATTCAGAAAGAATATAGGACAGAAGGAGCCTGAAGTTGCTCAGTAGTCAATAAGCCATTCACAGAACTCTCAGAAAACACATTTATAGCGGCTCTGAACTATTGCTACCATCTGGCAGGGAGCTCGCTGGAGTGATACAAATTCAGCTGCCAAGGCAATGTCGTACTACAGAGAAAACAGAAGACCAGTACGTGCAGGCAGGTACCAGTTAACAGTGACCACACTTCTGACTTTTCAGTTCTGATGTGGAAAGAAAACGAAGTTGAAGACACATGAGAAGAAAAAACCTGTTGCTTGCAGGGAATTAGTTCCTACTTTATTTATTTTTTTAATTTATTTTTTATTTTTTTGAGACGGAGTCTCACTCTCTCGCCTAGGCTGGATAGTGATTCTCCTGCCTCAGCCTCCTGAGTAGCTGGAATTACAGGAGCATGCCACCATGCCTAGCTAACTTTTGTATTAATACTTTTAGTAGAGACAAGGTTTCACGATATTGTCCAAGTTGGTCTTGAACTCCTGACCTCAAGTGATCCACCTGCCTCGGCCTCCCAAAGTGCTGGGATTACAGGCAGGAGCCACCGGGCCCGGCGCTAGTTCCTACTTTAAAAACAGTTGAAGAGTACATGTATAAATGGTTACATGGCAAATTTTAGGCCATGTATATTCAACCACAATAATTTTCTTAAAAACTAATCAGAACTGTGAAAAAAAAAAAAAAGAAATTCAAATGCACAAAAAAAAAGACAGAAAAGAAACACTTAAAAATATTAACAGAGACTGAATCTTCACATGATGGGTGATTTTTCCCCATGTCTTTTATTTTTGATAATGAGGATTTTCTGTAATAAGTATTATTTTTACAGTAGAGATAATCCCAATACACTTTAATTTTGAAAAAAGAGAAAGAGAAAAATGAAGACGGGCTGAGTAGAAAGAGCTAGTTACTCACACTTAAGAAGATCAACTGGCCAGGCACAATGGCTCATGCCTGTCATCCCAGCACTTTGAGAGGCTGAGGCAAGAGGATTGCTTGAGCCCAGGAGTTTGAGACCAGCCTGGGCAACATAGTTAAGACCTTGTCTCTACAATTTTTTTTAATTAGTTGGGCGTGGTGGCACATGCCTGTAGTCCTAGTCACTCAGAAGGCTGAGGTGGGAGGATCCCTTAAGCCCAGGAGGTAGAGGGTGCAGTGAGCCGAGATCATGTCTCTACATTCCAGCCTGGGTGACAGAGTGAGACCCTGTCCCCCAACCCCCGCCAAAAAAAGATCAACTGATGCCCTTCTTCTAATCAGCCAGTCACTTCTGGATGTTGCTTTCAAATAAATGGCCAGCAGGCTGACAGAGGGAATACGCACATGCAGAAAGTGCTTCTAAACAAAAGCCTAACATTTGAAACTTCAAAGCATAAGTGAAAAACACAAAGGTCTCTCCTCGGTGTAAAAAACATAGATGAGCAAAGCAGTAAGAAGCAGTAGTTGATGTTTCATATAAGGAAAGCACAGCATTGCTATGTAAATCTGTATTTTCTCTCAATTTGAATTACATTCATTATCCCAAGCAATCAGAAGTCATTTGGCTGATTCTGAATGAATGATGTCTGTCTGAGCCAGAGGACACCATTGTCTGGACTCCAGCTATGCTCAAGCTTTCTTTCTTGGCCCCATACCTAGAAGGAACCTGACTATTTGTGCATTTGTGCAATGGAAGCACAGCCAGGCACCACCATTCATCGGTGGCAGCTACTCAAGTTGCAGGCATAATGCCTAAAAGGAGATCATGAGCTTCTCCAGACAGGCTAGCCCTGCTTAACCCAGACTTATAGAGTAACAATAAATGTCACAGAGGGTAGCCCATTAAGCTACTGATACCTAGAAGTGGGATCACTTTCCTCCAGGGTGGCAGAGACTTCTGGGTTGCTGGGAGACAAAGGTGACAGGCATTAAAAAAAAAAAAAAAAAAAGGCCCCTCCCTACTGGGCTGTCAGCCCTGCCTGGGTACCACTGGAGCAGCAGCCTAAGACTGGGCTCCTGTCCAGAGCCCGGCTCACCCCCTCCCACTGTAGTCACGGCCCTTGCTTCACCCTCGCTGAACTGTTCACAGACTGCAACCAGAGGAGGGGATGCACAAACCCTGGGCCACTCTACAGAGCTGAGGGACCAAGCGGAGGAGAGGAAATAAGAGGTGCAGAAAATCTTCCAGCTTCCATACTGCCCAGAAGCCAGTCCTTCAACATGGCTGAAAAGAGGGGCTTTAAATTTTTTTACATATACATATAATATATATCACACATATATATTATATAATTATATCACACATATTATATATTAGTATATATTTTTGTTTATAGAACTGTATATGTAATATATAATTAGTAATTAGTAATATATTACTATTAGTAATTATATATTACATACTTCTATATCATATATTAATAAATATAATTATATAATATATATTATTGTTTGCTATGCATTGCACAATTTTTCTAAAAAAGCTCCCTGGGTAATAATGATTAGTACAAAGCACAATGGACACACAGAGATTAATGCTGTGTGAATCCTGCCTTAAGGCTAGTAGGAACTTGGGATTAAAACCCCTTTCTCTTCAATTATTTTTTAAAAGTAATGATATAAATTTTACTATAGAGTCAAGATACCTATTGTACCTCATGGTAACTATAATCAATAACAATATATTGTATACTTGAAAACAGGTAAGAGAGTAGATTTTAAGTGTTATCACAAAAAATAAGTATGTGAGGTAATGTATATGTTAAATAGCTTGATTTAGCCATTTCACAATGCATACACATATCAAAACATCATCATTTAGCCACAAGAAAGAAGGAAATCCTGCCATTTGCAGCAATATGGCTGAGCTTGGATGACATTAAGTAAAATAGGCCAGGCACAGAAGGATAAACACTGCACTGTTCTCACTCATATGTGGAAGCTGGAAAGTTGATCTAGAAGTGGAGAGTAGACTAGAGGTTACTTGAGGCTGGGAAGGGAAGAGGAGGGACATAGACAAAAGCTGGTTAACAGATACAAAAGCACAACTAGAGGCTGGACATGGTGGCTCTCGCCTGTAATCCCAGCACTTTGATAGGCTGAGGCGGGAGGGTAACTTGAGCCCAGGAGTTCTAGACCAGCCTAGGCAACATGGCGTAACCCCATCTCTACAAAAAATAACCCGGCGTGGTGGTGTACACCTGTAGGCCCAGCTACTCGGGAGGCTGAGAAGAGATGATCACCTGTGCCTGGAAGGTCAAGGCTGCAGTGAGCCATGACTGCACCACTGCACCCCAGCCTGGGCAACAGAGTGAGACCGTGTCTCAAAAAAATAAAAATAAAAGTGCACAGCTAGAGAGGAGGAATGGGTTGAGCACCTGTAGGCACTGTAGGGTAACTCTAATAATTTATTGCATATTTTCAATTAGCTTGAAGAGCATATTTTGAATGTTCCCAAGGCAAAGTAATGATAACTTTGTCTGTGGTGACAGATATGCTAATTACCCTGATTTGATCATCACACAGTATATTCATACATGGAAATATCACAATGTCCCCCATAAATATTTGCAAGTATTATGTATCAACTAAAAATAATAAAAGCAAAAAACACATCATGTTGTACACCATAAATTTATATGTTTTCTTACCATCAGTTAAAATACAAATAAAAATCTTAAAAAGAAAGAAAAACGCTGGGCATAGTGGCTCATGCCTATAATCCCAGCACTTTGGAAGGCTAAGGCAGGAGGATCGCTTGAGCCCAGGAGTTCAAAACCAGCCTGGGCAACATGGCAAGACCTCGTCTCTACAAAAAGTAAATAAAAAGTTAGCTGGGCGTGGTATGCTCCTGTAGTCCCAGCTACTCAGGAGGCTGAGGTGAGAGGACTGCTTGAGCCCAGGAGGTCAAGGCTGCAGTGAGCTGTGATTGTGCCACTGCACTCGAGACTGGGTAAGCAAAAAAATAAAAAATAAAAAATTACAGCATATGGGATTGTATAGAACAGGATAATGTCAACAAAGCAGAATGAAAGAGAATAGTTCAGCCTGAATTACTAAAATGACAAAGCAAGAGAGCATTTTTAAAGAAATATTATTTCATTATCTACAAGTAAACACAGTCAAACCACTTTTTTTGTCCCCCGAGACAGGGTCTCGCTCTGTCACCCAGACTGGAGTGTGGTGATGCAATCACAGATCACTGCAGCCTCGACCTCCCAGGCTCAAGCGATCCTCCCACCTCAGCCTCTTCAGTAGCTGGGACCACAGGCACACACCACCAGGCCTGGCTAATTTTTTCTGTTTTTTTTTTTGTAGAGTCAGAGTCTCGCTACGTAGCCCAGGCTGGAAAACCACATCTTTACTAATGTGCGCAACCCACGTTAACATCCTGTGAGACAGCAATCACATTTATCTCATCTTCATTGTATATCACCAGCACCTGACCACAGGCACTTAGCAAGCATTTGCTAAACGGATGACTCAATGACTACAGTCATCTCCACTATGTTTATAAAATTTTACCTTGAAAAGGTCTCTAGGAATCTGCCTTCATGAAAAGATAAGAATTCTACTTTATGATCTCAATCATTTTATAAATGGTACAGTACTCCAAAATTACTTGAAAAACTTCATTGTTATATGTACTCAATCTCATTTAAACTATTTTGCAAACTCTTTTAATTTTTTTAAAATATGGAATGCTTCCCCAATATGCATGTCATCCTTGCACAGGGGCCACGCTCATCTTCTTTGTTGCCTTTCAATTTTAGTCTATATGCTGCTGAAGCGAGCACTGCAAGCTCCTTAGCACATGCAAAAGTCAGTGTCAGCTTGGTTTGCACATGAAATTCTAGAATTTGGAATTTGTGGAATTCAAATGAAGTTTTAACTACTTAAAAATCACACACTTGCACACATGCAATCTAAGGAGAGCATAAAAGAATGCTGAGTATTTTGCAATCCTTACCTACTTGGTATATTCCTGATGATAAAGGGGAGCGAGAGAAAAACTACAATTATGCACAGACGCAGCAATGGCAGCCCATCTCCTGCCTCATCTCTCCCTTCACATCTTCACTAAGGGGATCCAGTGGTTATGATTTGAGTTATTTTAAAGCTAGAATAGCTGGGAACACAGTGACATCTGAGTAAATAATCTCTTAAGGGTTCATGGATGGCCATGAGGGTATGTGTCAGGGCCTAGTCACCTTCCAAAAACAGTCAGCTGGAAAAGGAATAAAGCACAACCTCCAATTTACCAAAACTGAAACAACAGTGTTCTCTCAGCTTCCATTGCAAGGTGGGTCCTTAATATGCCACATGACCTGGGACAGTCGTCAACAGCCTTGCCAAGAAGCCTAAAGAGAGCCGGTAGCTGTACCACCCGCAGGAGTGAGAGGGAACGCTGGTCCCATGGCAACATGGAAGAGGGCTCCATAATGGATCTCAAGCAGCCTCCCTCCCCGCTCCCCACCTCCATTAATTTTTACTTCATTACGACTTTCAACAAAAGAAATATTTTTATGTGAATTATAAAACAGGCCGAACATGGTGGCTCACGCCTGTAATCCCAGCACTTTGGGAGGCCGAGGTGGGCAGATCACATAAGGCCAGGAGTTCAAGACCAGCCTGGCCAACATGGCAAAACCCCATTTCTACTAAAAATACAAAAATTGGCCAGGTGTGGTGGTATACGTCTGTAATCCCAGCTACTCGGGAGGCTGAGTCATGAGAATCGTTTGAGCCTGGGAGGCAGAGGTTGCAGTGAGCCAAGATAGCACCACTGCCCTACAGCCTAGGCAACAGGAAGAGACTCTGTCTCAAAAAGCAAAAAATTTTAAAAAATAAAATAACTGAAAGCTAGGAGAAAAACTCAGAATATTTTAAAATAGGATATTTAATTTTCTATGCAAGCAATAAAATACCTACACAGCAGCATTAAAGCTATCTAATGGCACCTTTCAAGAAGTAAAGTTCTAAAAGTAAATTGATATTTATAGTGAGAAAACTATCTTTCTACAACATGAAAATAATGTACAGATTCTGCTATCTCTTCAAATTGTAACAGCAGCATCTGAGCTTCTAATATTCACAAAATCATCTAATTCGCTTCTTTCCTTCACATTCAAGCTCTCGGTCCCAGAGCTGTGATGCTTACTACCTGGATTCTGAGCCTATGTTGAGAGTGGTGTTTGATTTTTGTTATTCTTATAGAATATACTGGCTGTAATACCATCAGAAGGCATTAAATGCAGGCACTGAAAGTAAGGTTTTCTCAGATAAGCAATGAACAGAACTTGGAAAAATCCAGAGCTCTTTCCACGCCCCCCCAAATATTTCTTTCCAAGGATCAAAACGAGATTCTAATCCTGTCTATCTGAAACAGTATCGGTTACCATGGTGCTAAATAATTTTTAAGATTTTGAAAAACCACATCCAAAGAAAAAACTCTTCCCTTTTTCTAAGGGGATGTCCTTAACATTACAAAAGAACCAAGTGGAAGGAGCTGGAAGGAACTTCAAGGACCAGCTAGTGCAGCCCCACAGGAGCCTTGAAGGCTGAGCAACCCGCGAGGCCACAAGCGTGTCAGTGAGAGGAGACAAGGACAGGCTAGGGCAGCCCCACAGGAGCCTCAAAGGCTGAGCCACCCGCGAGGCCACAAGCGTGTCAGTGAGAGGAGAGGCCCCTGGGCTTCTGTCCAGTCTGTTCATTTCTAGAATACAGTTCACTCTGCACTGCATTTCCATACAGAGAAATTTATGATTAAAAACTGTAAGTATAAAAATTCCTATTAAAAATAATATCCTGGCCGGGCGTGGTGGCTCATGCCTATAATCCCAGCACTTTGGGAAGGCGAGGCGGATGGATCGCTTGAGTCAAGGAGTTCAAGACCAGCCTGAGCAACACGGTGAAACCTTGTCTCTACAAGAATATACAAAAATTAGCCAGGTGTGATGGCAGAGGCCTGTAATCCCAGCTACTAAGGAGACTGAGGTGGGAGGATCGCCTGAGCCTGAGAGGTCGAGGCTGCAGTGAGCCGGGACTGTGCCACTGCACTCCAGCCTCAGTGATAGAGCAAGACCCTGTCTCAAAAAAAAATAGTAATAATAATATTCTGAGGCCTCCCAATGATCTTTGCATTACTGAAATTCAATCCTTAAATAAAAATAAACCTCCAGCAAATACAACAGCTGCAGTAGCACATCTATTTAATACAACCTGTTACACTAAAAACAAGCTACCTTGCTATCACTCCAAAAAAATGCTCCCAAGTCTAAAGACTTGTGGGTCTCACTTTATTACAGTGCATCAGCCTTAACAGTCATACCCTTTAGAACAGGAGTGAAGTTCATTTTATACCTGGCCTGTGAAGCTGTCTGTGACTCCCAAAGTAAACATGCTAAACCATCTGATCACACTAAACCACCTGGTGGAAGAAAGATCTAGGAACAGAACTTAACATAATTGACTTGGGCCTATGATAAACAAACAACTTTCTGACTGACAGTTGTGAATCCTGGAATTGGTTCCTAAGAAAGCTATTGAATCCTGGGGGCAGTTTTTGAGACTCTGGTTTCAGTGTGCTTCCTCCTTGACCTCTGGGCAGGCAAATCGTGAGGACTCTTAACTAGAGTGAAGCGAGGCTATTAACCTTAAGACGTACCCCAGTGAATCCCTGGCCCCAAAGCAGACACCAATACCACGTTAGATGGTGACAACTGGTGCTAAGAAACCACAGGAATGATGAATTTTCCATTTCCCAGATTTCTTTTTTAAGGGTTTAGCATTTGAAATACTGTAAGGCCCCAGCCTTTGGACTCTCATAGGGACTACTTTTAATGGGAAGAACCAGAAGAGTCACAGACCGCTCTGCGGAGCTCTGTGGGACCTGCCATCGTTGACGGCTCCCGGCGTCTTATCTCCTGCGTCCCTCTCGCTGGACTCTTCACTGACCGTAGAGTCAGCATCTGAGGGAGAAACTCTGCAGACACAAAATGAATTGCAAACATTAGAAACAAGAAAGAATGAAAAGGAAAAAGTCCCATTAATTTGTGTGTGGAAGTCAGGCTTCCAGGCAAAACCAGCAGAAATGAAACGGTCCAAAAAATTATTCCATAGCACAGCGTCTTCAAGGATCACATTAACACCACAGTCACCTCCTGAAGACAGATTAACACGGCTTACTAAATGGCTCAGCAGGCTGCATTTCAACAAATGCTAGACAATTAAGTGCCAGATAGGAGGAAGGTCCCACAGTTACCAGGGCTCAAGGCCCAGCCCCTGGCCCCTAGTCTTTTCTGGACCAGCAGTCTGGGTTTAGCATGAGTTGGATCAAACAGGACCTGGGGTTCACGATTAACTAGGTCTGCAGAATCCTCAGGATGCTAGAGTAGCTATGCAGTCACCCCAAATAACTCCAGATCTTTGGAAGGTGCTTACACTGAGATCTGATTCTTTATATAAAAAGCAAGAGTACTGTGGCACCCAGCTTGCACCAGGGAAAATTCCTTCATCAGTTGGCTCCCTGGCTTCAATGACAATGTGGAATGCCAAGACATTCTGGTGCCCAGAAAGATGCTAAAACATTGTATTAACCATGCAGACCATTGAGCTATCATGACTAAATGTCAATGACAAGGCTACCAGGCAAGAAAAAAAAAATACTTTGCAAAATTTTACTTGCATATTAAATAATCTTCAATGATTCCATTTATTCTTAGCCTGCAAAATAATTAATCAAATAGCATCTCTCTACATAACTCATTTTCTTTTGTAAAGATCATGTTCTGACATCTATTACACTCTTATAACTAGGCCAGAACCCCTGGGGTAGGTTTCCTGATAAGACAGAAGTCATGACATCGTTTCAAATGTTGATATGATCACACACTTTTTTTTGCTCTTAGCAGGAAATCAGGATTTGGCGTTCCAAAGCTCAAAGAAAGGCTGACAACAGGAGGCTTCAGTAGCCAAAGCCTGACGGTGCGATGATGGAAAGTCAACTTAATAAACCCGATTCTGAACTCTGTCTTCTTTCACAGAGCTACAGCCCTTCTCACAGGGTCAGAGGGTGAGAAGGGGCTTCCAGGTAGCCTGGAAAACTAATAGGCAATTCTCCATGTGCTATACTTTGAGAGGGGGAATGGGGAGCGAGGCAGGGAGGAGGCGGTGAAGAGTCTTGTGTGATATCCTGACAAAGGTGACATACATAAGCAGCCAGAGAAAAACAAAGCAAACGCAGGAGGATGTGATGAAGGTCACCTGCAGGCAAAGCAATGAAGTCACAGCAGCTGCTGGCATCCCAGGCATGGACACAGCAGTCCACACAGGCTGAGCGTGTACCATGTGCTGTGCACTCCTTCTATGTTATTTCTGATATTATCTCCATGAGGCCTAGCATGCTCCCCTCAGGATATATACACATGAGCTGGTCAATCTCTAATCAAGTCTGATGGGGACCCCTAAACCATCACAGATAGTGATTCATGATCTTCAACCGTGTGGGGAAAGAAATCACACAGCCTTCTTTGGCAGCCCGTGAGAGTGGCTCGGAAACACTCTTGGGCTCCTGTGTGACTTTGGGCAAGTCATCAGTCTGCTGGGCTGCACATGCAGGGCTGCGCTCACCATCAGCCCCTGTGACATCAGAAACTCACAGCCTGATAACAGAAGCATGCTCTGCAACAAAGAATAATACAGAAAGCCCAATAATAACCTTCCTCTGTGACGAACATTCTTGGAAGGGATCTTTGACTTGGGGCTTGGCACGTCTCCATTTTCCGAGGGCGTGGTGTGGTCCTTCAGAGGTCCTGGCAGTGGCGCTGGCTCATGAATAATCAATATGTCGTCTTTATTGTGCTGACCCAGATGCTGCTTAGCAAAATCGAAGCCCTTCACACTAGGGATCTGCAGCTGAAACATACACACACACAAACAAGATTGTTAACCCGGAATCCAAGGCTGATGAGAGGAGCACAACTTCTGACCCAAGACTGTGCTGGCAATTCCACAACTCCAATCCAACAAGCATCGCTAGAACATGGACTGCATGCCAGGTTCTGTTTATACCCAGAGTTCCAGGAGAAGACAGGCACTTGTGAAAGATTAAACAAGAGTACACGGATTAAATAGCTAGACCCTAGGACAACACCTGACCTGCTATCACAGCAGCATACCATGTGCCATGTGGCAGGAGCAAGATATTCTTTATAGGGTAATGGGGACCAAAGCCAGGCCTTGAGAACAGACAGGACTTGGAAACAGAAAGAGGAGGCTACAAAGAGAATGTTCTAGATCATATCAGGAAGCAGAGAACACTGAGGACTGGGAAGAAATCACATTGGCTATGCTAGATGGGTCAGAGCATAGGAGCACGAGAGAAAAGTCCAGTCCGTATATGGATGACTCCAAAAACGCCAGCTTCTGGAGCTGGCCCTCTGGGAAACCAGAAAACCACTAAACATTTCTAAACAGGCAGATTTCTAAAATACAAGCACACAGGACACCAAGGAAGCAGGAGGAGAGCCTGGCCATGCGCATAAAACCACAAAGACATGAGCCCCAAATCTTAGCAGTGAACATGGGAAGGAATGAACAGCTCTAGGGATCAGGCAGAAAGACCTAGAAGCCAAATAGACAAGAGAGGCAAAGGAAGAGAAAGAAGCCATTGAGGACGTGAATTTCACGTGAAGAGTGAAAGTGACGTTAAGGGAAAGAGGCGAGTCATATAGGAATGATGGCTCGAGACAAAATGACAGGTTTCATTTCAAACACGCTTAATTTGAGGCCCCAAAGGATGTCAGCTTGGTGTAGCTGGAGGTGAGGAACCATAGCCTGGGGGAACTTGCAGGCTCAGATGTGACTTCAAGAACCACCCACATAAAGGAGACAGGTAGGGGAGCTGAGTTTTTCAACATAAATACAGATTCTGTGGATAAAGTGTTGGAGAACATCTAATAGTTTGGGGCTAAGAAGAGAAAAAGGAAACAAGGAAGAAAATAGAATGTGATTTCAAAGAAACAGAAGAATTTGGAAAGTTCCATGTAGTAGAAGCAAAGGGAACAAAGAATTTCTAGAAAGAAGTAGTCAAAAGAAGTAATGGGGCACAAAACCGAAGGAGAAAGGGCTCTTCAAAAACGTGCCCCACTCAAACCAGTGGATGCAGGATTCCTCTCCAGGGATACAAGCATCACCCCACACCAAACCCATGACAGACCCCTGAGCCTGCAACTAGGGATGCCAGGCCTCAGCTTCTAGAGCTGTGGTAAGATATTATGTCATCAAACATGCTATTTGTTGGCTGGGCACGGTGGCTCACATCTGTAATCCCAGCATTTCGGGAGGCTGAATCGGGCAGATCACCTGAGGTCAGGAGTTCGAGACCAGCCTGGCCAACATGGTGAAACCCCATCTCCCCTAAAAAAAAAAAAAAAAAAAAAAAAAAAATTCAGCCAGACATGGTATGGTGGTGCACACCTGTAATCCCAGCTACTCGGGAGGGTGAGGCAGGAGAATCACTTCAACCTAGGAGTTGGAGATTTCAGTAAACTGAGATCGCGCCACTGCACTCCAGCCCAGGTGAAAGAGTAAGACTCCATCTCAAAAAAAAAAAAAAAAAGCCATTTGTTATTGTTCACATTTCTTTTTTTTTTTTTTTTCTTAAGACAGTCTGGCTCCATCACCCAGGCTGGAGTGCAGTGGTACAATCTCGGCTCACCACAACCTCTGCCTCCCGGGTTCAAGTGATTCTCCTGCCTCAGCCTCCCAAGTAGCTGAGATTAAGGGTGCACGCCACCATGCCGGGGGTAATTTTTTTGGTATTTTTAGTAGAGATGGGGTCTCACTATGTTGCCCAGGCTGGTCTCAAACTCCTGGTCTCCAGTGATCCACCCACCTTGGCCGCCCAAAGTGCTAGGATTACAGGTGTGAGCCACTGTGCCCTTGGAAAGACCCTCCAAGGTATGTAGAAATGTGGACAATAACAGTATTTCTGATGACATGAAAAGTGTCAAGGTATTAACAGTTTCCTTAATTCAAGCTTGCAAAGCACAGGGAAATAAACTGCACAGCAATGGTCGTCCCAAGGGGTCTCCTCCATGGAATGCCAAAAGCAAACCGAAGCCTTCCCTCCTGCCCAGGCATATTCCACATCCACACAGTGACACTCTGAAACACTTCTCTGGTCTTCATCCCAGTTTCCTGGTGTACACCGCCTAAAATACGTGGAGTCTCCTGAGGATGTCTTTTTACAGGCTAATGAGTTGACTGATGACCAGCAGCCCCAAGGTAGCTGCAGGATGGGGGCTGCTCACCACAGAGCCCCAGGCATGATACAAGGGTCAGGGCATTCAGCCCCACCCCCCAACCTTCAGGGAGGGAAGAGGGGCTGAAGGTTAAGTTGATCACCAATAGCCAATGGTTAAGTTGATCACCATAGCCAAACAGGCCTATGTAAAGCAGCCTCCTGAAAAACGCAAAAGGGCAGGGTCCAGGGAGCTTCTGGAAGGCTGAACACTGTGGAGGTTCCTGGAAGGTAGCACCCCCACGGAGGGCACAGAAGCTCTGTACCCCCGATTCCCCCCACACCTCACCCTATGCATCTCTTCATTTGTGCGCTTGCGCTTTGAAATATCTGTAAACTAAGAACAAAATCCTAAGCCCCCAACCTACTGAACAGGCCCCCTCTTGGCCAAAGGGACTTCAGAGAAACCTGAAAAACCGAGTTCTTGGCTGTAGCAGGAAGGGAGGTGGGACACGCATCATTACAGCCCTTCCCTTGTAGAGTTTAGGCAAAACTGACCAGCATTAATATTAAAACCGAGATTATAAGACAGATAGAACAGATTCTTTGTGGTAATAAGATACCAAATTATAAACAAGACCTAAAGCCATGCAAAGGAGTGTTAAGTCACACCTACGAACAATAAAATCTGGTTAAATTGTTTTTGTTTTTGTTTAATTAACCCGGTATAATGTGGCTTACTTTCTAACCTGACTCTGGTATAGCATCACATGGCAGACAGCAGACCCCTTATCTTAACTTAAGCATTCCTTTGAAGTGACTTTCGGTCTTTAGACAAAACTTAACTCTCTCAACCAATTGCCAACTAAAGAATCCTGAAACACACCTATGACTTGTAAGCCCCTCAGTTCAAGATATCCCGCCCTTTCAGGCCGAGCTTCTATGTATTGGGTTATTTCTTCTCCTGTAACTCCTGTCTCCTTAAAATGTTTATGTGGAGGGCCGGGCACAGTGGCTTACGCCTGTAATCCCAACACTTTGGGAGGCTGAGCCGGGTGGATCATCTAAGGTCGGAAGTTTGAGACCAGCCTGACCAACATGGAGAAACCTCATCTCTACTAAAAATACAAAATTAGACGGGCGTGGTGGCACGTGCCTGTAATCCCAGCTACTCGGGAGGCTGAGGCAGGAGAATAGCTTGAACCAGGGAGGCGGAGGTTGTGGTGAGCTGAGATCGAACCGTTGTACTCCAGCCTTGTACTCCAGGTGGATTGTAATCCACCATTGTACTCCAGGGGGACAAGAACAAAACTCTGTTTCAAAAAATAATAATAATAAAAATGTATATGTGGAGTCCTGATAAGTAACAATGCGGAAGGGGTCCCACGTAGGGCAGAACAATTGTTCTGAGAAATGGCTCATCACAGACAACCTGCTGGCATGACATCCTGTTTCCAAACACCTCATTCTGCTCATAGCCCTAGCAGCATGACCCATAAAACTTCCCTCCTGCCCCCGTCTCTTGCCCGACAGCCCCTTCTCTGCTGTGCTGGCCACTGCACCCTTGCAACATTATCTTCATACATTCTCTAATAAATCTGGCTTTCTTTACCTGCAGCTGTCTTGGCCTTTACCACCCACAACGATGGCCCCAGCCAGACACAACGGCAACCGTATCAACCCAAATTGTAATCTGACCGCCTTGGGCCATTTACTCACAGCTTCTTGGGCTCGTGCTTTCTCAGGGCCATGGTCACTCATACTGGCTTGGAATAAACCTCTTTAAGATATTTTACAGAGTCTGGTTTTTCTGTTAACATATCCTTTGTGATAAACTGGTAAACAAAAGTAAGTGTTTCCCCAAGTCCTGTGAACTGCTCTAGCAAATTAATCAAACCCAAAAAGCGATGGTGGGAACCTCAACTTGAAGCCAGTCGGTCAGAAGTTCTGGAGACCTACACTTGTGATGGGTGCGGGTGGAGGAGGACAGTCTTGGGGACTCAGCCCTCCACCTGTAGGATCTGAGGCTACCTCCCAGTGGACAGTGTCGGAACTGAATTCAAGGACACCCAGCTGATAACTGCTGCTTGGTGTGTGAGGAAAGCCCCCCCCCAAATTCGGTCACAGAAGTCTCCTGTGTTGACTGTTGTGTGGTGTGAGAGCAGAGGAGAAACATGGTTCGAGTTTTTCCACTCACACACACACCCCTACAGAGTCCTGTCAGTCAAAAGACAAAGGCCAAACAGATCTAAGGAGTGATTTTAGACAATATATTACACACAGAAACAAAAGGCTTTGTCTTATTTGTGCTAACTTTATGCACAAATGAGTGACAACATCAGTGGCTTAGGTCTGTGACCTAAGGTCTTTTTTTTTCATTTGATGTGGTCTCGCTCTGTCACCCAGGCTGGAGTGCAGTAGCACAATCTCAGCTCACTGCAGCCTCAATCTCCCAAGACCAAGCAATCCTCCCACCTGAGCCTCCCAAGGAGCTGGGACCACAGACATGTGCCATCACGCCTGGCTAATATTTTAAAATTTTTTTGTAGAGACAGGATCTTGCTACATTGCCCAGCTGATCTGGAACTGCAGGGCTCAAGCAATCCTCCTGCCTCAGCTTCCCAAAGCGCTGGGACTACAGACGTGAGCCACTGAGACCGGCCTTAAGATCTTTTATAAGCTGAAATTCTCGGATCAATGGGTAGAAGGAATGTCATCTGCAATAATGATTTATGCCAGCAGAGGGGGACAAAACTTACAGTAAACACAATTTACAAAAATGAAACAAAAGGCAAAAGCTGACTTCCTGTTTTCTGATTAAAGAGCTCCTGTTACAGGAGTACACCACTCCACCACTTCAGCAGTTCATGAGCATAACAGCCCCTCAGCCTTTTGCAAATGACAAACCCAAACCTGTTGTTCCACTGCATGCCCATTATTATTTATTTAAATAAATGTATTTATTATGATTTATTTAAGTAAATGTATTTATTATGATTTTTTTTTGAGATGGAGTCTCACTCTGTTGCCCAGGCTGGAATACAATGGTATGATGTCGGCTTACTGCAACCTCCACCTCCTGGGTTCAAGCAATTCTCCTGCCTCAGCCTCCCAACTAGCTGGGACTACAGGCGTGCACCACCACGTCTGGCTAACTTTTATGTACATATTTTTTTATTACAGATGGGGTTTCACCATGTTGGCCAGGCTGGTCTCAAACTCCTGACCTTAGGTTATCCGCCTGCTTCAGCCTCCCAAAGTGCTGGCATTACAGGCATGAGCCACCACGCCTGGCCTATTTATTATTAAATATTTATTTAAAGTAAATTTATTAAGCACTTGTGTAAATTATTTAAATTAATTATTAAATATTTATTTACATAAAATAAATTCATCATTAGATGTTTCTTTAAACACATGTATTTAAAACGTATTTAAATAAAATGCGTTTATTTTCTCATCTGTGACCCATGGACTAGCACCCTGAGTTTCAACTGGTCTACCCAAACCCCGGGGAGCAGACACACAGTTTTCTAGGAGCAGGCAGCCCTTTTACAGGGATCATTCCAGATGCACACCTCTGTACAAGTCCTCCCTACACTAGTGATTTTCCTGAGAGCTGTCCAGCATGTGCCTGTGGTCCGGGCAGCATGCTGGCTCCCCCTCCCACCTTCCCTTTCCCAAGTCCTCCCACTTTACAGAAGAGAGGCCCGCCTGTCATCCATGCAGCAGCTTCCTGCGGTGCTCTGCCCAGAGATGTAGAAACCTCGGGAACATCAAATAAAATCACAATTCAAAATGCTGGTCTTGGTCAATCAAGGCACAATAAATTTGTGGTATGGTTTGCTTTCTCTCTTAAAGAACTGAGAGAGAAATACAGCCATGAAATAGGACAATTCGTTCCACGTTGGGAAACTGTGAACTTAGATATTCTGTAGAGGAGGTGGCAGCAGCAGCAGCAGCAGCAGTGAGGTTTTTATTTCATAGCTTCCCCTCGACCATCTCCCAGCCATTGAAGAACAGTTCACTCCCGCAGAAGAATACAAGGAGAACAGGGAAGAGGACGGCAGTGAGAAATGCCAAGGGCATTGTCTCATTTCATCCAGGGGACAAACTCATGGCAGGGCTCTGTGCTTTATCTGTCTATGTGACAACTGTAATCTTCAAGATCTGTTCAGCAGCATGTGGGAAACCCAAGGTGCCACAATGCATATGCTTTCCGTGAGCTCACCATCCTCAGGAATGAAAGCCTGGCAGGCACCCTTGTCCACGGGGACTCAGTTGGGGTCTTAACAACATATTTTGTATTAAAAGGAAAAAGGGGTGAAAAGGTCCATGTTTACTTCCGAAAGATCAAAATTACAACTTCAAAAGAACAAATAAGGGAGAGCTGAGTTAATACTGTATACTTTCCCGCACAATTACTCAGACTTGCAGGATACTTTCGTTCACTTCTTTCAAATGATTGATTACTGGATACTGCACATCTGTGTCCAGGTTGCTTGAATGCAAGTCACTTGTTCACTGGTCCATGACCCCTTTCTCTGCTGGTTTATTTGTTGTCCCTGTGTACTTACTGGATTTAGATCAACTACACAGCAACACGTTTGGATTCTACCATAATGTACTTAACAGCAATCATCTATGTGTCTTTTCTAAACCCCACACTTACTAGTCGAATATTTTTTCCTTTTGTTGTAAATTTCCACAAAGATTCAACTGCTCTCTTGAAAGCAAATCATTGATGTATGTATGGGCAGATGAAAAATTAGGCAGGCTAAGAGGTAACCCTCCTGCACATTAAAAAATCCATTCTGTGTGATTAAGATGATTCCTTTCTCAGACTTTGACATGCGGTCCTAATTTATGAAATATATAATTATAAATATTATTTTCATCTTGAAATGAAATACTAATCCATCTATATAATTCTCAAATGTCCATCTGTCAAGCCTTTTTCAGATGCCTGAGAAAATTGATATTGGATGCCACTTATTCACAGCTGATGATAAAAATCCTAACAGGAGCGATTTCCAATTTTATGGGGTTGCTTTTACCCCAGCAGCACTTCATTTAACTACATACAAGGTGCCTCTAAGCGAAAGAAAACAGATATACTAAACAGTCATTTAATCATCACCTCCATCATTTAATAAACCTTGCTGAAATCCTTTTTGGTATACTTCCCATTAAGAAAGTGAATGCCTCTAATGACTGGGCAACTGTTTTGTTTTGTTTTTAACAAATTAGGTGGTTTGCTTTACCAAAACTGGAAAAGGAGCTACAGATGGCCTCCCCTAAGTGGAGGTCTCCAAAGTCAACAACGTAAAAATACAAACAGTATTGCCTCTATAGGGCGGTCTACGTAGCCCAAGCCTAGGCACCTAAATGTCTTCCCTCACGTACACTCAGGGCCCATGTAGGAAAGAAACATGACAGTATTCATGAAAATGCTTCATAAATGCCAAAGTACCCTACAAATGATGCTGACAGCATTATTATTACTGTTGATTGATGAAACATCGAGCAGTTAATATACAGCTAAGAATTCTAAGGCATCAGAGTTATAAATAAGAATTTAGATACAATATTTTGTTAAGTCAACAACAAGATGCGACACAGGGTCCCTCAAGAAATAGCTGATGACCAGATGAATTTCAAAACGCTCAACTGAAGTACCAAACTGACTGGTTTTTTTCTGGGTAACCAAGAAAACGGCACGTGTCATAAATGAAATATACAAGTCCTCTTGGCTTACTGTTGATTCTGACCAAAGTCTTTAAATACATCCATTAGATCCTTGCACTTCTCACAAACTGAGTGAGTCATCACCTTCTATACCAATAGAAATTTGGCAACCAGTCTGTGCGTATTATGCACAAAACAAAAGCCATCTACACACAGAAGGAAAACCTAGAGGGAACACTGCCCCTCCTCCCTTAGATAATTACCTTCTTTTGTCTCATCTCTACTTGCCAGATCACTTTTTCTAGTTTCTCCACTTCTTTTAAAATAGAACCTAGAGTTCAGTCTGGCTGGTATACAATGTCTCCAGCTCCCTCCCACATGCAGCATAGGTTTAATCAGTATTTTATAAAAGAAGAATCAAGATTAATGAGAGTGTTCAATATTCATATTAGGACCGAGTTATTTCTGAAGAAGGATGGCTCTTTTGTTCTTTCTCTCTTTAACATATCACAGAGGGAACAGGCCACAGTGTCTGTGCCCCACCGGAATACGTCACCAACAAGCCCAGGAGACTGACTGGTGGGCAGGTCAGCCAAGTAATGAGAGAGACGCCTGATGAATGTGAACACGTGGGCCATAAATACAGTACAGCCCAGGTGGCACAAAACGCAGTGAAGCCCACAGTATTCGGGTTAGCCTGAGCCCCTGGGAAGGAGTTGAGATGACAATAGAAACACAGAGCAAATCCCAAAAGTGTCTGAACAAAAATTTGCCATCATGTAGCGAGTGCCATTGAAAGCATTTATTACCTGATTGATGTCATTTGTGAAACGTCACCACAACCACCATGCTGCTTCCATTTAGGAAGTGGAGACAAGGCAAAGTTATTGCCATCTGTTTGTCTTCAGTGCAGCCCCACACGGGCACTCCCGTAACCCTGTGGTCCCGGAGTTTGGGAGAGCAGGGCTCCCAGATTCTCCCACCCACAGGTGACACCCGGCACGGTCAGCCAGCTGTGGGTGAACTGAGACCACCTACACGTTAGGTGTGACAGGCGACCTTTGCAGAGAATCAAACAGCAACCATAGGGAATGAGCTGACCTTGGCTGAGATGGAACGATATGCTCACAGAGCCTCTTTTCAATTCACTGTCCATACTGCCTCCCAAAGGGATCGTTCCAAAAGCAAATGTGTTCAAGCTGCTCTCCCTGCTGAAAACCTTTCAATGCTTGCCCACTGCTTACAGCATAATTTGCAATCCCTTCTATGTCCTGAAAACCCCCCAGGGCCTGGCTCTCTGCCACCTGGCTTTCGGCTGTGCCCTTTTTTATGACCTTTGCTCTAGCTTCCTGAGCTGCCCTCCGCTCCCCCACTGGGCCCGCCTTCATCTCCACCGTGAAGCTTCAGCCCTGGTGTCACCTCCTTGAAGAAGGTAGAAGTACCCCACCACTGCAAATGGGGTGCCCCCCTCCTCTGTGTTCTCCAGACATCCTTATACTCCTGGATGTCTGCTTTCGGATGGCTCGTCCTTCTCCCTTGCTAAAGCCCTGGAATGCAGAGATCGCGTGCTATTTGTGTTGGTAACTGAGCCGGATCTGGTGTGGCTCACAGCAAATGCTCAATGTTTGGTGAGTGACACCCAGTGCCTGAGGCAGCTCCAGCCGGTTGCCCAAAGTGCTGCCCTTTAGAAGCAACCAAGGGCAGTCAGGAGCTCTGGTCTGACACCAGTAACGAGGTGTGGACTATCCCCCATCAGAAGGAATAAGTTTCCATGAGGCCAGTGGCATCCAGCCAATGCCATTCATGATGAAGAGGATCCGGGCTGGAGTTTTTTAGGCAACAGTAACAAATGATGACTTGAGTCTACAGATAGAGAATACAGATAAAAGAAAGCATGGGGTTTTCTTCTTTATTACTGAAAATAAGCAAAGGCTGTGCCTCAAAACAAGACAGAATGGCCTCTCCCTCCTATCATATTTCAAAATTAATCTACTCCCAGACAATCTGAAGAGGTTTCCTTCTCGTTACGAGGGGAAGGGGGGTGCAGATTTTAGGTCAGCAGATTTATTGTTTCCAGATGTTTGCAGCTCTGGGATTTGCTGAAGGATTTCCGAGAGTATGGTGAGGCGCATCAGGAGGTGGGGAGAGCAGAACGGAGAGAGAGACAACAGCCACATGAGCAGGAGACAGAGCTCTTGAAGTCATAGGGGAGGGTGACATCTCTGCACATTACCCTGAGGACGAGGCTAGAGGCCCTTTGCTATGGCCACATGACCTTAAAAGAAACACGTATGAACTAAAGACATTTGTTTTTAAACTAAATGAAGAGATCATTTTCCCATTTTAAACACACGACAAAATCTATAGGGTGGGTTCCTGTGCCAGCAAAACACGACTGAGCTTCTGCAACACTGGCAAGGCTTTGCCCTCCTAACAGTGTCAGAAGACAGTTATTCTTTTGGGGAATCCTCCCTGCAGGACCTTTTCTGTAAACCTGTTGTCAGGATGTATGGGCAGGTCTTTGCAGCCCTGAAGGAAAAAGAGCAGCTCTAAGGGCTGGAAGTTCCATCTGAAACTCTGTCCATTTGATTTACAGCCACATCTGGGACTTGAAAATGTTTAGGAAGTAAAAGTGAGAGAAGGAGAAAGCTTGGGGAATATTCCATTTTGACCCCAAGAGACGCTGTGCTCTGATAATTTACTGAAGTTACAGATAATAGATGGACTTCCATGGCAGTGTATACGTTAGGAAATGTGGCCCATAAAAGACCTAAATACATAACCGTCTACACTGGTTAACTCCCTCTGTAACAACACTCTTCAACAGAACAAAAACATTTCCAAACCTATTGTTGATCTTATTACAGTGAAATTCACACTATGAATCATTTAGTATACCCAGCACTTTTTTTCCAGGTTTCCCCATGCCATTCACCAGTATAACAAGAACAACAAAAGAACCTTAGCAGACTGTGTAAATAATAAACAAAGATAGGCAACAAACATAACATTAATGTATAAAATGCTTTTCATGTACTTGATAGCCATAAGCTTGCAATTTAATAAATACTTTGCATTTTTTTGTTAATTCATATGAAAAGACAAATACTCTTTCTTTGCTTTTACAAAAGTAAAATAAATTTTAAAGTAATGCATATTTTTTTTCCATTCGACAGGTCTAGGTTTGTAATATGCAGAATTTTTCATACCCAAGACAACCAAAATAAAGTTTAAAAATAAATAGGGCAATCTTTTATTCTTTGTTTTTTGACTTTTGCTTGTTTTTATCAAGCTTTTAAAGCAGGATGAGTCCTCCAAATCTGGGAGACCCACGGAAAGTGCATGTTAATCCAGCAGACTGTTAGTAACAGTGGACTGACTACCACGTTCCACTCCCTTGGTAAACACGCTGACTGATACTTATGCTGTACTAGTGAGTGCTCCTCTAGGCCTGGCATGTTTTTGCTCACACCAGGTGAGCTCAATGTTGACCAAAAGTCAATGTCTTTGCTCTGAAACCTGATGTGACCCTCGAATACTATGGAAACTGTTGAAACATACGTTGGAAAAGAAAATTGCTATTTCTATAAACACTTAAGTTGAATGCTTTGGAAAGACATAGGAAAGAGGGGTTACTTAAAAAATCTGCTGTCAAATTAGGTGTGAGTGAATTAACTCAAAAGTCTGCAAAATTAGGAGATAGGGAGTGGGGGGAGGTATTAAAAAAATCGAGAGAACTTTGCATTCAGGTAGCTTTGCTCTTCTCTAAGATAGGGAGTGGGGGGAGGTATTAAAAATCGAGAGAACTTTGCATTCAGGTAGCTTTGCTCTTCTCTAAAGAAACCCAAACTGGAACCTGAAACTGACACGTCATGGGTGTTGTTTATTGTAAGAAAGACCAAACACAATTCCTCTCAGTAGACCAACACTCAAAACAAAACAAGACTTGGGATATGTTGAAGGATTGGCAAATAAATGTCCATTCATATATTTTAAGTTAAAATGTTCAAGGTATGTATTGTTCGTTTTTAATGATCAAGGTGGGTAAGTGGGCTTCCAAATAGGGTGAACAGAAAATAAAGCAACTGACCAATGGAGTTGTACACAAAATAGATAAACAGATCTGAGAAAGTCTGCCTTGGCTCCTATCCTCTGAAAATATCCAGGGATAAAATAAATCAGAATTCGGCCTGGTGCGGTGGCTCATGCCTGTAATCCCAGCACTTCGGGAGGCCAAGGCAGGCAGATCTTTTGAGGCCAGGAGTTCGAGACCAGCCTCGCCAACATGGCAAAACCCTGTCTCTACTAAAAATACAAACACTGGCCAGGTGTGGTGGCACACGCCTGTAATCTCAGCTATTCGGAGACCGAGGCAGGAGAATCGCTTGAACCCAGGAGGCGGAGGCTGCAGTGAGCCAAGCTCACGCCACTGCACTCCAGCCTGGGTGACAGAGCCAGACTCTGTCTCAAAAAATACAAAATAAAATCATAGTAGAACCCGGAGGGCATGTCATGGCTAGGCTTTTATACAGTTTCACATTCTTGGACTGTATTTACTACCACAGAAGGAGGGTTTCAGGAAGCAGAAACAAAGGCAAAGTGATACCACTATTAAAGCCAGAAGATTTCCATAATAGCCCTCCCTCTTCCTCATCTTTCAGTATCAAGAGCCCAAACTCATCCTATCCCTGCCCCACAAAACTGCTTATAGGAACACTGGGGGAAGAGGCTGCCCGTTACCTTCTGACGCTGCTGAATGTTGGCCACAGTGTCAGGCTGAAAGTCTAGCTTGTCTGTGCGGCATAGTTTCCAGTAGAGGATGACAACAATCACCATCACCACCAGCACTGGGATGACCACGCCAACAATGACCCACAAGTTGTTGCTCTGGGATTCCGGAGACGGCCTCTTCACCCTGTCGACAGCTGCAGACAAGGAAGAAAGGTCTTTCAATAATTCCTTCTTCACTCATGCACTAGATTGCACGTGTCTTCTATGAGAAACTCAGAAGTCCCTGACATTCCAGCTCAAGATAGCTGGTTCCAGGTTCTAATCTCCTGATGACAGGAAATGTGACCAGCAGAGAAACACAACATACAATGTTACATCTAGAATACATCAGGGATCACAACGACATATGGATATATCCAAAGGTACATGGCTGAATTAATGGCAAAGCTCAGTTAATTCCAGGTCTCCTGATTTCCAGTTTATTCTACTAGCTCACCCGTAACTTATCACTGCAGGATATTTCCACACCAAAACTGGTTCTGCACAACTTTGTACAAAGGCAGTTCTCTTCAAAAGTGGAGAGAAAAACAGCTGTGTCTCCAGAACATAATCCTGCCCGCTCCATCAAGTACCGCAGGACTCACACCCTCCTAGATCACATAAAGCACATGCATCTCAACTAGGAGTTTATGGAAGAAAACCCTTCATCTCTTTCTCCCTTCCCTCACTACTCCAAGTTTCTCATGTTCACAAATGTTTATTAAGTGTGCTGGACACAGTTTGTAAGCTGGGACTCAACCATGAACAAGCGAAATCCCTTGAGGTGCTTAAGTCCTAGTGGGGGAAAGGAGAAATGATCAAGTAAATGAATCACCGAATAATTTCATATTGCACTAGTGCCAAACACAAAGCAAAACAGAGTAAGGAGATACGACATGTGCACCAGTGCAACTGGTCGTTTCCCCTTCAGCAATGAAAAATGACAAAGAGATGCTGATGTTCGTAGCAGCGCTATTCACGACAGCCTAAAAGATGAAAAGAACTCAAATGCCCATCCACAGATGAATGAATGAACAAAATGTAGTATAGCCATACAATGGAATATCATTCAGCTTTAAAAGGGAAGGAAATTCTATACATGCTGCTGCACAGATGAACCTTGAAAACATCATGATAATGGAACAAGCCAGTCACAAAAGGACAAAATGTATGATTCTACCTACATGAGGTATCTAGAAAAAAACTCATAGAAAGCTTCTGCTTGGAATGATGAAGAAATTCTGGAAATGGATAGTGGTGATGGTTACACAGCCTTGTGAACGTACTGAATGCCACTGAAGTATACATTTAAAAGTGTTAAATTGGTACATTTCTTGATGTATATTTTACTGCAATAAAAAAAGAAGGAAGATGATCCTTATGTTTTCCAAAATGAAGCTTCACTGTGTTAATTTGGAAACTGAAGTCCTAATAAGCGTCCCATAGGCACTGCCTTCATTGCCCCACCTGTGTCTCTCCCTAAACCTTTGAAACATGACTCATCGAAACGGCATTATTTAAGCTACCAGTTGTCCACTTTTACACGAAGCATATCTTACTCATTTTGGATCCACCACTCCCCACCCTGCTGCCACACCCACCCCACCCGGCCCCCACTTCTCTTTCACGGCATAGGACAGTTGCACTTCAACTCCTCGGCCACTTCATGTCCTTCACTAGCTCTTTGTTTTGCACATGGTGCCTTACTGCTCATTTAAAATGCTTCCTGTTATATAAATGGATAATCCGTGAAGTGCTACGCTTCTGCACTCATTCATCCGGTCTTGACGCCAAATCTTGTCTTTTCAAAAACATCTTAGTTTTCATGGGCAGGGACTAAGTCTTATGCTCCTTTCATACCCTATGATGGTTAACACCTGCTATGGGATCAAAAGGTATCTGCTCAAAGACGTAATAACAAAAAGGGTTCTTGGTGCTGGTTTAACTTTGGGTTTAGACACCTAAGGGAGTGGCAAGGGAGGGAGCAAGCATTCTAAATCAAATGCACCAGGGAAAAAAGCACAGATTAGAGCACAGGCTGCATGGGATGTGGTAAAAAGCAACAAAGTGAAAAACTTGTGTTTTTTAATTTGGGCTGAATATAGTTAATATATGTAGCTCATTTTGCATAAAAGCAACGGACAATATAGAAGTACGGACAGAATCAAACTGAGAAGCTGAGACAACTGGACACTCTTCTTAGTTCTTTTGTGGGTGTGGTTGTTTTTTTTTTTTCTTTTTGAGATAGGGTCTCACTCTATCACTCAGGCTAGAATGTGGTGGCACAATCAAGCTCACTTGCAGCCGCGACCTCCTGGGCTCAGGTGATCCTCCTGCCTCAGACCCCCCAAGTAACTGGGACCACAGGCATGCCCCACCATGCCCAGCTAGCTTATTATTATTATTATTTGTAGAGATGGGGTCTTGCTATGTTTCCCAGGCTGGTCTTGAACTCCTGAGCTCAACTGATCCTCCTGCCTCTATCTCCCAAAGTGCTGAGATTACAGGTGTGAGCCACCACACCTGCCCTCTTCTTACTCTAACCTAGGAAAACCCTGATGAGGCAGAGGTTGATCAAACTGGACCCTGACACCAGTGTCCTGGGGCTGCCTTTGGGCTATCCCTGGTGTTGGCTGAGGCTTCCTTCAATCGCCATCCCTGAGATCCCAGGATCTTTACCCACGTGGTTTTCGGTACAAAACTGAGGAAAAGAGGTGCAAGATCACATCTGAAAGGTGCCCATATTCTATTGCAATTAGCTGTTTAAAATGTCAAGTGCTTGGCTGGAGTAGGGCACGTCTCCTACAATCAGGAATCGCATATATGAAGAACTGTAACGAAGTGCTTTTGCTATTTTTTGCTCACTGCTTTGGAGGAGAACACATCAATATGTGATCATATCTCACATACACAAACACAAATTGCCAATGGTTATTTGCTTAAACCCTCCCATCATCTTCCATAAAATAGAGAAATTATGCCCATCAGCTCTCATCTTGGTTGGTCTCCAGGGACAAGTACAGATTTCATAAAAACCTTCTACTATCAAGGATAATTTAAAAGCTATCATTTTTTAAAAATTGTCTTTATCTCCTACATGTTCTCCATAAAGATTTTTCTGTATTCTCTGATGCTGAATTCCCTCTAAACATTTACCTCTCCTTTTATTGCTGGGAGCAAGTTTCACCATTCTCTTACCAAGACTGCTTGCAGGATCACAAAGGAAAAACACTGACATTAAAAGAGGTGTGGTGGCTCATGGTTGGGATTCCAACACCTTGGGAGGTCAAGGTGGGAGGATTGCTTGAGCCAGGGGTTCAAGACCAGCCTAGGCAACATGGCAAGACCCTGTCTCTACAGATAATAAGAAAAAATCGCTGGGTGTAGTGGTGGTGACTGTGGTCCTAGCTACTCAGGAGGCTGAGGCAGGAGGATCACCTGAGCCCAGGAGTTTGAGGCTGCAGTGAGCTACGATCAAGCCACTGCACTCCAGCCTGGGTGACAGAGCAAGACCCTTTCTCAAAAAAAAAAAAAAAAAAAAAAAAAAAAAAAGAGGAATCTGATTCACACCGTAAAGGACTATTTAGAAAAATACACTCTTCCATGTGCCTCCTTTTTCTTCAATTTTAAATACTCAAAATCTGTGAGGTGGGGCCGGGTGCAGTGGCTCACACCTGCAGTAATCCCAGCACTTTGGGAGGCCAAGGCAGGCAGATCACAAGGTCAAGAGATCGAGACCATCCGGGCCAACATGGTGAAACCCCGTCTCCACTAATAATACAAAAATTAGCTGGGCATGGTGGTGTGCTCCTGTAGTCCCAGCTACTTGGGAGGCTGAGGCAGGAGAATCACTTGAACCCGGGAGGCAGAGGTTGCAGTGAGCCGAGATCACACCACTGCACTCCAGCCTGGTGACAGAGTGAGACTCCATCTCAAAAAAAAAAAAAAAAAAGCAAACAAATCTGTGAGGTGGAAAGGAAACTACTGACAGCAGCCAGGGCCAGGCAGGCAGGAGTGAAACCTTCCAACAATAATAAAGAAACTTCAAAATACCTCTGTCTACACTGTGGAGTGACGTGAGGATAGGTGGGAGAGAAACAGGACTGAAAAGGGGAAGGATCAAGGACTTCTCTGTGTTAAAAGACCCTGAAGGAAACCAATAAATTCAGGGTGCACCTCCCAGCTTCCTGCATGACTCACTGTCCCCGCCAATGTTCAAAATATGACACAGAAGATTTTGGAATAAATACAGAGCAAACACATTATTTTGCCTTAGACAAAATTTATAAAAAAAGTAGTAGTACAGGAATGAGGGACAGATATTAAAGTTGATGTACTATAAATCATTATTAACACCCCACCTACAAAATGCTAGGTAGAAAAAACAGCAGTGGAGGCTAAACCTACAAGCAATTGAAATCCAAATAAAGAAGGTCTTGGTGAATGAATTTTAACAACTGGCACTTCACCATCAGGGTTATACACACATCGGAATGCTTTACATTCAGAGCTCACTGTCAGAACGAGCCTGGCTTTGGTGCCCAGCACAGCACAGCACAGACGACAACACCTCAGGCACTTACGCTGGGCAATGACACCTTGAATTCGGTAACCCAAGATGATGGCTGCTCTCTGGAGGTCCATTTTGTTAATCAGGTCCGAAGACTTGACTGCACTGAGTCTTTCTCCATCTTGATCCTCCACAAAGTAGATGAGCTGTACCGGATTGTCATCTCCCTCCAGCCTCGACACATTTACCACCTGAAAGATAGCAGAAACCATTCACATTGCAGAAGCTCATGTTTCTAGATGCCCTCTCTCAGGTTGCTGAATCCTGGCTGTGTCACTCAGGATTTATTCCAATCCTCATAATAAGCTCCGTAAGCCATTCAGGGGCCCAGAATCACCATGGTGCTCTCTGTTGATGGGAAGAGGGACAGTGGGGAGTTCCTTTGTGTGGAGTAACAGGTTGCTTCATCTCGCTCTACATCTTTTCTGGGGCCAAGGGGCAGGGAGGCTGCACAGAACCAGGGCTGGCGAGTCCAGGTGGTCTAAAATCATCCCCACAATCTCTGATGTGCTGACCACGTCATAAGAGAGCATCATCCTCCCAACATTAACTGTAGGATTAGGTACATCCCTGGTTCTCTGAAACTATTAATGGTTCTACCCAATCCTTTCTTCAGCCTATTGGTATTTCCTCCTCATTCTGCTAGGGCAGGGCTTCTCAACCTCAGCTCTACTGACAATCCCTTGACATGGGGTGCACTGTAGATGGTTAGTAGTATCCCTGCCCTCTACCCACCAGGTACCCCCATCCTGCACCACCCAAGTTACAACCAAAAACATCCCCAGACACTGCCAGATGCACCCTGGAGGACAAAATCACCCCCACCCACCACAGGTCTATGGACAATAAACCTCATAAATTCATAATCTTGTGGGTCAAATAATACTTTGATTCATCCCAAAACTTCTCTCTTTCTGGTGTTAAAAGACAGTTTTTTATGCCCTTATTTCAAAATCTAGCACACTTGACATATCGTACCTTTTCATTTCACTCTATTTCTCTAATAATATGCAACAATGTGATTACCCCTTTAGACTCCAGCAAAACTCTGAGCTTCTGTCCTGAGAAAAGGATCAGCGAGGGCTCCGAGCTCCTTATTTTACATGTGCCATTTAAATTGCTGGTCTCTACATTTGCCATTGGCAACATGCAGCTGCTACTTCTCTGTCCACACGTATGGGTTTGTAACACTGCCCTGTGCTCTGGACACAGCTGCTGGACCCCTCCTTCACCACGGGAAACTTCTGGCAGATCAGCAATTTCACGATTTCACTGTGAACTCCTTCTTCCAGATCGTGTCTAAAGATCCTTAACAACACACGTCCAAACCCTCTTCCCTCAACAATCTGTTCTTTATGCTTCGTCCTGAGAACTCCCTCCCTGACAACGGTACAGTGGTGATTAATTTTTTATTAGCTTTTAGAATGGAATGCTATGCAAGGGCTACTGAAAAGGAAGTAGATTATATCCATCTGTCTCTCTACCCATGTACCTACTTATTCCATTTTAAAAGTTCTAATAAATTTAAAAAGTATAGTTTCTTCTTCTAGAAATCACAGTCCCCAAAATCCAGTGATACCCACCTTGATTAAAGATTCTACAAGTCTGTCTAGTGCTACAGTTTGGATGTTGGACCCCCTCCAACTCTCTGGTTGAAATGTGATCCCCGATGGTGGTGGGGGAGCCTAATGGGAGGTATCTGAGTCATGGAGCAGATCCCTCATGAATGGTTTGGTGCTGTCCTCGAGGTAATGAGTTCTTGCTCTACTAGTTCCTGAGAGAGCTGGTGTTAGAAAGGGCCTGGCACCTCCCTTCCCTCTCTCTCGCTTCCTCTCTCGCCATGTGATTTTTATACTGGCTTCCCTTCGCCTTCCAGCAAGAGGGGAAGCAGCCTGCGGCCCTCGCCATGACACCAGCACCATGCTTTTTGTATAGCCTGAAGAACCATGAGCCAAATAAACCTCTTTTCTTTACAAACCCAGCCTCAGGTATTCCTTTACGGCAACATCAATGGACTAAGATGTCCAGGCAGAATGTAAGCCAAGAAAATCTAATCCCAGTATCCTTTCTAGACTACTGCCTATGAGATTCCTATCTGGAACCCTTATAACCATGGGAGTCATCATCACTTTGGTTAACATTTTCAATTTCAAAATTTATTTTCTGAGCAAAATCACATCTCTCTAGAAATTACACAGCCAATTAAAGTTGAAAAACACATGCAAAAAATATATATAAAGAAAATGAAAATCACCTAAAATTCAACCAACCAAAGAAAATCACTGTAAACATTTTAGCATTTTCCTTCTATTCTTTCTCCATGAATTCTGTATTAACATTTGGATTACATGGCATACATACTTTTGTAGCCTCTCTTGAGTTTTATTTTTTTTTTTTTTTTTGAGACAGAGTCTCACTCTGTCCCCGAGGCTGGAGTGCATTGGTGTGATCTTAGCTCACTGAAACCTCCACCTCCCGGGTTCAAGTGATTCTCATGCCTCAGCCTCCTGAAGAGGTGGGATTACAGGCACACACCACCATGCCCAGATAATTTTTGTGTTTTTAGTAGAGATGAGGTTTCACCATGTTGGCCAGGCTGGTCTTGAACTCCTGGCCTCAAGTGATCCACCTGCTCGGCCTCCCAAAGTGCTGGGATTAGAGGTGTGAGCCACTGCACCCAGCCCACTTGAGCATTTTTCTATACCACTCACTAATTTTTTTTTAAATGACTGCATAAAATTCCAACACATAAAGATTTACTATAATTTTATTTACCCATTCCCCAATTGCTGGACATGTAGTTGTTTCAACATTTTCACTTTTACAAATTAAGTTTTGATAAACAGCCATGTAACACTGTACACAAATCCTTGTCTACATCTTCATGTTTGGTCACTCTAAGGGGAGGAGAAGCAGAGCATGGCTTATAAGCAATCTATCAGATGGCACATTAGCCTGGATGTGCCACTTTTACAAACCTGCATGCCTACTAAGAGAGCTTGCATGTCAAATTTAGCACTGTATTATACTTTCACGGTGTCCTATAACTATTTCATGTGCAGAAGTTAACTCACACCTAGACCTTGGGCTCTAGGAAGCCAGGGATTGTTGAATAAGGCAAAGCTTTTATAATTCATTCTAATTTTTATTCTTTGTTGATACTTATTCGTTTAATGATTACTCTCAATTGTGATTAGTTTTTAAATTTCTCTGTAACTTACTGCATCTGGCAAAGGAACTATTTTAGAAACCTAAGGACTACATTTCTGGGAGGGGGACAAAGGGTAATGATGAGAGGGACACACTGGTAAAAGGGCTAGAGGACGATGATGCAGTTCTAGGCAACACTTCCCGGCTCCTGCCCCCAACCCACAGCCAATGTCATTTGCGTCTTTTTCTCTAATGCCTCTAATCCACCCACCTCCCTACCCTGCCTGCCAGCCAACACCCCCTGCTTCAGAGTTCTACCCTGGTTTCCTGTTTCTGAAATGTCATAGCTCTAAATATCCCATTTTCATAGTTCAACAAGTCAGCAGTTGGTAAAGAAAAAAATCCACATAATTCATATGGAGATGGAAATTAATGACAGCCCCAACCTCCAACTTTCTGTGAGTATGGGCATTTTTAAATGGGTCGCATTTCAATTCAAACAAATCTGTCTTTTGTAACCTGTCTGCCAGTTTACCAAGTAAAGAAGATTTAGGATAATATGAGACAACCAGGTGTCTCCGGTGGCGGGTACCTGTAGTACCAGCTACTCAGGAGGCTGAGGCAAAAGAGTCGCTTGCACCTGGGAGGCAGATGTTGTAGTGAGCTGAGATCATGCCACTGCAGTCCAGCCTGGGCGACAGAGCGAGACTCTGTCTCAAGAAAAAAGAAAGAAAGAAAAAAGCTCAAGTGAAGAGAGGCTACAAAAGGATGTATGCAGTGTCATCCAAAGGTTAATAGAGAATTCATGGGGAAAAAAGAATGGAAGGAAATATGCTGAAATGTTTACAGTGATCTTCTTTGGTTGGTTGAATTTTAGGTGATGTTCACTTTATTCTTTACACATTTTTTAATGTGTTTTTCAAAATTTCTCTAATTGGCTATGTAATTTCTAGAGAGAGGCGATTTTGCTCAGAAAATAAATTTTAAAATGAAATTGAAAATGTTAACCAAAGTGATGACTCCATAATACCATGGAAGCCGAGAAGATGAAATGCTCAAGCAGAGGGCAGCACGTCTCCCTCTATCTGCTCTCCTATGGTCTCTTCCAGTTGAATGATTTATCGCTATGATGCTATCAATAACACTGACCATTCTATCAAACAGGCTACATTTTTGTTAATTAAAAACTACTATTTGATAAATGAGGTCCTGTGATGATATGGCAACCCAGTAAGACAATTCTGCTCTGCTCTGCAAGGTCTATTGTTATACTACTACTTACTATGGGCTTGGTAAATATTTGTCTAGACTCCAGTTGAACTGAAAAGCTGCCAGATTCAGTGGCTACCCAATATAGCGATCAGTGGAAATCAGAAATTTCTCATGGCACTTCTCATTTGCATAAAAATACAGGGTTTTAGATGGAGTGTGCACTCACACGCAAGCGCTGTCTCTCTCCCTCTCTCTCCTTCCCCTCCTCCTTTGATGTGGAGTACCTGCACCACACTGTTCCCTGCAGCTACAGTGGCCCTTCTCCACATCCGCCTTCTGGTGGAAACCTCGCTGAGCAGCTGGGCCAGCTTGCGTTCCATCTCGGCTTGAAACACTTCATTCTGGAGTTGCTTCTCCATGACGCCCAGGAGAACTACATTTAAATGAAAACATACGTGGCACCCAAAACAAGTCAGCAGTAAAAAAACAGTGTGTGTGTGTGTGTGTGTGTGTGTGTGTGTGTGTGTGTGTGTGTGTGTGTGTGTGTGTGCGCGCGCGCGCGCGCGCACATATGTATTTGAAATTAATGCAAGATTGCCATAAAATGCCAATTCCTAGACAGAAAACATCAAAAGGAGAAAAAGTGATCATGAATGGGGAGAGTCCAGGAAATGCAGCCCACAAGAGCTCCAAGCTCTCAGTGTTACCCAGACTGGCGGCCAGAAGTCCCAGGAACTCAGCACTGCAGGAGCTTTGGCGCAAAGGGCGCCTACGCAAGATCAAACATTTTGTCTGCACTTATCTCAACACTTCTGGAATTGGTGTGAGTTCATTGTCTTGCCTTGAGACTTGGACTCACAAACTAACTTGAAAAAAGGAAGCCTGCCCATCTTTAGTTATCTATTTCAGACAAGATGATCTCAACAGACAATCACTTGCCAGTGTGGTCTGGGAGGAAGGAGCATGTGCTTTTCAACCAGAACTGGTTTAAGTTTTCTTTGAGATACAACCATGGGCAAGTTACTTAATTGCTATAGAAATTATCTGGAAAAGACCGCGGATGGCACCATGCAAAGCGATAGGACCTTGACGTGGGATGCTGTGTGTTCGGCAAGGAGAACTTGCAAGATGCAGGAACCCCGTGAATGGCAACTATCACTACCCCACATGCTCTCTCGTGCCCAGCTAGTTCCTGTGCTGCATGCACACTGGACAGCTGGTGAGTACGTAAGTACTGTTCAGACTTTTGTGCACTAGGTTAGAAAGGCCTTCAACTGCAATGCCATACCTCTAAATATCTGACCCACTCCCCTAAGACAAAAAAAAAAAAAAAAAAAGCTTCCCAGGTGCCAAGCCACCCTGCTTGTCCTTATTAAACTAAACAAATAACACTTTTAGAAAAAAAAAAATAAAACAAGAGAGAGATCCTTGCTTCTAAACCTCACCCTATTCTGGGTCAGAAGATTGTCAGTTCCTGTTAGACTCTGCCCTGAACTTGATGTATGAATTTTAAAGAAAGTCAGTCCTTTTTGTTCTATAACTCAGTGGGATATATTCCCACAGCCAAATTTGAATCCCTTTCCATTCATTCTTTGCCAAGAATGTAAGGTACATTTTGCCCTAAATTTAGGAAACAAGAAAGGCAGCATCATTCTCAATACGCCTGCATAGACTTCTTCTCCTTACAGTTCCCAAAATATTACATAAGTTAAACATACCTGTTCTGACCCAAGAGGACTTCAGCAACTGAGATAAGTTGAGCTGTGGATACTGGAAGGCTACAAAAGGGAAAGAATTAGGGAAGGAGAAAAATATCTGTAAAAACAAAGCCATGTTTACAACAAAGTCCCAACACATCGTCTTTACTATTTAGCTCTAAATGTGAAAGAACAAAATGTCAGATTAGCGTGAGGACGTGGACAGTAGCCATTTCTGAACACATTAGTCTCAAGGAAAAAGAGAGAGATAAAAAGAAAAGAAGGGCCGCTCCAGCTATGTCACAGGACACTGCTTCACAGAGAGGTCACCGGCAAGTTCTCCTTTGAATGTCACTGTTCCACAGCAATCCATGTTCACACCGTGCCCCTCAGAGCCCTGGCTTTCCCAGCAAGGTCTCAGGGTAAAGTGACCACATGCGTTGACCTGCCCAGGACCAGCCAGTGTGCCCCGCCGTCCGGCATCCTCATTTTAGCCATACACACACTGAGCACAACTGAAAGCGGCTCTTTGTAAATAACAGCTTTATCTCTGTCTACTTTCATATAGAATAACTTCTGTAAAGTTATTCTTTTTAGTTTAATTAACAATACACTAAAATACACTACGAATCATTAGGCCATTTGGTTGTTTCATTTTGAAAAAGAATTGGAATTTTTTGGCCTGATTTCAACTCTGGAATCTACTATTTTTTTTTTTTAAATAAACGTCTCCCCTTTCCCCCACTGCCTCCATTGGCATTGTGAAGCTAGTTGCTTCAGTCAGGAAGAAAGGTTTCATGTTTTCACTTATTGTTTTTATTTTAAAATTTACACAGTAAATGTCACTCTTTTCAGTATACAGTTTTATGGGTTTTGATAAATGTGTATATATTCACATAATCATCACCACAATGAAGATATAGAACAGTTTCACAACCCCCAAAACACTGCCTTCTGCTACCCTTTTGTAGTCAAACTTTCCTGCGGCCCTTAAGCTCTGACAACCACAGATTCGTCCTCCCTAAATTATGCCTTTTCCAGAATTCGTGTACTTTTTGATAGCACCCCTTTACTCTCCAAATAATAAAGTCAGGCACGGTGGGTGAGCAGGGCTCTGCAGACCCATCTGGCCTGAATCCAGTTTTATCAGATTTATATTCTGGCACTCAAATCAGATATTTCATTTGAAAAAAGTGGTCCAGGTGAAAATACTCTGTATGATACTAAAATGGAGAATCCATGCCATTTGCATGTCATTACACATTTGTTCAAACCCACAGAATGCACGACACCCAGGGTGAACCTTAATGTAAACTATGGGCTATGGATGATGATGCAGGTTCAACCAATGATGCAGGATCAACCAATGCAGGTTGATCACTGTAACAAATGGGCCACTGTGCTGGGGGATGCTGATAATGGAGGTTATGAATGTGCGGAAGCAGGAGGTATATGGGAAATCTGTGAACTCTCCGATCATATCTGCTGTGAATCCAAAAACTTCACTAAAAAAACTCAAGTCTTTTACTATTATTCTAAGTGAAATAATTCAGGAATGGAAAACCAAACATCGTATGTTCTCACTGATATGTGGGAGCTAAGCTATGAGGACACAAAGGCATAAGAATGATACAATGGACTTTGGAGACTTGGGGGGAAGAGTGGCGGGAGGAGGGATAAAAGACTACAAATGTGGAGCAGTGTATACTGCTCGGGTGATGGGTGCACCAGGATCTCAAAAATCACCACTAAATAACTTACTCGTGCAACCAAATACCACCTGTACCCCAACGCCTTATGGAAAAATAATTTTTAAAAAATCAAGTCTTTTAAAAAACTAAAAAAATTTTAAGAAGAGGTCTTCCACCAAAAATGCCCGCCATCACCTCCCCAGCATGTCCAAGAGGGCTGTACTCACGCTCTGCGATCTGCAGCACTGGGTATCCCAGATAGAAACTGAACTCCACCACACTCAAGTTTCTGAGCAGCTCGCTCACTTCCGACCCATTCAAAAATCCCTGTGTGCTTTTAACCGCAAAGATGATATTCACCGGGCCCCGCCGAGGAGTCACCCTTGAGGAACTGATGGTGATATTCAAGATCTGAAAGAATAAAGTCAGAATAAGCTTCTATAATAAAACATTCTGCTGAAAGCTTAACCATGATTTCTCTCTCACAGGTCCTCTCACCGATTTTTTTAAAGGAGGTAAAGTTTTTAAAGGAAACGTAACTGGCTTTCTAACCTGGTTCCCTTTTGTAAGAGTTTAACTGCTCAGTTTATGGAAAATGTTTCTTACATTAAGTGATGAACTGAGCACATGTACAGCTCCTCCCACCCCAAATGCCACTGAAATAACAATAAGCTGAACACAGGGGAATAAATCCACAACAGCACTGAGAATGGAAGAAAACTAGAGATTCCGTCAAACCTCTGGGGGATGAAGAAAGGATGGGATTGGATTGATATAAACCAGAACAGAGAAAGCCAGAATCCAAAACATACACAAGCATGGGCTGCAGCAGAGCCAAGGGCCACGCTCTCCAAGAGGACCAGGAGGGGCTCTGTGGCAGAGATCAGCAGGAATGAGACCAAGAGCAGGCTACACAGTGGTAATCAGTATAATTAATTACAAGGCTGTGCCAAAGAGCTGAGTGTATTGCCTTCCTCCTCCGTCCTTCCTAACTGCCACACCCAGGCCAACAGAGGTGCTAGCAGCAGCCAGGCCCTCACCCAGAACAAGACTGCCTCCTGAGGAAAACAAACTCCTGCCTAAGAGGACTATGGTGGGTCTGGGCCCTAACCAAGAAGGTGGGCAGAGGCTAAGATAACTCCTGTGCACACCGAAGAAGGAAAGAAAATGAATGAAAACGCAGCTAGCTCTGCCCTGAGACACACACTAAAGTGCCCCATCCCCTAGGAAGAACCTCTTTATCTAGATGCTGGAAGGAGGGTGTTCCCTGTCTGCTTGTCTCTGACCACACACTGCACCCAGAGAGAAGCCCACGCTGACATATTCTGCCCCAGACCCAGCGCTCCGACGAATTTTCCCACCAGGAGATGGAGCTGACGTAGAAAGAGATCCCCACAGCTCAAGGGGAAAGCTGTGCCAGCTACTAAAATGAACAACTTGGTTCTTCATTCCTAACAACAAACCAACAGTCTCCAGATTTACAGAAACTAACAGCACGAAAGCAAAGCACCGAGATCAACATGCAGAGCAAGGACTGCAGAGAAAACAGGAATGACTTAGGAAACAGAAGACGCATTTTAACAATTCTAATTAACGTCCTCAGAGACTTTTAAGGTGACACTGCATCATCGCAGGAAAGCCTACAATGAAAATGGAGCAAAGAACAATGAACAAAAAGCTTAAAAATTCAGTAGAGGGATTGCATAACATAATGGACACAGCTAAGGACTAAATTCATGACTTGGAGGACGACATTTAGTAAATCTGTAAAAACAGAGAATAAAGAGATGGAAAATATGAGGAAAAAATAAGAAACATGGAAAGTGGATCCAGGAGCACCAAAATCTATTTTAACATCCATTTTGGAAAGAGAGAGGAAAGAATGTAGAGGGAAAAAAATCAAAGAAACATAAAAACATCAGCAGTTTCCATATGATACGTACAACACCCGTTCTTAGTAGCTATATGGAAACAACAGTATGGGTAGGCATTCCCCCATTGGATATTTAGGTTGATACCATTCCTTTCTAGGTAATTCTTGAATTTCCTGAATATGGTCATGTTTCTTCAGCTCACCATATCTGAGCTCCCTGGGTATCAGCTACTCTGCAACCCTCAAAGATGCTCAGCCTGTGCACGCTATGCCGACCTTACGCCACAGGAATAGATCAATCCCGACTCACATAAACTGGGTTTCCGCCACTGGAGGGAATAAGAGTTAAGCACATCTTAAACAATGTGGAACAATTTCCCCTTCAAGGGCTAAAGCCTTCTGCTCTGCATTCAGTGATATTCTCACCTGCACCGTGAGGTTATACGTTCCCTGGTGGTGTTTTCTCACTTCAAAGAGAGCTGTCATTAGGCCTTTCTCAATGCGCTGGGTGAAGTTGCAGAAGCCAGTATCCACACTCGGAGGCACAAACTGAAGTACTGAAAAGAAAAGCAATCAAAGTCCCATAAATGAGGTGTTTGTGCTTCTGAAGTATTAAGGAATCAAGAGAGAGAAACATCGTATCTAAATCAACCAATTCATCCATAGTATGGGATTAAGTACTGTGATGTAACATTTCTACGTATTTTCTCACGGAAATGTAAAAGGTAACTTTGCAGTAAATGAAGACATGCAATGTGACGGTGACTGGTATCATTTTAAAATGAAAAATATCTAAGATAAGAATTTGAGTATCAAAAGACACAATGGATGGAAACATTTCAAACATATATAAATTCATTGTAGATGAATTCTTGAATATTTATGGGTGAAATGACATGATACCTGGCATTGCTTGAAAACACTCTAGTGTCCACAAAAACGTTCACAGGGGATAGATGAAACAAAATTGGTGATGTTGATAAATTTTTTTTAAGCTTAACCATGGGTATATGTAGACTTAGTACTCTCTCTACTTTTGTAAATGTTTGAACATGTCCACAATGAAAAGTTAAATATGATATTTAGAAATTACTGTTAACAGCCAGGTACAGCGGCTCACGCCTGTAATTCCAGCACTTTGGGAGGCTGAGGCGGGCAGATCATTTGAGATCAGGAGTTCGAAACCAGCCTGGCCAACATGGTGAAACCCCATCTCTACTAAAAATACAAAAATTAGCCGGACATGGTGGTGGGTGCTTGTAATCCCAGCCACTCAGGAGGCTCAGGCAAGAGAATTGCCTGAGCCCGGGAGGCAAAGGTTGCAGTGAGCAGAGATCGCGCCATTGCACTCTAGCCTGAGCAACAAAGCAAGACTCCAGCTCCAAAAAAAAGAAAAGAAAAGAAATCACTGTTAACTTCATATACATGTTTAAAGTCTTTATCTTTTAGAGGCTATATAGGCTGAAATATGTGTGGGCGAGATGATACGATGCCTGAGATTTACTTTAAAATAGTACAAGAGGAGGGGAAGTAGATAGTAGATGGGGGTGTGGCTATAACAAGACTGGCTAGGAACGGAAAAGTGGTTGAAGACATATGAGTACACAGTGGTCTGTTAAACTATTCTACGTACTTTTGTACATGCTTGAAATTTCCCATAATTATAAACACTTTTAAAAGTTAAATAATAAGGTCAGGTGTGGTAGCTCACACCCGTAATCCCAGCACTTTGGGAGGCCAAGACAGGAGGATCGCTTGAGCCCAGGAGTTCAACACCAGTCTGGGCAACTTAGGAAGACCCCATCTCTACAAAACATAATGTTTCTTAAATTCTTTTTTTTTTTTTTTTTTGAGATAGGGTCTCACTCTGTTGTCCAAGCTGGAGTGCAGTGGCACGATCTCGTCTCACTGCAGTCTCCACCTCCTGGGTTCAAGTGATTCTCCTGCCCCAGCCACCCAAGTCACTGGGATTACAGGCGTATGCCACCATATCTGGCTAATTTTTGTATTTTTAGTAGAGATGAGGTTTCGCCATGTTGCCCAGGCTCATCTCAAACTCCAGAGCTCAAGTGATCTGCTCGCCTCAGCCTCTCAAAGTGCTGAGATTACAGGCATGAGCCATCGCACTTGGTCTAATTTTTTTTTTTTTTTTTTTTGTAGAGACAGGGTTTCATCATGCTGCCCTGGCTGGTCTCAAACTCATGAACTCAAGTGATCCATCTGCCTCAGCCTCCCAACCTCCTCTGCCTCAGCTCCCACCTGGTGGGACTACAGGTGTGAGCCACCATACCTGGCCTAAAAAAAAATTAAAAAAAAAATTAGCCACGCATGGTGGTATACACTTTTAGTCCTAACTACTCAGGAGGCTGAGGCAGGAGGATTGTTCGAGCTCAGGGGTTCAAGGCTACAGTGAGCTATAATCACACCACTGCATTCCAGCCTGGGCAACAGACTGAGATCCTGTCTCTAAAAATCATCATCATAATAATAAATTCTAAAAATGATTTCCAATATTTTAGAAAGATAAAAAAAAAATGAAATTCTTTTTACAAATAAAAACAACTATGCTGAGCTGTCTCACCTGTTTGAACTTGGAACCTGGACTCTGGCACAAGGAAAGAAGGTTTCACAGACAGGATTAAAGGAGTCTGGTCACGGACAAGCTTACTGTTTATAAGCACATTTATGACGGATATTGCCGTGTAAACGAAAGGACCGGATGTTACCAGAAAAGTGAAGTCAGTAAATAGTTCGTAAACCTAGGGAAATAAGAAATACAAAGACAATTCAAACTTAAAGGAAGTTGTGTTACACAGAAAAATAAAAAATTATAAACTAAAAAAACTGGTAGTTTTGAATGAAGGGGTAGTGCATCACGGATAATCAAAATTTTATTTTAGTTACTGCTTTTACTCTCTGCCAACCTTTGCAAAAACAACACAAAATTATAAGAGCAGCAAGAAAGAACAGTCAGAAATATGAACTGAATAATGAGTTATAGGGCATTCAAGCTGTTTGTTGTATTTAAAACACATAGACAAGAGTACTTATCCTATTGAGCAGCACTGTCCAAAATAAATATGCAATTTAAAAATTTCTAGTGGCCACATTAAAAAACATAAGAACAGGTGAAATTAATTTTAAATACATTTTATTTAATATATCTAAAATATCATTTCAACATGAAGTCAATACAAAACACTATTAATGAGATATTCTACCCTCCTTTTTTCACTGCATTTTTCAAGTCTGGTATGTATTTTCCACCCACAGCCCATCTCCGTTTGGACGAGCCCCATTTCACTGCTGTATCGCCATGCGTGGGGCGCGGTTCTGGTTCCGGATGGCTCTGCTCTAGATGGACTGTGGCTTTCTAGGATCATTCAGTCTAAAAGATTTGGATCTCCATCTCTATCCTACCAAATGTCCAGAAAGATGCACCTGTACTCACTCTAACGTCTAATTTAAACACGAATCCAAGTCCTTTCATGTGAATCAAGGGAAGTAAAATCACGAAGGCTGTCACCCCAGACTGCTGCCTCTGGTCTGAGAGCCCTTTGTTCCAACTCTGCCAACACATCCCCTAAAGGACTAACCCTGACCTCATGTGGGATCAGGAAAGACCTCCTCGATGCAGTGACGGTGGAATGGAGATCCAGAGGATGAGCAGGACTTAACCAGGAACAGACAAGAGGGAAGAGATGAAATAGAATGATTCCATGGCCATAATCACCTGCCTCTAACCTGGGGCTCTCACATCAGCCCCAGTCTCACCAGACATCACACTCCTGAGCCACCAGGACTCACCTTCAGTTCCACTGCACGGTTGAAGTGAATCCTCAGTACTTCTTTGATTGCTGTAATGATGTACTCCTGCACAGCTCTTCTGGCCAGCACTGCAAATGAAAGCAAACCACCAAATGCCTTTTCATGTCATTATGAATAACAAACACACCAGACTTCTGGACCCCAGCACTGTGCCAAAATGTGTTAGCAGTTCCAAAAGTCTTTTTGTAAAATAAAGGCCAGACCAAGACAGAACAGGGGTTAAGGATCTAGTTGCTGCTAACTACCTGGAGAAGAACAGCAGTGGGGACCTTGAAGACACCAGGTCAACTCTGCATAGCATCAGCTCAACACACTAAGAAAACCCTCTTTGCCCCAGATAGGTTAGATCAGGAATCAGCAGTGATGACCCAGCCAGGGGACAAGGAGCTTCCAGTTCTCATTTTCACCTGGACAAATTCCAGGCTGTCTCTCGGCTATGTCCCTGACAACAAAACATGAGGCTTTAAAAGCTCTCAGAAGGAACATTTTTCTTTTCTTTTCTTTTTGAGACCCGCTCTGTCGCCCAGGCTGGAGTGCAGTGGCGCAATCTTGGCTCACTGTAAGCTCCGCCTCCCGGGTTCACACCATTCTCCTGCCTCAGCCTCCTGAGTAGCTGGGACTACAGGTGCCTGCCACCACGCCCGGCTAATTTTTTGTACTTTTAGTAGAGATGGGGTTTCACCGTGTTAGCCAGGATGGTCTTGATCTCCTAACCTTGTGACCCACCTGCCTCAGCCTCCCAAAGTGCTGGGATTATAGACGTGAGCCACCGCACCCAGCCAGAAGTAACATTTTTAAAGGCCTTAAGATGTTACTCAACAAAACCAGATGACATCTTCCTCTGTAAAATGAGGTCTCCTACCCCAATGTTTCAAGGCAAAGGTGAAGAGTTTTTACCACTAATCATGGGGAAAAACGAATTCCACAATTCCCACATATTAAAATTTTATGTAGGAAATAAAATATTTCTCATAACCAAAGCCTAGTTCTGTTTGACTGTTTTCATATTTTAAAAGTTCCATTTAAAAATCTATACTAATAAGTAAGCCTGTCTCTCAGTATTTAGTAAGCGTGTTCTTCTTTTTCCTATTTTTTCTCTCCTCTTCCATCAACTTCCCATAATGCAGAATTAGAATACACTTGATATTATCATTGTTTTCCATTTCCTGATTTTAATTTTTTAAAGTAGAGACAGAATCACTCTGTATTCTTCATTCTTTAAAACAAAAATGTTTAATTTATATTTGATTGTTTTTTTCTAGGAATCAGTGATCTGAAGTTTTTTTAAAGGTGAGTGGAGGCTCCTTTATTAGTTTATGAGACCACTGGAACAAATCCACAGCCCCAACCACCTTGCTGAGTCACACCAGCAGCCAACTCCGCATGGCCCACATAGGCTCCAAGTGGGTTGGACTATGCTATAGATCTGAAAGGGAAAGATAAAATGAGGAGGAAGGAAAGGGGGAAGAGTGGCAAGAAGGAAAGATGCCTTATTTAAGGAAGGAAATGAAGAGGGAGGGAGAAATGAGGAAAGAGGGAGACAGGAGGGAGGAGGGAGACAGGAAGGAGGAGGGGACAGAAAAGGAGGAGGGAGGGAGAGGAGGGAGAAGGAAAGAAGGAAGGAAGGAAGAAAGGAAGGGAGGAAGGCAGGGAGGGAGGGAGGGAGGCAAGAGCTAAACTCGGGGGAAACAGAGGCAGAATGGGAAGTCAGAAACAGAAAATCCCTAAATAGGAAAGCAGGAAGAACACATTGTAAGCAGCCCCACACAGCTAAAGACATCATCGGTCTAAATGCCACTCTGCAAAGTCCCCACAGCCACCACCATGACCTCCACTTTCTCCAGAGAATCTGAGAAAGCTATAAAACTGCAACATTAGGATATGAGGACACCAGTCTTTGGGAAAAGGGATCATCAGCAAACAAATATCTTACAGATCTTTTCCTAAATGAATGTTTCCCAGAGCTAAGAGAAGAGAGGTGACAGAGACTTCCAGAGGCAGCACAGGGTCAGAAAGGCCCTGGGTGGAAGCGCGGCTCATGCCTCCCAGGGCGCGTGCAGGCAAGTGCTTCCTCCGCCATCGCAGACCCCCAGCACCCAGAGTGGCTCCGCTTCATCATCACAGAGCACACAGGAAGAATCCTTTCAGGGGTACGCGGAGTCACCTCAACCCCCTCACCACACTCTCTCACTAACGGACAACCATGAAAAGGACAGCAAGGTCCAACCTAAGCAAAGGTAAGAAATGAGCCGATACTTCCTCTGGGTCAAAGGTATCACCAGGAACAAAAATGGCACTTATCTCCGCTAAAAGACACAATTTAACAGCATGGACACTCACACACAACTCTGGACATTTACAAAAACTGTTCAAGTGTACTTAACAATGGCTGAATTTTACTCCAAAGAGCTGTTAAAAATACATGGATACCTAATACAGGCACCAAATGTCATTAAGTGTACACCACATATGAAAGTTAAATCCAGCTATGAGGACTCCTAAAGAAGCTTTCAGTGACTCTTTAAATAAGCTGCTTACAACTGACCACTTTGTAACAATTTTGTACCTACTTTGTAATAATTTTGTAAGAAGGAAGAAAAGTATCATGAGCATGAGAAACTCTTTTCCCTCCTCCCTGGACTGCTCTAATCTTCAGATTCAAGTTCATGATGTTGCTCCAACCACATTTCCAAGCATAATTACCTGCTCCTCCCATCACAATGCCTAATCTCCAGCCATGATGACAGTCTCCTCCCCCAGAAGACACTTTCTCTTCATCCCCAGATGACAATTCTACTTTTCCTTTTGTGGGAATCCCCAATTTCACATTCTTCCAAACCCGTCTCTGATTATCCCAAATAGCCACTCTTGGAGAATTCCACAGTCACTGCTATTACTCTGTGGTTCAGTACCACCCTCTAGGCCCTGAGCTGCTCACAGGAGGGCCGTGTCTTACCCATCTGTATATCCCTAGAAGCTTCCAGAAGCACCTCACACATACTAGGTGCTCAATCATTACTTGCCATGTGGAATAACGAATGTTTCCCTTTGGCGTGTGGGGAGCAAAGGCTGTCCTGGACTCATTCTCCAAAGCCATTCCCACAGGTAGGGTGTTGATCACTGACGTGTACCTGCCATCAGGATCCTCGCTCCCACCTGCCCAGAGGGATGTGGCACTGTCACAGTGAGCAGAGGCTCCCAGCAACCCCGACCACAGAGAGGAAAAGACCCAGCGTGTTCTCCTCCTTCTCCCCCTTCCACATTCTCTGCTCCTCTCCTTCCCGGTCCACTCCACCCCACTCCTCCCTACCTCTTCTGCCGTTTTCGTCCCCTTTTTCATTTCTGTCCTCCACTCCTACCAAAATCAAAACAGAGGACAGGCTGCTCGTCACCACCAGGCTGTGGTTCAGCACACAGTCATGACCCTCGAGACCACATACACCTGTCATGTCTCATGAGGAAAAATGCAGAGACCCTGACCAAGCGGGCCACCGTCGCGGGACATGACCCTTGAAATCAGTCTACCTCTCAGGCATGCCCTCAGGTGGGCACCAGCTTCACGCGGCCACAGCAGCCATGCAACTGCAAGGGAAGCTGCTGGCCAGTCTGCTAGCAACCCAGGCTGTGGTGGGGAGGAGACCAAAGGCTGATACTGGATTCAGAGGATATTTAGTCACTACTTTTCTTTCCTCGGGACCCAAGGAGCATTTACAGGGACCTATAAGAGCAAAGAGTCACTTTACTTTTCTTTCCTCGGGACCCAAGGGGCATTTACAGGGACCTATGAGAGCAAAGTGCAGTCTCCTTTCAAGGAAAAGTAAGAAGAGTAAATGAGTAAGAAATTGCAAGGGTTGCCCTTACATAGTTGCCCAACTCATTGCTTGAATTAAACAAAAAAGTATTTTGTTTAAACTATGTCATCCATGCACCTACTGGGTTATGGTAGGACAAAGATCCTACCAAGAACTTCCAAGGCTTGTTTAGTTCTTGTATTTGTTCTAATATTTATTCTCCTTGTGACTGCTGACTAATATGCACCATCCCGTGCATGCCTCTGATGTACTAGGCAAGGGCTGAGCGTTCTGCAGGGACTAACGCATTTACATCTGAACAACAGCCCAATGAAGCAGGTTTAACTAAGCTCCTTGTTTAATGGGTGAGGCAGCAGACGATTAGAGAGGATAAATAACTGTTCTGAGAACTCGCAGGAGGTAAGCATAGGAGTACTACCTGGGAGTTAACTGAGCCCAGCGCCTCTGCTCTTAACCATGAAGCTCCAAGCCTCACAGGCACTGCACACAAGCTCCTTAGAAAGATTGCCCACCCCAGAGAGGCGGCAGGAAGCTGGGCCTTACCAGTTGTGATCAGATAGGCATCGGGGACTGTGATATCACAAACATATGGCGGCTTGGCAGTAGCCAGTGTTGGTGTGTCGACTGTTGCTTCGAGAGTGAAGGCAGTCACGGGACGCAGGGATGGCAGGGGAGGAGCAGCACTACTCTCTGGGGGGCTCTGACTTGCGGCGTCACCCATCAGGGTGGAGTCGAGGGGACCACCAGTGGCAGCACCGGTGCTGGTTGTGCTCACTTCCGTGGAGGTGTTCAGTGGCACCTCTGTGGGTGTGAGTGATGGGCCCACGACGGTCAGCTCTGTGGGCAGAGGGAAGGGGGTTGCTTCAGAAACAAACGAGGATCCTGATGGCAGGTACGCGTCAGTGATCAACACCGTACCAGTGGGAATGGCTTTGGAGAAAGAGGCCAGGACAGACACGTGACCGTCTAGAGCACTGATTTGGTCGTCAGGAGGTGTCAGAGTTGAGAACAAAGAAGACTCAGTTAAAATGGGCGTTGTGTGGACAGTGGTCAATGGTGATGTTGCTTGAATCCCGGCAGTCAAAATGTCAAAAGACTCAGAGCCGGGGGGCACCAGTGCAGTGACTGCGGATTCATGGGAAATGAGTGAAGACTCAAGATAGGAGGTAGTTTCAATGAAAGCTGAGGTAAAATGAGCTTCTGAATCCGTCAGTGAAACCGTAGACGCTTCAACAAACTCGAGAGAATCAGAAGGGAAGCTTGACCATGGTGACACCTCAGAACGGCTAGGTAGCAACATGATGGTGTTTAAAGGCAGCTCGGAACTTGGCTGGAGCTGCGAAAACTCAAGATTTGTGGAACTGGGAAGAGACAGCTGAGATGACTGCAGATCACTAGAGTCAAACAATGTAAATGTCTCAACCAAGGGAGAAAAAGACTGAGATGTGAAGGGGGACAAGTCACTCGGCATCAGAGACAGAGACGCAGGTGCTTCCGAAGGCGAAGAGATGGAGCCGCTGAGTTCCAGCGGGGGTGTTGAGAAAAAGCTGGATGCAAAATCCAAAGCACCTCTGGGTTTATGCTCAGAAAAACTGGAACGTTCTTGGTCAGAGAAAAGTGAAGACTCCACTGAAGGAACCAGACTATAAGGCGTAAAAACACTCGGGTCTCTGACGGCAAGCGACGGTGTGTTTTTGTTTGCTATGACAGAGAAAGATGAGTCAAGGAGAATGCTGGTGATGACCGAGAAAAATGCAGTGGTCACGCTGGATGGCGTCACTTGGGTTTCAGCAACAGACAAGGAGCCAGCAGTAGGATCAAGTGACGCCGGCACAGAGAGGCGGCCGTGGGCAGGGGGAACCTGTGTGGTTGTAACACTACTCATATCCACCTCGGCAGAAATGCCAACACTCGTCTCTGAGATTTCCATGGATCTAGAAGAAAGTGGGACGATAGGTCTGGAGGGGAAAAGCGTATTAAATACTTGAGGATCTTCCTCAAATTCAGAGAAGTCTGCTACGACGCTACTCATTAGAGAGATGCTGCTTTCTTCCAGCACGGTCATGCACAGAGTCTCGGCACCATCCCCTGATCCCACGTCTTTCTCCATGAGGCTCGTGGCCAGAACTTGCTGAGGTGAAGGCACAGTGCAGGCCGCACACCAAGTGTATGGTCTGAATGAGGACACCGGGCTCAGGATATGAGTGTTGTCCACAGGACCGGGGAGGGCTGAATTGCTATGCAATTCGGATGTTTTGCTGGAGTCGCTAGGGAGAAAGGGGTTAGATGAAACATCAGTTGGTGAAGCAGAGGACGCAAATGCAAGAGGAGTTGAAAGCAATGGAGAATGTGTCCTGCTGAATGCAAGGGCTGCGTGCGATGCAGTCACAGTGGGGTATGTTCTTGGAGAGATGGTTTCTTCTAGGCTTTGACTCAACACAGTGGTCACATCAGTGTATCTGTCTGCACTTGTGGCCCAAACCTCCTCTGGAGGCTGTGAGACCTCCCCCAAGGAGGGCAACGGTATAGTAATGCCGTCGCCTAACGGCTGTGGCATTAAAGACCGGGAGCTTAAAAAAAGGGTGGTTTCCACACCCTCTGTTAGGGAAGCCACAATCTCTGGCAGAGTCCTGCTTGATAAATGACTGTAAGCATCAGTAGGATAAAGCACCAAATTCCTGCCAGGAGTTGGAACGATGCCCTCAGAGGTGCGAAAAGCTGACCGAAAGGTGTGGAAATGACTGGCGGACTCAGCATATGCCGCTGGTTGTCGCGTTGTGTTCTGCCAGCCCGATGTCACTTCTTCATCTTGTAAAGAAACCATGGGTAATGATGGAGTGAGCATAGGTTCTAATGCTTCCCTGGGCAGCCCTGGTGGGCTGACTGTGATATACTGTATTGGAGAAACCATCCGTGGAGTGGTCCAGTGAGTATCTGGCAGAAAGTTATCCATCTCATCGTCATTGACGGCCACCTCTTTACTCGTCACTGACACGTAAGTTGCCACAAAGATGCTGGGATCTGCTGTACTTTTGGTCTGTTTTCCTTGGTTAAAAAAGGCTGTATCAAAAGTAGTGGCAGACGGCGGGGCTGTGACATGGAGAGGACTGCTGTGCTGGGAGCCGGGAGCAGTTTCTGTTAAGGCCACTTGTGCAGCGCTGTGCCCAGTGCTTTTCTTCAGCACGAGCTCCATGGAGTATAAAGAAAGGTTGTGCTGTTCCGGAGAGAGCTCATCTATCAAGAAAATCAGAGCTGGGTTAGTGCAATGCATTGGAAGTCACACAGCTAACGTTTTGTTTCAGGCATGAGAATTTACTCATTTAACAAACATCCATTCACCATAAATATCCATGAATCACCGTCAGAAGTTAAACAGCTAGCTGGAAACGAGAAATTGACAGAATTACCATCAGGACAATATCTGCAAATATTCCTAAACTTGGGCACTGTTTTTACCTAAGCTGTGTATGTGTGGGGGTGGGGAGGGCATATTTACAGTTTTTCCCACAGAACCGTAGGATACTGGAAACAGAGGGGGCTGTTCAGTCCATTTTCTCTCATTTATGACATGAGTAAAGAAAGGTTTCCAGAAGGTAAATAAATCAATTATAAGACCACCCAGACAGAGTGGAACTGGAATCTGAATATAAGGCTTCCTTGACTCCAAGGCCTGTGTGTTTTCTCTTCAGTGATAGGAGCTGGCTGCTACGAGAAATGAACATGACAACTCATTGCATCTCTCACTACCCAAGTAAGAGAGTTCCCCAGTTCCTCAGCTGTGCTCCCCAACACAGTTGCTGAGGCTTCCACATGAAGGCCCCAGGCTTCCTGCAGCCTCAGCTTTCACCATTTCCTGCCCCACTCTAGGCCTTCCCAGCTATGCTCTGGCACCTGCAGTGCCCCAAACCCAAACACTCTCTGGCCTCCATGGCTGTGCACATTCTCACCCCCGCCTGGAATGCCCTTCCCAGCTCTCTACATGGATGGATCCTCTCACCCCCGCCTGGAATGCCCTTCCCCAGCTCTCTATATGGATGGCTCCTTCTGGCCCTTCAGATGCAGCACAGATATGAGCTTCATCCTCGATGCTCTGAAGTTGGATTCGTGCCTCTCCCTAGGCTTCTCCCTGTCCTTATCATGCCCACTGAAATGAACTATCTGATCACTAGATTCTGGGCTTCCTAAGGACAGGCATTGTTTACCTGTCTCCCCAGTGCCTAGCACAATAAGTGCTAGGAGCTCAATTGACATCACTTGGATTGATGAATGAATGAATGAATGAATGAATGAAATCCAAGGATACCAAGTTCTGACAACAAAAGCCAACATTATCCCATCATCCATTCAAACTTTTGTATTCCTTAACTTGTGACTGCTGTCATTATCATTTAGTAAGTTGAGGCCTCTCCACCGATAATTCAGGTATGACATAGCCTAGAGAAAAAGGACAAGTGATGGCCCAGCCACTGATGAAAGCCCAGGGCCCAGGGACTGTCCTCTGCAGCCCAGGCTGAGAACTGAGCAACTATCAAAATGCATAACAACACCTCGTTTCTCTAATCCCAACAGTCTATCAGAACATACCTGTGTGAAATGGTATAAGGACAGTCTTGAATTTACTCTATTTTTTTAAGTAAGTCATTTCTATTCTGTTTCTAGCAACATGGCAGACTAGAGATCTTGAAACTGTCTACTTCAGAACATTTAAGATTGCTTAATAAATGTTTAAAAACCATCTTCTAAGTGACTGGATGGCCTGCAAGACAGTAAGGGGAACGTGCTGAATCCAGGAATAAAACAGGAGCTGCTCAAGGGCAGTGACTGGGGACCCAAGGCAGGTACTGGACCAGCTGGCCTGTTGTTTAGGCCACAACGGAGATGAGGGACAAGTGTTAGCCTAGATAAGGAAAGAACCCAACTGAAGACCATTTTCCAAAAGTGGAGGCCCAGGAAGTGTCATAATCTCAGGGAAAGAGTGAATTAGGAAGAAAAATATCCACTTTTCAGAAGACAGCAAAAACAGGCATCGGTTTCTAATAGTGTCTGACTTGAGAACACCTTGGACTGACTTTCCCTTTTCCCTGTTGAACTCTCCTCAGTCTCTCACTTCTGTTCCTCAGGATCATGTCCTAGAATAAAATATGCACATAAACCCACGTCTCAGACTTTGCTTTCTGGCGGAAAACCCAGGTTAAGACACTGCTATGGCTTATGTATTACGTGCTCCCAATATTCCTATGTTGAAATCCCAGGACCTCACAATATGACCATATTCGGAAACAGGGTCAGTGTAGATGTAATTAGCTGAGATGCGGTCATACTGAAGTAGGGTGGGTCCCTCATCTAATATACTGGTGACCGTATAAAAGATGGAAATTTGGGCCAGGCGCGGTGGCTCAGGCCTGTAATCCCAGCACTTTGGAAGGCCGAGGAGGGCGGATCATGAGGTCAGGAGTTCGAGTCCAGCCTGGCCAACGTGGCAAAACCCCATCTCCACTAAAAATACAAAAATTAGCCGGGTATGGTGGCACACACCTGTCATCCCAGCTACTCAGGAGGCTGAGGCAGGAGAATCGCTTGAACCCAGGAGGCGGAGGGTTCAGAGAGCCGTGATTGCACCACTGCACTCCAGCCTGGGAGACAAAGTGAGACTCCGTCTCAAAAAAAAATAAAAATAAAAAAAGGCAGAAATTTGGACACAGACATACACAGAAGGAGAACACCATGTGAAGATGAAGGCAGAGAGCATGATGATGCGTCTACAAGTCAAGGAACAGCAAAGATTGACAGCAAATCACCAGCAGCTAGGGGACAGCCCTGAAGCAGATTCTCCCTCACAGGCTTCAGAAGGAAGCCACCCTTGAACTTGGACTTCTAGCCTCCAGAACGGTGAGACAATCAATTTCTGCTGTTTAAGCCAAACAAGGGAAAAGTATATGTCTCAGCTCTGACTTTGTATAGCTATTGTACGAAACGTCATCCCGAGTGTGGAACCTATACTACTTGTATAGTCCTAACAACTGTATGCTTAGAGTCATAATTTAAAGTGGACCAGGTCTCCAGCGCCTGTCAGAAACTAACATAAATCACACCCAGAAGAACATATTCACAGTCTGGTTTCAAAGTATTCCTGCAGCTAGAGTTGCAGAGCACAGAAGTAAAAATTATAAAATACATAGGAAAGCAAAGTACCATGAACAAAAGTCAAGAGAAATCCCATGAAGAAAGTATTTTTTTAAAAGGCCAACTAAATTGAATCAGATCTATAAAAACTTTAGATATTGGAATTATGAGACCCATTTTTTAAGGTTATATTTAATTCATTTAAAATAATAAAGACTGAAAACATGAGTAATGAGCAAGAGACTATAAAAGTTGGCCAGAAATATTTTTAAAACATTTAGAAATAAAAATTTTATAATTAATAAATTTTAAACTCAATATACATGTAAAACAGCAATTTAGACAGAGCTGAAACAAGATTTAGTGAACTGGGGGATAGGTCTGAAGAAATTACTCAGAAAAGGGAACAGGGAAACAAATAAATGTGAAATATTAAAAAAAGAAGTTAAGAGACATAGAAGACAGAATAAGACAGTCCAACATACATTTGATCAAAGTTTTAGGAAAAAAATAAAATGGAATAGGGTAGATACAATATTCAAAGACATAGTGCTAAGAATTTGCCAAAATTAATATGAGAAACGAACCATGCAATTCAGAAAGACCAAAAAATCCCAAGGAGGGTGAATTAAAAAAAAAGAAAAATCCAAACCTATACACATCATGATACCATAGACCAAAGACAAAGAGAAATTGTAAAAGCAGTCAGAGAAAAAGGAAACAGCAGCTAAACTTAAGCAAAAATAACTGCCTGACAGAATTAGAAGCCAGGTGACAATGAAACAAAATCCTCAAGTGCTGAGAGAAACTCTCTGACATCTCAGAGGTGAATAACCAGGAAAAATCTCTATCAAGACATTTTCAGCTTAACAGTGGTTATACCAAAAGAAGACCCACAGTAAATGAGCTTCTAAATAAGGATAACCTTCAAATAGAAGGGTTATTGCCTCAGCAGGAAGATCTGAGAATAGAGAATAAATGATAAACATAAGGCCAGACGTGGTGGCTCACGCCTGTAATCCCAGCACTTTGGGAGGCCAAGGCAGGTGGATCACCTGAGGTCAGGAGTTCGAGACCAGCCTGGCCAACACGGTGAAACCCTGTCTCTACTAAAAATAAAAAATTTGCTGGGTGTGGTGGCATGCACCTGTAGTTCCAGCCACTCCAGAGGCTGAGGCAGGAGAATCACATGAACCCGGGAGGTGGAGAATGCAGTGAGCTGAGATCATGCCATTGCACTCCAGCCTGGGCAACAGAGCGAGACTCCATCTCAAAAAGAAAAAAAAAAAGATAAATATATGGTTAAATCTAAACAAATACTGATGGTATAAATGAACAGTAATACTCCTATGTAATTGGTGAGTTTACAAAAGACATATTATATGGAATTAAAAGTTATGCATAGAAGCTATAAGAGGGACAGCCAGAGGTATTGTTGACTCACTAGCAGAGATGGAGATCAAGAGTTAAGACAAAATTCTGTGAATAGATTTTTGTTTCTACATACCAAAATTTGTAAATAATATTTAGTGCCATAGATAAAATATTTCTAGCTGGTTCTCCTAGCATCTGAAAGTCACCAACTTAAACCACATATAAAATGCTTAAAGGGTTATATTCCTTTCTCTATCATATGAATTTTTAAAATGAATAAATAATACAAAGATTTTTTAATCGATATTTTAAGTTGTTTCATAGCAATATTATACAGCATTTGTTGTCTTCCATACAACCTGGCTGTAGGATTCCTTGCCTAAGTGCTTGTGTTACTTACCTGTCACATCCCAAGCACAGGTAAAAGAAAACACGATACTTATTATGACCACAGTAAAATAGCAGCTGTTCTTTTCTTTTCTTTTTTTTTTTTCTTTTTTTTTTTTGGATGTTCTTTTCTACAATGAAGGCTTACAAGTTATAAACGTAAGAAGTAATAAAATCACGGTTCTGTCAAATTGTGTATCATATAAATCTGAATGTTTTCCTAAGGATAAATCATTTTATGTGTCTGTTTTAAAACTGCTATGATATAATTTGCTTTGAAATATTAGATCTGAACAAGGAGCAAATTCCCTTTTAAAAAAAATCACAACTATATTTGGAAGTGAACCGGAAGACTGCAAGAGATAAAATAACGAAGAAGAGCAACGTTTAGTGGCTAATTTATGAACCTGGGTATCTGATGCAAGCTAGAATTAAATCAACTAGGCCTTCTAAGGACAGGGTACGGGGAGGGCAAAGTGGCCAAAGGGACACAAAAATTCTCCTGACTAGAAAATGACGGGAACAAAAACTTCGTATTAAGAAATGGAAGGCAAGCCAAGCTGGGATGCTTTTTTTTCTTTCTTTCTCTCTGCCAAGCCCCAGGAGGGACAAAGCGGCTGCAGTGCCAAAGGGAATCACTTCTGCAGTTAACTCAGGAGGAGACTAGAAAACCCAGGCGAGTCTCTCTCACAGCATGAAAGGCGTCAGGGACTCTAATTTCAAGCCCTGGAGATCAATTTTCAAGCTCTAAAGCATAGGTTCACAAAAGAGAGAAAGGTTCTCTCTTGGATGACAGAGAAAGGAAAGGGGTTGGGGTGAGACGGGTGCTTCTCAGACTGTGACACCCGCCTGAATGACGCTGGACCCCGGACTCCTGCACCGCTCCCAGCTGACCCGGGCCTGCCACCCACTCCAAGTAGCCAGCGCTGAGGCCTTTTCTCCATTTAGGCAACAAACCCTTGTTCACTGGGAGCCTACCAGGCACCTGCACCTCGCCCTGGCCAGGTTCTGGCCATGCTGGACGTCACAGCGGGAAACTGCCCTGCGCTCCCACCACCAGGCCACACCAATTCCATGATGATACAGTAGTGAGGAAGATGCCCAGCTGTCTCCAACACTTGTCTGTCTCAGACTCTCACAAGCAAGACGAAGTGGTACCCTTACATTTTTTTTTTAAGTCATGTTTTTCTATCTGGAAATCTTCCTGAACCATAGTAGTCAATCATGGAATCATGTACTTTTCAAGCTTAATAGATCCTTTAAGACCTAGGCCAATCCCTCATGGTGCAAATAAAGCTCAAAATAGCACCCGCAGGGCCAACACAGAAAGAAACAGGTTCCTGCCTTCCCAGGGGCTGAAGGCTCTTCATACCACAGCGTGTTTTGTCAAATCAAGCCACCAAATTAAAGTTGTTGGCAAGGAAATTTAGTTAAAAAACATGCTAAATGGCCAGGTGCTAGTGGCTCACCGCTATAATCCAAGCACTCTGGTAGGCCGAGGCAGGAGGTGGGAGGCGAGCGAATGGCTTGAGCCCTGGAGTTCACCAGTCTGGGCAACGTGGCGAAACCCCGTCTCTACAAAATATCAAAAATTAAGTGAGCATGGTGGCGACCACCTGTAGTCCCAGCTACTTGAGAGGCTGAGGTGGGAGGATCGCTTGAGCCCAGGAGATGGAGGTTGCAGTGAGCTAAGACTGTGCCACTGTACTCCAGCCTGGGCAACAGAGCCAGATCCTGTCTCAAAAAAAAAAAAAAAAAAAAAAAAAAAAAAAGACTAAACTATGTTAGAGTACAATTGAGTTGAAAGCACTTGCTAAATTCTGTTACTAAAACTTATGGGCAGGCACACGTTTTGGACTCTGAAGCCCCGCAGTCCACCTGGGGACAGCTCACAACTGCAGGCACAGACGCTGGGAAAATACCTCCTCCTCTGAGGGCTGGCCTGGGAGGCCCAAGGGACAGCAGTATCAAGTGTCTCTAAAGAGCTTTCATCCAGACAGAAACATTACTTTTGCTTCTTTGCTAAATTGTGGAGTTTCTAAAACATGATGAGTCATCTCAAGTCTCTGTGGCTATGAAATCTACTACAAAACAAGGGCTCCTGGCCCCCAGGATTTCTAAGAGTTTACCAACAAAAGCAGTTGATCATTAAACCACTCCCCAACTTCGCAATCTCCAGCAACTTTTTCCTTTTTCTTTTTCTTTTTCTTTTTTTTTGAGACAGGTTTTGTTGTGTCAGCCAGGCTGGAGTGCAGAGGTGCAATCTCGGCTCACTGAAATCTCTGCCTCTTAGGTTCACGCGACTTGTGCCTCAGCCTCCAGAGCAGCTGGGATTCCAGGCGCCCACCACCACACCAAACCACTTTTTGTATTTTTAGTAGACATGGGGTTTCACCATGTTGGCCAGACTGGCCTCAAACTCCCGACCTCAAGTGATCCGTCTGTCTCGGTCTCCCAAAGTGCTGGGATTACAGGCATGAGCCACTGCACCTGGCCAACTTTTTATTCTTCTTCTAGTTCTCAGGTTGTCCTAGGCAGATTTTTAGTGCCGTTACAAAAACCATCCTTTCCCCTTCTCCATGTTCCATTTATCTTCCTGGTTTAGAAAAAAGTGTCTTCCCCTTGTTTCTCCACCGCAAAATGTACACCAATATCTTCTACCAAGTTACCTCTCCAACTGGTACTGGTTTTATTATCAAATATTAAGTAGATAATACTATTTATAAATATATATATATGTTATGAAAATAATACAAGGAACACTTGAGTACCGATCACCCAGTTTAAGAAAAGTACTACCCTTACCAGTGATGCTCCCAGTGTAACCCTTCCCAACTCCCTTCCTTCCCACTGAGGTAGCCACTATTTTAAATTAGGCATTTCTCAAATCCATGCTATTCTTTATAGTCTGACTACATGTATGTAGCCCTAAAGAATATATTCTTCAGCTTTGTATGTTCTTAAACTTTATCAAAATGGAATCACATTGTACATAATCTACTGCAACTTATTTCTCTCCGTATTGGTTTTCTAATCTATGTCCTTTTTTGTACATAATTTTTTCATTTTCACTTCAACATGAATTCCACCATATGAATAGACCAAAATTTATCCATCTACAGTGGATGGAGATTTGGACTACTGCCAATGTTTGTTATTACAAACATTTCTGATACGAACTTTCCTACCTGTTTTCTGGTGCACATATTTAAAGTGTGTGTTATGTACATGTGTAGATATGTATATATGTGTATGCATAAGAATGCAACTGGCTGGGCACAGTGGCTCACGCCTATAATCCCAGCACTTTGGGAGGCCAGGTGGGCAGATCACAAGGTCAAGAGATCGAGACCATCCTGGCCAACATAGTGAAACCCTGTCTCTACTAAAAATACAAAAATTAGCTGCGTGTGGTGGCGCATGCCAGTAGTTCCAGCTACTCTGGAGGCTGAGGCAGGAGAATCACTTGAACCTGGGAGGCAGAAGTTGCAGTGAGCCGAAACTGTGCCACTGCACTCCAGCCTGGCAATACAGCAAGACTTCGTCTTAAAAAAATAAAAAAAGAATGCAATCGCAGATCAGAGGATATGTTCACCTGTAACTTCACTAAATTTCTCAAAGTCGTTGAACCAATCTGTGTTTCCATGAGCAATATATGAGAGCTTGATGGCCGCAAATCCTCACTATGACTTGATAGCCCTAGATGTCCACATGTTTACCAATCTGGCTGGTGTGAAACCTTGTGGTTTTAATTTGCATTTCCCTGATTAAAATAGATGGATCACCTTTTCAATATCTGCGGGCCACTCATGTTGCCTCTGCTATTGTCTTGTCTTTTTTTTTTTTTTTTGAGACAGAGTCTTGCTCTGTCGCCCAGGCTGGAGTGCAGTGGTGCGATCTTGGCTCACTGCAAGCTCTGCTTCCTGGGTTCACGCCATTCTCCTGCCTCAGCCTCCCGAGTAGCTGGGACTACAGGTGCCCACCACCACGCCCAGCTAATTTTTTTGTATTTTTAGTGGAGACGGGGTTTCACAGTGTAAGCCAGGATGGTCTCAATCTCCTGACCTCGTGATCCGCCTGCCTCGGCCTCCCAAAGTGCTGGGATTATAGGCGTGAGCCACCACGCCCGGCCTACTATTGTCTTTTCAATCCTACTGCCCATTTTTCTTTTGGGTTGTCTGTCTTTTTCTTTCTGATTTAAAGGCATTCTTTTTTTCAGATGGAGTCTCACTCTGTTGCCCAGGCTGGAGTGCAGTGGTGCAATCTCAGCTCACTGCAACCTCTGCCTCCCAGGTTCAAGCAATTCTCCTGCCTCAGCCTCCCGAGTAGCTGAGACTATAGGCACGTGCCACCACGCCCAGCTAATTTTTGTATTTTTAATAGAGACAGTGTTTCACCATGTTGGCTAGGCTGGTCTCAAACTCCTGACCTCAGGTGATCCACCCGCCTCAGCCTCCCATAGTGCTGGGATTGTAGGCATGAGCCACCATGCCCAGCCTAAAGGCATTCTTGATGTATAAATACACCTTTGTTGCAGGTTTGGTCCTGGACAAACTTAATAAAGCAAATATCACAATAAAGCAAGTCACACAAATTTTTTTGTTTCCCAGTGCATATAAAAGTTATGTTTATACCATACTGTAGTCTATTAAGTACACAATAGCATTATGTCTTAAAAAAACAATGTACATCTCCTAATGCTATCCCTCTAATGTAAATGACAAGTTAATGGGCGCAGCACACCAACATGGCACATATATACATATGTAACAAACCTGCATGTTGTGCACATGTACCCTAGAACTTAAAGTATAATAAAAAATACATTAAAAAAAATGTACACATCTTAACTAAAAATACTTCATTGTTAAAAATGCTAACAATTGTCTAAGCCTTCAGCGAGTTGCAATCTTTTTGTTGGTGGTGTTTTATCTCAGTGTTGACGGCTGCTGGCTGATGAGGGTGGGTGGCTGATGAAGGTTAGGGTGGCTTTATCTTAGACAATGAAGTTTGCCTCATCAATTGATGCTTCATTTCATGAAAGACTTCTCTGTAGCCTGTGATGCTGTTTGATAGCATTTGGCCCACAGTAGAACTTCCTTCAAAATTGGAGTGAATCCTCTCAAACTCTGCCAACTGTTTTATCGACTAGGCTTATGGAATATTCTACATCCTTTGTTGTCATTTCAACAATATTCACAGCATCTTCACCAGCACTAGGTTCCATCTCAAGAAACCACTTTCTTTGCTCATCCATAAGAAGTGACTCCTCGTCTGTTTAAGTTTGACCATGAGTGCTGCAATTCGTCATGTCTTCTGGCTCTGCTTCTAATTCAGGTTCTTCATTCCATCTGCAGTGACTTCCTCCACTGAAGTCTTGAATGCCTCAAAGTCATTCATGAGGTTTCGCATCAACTTCTTCCAAACTTCTGTTAATGTTGATATTTTGGCTGTCTCTCATAAATCACGAATATTCTTTATGGCATCTAGAATGGTGAACCTTTTCCAGAATGTTCTTGACGTACTTTTCTCAGACCCATGAGAGAAATCGCTACCTATGGCAGCTATATAGCCTTATGAAATATATTTCTTTTATCTTTTTGTTTTGTTTTGTTTTTTAAGACAGTGCCTTGCTCTATTTCCCAAGCTGGAATACAATGGTACAATTATAGCTCACAGCACCCTTGAACTCCTGGGCTCAAGGAATCCCCCACAGCTCAACCTCCCAAACAGCTGGGACCATAGGCATGTGCCACTATGCCCAGCTATTTATTTTATCTTTCTTTTGTAGAGATAAGGTCTCACTATGTTGCCCAGGTTAGTCTCAAACTCCTGGCCTCAAGCAATCCTCCTGCCTCGGCCTCCCAAAGTGAGTCACCGCACCCAGCCATGAAATGTATTTCTTATATAGTAAGACTTGAAAGTCAAAATTACTCTTGATCCATGGGTTGCAGAATGGATGTGTGTTAACAGGCATGAAAGCAACTTTAATCTCCTTATCCATCTTGATAAGAGTTATTGGGTGACTAGGTCCATTGTCAATGAGCAGTAATAGTTTGAAAGGAATCTTTTGTTCTGAGCGGTAGGTCTCAAGAGTGGCCTTAAGTTAGTCAGTAAATCATGCTTTACACAGATGTGCTGTCATCTAGGCTGTGTTGTTTCACTTACAGAGTGCAAGCAGAGCCAACTTACCATAATTCTTAAGGGCCCCAGACTTTTCAGAATGGTCCATGAGCACTGGCTTCAACTTCAAGTCACTAGCTTCATTGGCCCCTAACAAGAGAGTCAGCCATCCTTTGAAGCTCTGAAGCCAAGCATTGACTTCTCTAGCTGTGAAAGTCCTAGATGACATCTTCTCCTAGAAGGCTGCTTCATCCACACTGAAAATCTGTTGTTTAGTCTAACTGCCTCCACCAGTGATCTTACCTAAATCCTCCGGATAATTTGCTGTTACACCTTGTACTTCTATGTACGGAGAAGCTTCTTTCCTTAAATCTCAAGAACCAACCTCTGTTAGCTTCAAACTTTTCTTCTGCAGCCTCCTTACCTTTTTCAGCCTTTAGAGGATCAAACAGAGTTAGAGCCTTGCTCTGGATTAGGCTTTGGCTTATGGGAATGTTGCAGCTGATTTAATCTATCCAGACCATTCAAGCTTTCTCCGTATCAGCAACAAGGCTGTTTTGCTTTCTTATTATTCATGTGTTCGTTGTGGTACTACTTTTAATTTCCTTCAAGAACTTTTCCTTTGCATTCACAACTTGGCAATCTATTTGTTGCAAGAGGTCAGCTTTCAGGCTCCCTTGGCTTTTGATGTGTCTTCCTCACGTAATCATTTCTAGCTTTTGACTGCAAGTGAGAGACATGCAACTCTTCCTCTCACTTGAGCACTTAGAGGCCACTGCAGAGTTATAAACTGGACTAATTTCAAAATTCTTGTGTCTCAGCAGATGGGGAGCCCTCAGGAGAGGGAGAGAGACAGGAGAACGACTGGTGAGTTGAGCAGTTAGGACACGCACATTTATTAAGTTTGCCTTTGTATATGGGCAGAGTTTGCGGCACCCCAGGACAAATTACAATAGTGACATCAAAGGTGACTGATCACAGATCACCATAACAGATATAATAATAATGAAAACATCAGAAATGTGAGAATTACCAAATTGTGACAGGGACACAAAGTGTCGACAGACTTACCTAAGGAGGGCTACCATGAGCCTTCCATCTGTAAAAAGCGCAGTATCTGCAAAGTGCAATAAAATGGGGCAGGCGTACACCTGTGTTTTGGATCCTCATATCTTATGTCAGTTATAACTTCTCCAGTTCATGACTTGTTGTTTGATATTTTTAATGGCATCTTTGATGAACAGAAGGTCTCAATTTTGGCCAGGCGTGGTGGCTCACGCCTGTAATCCCAGCACTTTGGGAGGCCGAGGTGGGTGGATCACCTAAGGTCAGGACTTCAAGACCAGCCTGGCCAACATGGTGAAAACCCATCTCTATTAAAAATACAAAAACTAGCCAGGCGTGGTGGCAGGTGCCTGTAATCCCATCTACTCGGGAGGCTGAGGCAGGAGACTCTCTTGAACCCAGGAGGCAGAGGTTGCAGTAAGCCAAGATTGTACCACTGTACTCCAGCCTGGGTGACAGAGCAAAAGTCCCATCTCAAAAAAAAAAAAAAAAAAAAAGAAGGTCTTGATTTTAATATGGTCAAATTTATCAGTCTTTTGTTATTGTTTGAGATTCACGTGTATATATTTTAAGATGGAAGATTTAAGAAATTGTTCCCGTCACTAAAAGGCATTATGTTACTCTTCCATGTTGTCTTCTAATAGTTTTAAGGTTTTGTTTTTCACATTTAAGACCATGTGTTCCTGGAGGTGTGTGGTGGGGAGGCGTGGGGTGTGTATGTGTGCAGGAGACATGAAGGCAGACAAGAGTGTCCCAACCCACTGTTACTCACAGTGTGGTCCACAAGCTTTTTGTTATGGGTCTGCAACGAGACAAGGTTCTTGAACCAGTATGGAAATCAACATACTCCCTTTTCAGAGAATAGGCCATGCTAAAATTAAAAATTAAAATTATAAAAACTAGACAGCATGCTCTATGAACAGTCAATTCACATGCTCGTGTAAGTTCTTTATTTTGTCTTAACTGGAAAACAAGCGTTTGCAGAGTGGCACATTCTGTGGCACTATGTGGGCAAAGGATGTGGGATCTGCACATGGTTTTGGGGTTGGAGGCAGAGGGGCAGTACTAGGAATGCAGCCCACTGGAGAACACAGAGAAAGACAGCATGTCTGGAAAGGAACAGAAAAAAAAAATATTTTTAAACTCTAAAGTAGAGTCAGAGAAATGTAGGAGACCAGACCATGCAAGGCTTAGAAGCCGCAATGCTGAGGACACTGAGCAAATGCAGTGAGAAGCCACTGAAGAAGCTATTTAAAAGCATGGGAATGACAGGATCTGAAAAATGGTTTTCAAAAATACCTCTTGCTGCTGTGTGCAGAACAGGCTAATGGGGGCAAGAGGAGATGTAGAGAAATCAGTTATGAGGTCACTAGAGTTGAACTTGAGATGACAGCGGCTTAGAGTGGTGTATTTAGCACTTTGCTCCTCAAGAGTGTGGTCAGCGGATCTTTAGCATCACCCGGGAGTGTTTTGGAAATGCAGCATCTCAGGCCCACTCAAGACCCTACGGAGTCAGAAACTGCTATTACCATGACCCCCAGGTAATTCATGCACTCATTCAAGTTTCAGAAGCACTAGCCTGGGATTTACTTTAGGGAAATTCACATGGTGATATCAAGTATGCAAATGGATAATCCGAGCCTGAGATAAACCTGCAAACGTGAAGAGGAGAAGCCAGGGAGACATGGGAAAACCAGGAACGGGAGGTGACAAGAAAACAGAAAATCGGTCGGTACTGGGGAAGGGTCGCTGTGCTGAATGACTCCGAGAGACCAGGCACGTGCAGGCTGGAGAGGCCCTGCTGGCATGCACGTTTCTCGTGGTGGCAGAAGCCAGGCTGACTAGTGAAGGGCAGATGAGGAAACAGGAGCTCCACGCAGTCAACTTCATGAGCAGTTTCACTGCATGAGGCAGGGAAGGGAGATGGTACCTGGAGGGTCTGGGGAAGTCACTTGGTTCTGAGATGAGAGAGAAGAATCACCGAGGAGCTGGTTAAAGACGCAAGTTTCTAAAAAGGCAAAGCAGCTAATGCAAAATGTTTCCTCTACTCATGAGGAAGCATCAGATAAACCCAGTACCAGGGATATTGTACAAAAGACCTGACTTTCAAAAATGCCAAGGTCATAAAAGGCAAGAAAAGACTGAGGAACTGAGCAGACTGAGGAGCTGTGACAACTAAATGTGATGTGCAAGTCTGGACTGGACTCCAGAACAGAAGTGGAAGAACTGGTGAAACCCTGTAAAGTCTGTAGTTTCATTCATGGCATTGAACAAATGCAAACTTCATAATTGTGGTAACCCCACTATGATCATGTAAGATGTTATTATTAGGGGAAGCTGAATGAAGGGTATATGGGAACTCTGTGCATTAATTTGCCAACTTTATGTCTAAAATTCTTGCAAAATAGACCAGGCGCAGTGGCTCATGCCTGTAATCCCAGCACTTTCAGAGGCCGGGGCAGGCGGATCACCTGAGGTCAGGAGTTCAAGACCAACCTCGCCAACATGGCGAAAAACCATCTTCAATGAAAATACAAAAATTAGCCAGGCATGGCGGCACGTGCCTGTAATCCCAGCTACTCGGGAGGCTGAGGCAGGAGAATCACTTGAACCCAGGAAGGGGAGGTTGCAGTGAGCTGAGATTGTGCCACTGTACTCTAGCCTGGGTGACAGAGTAAGATTCTGTCTCAAAAATAATAATAGTAAAATAAATAAAATACAACTCTTGCAAAATAAAAATAACTCAGGTTCTCATCAGGAAGTAGTGTATGGGTTTTTGTTGTTGTCGTCGTTCTTACTGTTGTTTTGGAACCTATAATTGGAACCGAAGGGTGACTCAAATGACATCAAAAGGGCGAGAGCACTGCTGATGGAGTAATGCAAAAGTAATGACAACACCGAAGACGAAAGGACCAGCGAGGAGCCCATGGGGTTGAGAAGGAAGGAAGGAACGGAACCTGCAGAGAAAGTGGGCTTTGATCCTCCACAAGACACAGGGTACCTGAAAATTACTACCATGGAGGACAGACTGAGAGAGTGAGTCCAGAGACCAGGAAACTTTACAGATTTACTTGTGAGAATTGGTGGGAATTCTGGTTAGAGGGCCTCTCTGAATACAGTATTTGCTACTAAAAAAAAAAAAAAAAACAAGTCCAGAACATCCACTGAAAATAGGGAGTGGTTGAGGGATGGGGCGGAGTACACCAAGAGAGCGGAGAATTCGTGATGTTTGAATTGCCATATGTCACATCTTTGATTCCTGACTCAAATAAGAGACACCATAGTGTAATAATAGAGAGTGCCGGAGATGAGAGCTTGCAGGCCTCGGGCCGCATCCCCGCCCACCTGGAGGAGCCATTTCACATTCCTGGGTCTCAGGTCCTTCATCCTCTAACAAGATACGTGGTCCCTGAAAATCACTACCTGAAAAATGGGTGTTGAGATCTGACTTCCCAAGTGGAAGGAAAATAGGACCCTATGTATATGCTATGAGGTTTTCTCTAACCCTCAAACCATAAGGGGTTCCCCAGAAAGAGAAAGGGGAGCCCCCAAATGATGAATGGCCATGATACCGGCAGTGGGCAGCTTCAGGTTTAGCTGGAAAAACACCAGCTCATAAAAAGCACAGCTCTTCAGCACTGGCAAAATACAATCCCATCCAGAGAGGGATAATGGGGCCAAAGTCTCCAGAACATTCCACAGAAAACAGAACTGGGCGCTGTTCTATCTCCAACTTGCTCAGTGCCCCCCGGAGAAATCCCTCGTAATTAGTCACCCCTTCCATTTCCTCCTCTAAAGATGGAACACAGATAACAATTAGTGACCTCACCCAAACATAAAGAGAACTCATGTGGAACTTCAGAAAACAATGACTGCAACCAAACAATACTGAAATACTAATACTGCAAGGCTTTTAAAAATTCAACTATTCTAGCTAAAACATCAGTTTAGGCTTCATGGTGGGGTTTGGGGACTCTATTTCTGTGCATGACTTTCTCATTTGAGGAGCTAAGGATATTAAAATGTTGGTTTAATTGAAGGCAAGGTCCAGAGTATTTACCAAAAGATATTCTGTTTTGCTTTGTTTTGCTTTATTCTTTCCTAAATAAAATGCAATCCTCTTTCACCAACCTAGAAAGCAAGACTGTCAGCACTTTGAGTAACCAAAACAAACTAAACTACTCAATTCACTAACAACAAAGGCAAAAAAATTTCTGTCAGCCATCTGTTTCTAAAATAATTTAATTTAAAACACAGTCCTGTAACAACAGGGAAAAGGACACCATCAGCTTCCAGATAATCTTCTGTCTCCTATTACACTCAGAGCAGGAGTGGCACACGACATCCCATGACTAAGCATGAGCAGGCACCTTCCCTCCCAACAGCAGGAGCCAGCAGCAATGAACATCCACACCGACGTCCAAGCTGCCAGGAGACACCACTGCCTCCCTGGGGGGTATTAATTCCAACAAACAGTAAACAGCTTATGTGGCAGGCTCAATGCCTTAATTCGGCTCTAAATTAAGCTTTTATTTTATATCAAGGGATCAGGAGGCTTAAGAGAGAGAGGGGTCACGCCGGCTGGAAGCAGCAGCAAGGACAAAGGCACCATGTCTGGACAAAGTGGGATGTGTCTGCAGTGGTTGGAGAGAATAATACTAGAAAAGTTGGCCCAAGAGTGTGAGAATGTTGGCAGACAATAGGAAGGAATAGGATATTTTGAGCAGAGCAGCTTTTTGACCAAAGTTATCCTGCAGAAAAATCAATCTGGCAGAGCGGAAAGAAGCATAAAATAGTGCTCCATCATACACACAGATATGCATGGTTGATGTGGCAAGGAGTGTGATCAGGACGGTGAAGGGAACAGAAAAGAAGTTCCATGTCAGAGAGACTGCACTAAGGTAAAAAAGATGATCAAATTCAGCAGCCAGTGGAATGGATGGGGAAGACAGAACAAAAAGTCAAAGGTGATTCTAAGTCACAGTTACAACTGTCCACTAGGCAATTCCACTTGAGTATCCAACAGGCTCCTAAAAAAACCCTGACCCTCCCCCATATGCCACTTAATAGCTCGTGCCTGTAAGCCAGGTCCTGCCAGCACTGTGGACCCTCACACATCTTCCTTCCCACCGCCACCAATTAATTTAGGCCTTACAATGACCCGCTCAGAGCCCTGCCTCGCACAACTTCTGTGAGAGACAGGCTTTCCAGGACACTGAAGTGCAGGAAGCAGAGATGTTCTGAGTCCATGGACATTGCCTGCTTCTTCGCTCACTCTGGGTTTGGTTTGGGAACCAGGAGAGGCCACAGCATCCACAAACATCCTTTCAAATGGCTTCTGTTTCCTGGGTGGTGTCTTAAGCCCCATATGCAAAGGGTGGCAGCACTTCCAGCATGACAAGTTCCCACCTTGTCCAAACAGTGTCACTAGAGAACTAGAGATGTGTGACCCCCCCCACCCCCACACAAACACACCCCCCAAACGCTGGTACTGTGGGCCAAGGGAAGGTATGCTAAGAAACCCTGTAACTGCCCCGGCCCTGATTAGAGGTGTGTGTTCCTAGCCATGGTAATCAGTCAGGGCTGTGGTCTCTCTCTACGAGCCATAACCCACCCTAAGCTCTGCAGCCTCCTCTATCCCCTCCAATCCATCTGGAGTTTTCTAACGTGCAGAGCTGATCAATCAATTCTGTATATATGAAGTTCATCTAAAAGGAAAGAAACAATCAAACTATGTCACCCCATTCTCAAAATCCTCCAGTGGCTCTTAAAAGCCTTCAGAAAGCCAAAGCCCTCAGCTGAGATACAAGAGCCTTCAGCTCCCCGTTCCCGCCTGTGCCATTAGTATTACCCTCCCCTACAACCAGCCCATGCCCCAGCTATTCGACGTGCTCTCTGACCACCATGCCCCTCCTCCTTCCCGTAACTATCACACCCCAGAACCCCCTTTTCCATCTTCCCCAGAACCCTGCATGTGCTTCTCTCTTGACACTTAGGTTGCATTCTTGATTTACTCATTACTCACCTGCCCCACCACCCTACCCCAGACTGTGAGCTACTTGAAGGAAGAGGCTGTGTCTTATCAGTGTGCCTCCCATGTCCAGCCCAAAGACTAACATGTCCATTCATTCATTCATGAGTCCAACAAACACCTACCGGTCATGTGAGCTAAGTGCAGGGTGTGAAGTGTTAGCCAAGATAGAAAGGTCCCCTGCTCACAACTTTATGGCTGAGAAGAGGAGACAGACAATAATGATGAACAGAGAAGACTGGTAAGGAAATAAGCAAGATGCTGTGATGGACAGCAAGGAACCTCAGGAAAGGATGAGGAGCCGAGAGAGAGAGACAGGAAGGCTGCTCCAGGCAGAGGGGGTGGCGAGCACAGTGGCCTGAAGCAGGAAGGAGATTCACAGATGTGGAAATGGCTCATACGAATGGTGCGGGGTCACCAAGAGGAGCCTGTCGTTTGAGACTCACATGGACGGTGAGGAGCCAACTCGGGGTGGATGGAAATGTGACTCTAGGGTTTGAGAGAGAAATCTGGGCCAATGATAGAGATTGGTGATAATCTGCAGAAAGATGATCATTGGGGTCAAATGACACCATCAAGGAAGGTGGGGGGAGTTTGACTTCCAAGCCCTCCAGGGATATGTTCACTTACGGGTGCTCTGCCGCAGTCAGGAGGGGCCACCTTTAGGAATCATACTGCTATAGTCTGAATATTTGTGTCCCCCTAAAATTCATATGTTGAAACCTAACCCGAAGGTGATGGTATTAAGAGGTAGGGCCTTTGGAAGGTGACTAGGTCATGAGGGCCCCACCCTCATGAACAGGATTAGTGTCCCTCTAAAAAAGGCCAGAGAGAGCTCCTATATGAGGACACACAGAAGGCGCTGTCTATGAGGAACAAGCCCTCACCAGAAACCGAGCCTGCTATGATCTCCATCTTGGACTTCTCACTCCAGAACTGTGAGTGATAATTTTCTATTGTCTATAAGTGACCAGTCCAAGGTATTTTGTTATAGCAGCCCAAATGGACTAAGACACACATCAAATTGAGTTCTGGTTACATATACTTCTGGAATCCAATTCAGTCAAGCACACATATTATTCATTCTCATCCTTACTTAATTTATTTCCATTCACTGGTAATCTTTCCCAAACCCCCTGTTCTGCCTGCTTATTGGTATGAAGAGCCTACTGATTAGCAATTATCCATAGCATTAACTCTCTAAGTGTCTATAATTATAACTTATCTCGGTTTATTTGAGGGTTCTGTGGGACTCCATGATAGGGAATGACATGAAGTTAATGTAAATACTAATTTGACAAGAAACTAACCAGATCAAATCTATAGATAACCCAGAAAGCAATTTTCTAAAACTGCAGTCCCTTCCATGTAGAGTTCTATGCCTGTTTTTGCTATTACAATAAATTGTTTAAATGCTGCCAAACAACCCAATTTTGGCATTTTAAACTTTTTATTATAGGCCAGGCACAGTGGCTCACGCCTATAATCCCAGCACTTTGGGAGGCTGAGGCGGGTGCATTACCTGAGGACAAGAGTACAAGACCAGTCTAGCCAATACGGCGAAACCCTGTGTCTACTAAAAACACAAAAATTAGCCAGGCGTGGTGGCACATGCCTGTAATCCCAGCTACTTGGGAGGCTGAGGCAGGAGAATAGCTTAAACCTGGGAGGCGGAGGTTGCAGTGAGCCGAGTGAGACTCTGTCTCAAAAAAAAATTAATTAATTAAACTTTTTATTATAAAATTTTCAGACATACACAAAAGTTGAAAGACTGGAACCCATTACTCAGCTTCAATCCCATAAACTTTTTTTTAAAACACAAATAGAGCAAATCCCAGACATCATTAATTTCTGTAAATACTTCAGCATCTCTGATAAGGACTTTAAAAAATTATAACCACAATATAATTATCACACCCAACAAAATTAAAAATAATTCCTAATATCATCTAATTATGCATTTCAAACTTGGTTTTCCTTGGTGGCCTCAAAATATTTTTGTATAACAGTACAGTTGCTTTTTTCACACCAGGATCCAAACAAGGTACATACAATGCTTTTGGTTCATGTGTCTCTTAGGTCTCTTTTACTTTATAACAGTTTTCTCCTCTTTTTTTCCCCCTTTTTAAATCTCTCCCTATTTACTTGTTAAAGAAAGGTCATTTGTCCCTGTAGACAGTCCACATTCTATATTTGGCTGACTATATTCTCATGGTGTCATTTAACGTGTTCTTCCCCCAAATTTCTTATAAACTGGTAGTTAGATCAAGAGGCTTCATTAGATTCAGAATCAATGTTTTTGGCAAGAATACTCCCTAGGTGGTCCTCTGTATTTCCACTGTATCACGGCAGGAAGCGCCTGGTTTCTGGCTGTTCTATTCTGAGTGATACTAAAATTTATCAAGGGCTTAAGAGGTGACAGCCCTTTTCATCCATTACAAGGCTCCTCATCAACTCTTCACATAATGACTAGGCAGTCACTGATGATCACTGCCTCCATCCATTATTTCACTAAGGAGGTTGGGTTTTTTAAGCCTGCATTAATTAAAGATATTCCAGCCGGGCGTGGTGGCTCACGCCTATAATCTCATCACTCTGGCAGGCCCAAGCAGGAGGACTGCTTGAAGCCTGTGGTTTGAGACCAGCCTGGGCAACATAGCAAGACCCCATTTCTACAAAAAAAATTTTTTTTTTAATTTTAATTTAAAAATAATTTTTTTATTATACTTTAAGTTTTAGGGTACATGTGCACAACGTGCAGGTTTGTTACATATGTATACATGTGCCAGGTTCATGTGCTGCACCCATTAACTCGTCATTTATATTAGGTATATCTCCCAATGCTATCCCTCCCCGCTCCCCCCACCCCACAACAGGCCCCGGTGTGTGATGTTCCCCTTCCTGTGTCCATGTGTTCTCATTGTTCAATTCCCACCTATGAGTGAGAACATGTGGTGTTTGGTTTTTTGTCCTTGTGATAGTTTGCTGAGAATGATGGTTTCCAGCTTCATCCATGTCCCTACAAAGGACATGAACTCATCATTTTTTATGGCTGCATAGTATTCCATGGTGTATATGTGCCACATTTTCTTAATCCAGTCTATCGTTGTTGGACATTTGGGTTGGTTCCAAGTCTTTGCTATTGTGAACAGTGCCGCAATAAACATACGTGTGCATGTGTCTTTATAGTAGCATGATTTATAATCCTTTGGGTATATACCCAGTAATGGGATGGCTGGGTCAAATGGTATTTCTAGTTCTAGATCCCTGAGGAATCGCTACAGTGACTTCCACAATGGTTGAACTAGTTTACAGTCACAACAACAGTGTAAAAGTGTTCCTATTTCTCCACATCCTCTCCAGCACCTGTTGTGTCCTGACTTTTTAATGATTGCCATTCTAACTGGTGTGAGATGGTATCTCATTGTGGTTTTGATTTGCATTTCTCTGATGGCCAGTGATGATGAGCATTTTTTCATGTGTCTTTTGGCTGCATAAGTGTCTTCTTTTGAGAAGTGTCTGTTCATATCTTTCACCCACTTGTTGATGGGGTTGTTTGTTTTTTTCTTGTAAATTTGTTTGAGTTCTTTGTAGATTCTGGATATTAGCCCTTTGTCAGATGAGTAGACTGCAAAAATTTTCTCCCATTCTGTAGGTTGCCTGTTCACTCTGACGGTAGTTTCTTTTGCTGTGCAGAAGCTCTTTAGTTTAATTAGATCCCATTTGTCAATTTTGGCTTTTGTTGCCATTGCTTTTAAAAAATTTTATTAAAAAAAATTAAAAAATAATTTAAAAAGATGTTCCAACACTCAAATTATAGAAATAATAATAATTTGGGGTCTGGAACAATAATGTTATTTGTGTTTTGTAAGAACATTTAATAAGTCACCTGATTAGGAGTTCAATACAAAGATGCTGATTTCTGTACCATTCTTTAAAAAGATTACACACAAATCATTGACCCTGTGAATATATTAAAGTCCCCCTCCCCTGCCAAAGTTCACCGTTCCATAAAGATAGTAAAGAATAAGGCAGATCTTGGAAATTATGACACTTAAGAAGGAGGGAAGGAGGAAATAGAAACGTCAGAATATCTCAAAGCAGTGCATTTATTACAGCACCTTTCCAAAGAACAGATTAAGAAGTACTAAAATAACCTTAAGACACGATGGTTAAACAGTTTCAAATTCCTCTTCTTCCTGTACTAGAGTTTCTACAAAACAGCAAAAAATAATCTGAATCCTTTTCTCCCTATCCCTTACTCAGAGAAGTGTTAATAAACAGTAAAATACCTGTGCGACAGAAGAATCCTCCTCCCTTCAAAAACACAGGCTAGTTAATGCCTTCCGCATAATCACTTACTGACCCTGAGAAACCCTCTATTAATAGCCAAGCCTCACAGGTACCTACACTTCCCCCTGGGTTAGAGCACTTCCACTCAGGAGAGCAATTAGCGCTCTGCTGAACTGAACTGCCCAGTCTGCTGCAAGAAGGTAGGGAAGGGAAGCAGGAGACATCAGGGATAACCTTCAGGGACCAGTAAGATGAGGGAGCCTAAACTCTTCCAAAGAGGAAATAAGGAAATCTTAAAAAACGTTGCAATGAATGCCACTGAATTGTATGCTTAAAAGTGACTCAAATGTTAAATTTTATGTTATGTATATTTTACCACATTACAAGTCACAATGCTCAATTTTTATAAGCTCATGTGGCCAATAGCCACCCTCTCCCAGGTGCTATGATCCATTATCCTTCTCACGTCATTGGTGAAAAACCCGAGGCTCCAAAAGATTAAGTAACTTGTTCAAGTCCCACAACTAGCAGGTGGTGGACCCAGTATTTGAACCCGGATCTATCCGCTGCCAAAACCCCTTGCTCTGGGCACAGCACCACACTGTCTCTCTGAAAGAAATTTCCAGATTATCATTCTTGAGCAGCTCTGTACAAAAATTTTCATAATTGAAGGCAAACGAGAATTCTAAGTATTAAAAACCACTTCCCAATTTGAAAACTCTGCTCACTGCATTTCAACACAGGCCTATCAACTTCAGGAGGTTTAAACAACATGTAAAAGAGCAATACGGTGAAAATAATATCTCGGATGCTGAAGCCAGAGAGGCATGAGGCTAGCTCCTGCAATCAGCTCTGCACCATGACCGCATGGGGATGCTGCCACAGAAAGACCTGGATCCGGTGGCTGAGGCCCACAGGGAGACCCAAAGAGGAGAGGTAACAGAAGTTGGGAACTGTCCCAGGCACCAGCCTTCTCAAGCACTGCACTGGTGATACATGCGCTCCCTTACCCGCAAAAGTAAGTTGGAGGCTGGGCACGGTGACTCACGCCTGTAATCCCAGCACTTTGGGAGGCTGAGGCAGGCGGATCACAAGGTCAGGAGATCGAGACCATCCTGGCTAACATGGTGAAACCCCATCTCTACTGAAAATATAAAAAATTAGCCAGGCATGGTGGCGGGCACCTGCAGTCCCAGCTACTCGGGAGGCTGAGGCAGGAGAATCGCTTGAACCCAGGAGGTGGAGGTTGCAGTGAGCCGAGATCGTGCCACTGCACTCCAGCCTGGCGACAGAGCAAGACTCCGTCTCAAAAAAAAAAAAAAGTAAGCTGGAGGTTGGACCAGAAGCAAGAAAATTCAAGCAACAAACACAAAGGACCAAAGACCTCTCTGCTGTCTCCAGCAACCTACTAAGGGCTGCCTGGGCCTCAAACAACCGATGAGCAACCAATGTGTGCCCCTGCAGACAGTCTGCCCTCCACCGCGAGGAAGCTAAGGCAGCCTGCTAGACCCACATGAGAGAAGGAGGGAAATAATCACAGATCTTCTTGTTTGTGACAACAGTGGCAACAATGACTCCAGAGTGTTTGCTTTGTGCCCAGATGCGTCACGAGTCCCCCTCGAGTCCCACAAAGGCCGATGGTGAAGGCGCCGTTCTCATCTCCATTTTACAGCAGGGCAGGCAGCACAGAGAGGTCTGGTTTGCCCAAATCCCTGCCAGAGAATCTGGACTAGAGCCCTGGGCTGTCTGCCCCCAGCGCCGGCAGTCTCAGTCACAGCACACGAAACTCATGCCTGTGGAAGAAAACACCACCCAAATGAATAACTTTTCACAAATTATTTATTTCCCTTATTCTTTTTATAATTGACAAAATAAGCTGTATATGTTTATTGTGTACAACATAATGTTTTGAAATATATATACATTGTGGCATGGCTAAATCAAGCTAATTAACAAATGCATTACCTCGCCAGGCGCAGTGGCTCACGCCTGTAATCCCAGCACTTTGGGAGGCCAAGGCGGGTGGATCACAAGGTCAGGAGATCGAGACCATCCTGGCTAACATGGTGAAACCCCGTCTCTACTAAAAATACAAAAATTTAGCCGGGTGTAGTGGCGGGCACCTGTAGTCCCAGCTACTCGGGAGGCTGAGGCAGGCGAATGGCGTGAACCCGGAAGGCAGAGCTTGCAGTGAGCTGAGATCGCACCACTGCACTCCAGCCTGGGCGACAGAGTGAGACTCCATCTCAGAAAAAAACAAAACAAAAAAAAAATGCATTACCTCACATAGCTTAGTTTTTGTGGTAAGCACACTTAAATCTACTCTCTTAGCATTTTTTTTTTTTTAATAGAGACAGGGTCTCGTTATGTTGCCCAGGGTGGCCTTGAACTCCTGGGCTCAAGTGGTCCTCCCACCTCGCCCTCCCAAAGTGCTGGGATTACAAGCTGGGATTACACTGAGCGGGCCTCTCTTAGCATTTTTTTTTTTGTCTATGGCCCCATTTTTTAAGATTACCATATACTGTTATTAACTGGTAACTATCATCACTACATTGTACAATGGATCTCTTGAACTTACTGCTCCTAAGTGAAATTTTACATCCTTTGACCAACATCTCTCCAGCCACCCCAGCCCCCACACTACCCCAGCATCTGAATAACTTTTCACTCAAAAGCCACATAATTGCCAAGAAGTACATCGAAGGATGCTTAATATCATTTGTCATCAAGGAAATGCAAATCAAAAGCACAATAAAATACCAATTCATACCCATAGGATGGCTATATTTTTTAAAGTGAAAAATTAGTGTTGGTGAAAATATAGAGAAATTGGAACCCTTATACACAGCTGGTGCTTCCACTGTGGAAAAGAGTTTGGCGGGGATCTGGTCTCTCAACAAGTTAAACATAGAATTATCACACAACCCACTAATTCCACTCCTAGCTATGTCCCCAGAAAAACACTGGAAGCAGGCGTTCAAACCAAAACTTCTGCTTGAACGCAGCATTATTCACAAAAGCCAACAGATGATATCAACCCAAATGTCCACCAACTAATGAATGGAAAAAAAAAAAGGTGATATATCCATAAAATGCAATACTATTCAACCACAGAAAGGAATGGAAGACCACTGCATAGTTCAACACAGATGAACCTTGAAAACATTATGCTAACTGAAAGCAGCCAGACACACAAACACATACTGTATGACTCCATTTACATGAAATATCCAGAAAAGGCAAACCCACAGAGGCAGAATGCAGTTAGTGGCTGCCAGGGGCGAGGAGGGTGCAATGGACCCCTGTCCACTGCCCACTGTCCAGCCAGTCCTGTGGCTGCACACTACTGTGGATGTACTTACTGTCACTGAATTGAACACTTTGAAAGGGCTAAAATTGTAAATTTTATGTTATGCATGTTTTACCAAAAAATAACTTAAGGGGTCAAATACAAAAACCTCCTAGGTCCAGTTAAATACCCTTATCCCAGTTTAACTGGGGAAGCTGTTATTTTTCTAAAGTTCACTTATTTTCTACCAGTATAGTGTCTCTCACAGAGGAGTCCTGCTCTCAGAATCACCCAGGGATCTTTTTAAAAAATGGATCTCCAGGCCTTTCCCTAGACTCTCTGAGGGGGTGAGGCCCAGGAACGCATATTGTAACACTCACCCCAGGTGCCTTAGCGCCAGCCACTGTCTAAGACATCTCATCCCGTCCTTCCAGGCAGTTCTCAGAGCTTCTTGAAAGGAGGGTGTTAATCACCTCCTTATTGATGCTCCAATCCAGGCATGCTGACAGCTGTTGTCTAAGTACTACCTCTGGGTTGTTAGCATCTGCTGTGTTCAGCTCTCAGCTGCACTTTGCAAACCAAGCCCCTCACCTGGCAGAAGGTGACCTTGACCCCACTAAGTACTTTGCAGCTCTATACCACTTCTGGTCCACACAGGTGATTATTCGCTTTTGAGTTGAGACTTTTTGGCTCTCTGCACTCATATTTCATCTATCAATTTTATGTATTTAAAGCATGAAGTTACTTGTGCCATCCTGCCCAAGACTGTGACTTCTGACCACCTGTACTTTAAAACCAGAACGCTAACACTTTTTTTATAGGCATATTAAAATCATCCTTTAACACAGACCACTTTAAAAGTAGATTATAAAAGATTGGTTTCTTTTCACGGCTCGGCATAGTGGCTCACGCCTGTAATCCTAGTAGTTTGGAGGCTGAGACAGGAGGATGGCTTGAGCCCAGGAGTTCAAGGCTGCAATGTGCCATGATTGTGCCACTGCACTCCAGCCTGAGTAACAGGATGAGAACCCCTATCAACAAAATAGAATGTCCACAATTGAGGCCAACAGGAAGCTTGAAAAGCAGTATGTTCAAGAGGGTTCTCTCAACTAAGCTTACAAGTTCCCCTTCCCCTTCTCTCCTCCCCTCCCTCTTTCCCCACCCCTAAGCTCTCTCCACCCTTTGCCTGCCTCTCCCCAGTCCCACGTTCTTACTGCCTCTCATCTGCTCCCTTTTCTCCTTAACTGGTTTAACATATCATAATAATATGAAGTCGCATAATATATTATGTTCGTTGTTACATTTACTGAGTGAGGCTTGTTATTCTCTGCTTTTAAACACTGGTTATAGTTTTCTCTTTAAAACATTGTTTTCTGCTTGTATGTAAGCCTTAGTTGATTTCTGCAGAGGAACCAGTGGCCTTTAAGAGAAAAAGACTCTTGATTACTGACCCTATTTAGATAAGAAACACAGGGCATCTTCAGTGAAAATTTAAACCACTCTACTGTCGTGGTACAATTACTCTTTCTTTCGCTTGGCTATGGGGAGAGGAGGAAAAGTCTCACAAACTAAAGATATTCTAAAACAGAATTTTTTTTTAAAAGGCCTGGCCGGGCACGGTGGCTCACGCCTGTAATCCCAGCACTTTGGGAGGCTGAGGCGGGCAGATCACTTGAGCCCAGGAGTTCAAGACCAGCCTGAGCAACATGAAGAACCCCGTCTCTACCAAAAATACAAAAATTAGCCTGGTGAGGTGGTGTGCGCCTGTAGTCTCAGCTACTCAGGAAGCTGAGGTGGGAGGATCACTTGAACTCTGGAGGCAGAAGTTGCAGTGAGCCGAGATCACGCCACTGGACTCCAGCCTGAGCAATGGAGGCATCTAGAGACCCCCAGTTTTTTGGAATCCCTGACTCCACCCCGTCTGTAATGCCTTTCCCCAAACTATGATGACAACAACAAATGCTCGCAGGCATTGCCCAGCGCCTCTGCAGGTGAGACTGCCCAACTGAGAACCCTCTGAGACTCACTGCAGCTTTACTGCATGGCCCAGGGAGAGAGGCTGATGGGAGCAGGTAAACAACCCCTGGTCTCCCAGCAGCCCCCACTGCCAACGGGTGCAGAAAAACCACAGTAGAGCATTCACTGGGATTTTATCTACTTCCACGTTCTCACCAAGCAGGATAATAAGTAAAATCTAGCTCCCTTCCATTTTAAGTCCATTAGTATAGAACCACTGTTCATCCAGTTGAGCAGCTGAGTTTCTTGGGTAATCTGCAGTCCCATGTTGACCAGCTGACCCAAGATGAAACGTTAATAAAATAAAATATGATGGAAAACAAGTTAACTTACTAGCATCCATGATGGCTTCTACGTACTGAATGCCTACTATATGCCAAATTCTGGGAGAAGCACCTTCCGTCAGTACATCACTTAATTTCCCCAACCACCCCTTTACAAATGAGGAAACTGAAGCTACAGAGGCTGAAAAACCCGAAAACGCTGAATGTTAGTAACATGTGGAGCTGGGGTTTGTATGCACCTGACCTCACCAAGCAGCCAGCCCAGGGGGTAGTCTCACACTGCCTGGGTCCACACTCCATTAATAAAAAAATTCCCAAGCACACCTCCACTATATACTTTGTTTTGAAATTATACACACAGACTCCTGTTTTGATATGAAGAATCTTACAAAACATATACAATACCAAGTTTTAAAAGAATGAAGAAAACGTGCAATAACTAACCTCATAATTACACTTGCTAACATCTGAAGGCAAAACCAAACTTTTCTGAGATTCCTTGATAATAACTGCAGATGTAAACTACACTTTCAGTCATTTTGATGCAACTGAATCTCAATATTCAGGGGCCAACTTTTTTTTTTTATTTTTAAGACAGGGTCTCACTCTGTTGCCCAGGCTGCAGTACAGTGGCACCATCTCGGCTCACTGCAAACTCTGCCTCCTGGGCTCAAGCAATCCTCCCACCTCAGCCTCCCAGGTAGCTGGGACTATAGGCATGCACCACGAAGCCAAGCTAATTTTCATATTTTTTGTAGAGACAGGGTTTCGCCACGTTGCCCAGGCTGGTCTCAAACTCCTGGACTCAAGCAATCCACCTGCCTCGGCCTCCCAAAGTACTGGGATTACAGGTGTGAGCCACTGCACCCGGCCTCAGGGACCAGCTTCTTATCACATCTGATTAATCTCATGGGAGGAACTGTGTACCCCAAAAAAGATATTTTGAAGTCCTAACCCCCACTATCTCAGAATGTGACCTTACTTGGAAATAGGGCCTTACTAGGGGCAATCAAGGTAAAGTGAGGTCACTGTGGTGGGCCATAATCCAACATGGCCAGTGTCCTCACGAAAATGGGGGAATTCGGACACAGAGACAGACACACATGGAGGGAAGATGGTGTGAACACACAGGACGAAGACAGCCATGTGGCTGGGGTGAAGCGGCTACAGGCCAAGGAGTGCCCAGGCCTGCCAGCAAATGCCCAGGCTAGCCAGACAAACACAAGAGGCAGGAAAGAATCCTTCCTGGAGCCATCAGAGGTAGCATGGCCCCGCCAACACCTTGATTTTGGACTTCTGGGCTCCAAAACCGTGAGAGTAAACTTCTGTCATTTAAGCCACCCAGTCTGTGGTATCTTGTTACGTGGCCCTTGCAAACCAATAGATACTGTCACTGTTTTTATGGGGTAATGAGGTTGACCTCTCCCTACAGCCAAGCAAAAGAGTCATTGTTCCATGACAGTGCAGTGGTTTATGGGGTTTATACTGTTTTTTTGTTTTGTGGCTTTTTTTTTTTTTTTGAGATAGAGTTTCGCTCTCATTGCCCAGGCTGGAGTGCAATGGCGTGATCTCGGCTCACTGCAATCTCTGCCTCCTGGGTTCAAGTGATTCTCCCACCTCAGCCTCCCGAGTAGCTGGGATTACAGGCATGTGCCACCATGTGCCACCATGCCTGGCTAATTTTTTGTATTTTTAGTAGAGACAGAGTTTCTCCATGTTGGTCAGGGCTGGTCTCAAACTCGCAACCTCAGGTGATCCACCCACCTCAGCCTCCCAAAGTGCTGGGATTACAGGTGTGAGCCACCGCGCCCGGCCAGGGTTTATACCGTTTTTACGGGGTCATGAGGTTGACAAGGAGCTCATACTAGGAGTAACAGCTCTGTCATTTCTTACCTGCTTGTGTTTGCACTGTTAAAACTATCTCTAATCTACAAGTCTCCACACTCTCGAAAAAATCGTTTTGAGACATCTGTCTACCAAGGGAAAATTTGTTTATATAAAACCTGGAATTATTTCTGTAATTTGAAAATTCACTTAACAAAGCAGTCATTACCCTCATCTACCCCAAGTCGCTGAAAGATAAAAAAGTGACAAACTCACCATCAACCCCTCCATGTCATGGGATTTGTCTGTCCTCAGGACACTTTACTCTTCATATGTGACACAAAATGTTCTGTCATATAGACGAAGTGATAATGTCAGGATAGACCCGCATATTAGGTATCAGTAAAATTTAATTTTTATTTTTAAATAAAAAATCAGTATTTTTTTAAAGTAAATGGAAGTTCTGATGTTTTCTTCCCATGCCCAACTGTGGAGACCGAAAGCCTATTCTGCTGTCTCTCGGCATACAGCTAATGAAGAGATGGGGTTCCAATGCCAGCCTGTAGGACTCCACAAACACCTAAACCAGTATTCAAGCGCCAACCACCTGAGTGAACAAAGGTCCAATCTGGCTCAAGCTTAACAGGAGAGTACCAGGAAATGTTTGCCTCAAGGTTAAAAAATTCCTAAAGTCACCAAACAGTAGTGTGGCTTCACATGACTGCAGACCCCAGGAGTGCTGAGGACCTATGACAGAACCCAGGACTGGCTATGACACGCCAGACTCTCAGAGACCCACAGGTGGGTCACACATTCTAATACATCTGAGCCAACCCCAGCAGGGGCCGGGGCAATTCACGCAATATCACGAGAGCAGCGAGTACACCTGACTTCAAGTCGGTGCCAAGCCCCACAATCTTCCTAGTCGGTGCCAAATTTTCAAGAAGATGGCTGAGGCCACCTTATTTCAGATCTGCACAGGAACAAGTTATCCCAGCACCATGAGCTAACACTTCGTGGTCTCCATTGTGTTAAAACGTGTGTATGGCAGGATTGCCATGTGCTGACTTAATATTTCAGCTGGGGATGGTAGTAACTGGAAGGGGACATGAGAGTTTCTGAAGGGCAGGTCATGTTCTGTTTCTTGATATTGGTGTTGTTATACAGCCATTCAGTTTGTGAAAATTCATTGTATACTTACAAATACTCATATATTAATACATTAGATCTTTTATTATAATCGTAAAAAATTTCAGAATATATATAAAATTTCAAAAACTAAATATCTATCAAACTTGCAAACACACAACTAACAGATCGCCCTAACAAAGTTTGAAAGCCACTCAACTAAGCTGGTCAGAAAAGGAAAGCCTGCCTCTAATTTCCCTTCCAGCCTTCCTTGTCTTTCAAGAAAGGAGAAGGAGTTGAGAGCCTTCACTTAAGCGTGCAGGGAGATGAATTCCTGAAGAGCTGTGTGAAAACCCACCTCTGGAATACAAATTCATTCTATTAAGGTGGCTTAGGGGACTCTTGTCATTTAAAGACTATTTGGTACAAGAATAATCACTTCAGATTTATCTTCCATGCTCAGGGCAACCCTCACATAAGTTCGGTTTGCTGCAAAAGGGACGCATCTTCCATGCTGCTTCCAGGCACTGTTCCCAGGCACCACTGACAGCAAAGGTGGCCGAGGCCCGCCAGCTCTGGCCCAATCCTGCATGTATGTCTTGGTATGGGGGTTCCCACCTCATTGTGGCTCCAGGACTCTGGATCTCCCCGGGGGCTGAAACCTTTCATCAGATGCTCTCTCTACCCTGCTGAGGTTATCAGCATCATGTCACGAGGTCCCCGACCACCTCGCCACACTTTCATCAGACGCTCTCTCTACCCTGCTGAGGTTATCAGCATCATGTCACATGAGGTCCCCGACCACCTCGCCCTCACCTCGGCCCAGCTGTCACCAGTTACCTCCCTACCTACTCCTTCATCCCCAAGGTCAGGCCCGCCCTAACCCTCCCCATCCTTTGCACCCTCTCTTCTGGTTTTTTTGTTTTGTTTTGTTTTGTTTTGAGATAAGAGTCTTACTCCCTTGCACAGGCTGGAATGCAGTGGTGCAATCTCGGCTCACTGCAACCTCCGCCTCTCCAGGTCAAGCGATTCTCCTGCCTCAGCCTCCCAAAGTGCTGGGATTACAGGCATGAGCCACCATGCCCAGCCGCATCCTCCCTCTGGAGGAACCTGAATCCCGGACAGGGCATCACAGGATTCAGGGTTCACGGACACTTCCCTCCACCCGTGTCTTCGCCTCTCCCACTTCTTTAGATCTCTCTCACCTTCAAACATCAGTGGTCCTCTCTCCCTAGCACAGTTTCTCCTTGACTCTGCTGCCACCCTGCCACTATTTCTTTTCCCTTCCCTTCCCTGGGTGTTTCCTTGAGTGCACAGTTGCCATCCTCTCCCCGCACGTTCTCTCTGAATGGTCTGCTTACACAGGCTGGCCCTGGCACTGCCTATGTCTGTCTCTGCAGTTCAGTGAGCTGCTCCCCAATCGTGCTGGCTTAAGCTATAAACCCACTTGTCAGATGACGACACCTGCTTTCCCCATAAAACTAGTGATTTAAAATGAGCACAGATTTTTATAAAGTACCCAAAACTTAACCAGTCACTCCTCTAAGATCACTCAGGGACAATCTGAGTTCATAAAAATGCTAATGGGGCAAATACTCTTGAACCAACAGAAATTCTATACATCATGATGAGAAAACTATACAAGAAAAGAACATAATACATATGTCTAAGCAACATCCAGGAATTTAAAAGCACTTCATAAATGACCATTAAAAAGTTACCTTTATAAAAACTACGGAAAGCAACTGCTTGGTTTTAACAAATAGTCTGGCTCCAGTGCGTTAACTAAAGAAATACTAAAAGAATCGCCTCTGGAATCGAACAATCTGGACTGGAATCTCCATGAATGCTGGGTTAACCAATCCTGCCCTCAGTGATTCCATCTATAAAATGAGGAAAAGAACACACAGGGTGGTTACGTGGACTGCACGGGTGAACGCACGGAAGGCACTAACTCTAGCTGCAGGTCAGAGCCCCCGGCACTTTACCCGTGCCTGGATCCACCCACAGAGGTTCTGACTCAATGTGGCTGAGGATGGTCTGGGATTTCAAAACTTCCCAGGTGATTATAATCTGCACAAGGTCAAGAGCCACTGGACTGACATGTGGCAAAGCTTTCAAAAACAATGCCAGTTGTTCGTGTAATTATTAATAACATGGCCTAGAAAAATAAGAATCCGGGATTCTGGATCTAAACAAGATGAGGCACATCAAAGAAATCAGGCTAAGGCAAGAGAGCAGTATTCTAACAATCAGGAACCCTAAGGGGAAATGAGTTTGAGAGCACAGACAAACAAACATGTTTTCTTGTTCCTGTTCTTCTCAGCCAGTAAAAATCAGGAAAAATGTAGTTCCCAGGAATAAAGTGAGGACTCTGCATATCAAATGGTGTTCATAAAGGTCACTCATCTCTACACAGTAGGAGCTGTGAAGGGCTGACGTGAATTCCCAGGGCACGAAGTTCTAACCAGCTGCTAATACAATAACCGCCTAATGAGGAATCTTTAACAAAAGTTGCATACTCAAGTCTAAAAATGTATTTTTCATGCAACTTGGCATTGGAGACACTAGCTCTGGCTCTGATTACTTGTTACTTTGTGATATCTTGAGATTTTCAGATCCTGAGGAGGTGTTCTATCTAGAAGGTTCTAGAAGACCTTTAAAACAAGCATCACCACCCCTAATGAGTGGAAACCCTTGGTAAATAACATCCAGTAAGGAGAAAGCCTGGCAAGGAGAGGCCTGGAGGCAAATAAGGAGCAAGTGAGTCTAGACTGAATATTCAGAATATTCTCCTATCACCATTCTCCTATCACCAAGTGATGGATTTACCCGTAAGGACAAATGAGTCAGCTCTCTTTTAAGATGAGAAGTGATCAAATTTTGTTGCTTCAAAAGTCTGTTCTGAATCACTCGTCTTAAAAGCAGCTGTAGCTGGGCACGGTGGCTCATGCCTGTAATCCCAGCACTTTCGGAGGCCGAGGCAGGTGGATCACCTGAGGCCAGAAGTTCGAGACCAGCCTGGCCAACATGGTAAAACCTCATCTCTACTAAAAATACAAAAATTAGCCAGGCATGGTGGTGCACACCTGTAGTCCAAGCTACTCAGGAGGCTGAGGCACAAGAATCACTTAAACCCGGGAGGTGGAGGCTGCAGTGAACTGAAATCAGGCCACTGCATTTCGGCCTAGACAACAGAGCAAGATTCTGTCTCAAAAACAAAAACAAAAAAATGTAAATAATAAATAAGTGCAGCTTCATCTCTACTTTTTAAGCACAATAATAATAGGAAAAAGGAATGATAAAAATAAGCAATTATAAAAAGATACATTTTTAAGAAGGGTCATCCCTCCTATATAAAACACTGCCAGAAAAATAGTACACAAAAAAGCGTAAATCTACAGTGAAAAAACAAAATATGAAAGAAAACAGGTGAAATAAAACAAGGGAAGCTTCCTAAAGAAAGAATACATACTACAAGTAAATATGCTGAATTCAAAAGGGAAAGCTATGTGATCCATATTCCCAAGCAGAGACTCGACAAGAATTTAATTGGAAATGTTTAAGTAATAAAATGTTAAGGCCTTTTCTTGCCATGTTTATAAATTTTCTCATCTATCTTCCATACAATACAAATACATACACAATAAAATAAACTAAACAAGCACTTATTTCATATCTACTGTGATTCATCCATTCTAAGACCTGTTCTTTCACATTTTAAGATATCTGAAATCGGGGTGAATCTAGTTATTGGTACGTACGGTTTAAATGGCAGTATTTTTTCTTCATGATCTTTCTCAGAGGTACAGAAAATAAATGGTGCATCACACTGTTGATGGTATCTTAGTTTCAATGAAATATTATGTTTAGTAATCAACAGTCATATTTCTATGTGCAAAATGCTAGCAAGGCGCTAGGCTAGTAAGCTATTTAAGGAGAAAGGATATACGCACAAGAAGTTAGATTAGTAATAAAAATTGGCTTCTAACAACAGCAAATAAATATACGATGGTAGACAGAAATTGCTAGAAGAATATGAAGCAGAGCGCATTCGTGCAATTTAATTCTATTGGTAAAAATAAGAGCTAAACTTTGCTCTGGACATGGCCAGAATTTAGAAAATTGGGGAACCTGGGCAGGCACTCCCTTTGGGGAAAAGAGCATGAGTAAGATACTAAAGAAAGAACAGAAGGCCTCACGGGGCATGGCTAAGTCGTACTGTGGGCCATTCCTGCAGGGACAGGATGGAGATTGGGTGGGTACTGGGGTTAGACTACAGAAGACCTGAACTGCCAAACTAAGCAGTGTGGATTTTATCTAACAAGCTGGCATCCTTAACAGCCACCCCCTGCCAAAGCGCAGGCTCTCTACGATAGCCTGGGAGAACTCCTCAGGCTCCTGTTCTCTGGCCAAAAATGGTCTGGTTCCTCCTCGTCTGTCAGGTAATTCCTCTGCCTCCGTGGCACCCCCCTCCCCCCACAACAATGCCATAAGCAGTTTTCCACTTGGATCACCCCTCCGGATGTTGTCTCAGACCACCCTCCAGGCTCACGGAAGCCTCTGCCGCTCGTGGAGAGGTACCTGGCCCGTGCAGAGTGACTGAAGCTTCCAGAGAAGGGTGCTTGTGCAGGAACTGCAGGAAGATTCCCGTCCTGCAGAAGAAACTGAATGATCTCAGATCAGGTGGGGAGGACCAAAGAGAAGGCAGGGAAAGAAAAGCAGCAGATGTGAGGGGCATCTGGAAGGGGGACCCAGGGGCTGAGGATAAGGGGGACAGGGAGACAGTAACATCCTGGGGCAAGCAAGCCACACCGCCCAAGAGGCTGCTGGCACCACAGACAGCAGCAGGCCTCGGATTAAGTCCCCGCACACACAGCCCTCCTCTGAAGCACCCTCTACTGGCTCTGCCATGTCTTCATTCAAACACCGATCAGTGTCCTACTATGTGCCAGAGACACCACTAGATTTCGAGGAAACTGAGGTGAGTCAAACACTGTCCCTGACCCCCACTGTCCACAGTCTGGTATTAAAAACAGAAGTGAAAAATAAATCACTGTAATTCACAATAGCCAAAAGGCAGAAGCAACTCACCAACTGTCCACTGGCTGATGAATGAATAAACAAACGGTGGCACATACACACAATGGAATATCACTCAGCCTCAAAAAGGAAGGAAATTCTGACACACACTACAACACAGGTGAAGCTTGAGGTCATTATGCAAAGGCACAAAAAGAAATACTAGATGATTCCATTTACAGGAGGTACATAGAGGAGTCAAATTCATAGAGACAGAAAGTAGAAGGGTGGATGCCAGGGGATAGGGGAGAGGGGAAATGAGGAGTTGCTTGATGGGTACAGAGGTTCTATTTTGCAGGATGAAAAGTGTCGTGGAGATGGATGGTGGTGACGATGGCACAGCAGGGTGAAAGTATATCATGGCATGAAAATGTTTACAATATAATGAAAACTGCAAGATGCAAATTGTATACATAGCATGATCCCATTTTATGAAAAAAGTAAAGTCTCATATACATATTTTGAAACACTAGGAAGATGCATATCAAACTGTTTATATAATAGTTATTGTTAGGTGGCAGAAATAAAGATGATTATTTTCTACTAAATATACTTCTGTACTTTCCAAAGTACCTACAAATGAGGACCATTTATAATCAGAGACAAACTTTTTTTATCCCAACAGAGAGGGAATCAACATGCAGGGAACTGAGGCACTGACGGTTGTTTTTTGGGGGGTGGGGTTTTGAGACGGAGTCTTGCTTCTGTCACCCAGGCTGGAGTGCAGTGGTGCGATCTTGGCTCACTGCAACCTCCACCTCCTGAGTTGAGGCAACTCTCCTGCCTCAGCTTCCCAAGTAGGTGGGACTACAGGTGTGCACCACCAAGCTCAGCTAATTTTTGTATTTTTAGTAGAGACGGGTTTTCACTATGTTGGCCAGGCTGGTCTTGAACTCCCGACCTCAAGCGACACGCCCACCTCAGCCTCCCAAAGTCAGCACTGGGTTTAAAATGACAGCTAATCACCCACAGGGATTTAGTTCATGGAACAGGTCTGGAATGAAGATGTAGTTCCAGGTGATCTTCAAGAAAGGAGAGAAGGTGTGAAAAGGCATTCTGAGTTAGGATTCAGGAGGAGAAAGCAGCTAAGGGGAAGAGAAAGATAAAAAGAAGCCCAGCTTTATGAAGCAGCTTACAAATCCAGGGAGAAGCCACGGTACTGAATTCACCAAGTGATATGGTTCGGCTGTGTCCCACCCAAATCTCATCTTGAATTGTAGCTCCCATAATTCCCATGTGTTGTGGGAGGGATCTGGTGGAAGATAATTGAATCGTGGGGGTGGTTTCCTCCATACTATTCTGGTGGTAGTGAATAAGTCTCACGAGATCTGATGGTTTTATAAGGGGAAACCCCTTTCGCTTGGCTCTCATTCTCTCTTGTCTGCCACCATGTAAGACGTGCCTCTCACCTTCTGCCATGATTGTGATGCCTCCTCAGCCACATGGAACTGTGAGTCCATTAAACCTCTTTTTCTTTATAAATTACCCAATCTCAGGTATGTCTTTATCAGCACTGTGAAAACGGACTAATACACCAAGTTGCTATTAATTCTGATCTATTCAATCATTCATATGATCATTTACCTATTTAATTGTTAACTCATAGAAGCATTCCTTCCTACACACCCACCCACTTAGTGATTTAACAAATATTTATTGAGGGCCTACTCTCTGCCAGGCCCAGTGCCAGGTGGAGGGGCTAAGGCACAATCTCTGTCCTCAAAAAACTAGTTAGGAACAATCATAACACAGTGGTCAGAGTTATAATAGGGACGCACAGGGGCAATGAGCATCCAAATCATTCTGGGATTTCTGGAAGTCTTCCTGAGGGAAGTACAGAATCAAGCAAATGAGGAAGAGAAGTGCATTCCACGCAGAAAGAACAGCATGTGCAAAGGCACAGGGGCATAAAACAGTTCAACGCAGTTCCCCATATGGGGAATGACCATACTGCCAGAGCAATACGGTTAACAGGAGAGGCAGGCAATGAGGTAGGAGAGGGGAGAGGAGGAGGCTGTTGCAAATCAAGAAAAACAAGGATTGAACAAACCAGAGACACTGCCATGTGAGGCACCACATGGTCCTAATCAAGTGAATGTAGTGAACACACTGGCAAGGAACTGAGCCGAGGGCCCAGCAATAAGGGAACAAACAGAAACCCAAAGTCAAATCCTAAATCTTGGCCCACTATCTTCTTATTCTTCTTCCCCTCCCCCTCCCCCTCCCCCTCCTTCTCCTTCTTCTTCTTCTTCTTCTTCCTCTTCTTCTTTTTGAGATGAAGTCTCGCTGTTTGGCCCAGGCTGGAGCACAGCGGCATGGTCTCAGCTCACTGCAACCTCTGCCTCCCAGGTTCAAGCAATTCTCTTGCCTCAGCCTCCAGAGTAGATGGGACTACAGGTTCGCATCATGACACCCAGCTAATTCTTGTATTTTTAGTAGAGACAGGGTTTCACCATGTTAGCAAGGCTTGTCTCAAACTCCTGACCGCAGCTGATCCGCCCACCTCAGCCTCCCAAAGTGCTGAGATTACAGACATGAGACACTGCACCCAGTCAACTTTCCTAAAAACATGTACCTATGGACCCAACTGGTATCCCAGGGTCACTTGCTGCCACCTCATCTCTACTGTCCCTTATTCTCTCTTTGTCCACTTCTTCTACTCAGCCTTCCTTCCTCTCCAAGCAACCGTGCATTTCGCTATGGGTGCATACTCATGAGTCAGTGTGTCTGTATTCATGCATGCATTTCCTTGTATGTGCATCTCTGCATATATTGCTATTAATCTATATGCTTGTACTCATGCATCTACGTTTTGAATTTTCCTTTGACAACGTCTGTGAATACATATTTGTCTTTCCTCGTCTTTGCACGACTGTTATCCTCTGGATACATGCACGTTAATGATTATGCGTGTGCCTGTGTGTGTATGCTGAGCATAAGTGGGCATGTGACCCACATGCGCGGGCCACAAGAGGGGCCATCTGCGGGTTCAGCCTGCCTGGCGCCCACGCCCACCCCAGTCTTGCCTTGGGGAACACTCCTTCCACCATGGCACCGGATCTAGGTGCCACCATCACCCACGATGCTCATTCTCTCCTGACCAAGGGACGGGCAACTATCCCAAGCCCCAGGCTCTCTCCCCAAAATCTGAATCTCAAACAGAATGATTAAAAGGCTGAAATTCATCCTGTTGGCTATGCCCTAAAGGAACAGTCTTCAACTCCTACAGCCTGGATCCCCAAGCTGCAGGCCCTGAGGCATCTTGTCAGGGCCACAGAAGTGGAAACTGACATATATATGAATATTTATATAACTTCCCAGCTGTAAAGTTCTATGACTCAGGAGCTTAACAGTCTCACTTACATCCCATGATGACAGCCTTGCCTGGGACTGTCATTTAAATCTCTTTCTCTCCCCCTCGTTTAGCTTATTACTATCCCACTGTCTCACATCAGCTACTCTTCTTCCCTGGTATAGAGAGGACTGGTTTCTTCCTAGCAACCCCGAACAGTAGACGGCAATACTTCCTCAGGGTCACTCAGCAACAATCCAAGATGATCCAAACAAACCAGTATGATTCAGAAGTTGTTCCTGTCCAGGTACGTACCAGTTACACAATTCGAGATATACAGATTTGTTTTTGCACTATAGCCCAAAGGTTTTTTTTTTGTTTTGTTTAGTTTGTTTCGTTTTTGAGATAGAGTGTTGCTCTGTCACCCAGGCTGGAGTGCAGTGGCACAATCTCGGCTCACTGCAACATCCGCCTCCCAGATTCAAGTGATTCTCCTGCCTCAGCCCCCCGAGTAGCTGGGATTGCAGGCGCCCACCACCACACCTGGTTGATTTTTATATTTTTAATAGAGACGGGGTTTCACCATGTTGGCCAAGCTGGTCTCCAACTCCTGACTTCAAGTAATCCACCTGCCTCGGCCTCCCAAAGTGCTGAGACAAAAGTTCTCATACATCCTTTTTTAAACAAATGACCTTAATATAACTCCAAAAATCTGCTATACATTAATTCATTCCCTCTTGGCAATCAACTAAACATCAAGACTTAAATAGCACCACAAATCACGACCATACACAACTAGGGAAAGTCCCATTTATCTACATATTCATGCATCCATCTCTCACGCAGTACATTGTGCTGGACATTGTGGAATAAAAAGATGACGCTAACGGGGCTCCCATCATTAGGAAAAGGGAGTGGGGGCTTATGGCAGAGAGGCCCAACCTGCATAGGACAAAGGGTCTTTATGTTTATTTCCCATAAAAAGCCTGCAATTAACCTAACGCGCATTTTACGAATGGAGAAAAATGTCATCTTTGTTATGATCATTTTTAACCCTGACTGTTGGTTATCAATTATTTCAGCATGAAATATGTCAGCGAAGTTTGGTCATAATTAAAATTTATTTAAATTTACATTAAGTTAGAAGCATTACTTTTTCTGGATTAGAAGATCCATTCATAAATCCCTTTATAAATTTATGTAGATTTAACTGTCAAAGAGGTGTAACTTGATACATTCCTAAGAGCTGAACTACTGGGCCAAAAGGTGTAAACCTAACTTCATTTGTGAGGATCAGAGAGCAACTGTGCCTCTTAATCAGACCCGACCCCTCTTTAAACAGTGCTCTCAAGGACTAACAATTTTCAATTCCAAATGTCACACCCATGTGGGATCAGGTCAGTTCCCAGGACTGGAGAGCAAAAGAGAGACTACTGGTCCCTTAACACAAACAAGCTCTGAAATGTGTCGAAAAATTACTCCAAGATAGGGTGAATCAAACAGGAATTAGAGTGACAGCCCAACTCCAATTGGTCAAAGGCTGACCGGGCCACTGAGGTCCAGGAGAAACAGAATTTGTGCCCTGGAGCTCTGTGGCAGAGGAGATAGTGTAAATACTGTGTCAAAAAATATACATGAGGCTGGGCATGGTGGCTTACACCTGTCATCCCAGCACTTTGGGAGGCTGAGGCAGGAGGATCACTTGAGGCCAGGAGTTCGAGACCAGCCTGGGCAACATAGTGAGACCTCATCTCTACAAAAATAAATTTTATTTTATTGATTTATTGATTTATTTATTTATTTATTTATTTTGAGATGGTGTCTCACTCTATCATCCTGGCTGGAGTGCAGTGGCACTATCTCGGCTCACTGCAACCTCTGCCCCCCGGTTCAAGCGATTCTCCTGCCTCAGCCTCCCAAGTAGCTGGGATTACAGGCACCCGCCACTATGCCTGGCTAATTTTTTGTACTTTTAGTAGAGACAGGGTTTCACCATGTTGGCCAGGCTGGTCTCGAACTCCTAACCTCAGGTGATCCACCTGCCTCGGCCTCCAAAAATGCTGGGATTACAGGCATGAGCCACTGTGACCAGCCACAAAAATAAAAAAATTTTAAATACATGCTACAGTGTTTCCAACACCAGCAAAGGGCTGAACCTCCCAGACACCCCAGGCTGGAGCCCAGGCTGCCACGGCAGGCACCTCACAGAAGCGTATCTGCGGCCAGAGAGTAAAACTGCTCTCTCCATATTGCACGTGCTTTTCTCAAGAAACGCTTTCTAATGCCCTGTAGGACTAGAAACACAAGCGGTGGTGTCTTCCGGATTTTCCAAAGAGATCAAACTATTATGAAGCAAAGTCTCCAGGAACATAAATGATAAGAATGCTGGGAAATTCTAAAAGCACTGCAAACTCCACACAATAAGGGACATGAAAAGAGATGAATGGGACACTAAATGTGTCTTTCCCCCATGCCCTCATAACCTCTCCCTGTGCAGTTCTGACAGAAGGGCCCCTTGCAGGCCATCGGACAGCACAGCCAAGGAGCAGGAGCCATCTGTCCTGCACTTGGATCCGGGTGACGGCCAATGCCCACAACCTCTTGCCCACCAAAGAGTGGGGTCTCCTCTAGGCACACACTGGGAGGTTAAAACCCCATTCTAAGTTGCTCCTGTTGTCCTCGGAGCAGTCTCAAGACTTGAAGTTTGGCACTTGGAAGGCACCCAATTAAAGGTCAAAGTACATAGGAGGGCTCCATGCCAGGAGATCTTGGCGTTCTTCTTTTGAAGTCTATGACGGAAATGCTGCATTTTGAAAGCTACTGGGGGAAGCATTGTGAGACTGAGGCAAACACAGCAGCTGGGCAGAAAATAGATCTATTAGGCTCCTACCGTGGGCTGAGAGAGCTGCTTTGGGATCGGCCCCATGATGCGCTTTCCCTACCCTGCCACGAGGCTATCACCCCCCACAGGGACCACGGGAGGCTGCTGCTGTACACAAAAGGTCCTCACCTCCTCCAGGCCTGGCCCACTCAACAATCCTTTCACAGCTTCCTGCTCTATTCCTTCTTCTGTGATCCACAGATACTATAATTATAAACTACTTTTTTCATGGAACCTGACCTGCTCCTGCCCCATCTCACTTAAGTGATGATGATGCCACTATCAAAAAGAAAAATGCGACCAGGCACAGTGGCTCATGCCTGTAGTCCCAGCACTTTGGGAGGCTGAGGCAGGAGAACTGCTTGATCTCAGGGGTTCAAGGCTGCTGTGAGAGATGATCATGCCATTGCACTCCAGCCTAGGTGACAGATAGAGGCTCTGTCTCTTAAGAAAAAAAAAAAAAAAGAAAGAAAAGGAAAAAGAAAAGAAAGGAAGAAATAAAAAAAGAAAAAAGCTATCAGACATCAACTTCCTCAATAGCATCATCCTCCCGCCCCTTTACCTGCATGCACCTAAACCTGTAGCCATCACTCCCCCTTCCCACCTGTCTCAGTGGAAGAGGCGCCATTCTCCCTGTGCAAGGATGCACTGGAGTGTGAATCTCTCCTCTCTCAGTTATCAGTTATGTGACCTGAGGTGAGTTACTTCATCTCCTTATAATTGTACTGGATAGGGTTATCAGGATTACATGGCTTAATACAATTAATACATATCAACTTCCTAGAAGAATGCCTGACATAAGTGCACATTCGATTTTAGTTACCTATTATTATGTCTACTATCATCATCATTTATCCTAGTCTTCTCTGAGAGCTTTCTCAAGTAATTGTATCTTTTCTCTCCATTACCTTCAACCATTTTGTGCTTATGGTAGCTGCTAATCTCCAAAGACGACCACCATCAATGTCAATGTCTAGGCTATTTCACCACCCATCAGTGGGTAGCCCTATTTCCTCCTGCCCCTTGTGGACTAGTCTTGTGATTTTCTCTGACCAGCAGAATGCATCAGAGACAACTTTTGAGCTCCAGATCTTAAGAGGGCCGCTAGCTCCTGCTTCATTCCCCTTAGAAGCCAGCGGCCCCATATGAAGTCCTACTATAAGAAGTCCAAGCTGGTCACCTGGGAAGAGAGAGGGAGGGAATGTGGTGGGACATGAAGGTAGGAGGGGGTGAAACAGCCTCAGCCTTCCAGCCCAGCCCTGGAGCCAACCGAACACAGCCAAGTGAGTGACCCCAGCTGAGTTTCATGGAGCAGAATTATCCATCCGAGACCTGTCCGAATTCCTGACCCGCAGAATCATGAGAAATAATAAACCATTACTGTTTTCAACCATTCTGTTTCAGGGTGATTTGTTATGCAGCAATAGATAACCAAAATGAGGCTCCCCTTTAGCTTTAAAAGAATGTTCCATCTCATATCCATCTTCAAACATCCCCCACAGTTCTGCGGTCCTACATCCACCAACAGTTACTGCCCTCTTTGTATCACCACCGCAGTCCTCTACAATAGCACTTCACATGCCACTGGATAGTCACTTACGTACAGAACAACTTCCCCTTGTAGACGGAGTTGCTAGAGGGCTGTGACTGACTGCCGTATTTCTCTTAGTATCCCAACATCCAGCACGGTGCTCAGCACATGGCAGTGAGTGCTCCATCAATGTTGGCTGAGTCATGCAGACATGTGGGCATGGAACTACCACACAACTGGCCTGCCTGCAGGCATGCCTTCTGGCACTGGCAAACCCAAAACAAAGATGGAAGAATGAAAAACAGGACCCAGGCAAGCACACTTCCCAGAACCAGACAAGATGCAAAAGGTGCAGGAGAGAGATGAAGGGCAAGATCTGCTGGTGGGAGGCAGAAGTCACATGCGGAAAGCCACTGAGATTTGGAAACTTTCCACAGCACTGCTGGTTTACCCAGCCTGATAGGGTACACATTCTACAGGTATATCTTGTTTTCCTCTCGGGGAACTGAACACAATTGGAAGAGGGAGTAGAGGAACCTGAAGGCTGTCAATGAGTAAAGTCAATATAAACTACAACGAACAAAATAGAACAGTTGCAGGTTCAGGATTTCTGGGAAGTATTCAGAAGGTTAAACTTTATACCAGATCTAGGCAAGAACTCAAGGCATTAATACACTGTGTTTTATGAAGAACCAAAAAGGCTCAAGGGGCATATAAAACAAACGAAGTAGGACAGCCGGCTGTACCAGTTAGTTTTTGAACAAAGTACTCATTTTAAGGCATCGACTTCCTCCCACCAAAATTCCAAAGTAAATAAGAAATTGATTTTAAACCAGTGGTATACACTAACTTAATTAACGGAGGAGATGTATGACAACCACACACTTGGCTGTCAGAAACAAACAACAGAAAAACAGCATAGTCAACACAAAGCAAAAATGGTATCAAAACCACAAGGAAATGATCCAGGACGTGATAAAAGAGGAAATGCGGCAAGAAAATGTCACTCAGTATTAAGAAAAATATTATCCTCACTGGTGGAGAAAATGGAATATGGCTCATCATGGAATTTTAACTTTTTGAGTTTTTTTATTGTTAAAATGTTTAATTTGCCGAAATAAAGTAAAATGCACCACCACACAACACTGTAGGTTTTGAAAGCCTGCTTCATTCATTTCTCTTAACCTACGTTTGGTGAGCATCTTCTATGGGCTAGGCCAGGCTGTGACTTCACAGTCAGGGCTTCTAACAGGGACAGGGAGCTGGCCAGGGGCCACAGGTGGCTCTGACTGGGGCTCTGTCCACAGAGCTCACTCTGCCCTGCAAGCAAAGCCTGTGAGTGGGCACTTCAGTGGGAGAGACCACAGAGTCATTCTCTAACCCAGACCCAGAACAGAGGAGACCGTGGCTGGGGGTGCACATGCCCACCCCCAGGGTGGGAAAAACTCTTGCTAGCTGTGTGAGCAAGTCAATGAACTTCTCTAAGCTTTATTTTCCTCATCTGTAAAATGGGGATCCTTACAGTACCTACCTCATGCAATTGTTGCACGGATTAAACAAGAGACACTGTGCCGTCTCCTCACACAATGTTTGGCACACAGCATGCACTCTATAATTGTTGGGTATTATTATTATTCCCAGCTCAGCCCCTGAGACTGCTGCAGGAGAGGACCAGAGAAAGAAGTGCAAAGAGAACCTTATTCAAAGGCCCAAATGCCAATGAACAATCAGAGAAATGCACCTTTAATGGAGATATTTTTTACCTATGAGTTGGGCAAAGACAATAAAGACTGGTCACAGCCTGTATTATGGAGGAGAGAAGCAAGCTGGCACTCTGGTGCATTGCTAGAGAGAATGTGGATTGCTTCAGCCTTTCTAGAGAGCGATTTGGCAATATGCATCAAAATTTAATATGTGCATACTGCCTAGTCCAGCAAGTCTATTTCTGAGAATTTATCTTAAGAAAGTAATTGGAAAAGTGTGTAAAGATGTATACACAACGATGCTCATAGCAGTGTTTTTTTTCTTTGTTTTTTTTTCTTTTTTTTTTTGAGACAGGGTCTTGCTCTGTTGCCCAGGCTGAAGTGCCGTGGTGCGATCTCGGCTCACTGCAGCCTTAACCTCCTCTGCTCAAGCGATCCTCCCTCTTCAGCCTCCTTCAGCAGGCAGGAGCAGAGGAATTACGGAGGCGGTTGCTAATTTTTTACATCGGGGTTAGGGAAGGCCTCCCTGGTAACAGGAGATTTGAGCAGAGACCGGAAGGAAGGGGAGTCAACTGTGTCGATCGTATCTGAGATGAGAAAGTTCTAGGCAGAGGGAACAGCAAGTACAAATGATTGCAATGAATGTATATCATTTTTATAATCAGGAAAAAGCCAATAAAGATACTGTACTCTCAAACTACCAGTGCGTGCCACGATGCCTGACTAATTTTTGTATTTTTTGTAGAGATGGGGTTTTGCCATGTTGCCCAGGCTGGTCTTGAACTCCTGGGCTCAAGCAATCCGCCCACCTCAGCCTTCCACAGCGCTGAGATTACAGGCGTGAGCCACCACGCCCGGCAACGTTTTCTTATAACATTGAAAGCTGAAGACAATACAATTACCCATCAACAGAGAACCAGATAAATGAAGTGTGGAACATCCACAGCGTCGAATAAAATCATGGTGTGGATCTGTATTTCCTGACAACTAAAGATTCCGTGATAAAGTGTGAAGCGAAAAAAAGCAAGCTGCCAAACAACATGTAGAATATGATACCATTGCTTTCTGTGTATGCGCCTGTACATGTGAAAACAGTCTGAAAGGAGAGATACTAAAATGTCATAGCAGTTGTCTGACAGGTAGGATTTGGGGTGATTTTTGCTTTTTAATTTATACCTTCTTTGTACCACCTGACTTTATTCAATGTGCAAGAAATTTTACATCATCCTCTGATCAAAACCCTCTATGATCCTCCACCCCTAGCACCCACTTCCCTCCACACCTGAGTGCCTGCTGCCTCCAGCCTCCACCCTCTGCTTTAGGCGCACAGGCCTCCTGTGCCTCCCCCAACACCAGGCACACTCCTGCCTCAAGGCCTCTGCACTGGCCACATCATTTGCTGGGAACACTGTTCCCCCCAATACCTGCTTGTCTTGCCCCCTTGCCTCTTTCAAATGTTAGTTTATCACTGTTACGGGTTGAACTGTGTGCCCCCAAAATTCACATGTTGAAGTCCTAACCCTAGAACCTCAGGATGTGACCTTACGTGGAAACAGGGTCATCAAAGATGTAGTTAAAATAAGGTCATATCGAAGTAGGGTGGACCCCTATCCAATACCACGGTCCTTATGAAAAGAGGAAATTTGCACGCACACACACACACAGAGGGAACGCCATGTAAAGACTGGAGTCACACTGCCATGAGCCAGGAACCACCTGTATTAGTCAGGGTTCTCTAGAGGGACAGAACTAATAGGATAGCTATATATATATACACACAGAGGAGTTTATTAAGGAGTATTAAACTCACACAATCCCAAGGTTCCACAACAAGCCAACTACAAGCTGAGGAGTAAGGAAGCCAGTCCGAGTCCCAAATCTGAAGAACCTGAAGTTCGATGTTCAAGGGCAGGAAGCATCCAGCATGGGAGAAACACGTAGGCTGGGAGGCTAAGCCAGTCTAGTATTTTCATGTTCTTCTGCTTGCTTTTATCCTAGCCATGCTGGCAGCTGATTAGATTGTGCTCACCCAGATTAAGGGTGGGTCTGCTTTTCCCAGCCCACTGACTCAAATGTTAATCACCTTTGGCAACACCCTCACAGGCACACCCAGGATCAATACTTTGCATCCTTCAATCCAATCGAGTTGACACTCAATATTAACCTTGCACCACCAGAAGCTGGGAGATAGGCCTGGAATAGATCCTTCTCTAGCACCTTTGGAGGAAGCACAGTGCTGCTGACACCTTGATCTTGGACTCCAGAACTATGAGACAATAACCTTCTGTTGTGTAAGCCACTCAGTGTGTGGTACGTTATTACGGCAGCCTGAGCAAATGAATCCAGCCCCATTTTCAACGAGGCTCCCTAAACACCCAGATCAAAACTGCAACTCGTCAGTCCAAGCTGTTTATCTGCTGCATTTACACATGACACCTACCGCGGAGTAACACATGATATCATTAACTTTGTCCACTGATGTATCCCAAGGGCCCAGCACAGTGCCTGCACAGAGCAGGCAAAGATTTGTGGAATACATGGACAAATGACACTGAACTACACAAAGTCAGCCCTGGTGGGGACTACAGTCCAGTGGAGGAAGGCAGAATGCACAGACAAATATGTAGAAGACAATGATAAGTGTCATGAAGAAAAAAAGCAAGCAGGAGCAGAGGAATTACGGAGGCGGTTGCTAATTTTTCACATCGGGGTTAGGGAAGGCCTCCCTGATAACAGGAAATCTGAGCAGAGACCTGAAGGAAGGGGAGTCAACTGTGTTGATCATATCTGAGATGAGAAAGTTCTAGGCAGAGGGAACAGCAAGTACAAATGATTGCAATGAATGCATATCGTTTTTATAATCAGGAAAAAGCCAATAAAGATATTGTACTCTCAAAAGGCATTAAGATATTTAAAAGCCCAATTCTAGGGGCTAGGAAAACCACCTAATTTTTCAAATTCCTAAGACTCTCTTCAGGCCCAGGCTGAAAACTCCAACCCATTCCTGGAGCCGCCTTCCCCAGCCCAGTCTCCCAGCCCATCCTCCATTAAACAGCTGTCCAGGAGAAAAAAAAACACTCAATAGTGCAAGGATGCTGAGGTGAGGTAAGGTGAAGCAGCCCCAAGGTGGAGAGGCCCCAAGATCTGTGCTGGTGCTACAAGCCAAGGGCAACAATCCTGACCACTATCCTAGCCACCAGTGGCTGACTTGTCCCCCAATCCCCATCCAGATCTGGCCTGTGCTGGCCTGCACAGATGCCCCTCCATCCCAGCCTGTCATCTGCCTCCACTGCCAGTTCCCAAAGCGAGCACCTGTCACGTGCTCCTGCTCTGCACCAAGACCACTGAGGCTCCCAGCTCTGAGCAATGTCCACTCCTGCTTCCCTACCAGCTAGTTCCCACTCCACTAGGCATGGATGAAGCTGGAAGCCATTATCCTCAGCAAACTAATCCAAGAACAGAAAACCAAACACTGCATGTTCTCACTTATAAGTGGGAGCTAAACAATGAGATCACATGGACACAGGGAAGGGAACAACACACACCAGGCCCTCTCGGTAGGTGGGGTGGGAGGAGGGAGATTATTAGGAAAAAGAGCTAATGTATGCTGGGCTTAATACCCAGATGATGGGTTGACAGGTGTAGCAAATCACCATGGCACACATCTACCTATGTAACAAACCTGCACGTCCTGCACATGTATTCCAGAACTAAAAATAAAAATTAAAAAAATAACTGTGGTTAAAAACGTAACATAAAATTTACCCATCTTGTATTAATATTAAACAGAAATTTTTATTTAAAGGCAATTCATTGCAGCAGCGATATATATTTTTAAACGGAAACAAACTAGAGGTCAGATAGTCAACAGAGCTTTATTTTTCAATCCATCTAGTACATCCCAAGTATAAAAAGCTAAAAACCTTGTGCTCCAAGGCCAGGCGTGGTGGCTCACGCCTGTAATCCCAGCACTTTGGGAGGCCGAGGCGGGCAGATCATGAGGTCAGGAGATCGAGACCATCCTGGCTAACACGGTGAAACCCCGTCTCTACTAAAAATACAAAATAATAATAATAATAATTAGCCAGGCGTGGTGGCGGGCGCCTGTAGTCCCAGCTACTGGGGAGGCTGAGGCAGGAGAATGGCGTGAACCTGGGAGGCAGAGCTTGCAGTGAGCCAAGATCGCGCCACTGCACTCCAGCTTGGGCGACAGAGCCAGACTCCGTCTCAAAAAAAAAAAAAAAAAAAAACACCTTGTGCTCCAATAATATTTTCTTCTTAATATTTTCTTTAGCATCCTTTTTTTAACTTTATTTTAGGTTTGGGGTGTAAGTGCAGGTTTGTTACACAGGTAAACAGGTGTCACAGGAGTCTGTTGTACATATTATTTCATCACCCAGGTATTAAGCCCAGTACCCAATAGTTATCTTTTCTGCTCCTCTCCTTCCTCCCACCATCCAACTCAAGGAGGCTCCAGTGTCTGTTGACTCTTTGTGTTCATAAGTTACGATTTAGCTCCCCCAAATTGACCATCTCAACCATTTCTAAGTGTACAGTTCCACAGTGTTGAGTATATTCACATTGTCGTGCAACTGATAGTCTGAACTCCTTCATCTTGCAAAGCTGAAACTCTGTCCCCATTAAACAAAAACTTTCCATTCCCCCCTCCTCCCAGGCCCTTGCCATCCTTCTACTTCCTGTCTCCATGGCTTTGACTACTCTAGGGACCTCACGTAAGTGGAATCCTACAGTATTTGTCCTTTCATGACTGGCTCATCTCACTTGGCATAACGTCTTTGAGGTTCATCCATGTTGTAGCATGTGTCAGAATTTCCTTCCTTTTTAAGGCTGAACGATATTCCACTGAATGGCTAGACCACATTTGCAAAAATTTGTTTATTTTCAATTTTGTGCGTACATAGTTGGTACGTATATTTATGGGTTATATGAGTTTTGTTTTTTGTTTGTTTGTTTGTTTTTGAGATGGAGTCTTGCTCTGTCTCCCAGTCTGGAGTGCAGTGATGCGATCTCAGCTTACTGCAACCTCTGCTTCCCGGGATCAAGCAATTCTCCTGCCTCAGCCTCCCAAGTAGCTGGGATTACAGGCCTGCACCACCATGCCTGACTAATTTTTGTATTTTTAATAGGGACGGGGTTTCACTGTGTTGGCCAGGCTTGTCTGGAACTCCTGACCTCAGGTGATCTGACCACCTCAGCCTCCCAAAGGGCCGGCCACTGTGCCCAGCCCATGAGATGCTTTGATACAGGTACGTAATGCATAATAATCACATCAAGGTAAATGGTGCGTCCATCCCCTCAACCATTTATCCTTTGTGTTACAAACAATCCAATTATACTAGCTGTTTTTAAATGTGCAACTAAATTATTTTTGACTATAGTCACCCTGTTGTGCTAGCAAATACTAGGTCTTACTCATTCTTAACTCTTTTCCTTTTTTAAAAATTTTCCTTTCCTATATAAAAGCAACTTATTCATTCTATTTTTTTGTACCTATTAGCCATCCCCACTTCCTCCCAGACGACAGTTTGTTTATTCATTCATCTGTCCACAGACATGTGGGTTGCTTCTGCCTCCATCTCAGCTTCGACACCCTTTTGCTTCAACTATCTCCAAGTGCTTTTGTAATTCCTGGTAGTCAACCACCCTAACACCTGCTGACACCAGCTCAGGGAACTCAGGACTGGACTAAAGGCTTGTGACCGTGCTCAGGGCAGGGGCAGTTCTCTGAGCAGCGCAGCCAGCCAGGCACCAGCTCAGCTCCGAACCCGCTACTGCTCCTACCCTCAGTTTTGCCCGATGGCTTGAGATCTGGGCTGCATTTTTATGCGCTATGGACTCTCCACTAATTAGATAACCAACAATCTTTGAAGTACACCCAACTTCAATGAGAAACTGCACAGTTCTGAGCCTCTCAAGCTTTGGTGTGCACACAAGTCACCTGGAGGTGCTTTCAAAAAGTCGATGCAGTAGGCCCGGGGTGGGGTCCGACCTTCTGCATTGCTGACAAGCTCCCAGGCGATGCTGATGCTGCTGATCCGGGGACCACACTTGGAGCAGCAAGGACCTGGCAACCTCCCACCTGCTCAGACCTGTCTCCTGGGCTTTGCCCAAGTTCCCCTGGAAGCTGGCTCCATAAGATCATCTGTTTTGTATGTCTGAGGCTTCCCCCTTTGAAAGCTCCCCAACAGTATTTACCCAGTGTTTCAAAGCAGCTCTTCAGACTGTCCGGCTCCACAATTAATCCTAGCACCCAACACAGTAAGTGATGAAGGGTTCCTTCCTCAGGCCCAAACAGAGAACAAAGAAGAAAGAAGTGACAGGAGAGTTTCCAAGAGACTCCAAAGGACTGGGAAGCACCAGGAAACCACTAGGAGTGAGGAGCCCTCCCAGCTGCCCTGCCCTCGACACAACACCCCAGGACCGCTGTGGCCTATCTTCCGCCAAGGCTCTGGGCCACCCAGGCTGCTGGAGGGACAAGCAGAGTGTCTGCCTGGACTGCGACCAAGACTGGCCTTCCAACTTCAACTGGGCCCTTGCCACTGCCTGGCAATTCTTTCACTCATCCCTTCTCACTCTCCTCTGGAAGCCAGTTGTGTTTGCTCAAGCTCCTGATCCCCCCACGCTGCTGTCCTCTCTCCAGATCTGCTCGCCTCCCACCCTCCACCAATAGACCCATACTCCCCCATACATCTCTGTCCCCAGACAAGCCACCTGTTTCTCCTTCTGTTTTCCTCCTCTCTCAAATGAATGCCTCCACTCTTGCCCTAGATCCCATCCCTTCCAAGCCCCCAGGAGCTTTCACTCCTGCCCTCTCTGCCTCCCTTTCCAACCCCACCCCAGACTGGCTTCTTCCTAGCCCTCACCTGCACAGATGGCCTCCACCTTACCACTCCCTCTTCCTACGTTATTTCACTCCTTGCACACACACAGCACCCTTCATGCCGCAGAAGCTGGCCCTCTGAGGGGCTGGGTCCTACCCAGTCAGCGGCTGTCACAACAAAACCCACCCCCTAGGGTTGAGAAACCGTCTTACAGCTGGACCTCAACCTCGAGAGGGCAAAACTCAGCCTCCAAATCACATCACTTCCCTTCTCTTGCTGGAAAGATCTTCTCGGTCCCTTTCAGTACCAATATGTGGAATATTCTGCACCTTCCATGCCCATTTTCCCACATCCTAGACACCCAACTCCTGCCCTGTACACCTGCTATCTGAGCACACAGGCTTTGACTCAGACGTGGAGCGTAATGAAAACCATGGGGGCCACTGCAGACAGTCAAGCAAGGAGGAAGGGACGTGACCTGTTCCTAGCAGGCCCTTCCTGCTGAAGGTGGAGGATGAACTGGAGGAAGTGAGAGGAGAAGTAGAGGTCGTGACAGTCACCTGGAGAAAAGAGGATGGGAGCTTGAATGAGGGCAGTGGTGGCAGCGATGGTACAGCAGAAACATTCAAGACGGACTTCCTCCCCTCCCATTCACAGTCCTCTGGGAACTTTCTTTCACTCACTGAGGGGCTGGTGCCTGGCTCACAGTCCTTTCTTCCTCTCTCCAGGCAAGTTCAACATCCACAGAAGTTATTCACCCCAAAGCCTTCCTCCATGTTCCACTTCAACAACTCATTCCCACCACTACACCCTACCCTGTTCATTACCCAAGACCAAAACTAGAGATGACCCACTTCTGAAACTCGGCACAATGACACCCCAATCCCTCCCGCCCTCCCCCACCTCTCTCTCAACACCTGCCCTGGGATCTCAGCTGCACCCCCTCCTCCCAGTCCCTTTCCCACTGCTCCAGCCACGGTTCACCTCCTACCTCATCCAGACCACCTCTTGCCAGCTCCTTCAATCCCCTTTGGCTCTTCACACCTGCCCTGTGATTCCCCATCCCTGACTCGGGCCAATGGCTCACCTTTCCCAGACACACTGGAACGTCAAGTGCTAGAGGACAAAAATCACACGGTGGGTTCCCTAACATCACCACAGATACCCCCATTACCTTGGACTTCACTCCCAACCTTCCACCAGTCCCTCCGATTCCTTCTCCCAACATTACTTCTTCCTAACTCTTCTTAGGGTGGTCCTGCCTGCCCAGGTGAACCTCCTCACTTTTGGTAAATTAGCCATGAGGTCCTTCCTTCTACTTCCTTAAATTGTCAACCACTGCTTTTGTTTTGTTTTGTTTTGTTTTTGAGATAGAGTGTCGCTCTGTCACCCAGGCTGGAGTAAAGTGGCACAATCTCAGCTCACTGTAACATCCGCCTCCCAGATTCAAGTGATTCTCATGCCTCAGCCCCCCGAATAGCTAGGATTGCAGGCACCCGCCACCACACCTGGCTAATTTTTGTATTTTTAGTAATGGCGGGTTTTCACCATGTTGGCCAGGCTGGTCTCAAACTCCTAACCTCAAGTGAACTGCCTGCCTGGGCCTCCCAAAGTGCTGGGATTACAGGCATGAGCCACCGCGCCCAGCCCAGTCACTGTATTTTTACTGACTCTTGAAGCCTACAAACACAATCAAGTCTAAAACATGTTTTTAAAACTTCCACCAACCCTCCTGCCACCATTAAGTTATAGGGAATAACTCAAACCTCACCAGGCCTAAGAATAACATAAAGAGCTTGTGGAACATTTCAAAAATACAAATCCTCAGGCATCACCTGTTTCAGTAGAGCTGGCTTGACCATGAGTTGGGTTTTTAACAGGTGATTCTGATCAGTTGGCCCTCATCCCATCCTTCAAGAAACAGTTTGGTACAGTAGCATTTGACATGATGGATCACTCACCTAGAGGAAAACTCTCTCCTCCTCTCCTGGCTCTCATATCACTATTTTGTCATGATGGTCAGTTCCTCTGTATGCTCCTCTTTGTCTTCCCCTCTCCTTCACGCTAGTTTCAGGGTTTCTGTCCTCAGCTGCCTTGTCTACTAACTCTCCATGCTCCCCCCTCACTAGTGTCTTCCATATCTATGACTTCAACTACCATCAAGTACAACATTTAACAAGCTTTTTTTTTGTTTTAAGTTCTTGCTCTATCACCCAGGCTGGAGTGCAGTGGCACAATCCCAGCCCACTGCAGCCTCAACCTGCTGGGCTCAAGCAATCCTCCTGCCTCAGCCTCCCGAATAGCTGAGACTACAGGTGCATGCCACCATGCCCAACTAATTTTTGTACTTTTGTAGAAACAAGGTCTCACTATGTTACCCAGGCTGGTCTTAAACTCCTGAGCTCAAGCAATCCTCCCGCCTTGGGCTTCCAAAGTGCTAGGAACACAGGCGTGAGCCACCGCACCCAGCCTAACTTTTTTTCTAAGTACTGGATCTGGGATAGATTAAAAATCAATGAATGAATGTACAGGTGATAGTCAACACAGTTAACAGCAGTGGAGCACGAGCACTGACAGTCGGAAAGGGAGCTATTCTAATTTTACAGGTAAAGGATCTGAACAGACATTTCTCAAAAGAGACACACAAATGGTCAACAGGTAAAGAAAAATTGCTCAGCATCCCTAATCATTAGGGAAATGCAAATTAAAACCACAATGAGATAGCACCTCAAACCTGCCAGAATGGTCTTCAGCCAAAAAACTAAAGCAGAGTCCTTGAGGCACCTGCTGTGCTGAGCATTAACCCTTCAGTCACTGGATCTCGGTGAGGTGGAGGGTGGCGGTGGTCCTTGGGAGAAGAGTCCTGAAAGAGGGCAGGGAGGCTCAGGGTACTTGGGGGTGGGGAGCAAGGAATATTCAGTACAGCAGCTATTTACCAACTGCTATGGTAGTATCTCAGTGGTTTGGTTTTGTTTTTTGAGACAGAGTCTCATTTTGTTGCCCAGACTGCAGTGCAGTGGCGCGATCTCAGCTCACCGCAACCTTTGCCTCCCGGGTTCAAGCCTCAGCCTCCTGAGTAGCTGGGATTACAGGCACCCACTACCATGCCTGGCTATTTTTTTGTGTTTTTAGTAGAGACGAGGTTTCACTATGTTGGCCAGGCTGGTCTCGAACTCCTGGCCTCAGGTGACCCACCTGCCTCAGCCTCCCAAAGTGCTGGGATTATAAGCGTGAGCCACCACATCCAGACTGTATCTCAGTGTTTTTACAACCAGTCAAATGCTCGCAATGAATGAAAACAGCAGGTCTAGGGGACAATTCTAATCTAGTTGCCTGGTCAAATAAAATATGGTTCTTGCACACTATTTACACAGACTCAGTCCCAAAAGCAGGTGTCTCTCAAGGTCTCTGGAGATTTACATAGCTCCAGAGTTAGTCCAGGCTGACTTAGCCTTCAATGTTCCAACAATACCTATTCCCAGAAGGCTAGAACAGAAGGCACTTTACCTCTTAGCCCAGTGCTTCCCAAACCTCAATTGTGCATGCAAAATCACCAGGGGGATCTTGTCAAATGCAGATTCTGATTCAGAAGGTCGGGGGTGGGCCCTGAGATTCTGCATTTTCTAACAAGCTACGAGGCAGTGGAGGCAGTGATGATGCGAGCTAAGAGGCAGTGATGATGCTCAGAGTGTGGGGACCACAAGATTAGAATTTCACTAATGAGAAGTAATTGCCTGAAGCTAACAAAGGAGATGGAAAAAAGAAAGAGACAAAGAGAAAGAATAAGAGAAAGCAAAGTATGGGTCTTGAGTGTGTGGATGCAAGAGGGAAGAATAAAGGGAGTTTTTAAAAAGAAGAGCCATCTGCAATGGTGAGAGTGAGCTGCCTTCAGCAGGTCATGGGCCTAGAACATCTACCAGGCAAGGAGAAATGACAAAACAACCTAACAGAAAAAGGACAGATGCTGCTTATAAGTGCATTCCAAGACATCCAAGATGTTGACTTGATATGTAGGAGCTACAGGGAGAAATGAGCTACAAGGAGCTAGAGGGTTAATGAGATTAGCGCTAATCTCATTAACCCTTTCTTACACCGAGGAGGAAACCCAGGACAAGGTAACTTGTCCATAGTCACAAAGTTACAGGCAGATTTGCATTTGCACACACCCAGGTTTTTTAACTCACCTTTTAACAAATCCTGCTGCCTAACAACAAGAAAAAGAAATCACATCATTGTGAGCTCCAGATGAAAGGTGGGTGGTCACAACTTGAAAACAAATTAGATCAGTTAGAACAGTGTCTTCCTATCTGGGAAAATCAACCTAGTGTAATTATAATGACGGTAATTAGCTGCCTCTATCATTCAGGGCACTGATAGAAAACCTGTGGCTCCCACGTCCCTAGTGACTTGTAACAACTCCCTGGCTGGGTTCTGTTTTCAGAATTAAGTGAGGCACTTCCTGACAAGCACTGCAGCAGCTGTTCCCAAACGGGCAGGAGTGAGCATTGAAAATGCAGTCCTCTGCACCCTTTCACTCCCAACCCAAACAAAACCAAGCAAAAACATGTAACAAAAAATGCTTATTTTATTTTACCTTATCTTATTTTATCTTATTTTATTTTGAGATGGAGTCTTGCTCTGTCACCCAGGCTGGAGTGCAGTGGCGCGATCTCATTTCATTGCAACCTCTGCCTCCCGGGTTCAAGCAATTCTCCTGCCTCACCCTCCCAAGTAGCTGGGATTACAGGCACCTGCCACCACACCCGGCTAATTTCTGTATTTTTAGTAGAGACCGGGTTTCACCATGTTGGCCAGGCTGGTCTCCAACTCCTGACCTCAGGTGATCCCAAAGTGTTGGGATTACAGGCGTGAGTCACCGCGCCCGGCCTCAACATAACGATTTTAAATTAGCTGTTCTAACAGTGAAAAGACAACTGCAAGATACCAATGGTATACAGTAGTCCCCCTCCTCCAAGGTTTCGGATACCGGAGGACAACTGCAGTTTGAAGATATTTTGAGATATTCTGAGGTATTTTGAGATACAGCATATTCACGTTTTATTACAGTAGACTGTTAGAACTGTTCTGTTTTGTTATTATTGTTAATCTCTTACTGTGCCTCATTTTTTAATTAAACTTTATTGCAGGTATGTACATATAGGAAAAAACCATGGTATATACAGACTTCAGTACTACCCAAAGTTTCAGGCATCCACTGGGGGTCTTGGACCACATCCCTTGCAGATAAGGAGGGACTACTATATCTTCAAAATACTGTTAATTTTCAGTTACTGGGTTTACCATATCCGGATCAGTGGTTCCAATGCTCAGGGGCTAAAACGGAGCTGTCAACTTGTTAAAATGAAGATTCCCAGGCACTGCCACCAAAGAGTCTAATTTAGAGGCTAAGGGTGAGTCGTAGACATCTAAATTCTTAACAAGCACCCCCACATCCCCAAATGATGTTGATGCAGGAGGCCTAGGGGCCACACTTTTGAAACATTTAAGTATTTGTTTATAATATCCTAAACGACTCACAAAGCATAAATATTCACCTAGAAATGGCCAATAATAAAACAGCACATTAAGAAAAAAATTTCACACACCATAAGCATAAATGCAATAAAAAAATTATTAAAAGAACAAATGGCAGATCTTGCTAATCAAAACAACCAAAAACTTCTACATTTCAAAATTATGTAAAATTTAAAAGAAATTCCTTTGGAAGGGGAAAACGCAACATATAGAAGGAAAAATGGTTGCTATCCTTCTAATACATAAAGATTTAAATACATATCTATGCCACAACAGGTAAATAAATAAAAATACAGAGAAAATTCACAGAATACAAATACAAAATAAAAAATATTCAATTCTAAAGCAATAAAACCGTGCAGGTTAAAACAATGTATTACAAATTTATTTAACAAGGGCTTTTAAAGTAACATTCAATGCCAGTGATGAAGTGAATACTCAATGCAAGTGATAATGGAAGGCCCCTGCGTAAGCTTCAAGGGCTTATGTCAGCATTATAACTTTCAAAAATTGCTTCATTCAAAAATCACATACTGAGTACCTACTAGGGGCCCAGCATTTTGAACAAAAGATGCAGAAATCCAGCCTGGTGGGCCTTACATTTTAATCACACTCTAATACCCCTTCCACAAATGTATACTCAAGAAAACACACACACACACACACACACACACACACGGAAAGAAACATGCACAAAGCCTTTTTTTTTTGAGACGGAGTCTTGCTCTGTCGTCCAGGCTGGAGTACAATGGCGCCATCTCGGCTCACTGCAACCTCTGCCTCCCTGGTTCGAGCAATTCTCCTGCCTCAGCCTCCCAAGTAGCTGGGATTACAGGCACATGCCACCACACCCAGCTAATCTCTGTATTTTTAGTAGAGACGGGGTTTCACCATGTTGGCCAGGATGGTCTCAAACTCCTGACCTCAGGTGATCCGCCCACCTCGGCTTCCCAAAGTGCTGGGATTACAGGCGTGAGCCAGCGCGCATGGCCAGCAGAGCCTTCTCTATGTAGCTATTCATCAGCATTACTTACAGCAACCCAAAAAATGGAAATAAAAGAATAAATCATTAGGATAGAAAATAGTTTTCAAATAAGACTTAATGAATGGAAAAATGCTTAAGTTAAATGTAGAGTGGAAATGGTAGTAAATACAATTGTGCATATAATTCTTTTTTTAATGTTAACAACAAAAAAACGATAAAATTACTTAGTGTTACCTACAGGCTGTGAGATTATGGGTGACTGGTTTCTGTACCTTTCAGTAATTTCCAAATTCCCTACAAAGCAATCTATTTCATAATAACTATTACTTTTTAAAAACTTATCTCTGAATAAGGTGAAGAAACTGGGCATGATTCTTTGTTTTTATACTGTGGATGGCTAATCACTTAAGAGCAATGCATTCAAAAGTAAGTCCAAAGCATTACAAGTTGTTTCCACAACAGTCAATGGTTAAGACCAAACTTGTAAATTTTTTTTTTAAAAAAACACACTCAAAATGCTGAATGAAATACAAATAGACAAGAAATCGATTTAACATAGAGATTTAACCAAAGACTGTAATAAGGGGACCACCTGGAAGGTGGACTCTATTGAACAAAAGTTAACAAGAGAAGCCAGCTGAAGGAGGAGATAGCTTTCAGACAGCCACGGAAGGGAATGCTGCCTCACATAGGAAGTCCAAAACAGGTCTAAGCCATGCCATTTTCTGACTACCACTGCTTATTCCTTAGAAAGAGAACCAACCACCACAGCAGTGTTCAGCAAAGCTCTCCTACATTCCAAATCTCCTGGTGAAAATACCACACTCAGGACTGGGAGGGCAGCCCAAGCAACTGCAACGCACCCTCTTCCCAGGATCAACAGCACCGCCCAGGCACCCTACACACACCCTAGCTACATCAGGAAGCCACCCTCCACCAAGATCGTTCCTCACAGTCTTCAAGTAGATGGGGTCACCTCCAGCAGGTCATCCATAAGGAATCCTGCCTTTCCTGTCCGGGAATGGTCTGTGCAAGGGTTTGTACTTCCTTCACTGCTCTGTGTTTCCAGCTGGATCCTGGAGCACAGGGGCTGTGCCCTCCACTTCTTAGTTCCTAGTCTATGAGCCTGGCAGCGGCTGAAGCCAATATACAAACCAGTGAAAGGATGAAGTCTCTTTCCATGATGTCAGGTCTAGAATGGAAATATTATTAATTTCATGTCTCCAGGTTGAATATTTGTATTGGGGGTAGAGGGGAAGCAGGAAAGGACTTCCAAAGAAGAGAAGGTTAGGGATGGGCAGTGCAAACAGCTTCACTATTTATTTTAAAGTTACCAGAAGCACTTATATTCTCCACAACCTCTGCAGTACACCCAGATGGCCACATTCATATGGGGAAGCCATCAGGCACAGAAAGGAAGCATGTCATAGAGTCTGAAGCCAAACCAACCTAAACTCAAAGCCTTAGTTTCCTCATCTGTAAAATGGGGATAACTATGCCTAACTCACAACGTGATTGGATCGTGTATATAAAATTCAACATCTGGCACACAAAAAGCACTCAGGAGATGGAAACCATTTATCTGCTGTGTCTTATGACAGATGAATCCACGAGTATCAGATGGGCTCTCTTTGTTGACTAAAGCCAAGAGACCCTTGACAATGATCTCTTCTCCTCTGGACACACAGGGCTGGAACTCGCAGGAGCAGGACTGAGACGGGAGGTCCTAGGTTAGAGTAAGGTGTTTGCACTAGCTGTATACTGCCTAAAAGAGACTCATTCTGTCACCCCAACCCTGGTTCCACCCAGCTATGGGAAATCTCTGCAGAGGCTTCAGGTGTGGATATGTCTATGGGCCAAGAGCGGGGGTGGGAGGCAGGGAAAGTGATGACTGTGACCTTGAGCAAGGCACTTCTCTGCCTTAGTTTCCTCTTTGGTAAGCAGAGTGGACCTGTTCCATGATCCCTGAAGTCCTCCCTGTGCTTCTATTGTACCATCCCCTCTAGGGCACTGGTTATAATTCTCACAGGTCCAAGGGACACCTTCAAATGTGTTCCAATTCCTCCCAGCCACTGAGTAGCCCTTTGGCCCTGCTCCCACGAGAAAGGAGGATTCGGAGCAGCGTTCACGGCTTTCTGGTTTTTGTTCTGTGTGCAGCAGCTCTCCACCCCTAGCTGCTCCTTCCACCTTTCCTTTTCCGCCTCAAAGTGGTCAAGTGCCTGTGCAGGGGCAATCGCTGGCCTGCAGTGTCAGCTCAGAGACGGTTTCCAGACCATCCTGTGTACAGGCTCAGGGTGGACAAATAAACATTTTGGAGAAGCAATAGGAATTAAATCATTTCTTCCACAACAAAACCCTTATGCTTCTTCATAAATCATGCCTCTTCATTCCATACTGATGAACAGTCACTAAATTGCATCTGTTATAAAAACAGCCCTTACTCCTTTCATGCCCAGACACTTAAGAATCAAAATATTTTCACACTCCATTGTACTAATAATGCCTTGCAGAAGTAATACCAATAGCTATTTCCCTGGAAAGATCCGTGGCCAGGGCGCTTTCCAAGAGGTTTTCTTTGAATGTTCTTTGTGTCCTGCTGTACGGGGGGACACGGCCGGCCTGCCCGCATCTGGGGGACGCTGGGCTTGTCCCGGTAATGCAATACTCTTTTAAAGCACACCTCGAATCCACCTCTTCGCCCCGACAATAAAGTATCTCAAAACATTCGATATGCCACATCATACAGCCTTGACAAAAAAGCACGCCGGTGCCTGCATTCTGCAGGAAAAACCAGGCACATTCTGAGATGAAGCCACCAGACCCGCTTCGGGTTCCATGGACAAGAGAACAGCTTTGCAGACCCCTTAGCAAGACCGGCCAGAAGCCGCTCGCTTGTTCGTTTTAATTATTTATTTCCCCCGTGCCTTTATTTGTTGGGCCCCAGAAGAATGGCAAAGCATCTTCCAGAAAGGACGGCGAGGGAGCTGGAGAATAAAAGAGGATGGGCGGGGAAAGCCGGGGTTTTGAAAACAGCAGCGATAAAGGCAGGCGGGGTCGCGGCCGCGTTCCGAGGGTCTCGGCGGAGCTTACCTGGGGCGCACGAGGCCGGCCGGGCCAGCAGCAGCAGCCAGAGGCCAGGAAGCAGCAGCCCCGGGCGGCGGCGGCGGGCGCAGCGGGCGGAAGGCCGTCGGCCGCTCGGCCCCGGGGCCAGCGCGACCCCGGCGCGGGGCTTCCCCTCCATGGCCGCGCCTCGGCGTCGGCGCCGCGCCCCCGGCATTCCCGGCCGGCGCCCCGGCCCGGCCTCGCGGCTCAGCGGCTCTCGGGTCCGGGAGGGGCGGCCGCTGCGGCTGCGGCTGGGACGGGGCGCCGCGCACCGGCGCGGAGGGAGGCCGGAGAGGCGGGGGCGGGCCGGGCCGGAACCGAGGACAGGGGCGCCAGCCGCACGCCCGCCTTGCCGCTCCGCCCCCTTCGGAGCCTCGGAGCCGCTGCCCGGCAACGCGCGGGCCCGGGCGCGGGACGGCGAGCACCCCCTCCCGGCCGGCCGGACGCCTGCCTGCCTGCCTGCCTGCCTGCCTGCGGGGCGGCCGGGGCAGCGTGCGCGGGGCTCGGCGCGGCAGAGGCGGCAAGGGCGGCGAGGCGGCGCGGCCCAGCCCTCCCCCAGGACCCGCCTTCCGGAGGGAGCGCGAGGGGCTCGGGGGGCCTGGGCCGGGCGGTGCCGCCCCGACCCGCACCCAACCCCGGGTCCCGCCGCGCGTTCCCCGGGGCGCCCGGATCAGGGTAGGCCGGCAAGCCGGGGGAGGGGTCCTCTCGCCTCCCTCGCTCCTCCTCTCCCGCCGACTCCTTGCGGGCAGCAGGTGTGTGGGGCGCCGCGCTCTCAGGACAGCCTCGGGGCCGCGGAGGGGACAAAGCCAGACAAAGTCGGGCTCCTGCGCTAGAGCTCAGCGTGCAAGGCAGGGGCGAGCAGAGCGCACGCAGCTCTCCCCCGCCTTCCTGCCTTAAGAAGGTGCGGCCACCTCTGCGGGTCTTCGGGAAGCGACCCTGCGCTCAGGGCCTGGGAGGCCCGCGGGACCCTGCACTTAGCAGGCCTTGAGCAGGCGGCTGCTGAAGCGAATGGGCGTGGAGCTGGGGAGACCCGCAAGGCCAGGCCGTTTTAGGGAAAGTGGCGCTCCTGAGAGGTGGAGAGAATGCCCAGAGAGCGTTTGAGGGTTGGAGTCCGCGGGGGGAATGAGGAACGGGAAGAAGGGAGTTGACATCTGTCAAGTACCTACTGTGTGCCAGGCACGTCACTCTGAAGACGCCCCGTGGCTTCAGGGTCTAGGGAGGAGGAATTGGAAGTTTTGAATCGTTGCATCCCACTGGCATTGTTGCATCAAGCAGATATTAACGGTGTGTGTGGGGGACACTATCTCGTGCAGAAAAACTATGGCAGACAGCGGAAAAGGTGAATCATTACACTGGCAGAGGGATCCTCGCGGCTATTCAGTCGGGTTCCCCTGCCAGGCCCAGCCCTTGAAGGGGCTGCCCAGCCTTGCAGCTCCAACTCTTCTGGACTCCTTGCCCTTGGCGAATAGTTCTTCCTAAGAATAGGACAGGGGCACTCTTCTGTAGGTACACACCTGGTCCTTACAGGTGGGTACTTGAAACCTGGTAGTTTCAAGGAAAATGAGAATAAAGGTTAAAAAAAGCTTTTGTTGATGTTCCTGGTGTTTTTACACGTTATTGTAACCCCCCATCATACAGCCCCTATGTTTATTACAGTAACTGCTCCTGTCTCCCAAAGAGGGTTCTGCGTGCACACCCAGGTAAGTACCTAAGAGAAACTGCCCAGATATGTCTGGTCCCAGGACACCATGGCCATAGATCTGGGACCTCTTATTCACACACTTATCTTTATTCTCTGAACTCTCTATAACAGCACATTTGACCACAAACCACTGCCTTCGTGCAACTCTTGAATGGTCTTGTCCTGTTGTGTTGTTTTATCTTTTATGAATTTATGCTTTGCACACACAGCCCCCACCCCACCTCCAATAAATTAATATGAAATTCAAATATGGTGCTATCCTGCTTAGGATTTCTCATAGCCCCAGTAAGCCCTCAGTAGACAATCGTTGGTTTGAGCCAGAGCATGCATTCCGCCCGTGAAGAGGTTCCATCTTCAGATTTGGCCTCAGCCTCCTGCAAGCTGCCATCTACACTAGACCCGTTGGTGTCAGAGAAAAAAGCCTCCCTCGGCCATGCGCGGTGGCTCACGCCTATAATCCCAGCACTTTGGGAGGCCAAGGCAGGCAGATCACCTGAGGTCAGGAGTTCAAGACCAGCCTGGCCAACATGGCAAACCCCGTCTCTAATAAAAACACAGAAAAATTTACCCAGGCATGGTGGCACGTGCTTGTAATCCCAGCTACTCAGGAGGCTGAGGCAGGAGGATCACTTGAACCCAGGAGGCGGAGGTTACAGTAAACCAAGATCACGCCACTGCACTCCAGCCTGGGTGCCACAGCAAGACTCCATCTCAAAAAAAAAAAAAAAAAAAAAAGGAAAAGAAAAAAGAAAGGAGTCTCCTTCTCCATTCTCTGCAAACTCAAAGACAATAGTGTTTGCCCTGCCATTAAGAGATTGATCAGCTGGAAGTAAAAATAAAAATTGGAACCCTGAGATACTAGAAATGACTCATGGACACCAAAGTGTCCGTGGAAAGTGAGGTCCCTAGGGTCCCTTAGTCTCCCAGCTCTGAAGGCATAAAACAAAATCTTACCTCTGTTAGGATTTAAGGCATTCTGCCTCCATGTCTGGGAAAATGTCTACCAGGCTCTGACAGTCCAGCTGGTAGGTGGTGTTACTCTGCAGACTCAGAGGGGATGAGTGGTCCTTGGAGGTAGGGGAGTGTGTGCAAATGTGTGTGTGTGTGTAAGATTTTAAAATCGATTTTAGAGATCATCTCATCCAATTCTCATAGATAAAGAAACAAGCCAGAGAGGTTAGTTTATTTCCATAAGGCTCAACTCCAACTGGAATTGTCGTCTCCAGTTAAACCACACACCCTCCAGGGGAGGGGGAAAATTAACCTGGGTCCTCGATAGGCTTACAATCTGGTTTGGAGACAGGGAGAGGTAGGCTCAGTACTATCCTTAGACCTAGACGAAGCGGGCCCCACTCTGGCCTTCTCAAACTGCACCTCTCTCCTCAGGACAGAGTCTGTGAAGCCCAGGAAGCACCCTCACCAGCAGCCCATCTTCCCATGCTCAGGTGCCCAGGACCCCAGAATCCTGCCCATTTCACCCCAGGCTCATCTTCAGGCCTATGTGGCCTCTTCCTCAAGTCCATTCTCCCAAGGCTGCACCAAGGGTGTGTCTGGTCCCACGGGGTAGTTGTTTGCTAGGGAGTGGCAAAACTTACGCAGGAGGCATCTCTAAAGATGCGCACATGAAACCTATAGGAATGAAGCAGAGGACCAGGGATGGGAAGAGAAGATCGGGCATGGCCCATATTCACATGGCAACCTGGCTGCGATGTTCTGCTCACAACTGCAGGAAGTCTGCGAATCCTGCCTGTGAACCAGCCTAACCATTCTGAAGACATACGTTTGTTAAGGTAGAACAGACATATTTAATAGTTTGCTTGCTTGGCATGTAACTTGCTGATGAAAATCTGGTCATCGATGTGAAATGGCCAAAATGGCCAAATGTGAAATGGGCTGCGTGAGCCCCTATTTGCACTCTTGACCTGGGCCCCTCAATTCTTAGGGTCTGGATAAGGATGGGACAGAGGGACTGAAGTTAGAGGATGGCTGGAAGTCGGTAGAGGGTAGTGTGAGAGTCCTAGAATAGGAATCAGGACAGCTGAGTTCTGCGTTCTGCTCTGTCACAGAAAAGTTTATGAACTTGAACAAAATGCTTCACCCTACTCTCAAACCTCAAATGTTCTTATCTGATGATGGGCTTCACATGCCTACCTTGCTTAGCTGTGGGTTCGGTTCTTAAGAGAATTATACAAAATAAGATGAATGTTCACAAAGGTCATTCATTAAATTCAATGAATATTTTTTGAGCATGTACCATATGCCAGGCAGTGCAGTGGGCACTGGAGGTATAACGGTGAACAAAACAAAGGCCCTTCCTCGTGGAACTTATGTTCTAGTGAGAGGAGACAGGCAATCAGTAAGTGAGCCTTCGGCTGATGACAACAATTTGCAGAATAACAAAGAGGGAAAAGGAGTGAGGGAAGGGTCAGTGTTACTGTGTTAAATAGAATAGTCAGGGATGATCACCCTACTAAGGTGACATTGGGCCATGGGGATAGCTGGGGAAGAGGGTGTCAGGCAGAGGGAACAACTGTGCAAAGTGGAGAAGTAGCCAGAATAAACATTCAAAAAATATTTACTGAGTCCCTACTAAGTAAGCGCCCCGTAGAGTCATGTGCTAAATGATCAGTAAGATTAATTAGGCCGGGCACAGTGGCTCACGTCTGTAATTCTAGCACTTTGGGAGGCTGAGGCAGGTGGATTGCTTGAGCCCAGGAGTTTGAGACCAGCCTGGGCGACATGGTGAGACTCCCATCTCTATGAAGAAATCCAAAACATTAGCTAGGCATGGTGGCGTGCACCTGTAGTCCCAGCCACCCGAGAGGCTGAGGTGGGAGGATCACCTGAGCCTGAGGAGGTCAAGGCTGCAGTGAGCCGTGATCATGCCAGTGCACTTCAGCCTGGGCAACAGAGCTAGACCCTGCCTCAAAAAAAAAAAAAATAATAATTGTCTACAGTTTTTTCAAGGAGCTTACAGTCTTACGGGAAAAAAAAAAACAAATTTTAAAAACCTACATATTGCAAAGTAGAACATGACAGATGTCCGAAGGAAGTTATAAAAAAAAGTTCAAAGAAGTAGAAATCATATTTGGCACAAGAGATCAAGCAAAGCTTCAGTGTAGTGTTGCATGGAAGCTGGGTGTTAGGGGGCGCCTAAAAAATGAAGAGGACTTGGACAGCTAAAGAGAACAGGACAGGTGTTCCAGGTGGAGGGAACCAACAGTACAAAAATATAAAGGCAGGAATGCATGAAATTTATCTAGCTGATGGCCAGATCAGCTAGAGCAGTGGTTCACAATGCTGACTGCAAATTAAAATCACCTGGACACCACAAACAAAACAAAACAGAACACCCCCAGGCCACACTTCAGACCAGTAAAATCCAAATCTCTGCAGACCAGGCTTGGACAGCCCTGTCTTTTAAAAGCTTCCCAGGATTCCAGTGTGTAAGAACCATTGAGCTAGATGTCTAAGAGTGAGACTTTATAATCACTTACTGAAAGTGGTAAGACATACCAGACCTAGAGAGGCGCAGCAGAGAAGAGAGAAAAGGGAAGCTGATATAGAACAAGGAGAGCTTAAAGATCTGGCTGAAGGGTTTGGACTTAATTTTGTAGGTGACGGTGGATCATTAAAGATTTGTTCAGATATTATTAGAACTAAGCACAAGAAGGATTACTCTATTAACATTATATAAGATGATTTGGAAAGAGAAAAGACTAAAGAGGAGACCAATTAAAACAAGATTTTTTTTTTTTTTTTTTTTTTGAGATGGAGTCTAGCTCTGTCACCAGGCTGGAATGCAGTGACGCAATCTATGCTCACTGCAACCTCTACCTCCCCGGTTCAAGCGATTCTCCTGCCTCAGCCTCCCGAGTAGCTGGGACGGCAGGCGCACATCACCACGCCCAGCTAATTTTTTTGTATTTTTAGTAGAGGCGGGTTTTCACCATGTTGGCCAGGCTGGTCTTCATCTCTTGACCTCGAGATCCGCCTGCCTCGGCCTCCTAAAGTGCTGGGATTACAGGCGTGAGCCACTGCACCTAGCCAGAACAAGATCTTAATGCTGCTGCATGAATATCAAGGATCAAAATATTTTTCACCATCAAACAGACAAAACTTTTAAAATTTTGATTATATTCATTTGTATATTCAAGTGTATAGCAAAATAGGCACTCTCGAATTCTACTGGTGTAGCCATTTTGGAGGATAATTTGACCTTATCTATCAAAATATAAAATCAGCTCACTTCCTTTTCCTTTTTTTTTTTTCAAGTCAAGTTTAATTCAGCTGGCAAATTTAGTCAGGTAATTTAATCAGATAAAATTCACCTTTTTTGGCCAGGCGTGGTGGCTCATGCCTGTAATCCTAGCACTTTGGGAGGCCAGGATGGGTGGATCACGAGGTCAGGAGTTTGAGACCAGCCTGACCAACCTGGCAAAACCCCGTCTCTACTAAAAATACAAAAATTAGCCAGGTGTGGTGGTGCGTGCCTGTAATCCCAACTAGTCGGGAGGCTGAGGCAGGAAAATAGCTTGAACCCGGAAGGCGAAGGTTGCAGTGAGCAGAGATCACATCATTGCACTCCAGCCTGGTGACAGAGCGAGACTCTGTCTCAAAAAATAAATAAATAAATAAATAAAAGTTCGCCTTTTTTTTTTCAGGTTTTAAAAATAATCTTTATTTTTTAAAAGTTAATATGTACAATTCAGGAAACTGAAAAACACAAGAAGCAAAGAACAAAGCTATCCACAATCATAAGCAGTTTGATGAAAATTCACCTTTTAAAAATGTTCAGTGAGTTTCAACAATTCTATGAAATCCTATAACCACCACCACATTCAAGGTAAAGAACATTTACATTGCCCTTAAAGTTCCCTTGTGCCAGCTTGCAGTCTATCCCATACCCTCCCTCTGACAGCCACTGATCTGATTTCTGTTTCTACAGCTTTGCCTTTTCCAGCATTTGACATAAATGGAATTATATAGTATGTAGCACTTTGTGTCTGGTTTCTTTTACTTAGCATAATGTCTGAGATTCATCCAAGTTGTTGCATGCGTCAGTAACTTGTTCCTTTCTATTGCTTAGTAGTATTCCATTGAATGGATATACCACAATTTGTCCAGTCACCAACTGATGAACATTTGGATTGTTTCCAGGTTTTTGGTCATTATTAATAATGCTGCTAAAAACATTTGTTTTCAGGTATTTTGTGTGAACATATGTTTTCATTTCTCTTGGGTAAATACCTAGGAGTAGATCTGCTAAGTCATGTGATAAATGTAAATTTAACTGGGTGGCGTGATAAATGTAAATTTAAACTGCCCAACTGTCTTCCCAGGTGGGATATATTTTAGATCCCCACCAGCAATGTATGAAAGGTCTAGTTGTTCCATACCCTTGTTAGCACTTGATTTTGTTAGCCTTTTTAATTTGAACCATTCTAGCAAGTGTCTAATGATATCTCATTGTGCACTTAATCTGCCTTGTCCTCATGACTAATGATATTGAACACTCTCCATGTGTTTATTTGCAATCAATATGTCTTCTTTGGTGGCATGTCTGTTCAAATCTTACCAAATTGTATATTTATGTATTCTAAATACAAATCTTTTATCCGATGTGTGTTTTGCAAATGTTTTCTCCTAGTCCATAACTTGTCTTTTCATTCTCTTAAGATATTCAAAGAGAAGAGGTTTTTAACTTTGGTGAAATACACTTTTTTATTATTTTTTTCTTTTTTGTTTCATGTTTTTTGTGTCCTAAAAAATATTTGCCTAGCTCGAGGTCACAAATATTTTCTCTCATGTTTCTATCCAGAAACTTAATGTTTTAGCTCTTATGTTTCAGTCTATGATCCATTTGAGTCAACTTTGATGTATTTTGTGAGATTAAAGGGTTGAAGTTAATTTTGTGGGTGTGATGTCTAGTTGTTATAGCACCATTTGTTGCAGACTATCCTTTTGCCATTTAATTGACTTTATATTTTCTCAAAATTAATTGACTAGGTATGTGTGGATTTATTTCTAGACTTTGTATTCTCTTCCATGGAAGACTCACATATTACATGGGCATGGGGGAGTAAGATACTGTATAGTATAATCCCACTAATGAAAAAAAAGTGGGATTGTGATTGTAAACCCACTTTTTAAAAAAGTATGAGTGTAAACAGTCGTTACTACTGGGAAAGGAAATCAAGTTTAGAGAGGAGTTGGGAAGTGAATGTATGAAGGGGAAAATTCACTTTTTGCTCCATATAATCATACACCTGATTACAATAATCTTACCTGTGATTAATACACATCATATCATCTGAACTTTTTTCTTTATTTTTCATTTATTTAACTCCACTCCTGTGACAGATTAGATAGCATTTGAATTTTTGACACCAGCATATACTGCTTTTGTATTTCAAAATTTTTCTAAATAAAAACTTTGTGGGTTTGAATGGAAATTAGAAAATGGATGAGACACATTCTGGATGCTAAATGAGTCGGTGAGATATGAGGAGAGGAAAGAATGAAAGATGATTCAGAGATTTTGGACCATCTGTGGAAGGATAGGAAAAAAAGGAATTCAGCTGGAAAGCCTGGGTGAGAAGCAAAGATGGAGGGTTGGGTTCTGAGTGTGTTGGCTGTGAGGTGCTGGACCCATACCAGGGAGCTGTGCTGACGCCAGCGATGGCGAAGGTGAGCTGAGGGCTTGGAAGATGTGACTCCAGATATGGAATCATTCATACGGCGTCATTAGCTAAAGATGAGAGAGTAAATGACTGCCTAGAAAGGGAGGGGAGAAGGCAAGAAAAGAGGGCCAAGGAGAGCCCTGGAGAAAGACCTTCGTTTTGGAAAGGCTGAAGAGGAGTCCGTGAAAAAGGCAGAGAAAGATCTAGAAAGAAAGCGGAGAAGCACAATGGAAATGTGGTGTCACCAACAGCCTGGGAAACAAGTTTTAAAATAGAGAGGACAGTCAATGTCAAAGACAACAGGACTGAGAAGACCTCTTTGGACTTGCAGATGCAGTTGTTAAAAAGAGACTTTCCTTCTGTGCCTGGCTCATTTTGTCCTCCGGGTTCATCCATGCAGTCTCAAATAACAAGATTTCCTTCTTTTTTAAGGCTGAATAGTATTCCATTGTGTCTGTATACACCACATTCTCTTTATCCATTCATCCCACAATGGACATATAAGTTGATTCCATATCTTGGCTTTTGTGAATAAGCTGCAGTGAACATGGAGGTGCAGATACCTCTTCAACTGATTTCATTTCCTCTGAATGTATACCCAATAGTGGGATTGCTGGACCATAGGATAGTTTTACTTTGAATTTTTTGAGGACCCTTCATACTGTGTCGAAGTGAGGGGGTGGCAGGGGAGGAGAGGCAAACAAAAAGGGGTAAAAGAATGAGTGGGTTAGGAAGTAGTGGAGGCCACAGAAGATGGCGGGTAACAGGGTTGAGATATTTTTTAGGATAGGTAAGACTGAACATCCTTGTAGATTTAAGAGGTGTCCAAAGACAACGAGAGAATAAGATCCAAGAGAGGGATCATCGATAGAGCAAATTCTCAGAGCTAAGAGCAGATGGAATCAACAGCAACAGGTCATTCTTTTGAAATGGCAGCTTCAGCCAGGCGCTGTGGCTCACACCTGAAATCCCAGCACTTTGGGAGGCCGAGGCGGGCGGATCATGAGGTCAGGAGATCGAGACCATCCTGGCCAACATGGTGAAACCCCATCTCTACTGAAAATACAAAAATTAGCCTGGTGTGGTGGCACAAGCCTGGAGTCCCAGCTATACTCGGTAGGCTGAGACAGGAGAATTGCTTGAACCCGGGAGGCGGAGGTTGCAGTGAGCTGAAACTGCACCACTGCACTCCAGCCTGATGACAGAGCGAGACTCCATCTTAAAAAAAAAGATATGGCAGCTTCAGCAGCCCAATGTCCAGTGTCAGGAGAGTGGCTTAATGGCTTGATAAAATCACCATACAGTAACACATGGAAATGTTATACTTCTGTGAAAAAACATAGGAAGTGTTTGGGTTATAATGTTAAGTGGAGGAAAAAATATATATAAAATGGTTTATGAGCTGATATAAAACAATGTGTATGACTGAGAAAGAACTGCGCATACTTAAAATTGTTGTATTGAGGTAATGGGATTATGGGCATTCATCCTCTCCTTTGATGATGATGTTGTATTTGTCTTTTCAATAGAAAATGTTTACAAGAACGAACAATCTTCTTCCAAAAGAAGAGAGAAAGGACAGATTAATCAAGGTAAAGGCCTTAAGTAGTCTCTAAAGTGATTTCTTCCCCGGCCGGGCTTGGTGGCTCATGCCTGTAATCCCAGCACTTTGGGAGGCCGAGGCAGGTGGATCACCTGAGGTCAGGAGTTCAAGACCAGCCTGACCAACATGAAGAAACCCCGTCTTTACTAAAAATACAACATTAGCCAGGTGTGGTGGTGCATGCCTGTAATCCCAGCTACTCAGGAGGCTGAGGCGGGAGAAATGCTTGAACCTGGGAGACGGAGGTTGCAATGAGCCGAGATTACGCCATTGCACTCCAGCCTGGGCAACAAGAGTGAAACTCCGTCTAAAAAAATAAATAAATAAATAATAAAATAAAGTGATTTCTTCCTTTTCAACATCAGTGTCTCAATGTCAGGTGGCAGTATTTGGACTAAAACACAAAAATCCTAAAGAGGAAAAGATAGCATGAGCTAGAGTAGGTATGGAAGGTTTCACAGAGTACGTGGGGCTTAACCTGGGTCTTGAACAATGAGAACAATGGGTAGCATTTGTTAAAGGAAGGAAAAAGAAAAGGGAGAGGAGGGGGTATTGTAGAGGAAAGCAAAGGCAAGAAGACAGAAATGGACAGAATGTGACCTCAGACAAGGCTGCTTAACTAGAGGAAAAGCTATTTGGAGGAATTTGAAGACAAAAGAGCAAATAAATAGGATAAGGTCAGATTTAGACCTGCCATGAGTTAGACCATGCCAAAGACTGCCATGATCTAAACTAAATAACTACCTCAGTCTACCTAAATCACTAGGGAAGACTTTCTGCCTATCGGAAGGGAAGCCCATGGAGAGAGACACATCCTGAGTGCCCATGACCATGGGTAAAACATTTAAACCAGGATCCTTGGTTGGATGAATTGGGCTGGAGACGTCTACTCCTCCTGCACAATTTGGTAGCAATAATGGCAAATAAGAGTGTTCTTGAGGCAGATCCCACGCCTTGCCTCCCTGTCTACTGCAGTTTTTCTCACCTCCTTTGTCTCTAAGCCTCCGCCCCCTAAGACACAAGCTGCCGCAGATCAACTGGCTCAATCCTCTGCCCACATTCTCTATGGTCATTTCCTGCTATAGCCCCAAACCCACGGGCAGCTCTCCCGAGGCATGCCAAAAATCCACATTAGAATCACGGCAACAGTTGGTGAAGGCTATTTTTAGAGTCACCCTCATTCTCTGGCATTATACTTACTCCAACTCACATATGACTGTGTTCTAAAACTCATCGACTCTGGCTCAAACTCAGAATGAGAAGAATGATAACAATCTAGGTCTTCTTGCTCTTCCATCTTGTCATGAGTTTCCATCAATTACATGAACAAAGCCAAACCCACATGAACTATACATCTGTCGCAACTTCTCTGCTTCTCTAGAACACCCCTTTCTCACCCAAATCCCCAGAGACAGAGTCTTCCTAGTATGGAGATGTCTGCTCTCGGGCCTCCTATAGTTGTGGGCATCACTTCTGCAGGAGGCCATCCCTGATCTCCTCATATTGCCCGTGACACCTGTCACTGCATTTACCACATGGAGTTAAAATTGGCCGCGTGGAATTAAATCTTCATTGTCTGCTCCCGACTAGATTATAAGTTCTTCAGGGGCAGGGACCTTGTCATTTTCATCTCTTCATTCCCCAGTGCCTACCGCAATGCTTGGCGGTCATAGGGTTCCATTAATACTTGTTGAATGAATAAATGGAAGTACGTATAAGAACTAAGCTCCAAGCTGGTCTCTTACCCCTCATCCTACCAATCCCTGCCGGCTAAGGTGCTGAACTAACTTAAGTGGGGGGCCTGAGCTTGCCCATAGTTCTTTGCTACCAAGGCCAGGAGGGAAGTACTGTGGCATCTGCGTATCCATCCTGGCACGGACACAGTATAACGTCTCGAACTTCAAGGAATGCCAAGAAATGCTGGATTCCTCTGCTACATGCTATGAAACCAACCAGAGATTGCTTGAGAAATATTAAGGCTGCCTCAGACATGACATTTGCTTGGCCTTGTGCAGAGTTCAGTATGCTACGGTAATTGGCACCAGCAAACACTTATTAAATTTGGTGAACTAAGGCTCTTCACAAAAATAGAGGAAGAACATCTCTGCCCTTTAGGAAATGACAATCTCCAAACAATAAAGTGTGTTTACCAAAATTGAATTTTATAGGCTCTTGGATAAAAATCGTGAGAAGCTGAATGATAAAATTATCTGCCCACAAACAACTCTGTATGGAAGTCATCCACCATTTTAAAGAGAAAATTAAGAAACTTCTAGACTGGCACTGCCCAGAAGAACTTTCTGAGTTGGTGAAATTGCTCTATAACCTTGTGCTCTCCAATGAAGTAACCGCTGGCCACAAATGGCTATTGAGCACTTGCAGTATGGCTGGTGCAACTGAGGAACTGAATTTTTAATGTCATTTAATTTTAATTAATTTTAATTTAAATATCCACATGTGGGTAGTGGCTACCATATTGGACAGTGTAACTCTAGACCATGAAAAAAGTATGATGATGGCTGCCGTGTGGAAAACTAAATACAGAAACTGCCAACATATGACACATGATTCAGATCCGATCACAACTGCTGGACTTGTTTCATGATAGGCACTGATATCTATGGCAAACACAACTCTCTAGACCGGACCTGTGAAATGAGAATAATACAAATAATAGTAACTACCTCATACCCACCTCAGCTTAACCAGTACTGTGTCCCTGTAGCCTTCTGAGAATCAACTTGAAATTCAGTTTGGGTTTGCTGGGCAGTCTCTGCCTGACATGTGGGCCAAAATCGAACTCAGCCACCATCATGTGTGGCCACAGCAGATGTCTGAGAAAGTCCACAAAATAAAAGACATCAGCAGATAAAACATCCACAGTGAAAACGAACACTTCATCAATATAAAAGCAAACTTCCAAAGCTCCCCACTCACCCATCAGATAAAATGCATTGCTGAGCGTGCCAGGCAAAGGTTCTCAGACTCCTGCAGGGAAGGCCAGCTGGTGGGACTGTCCTTCCAGGCACTGCCCCGGGTGTCCCCGTGTCCCTCCCCCTTCACCCACCCTGGAGGCCCCGCGTCCTCCCTTCACCTACTCTACACCTGATGTGCTCGTCCTCACCCCAGCCTGCCCTGTTTGTCCCGCTCCATCCAAATAAGTAATTTTTGTTGGTCTCTTCTTTCTTAGAGCTTACTAGAATTTAATTTTTTTGACCCCAAGAAGCAGAGATTGCAGTGAGCCAAGATCACGCTACGGCACTCCGGCCTGGGTAACAGAGTGAGACCCTGTCTCAAAAAAAAAAAAAAAAAAAAAAAAAAAAGAATACCGTGCACCGTGCCTTAGCAGTATCTATAAAGTATTCTTCTGATGTTCACTATTCGCTCTGTTGACATGATGTAATACATCCAAAGTTTTCTTTTTGATCTCCCAGTCCTGTATGTGGAGATAAGTTCCACCGAGTCATGGTATGGTATACAGTGTAGGGGTTGAAAACATTGGATTTAGATGAAGACAGACCTGACTTTGAATATAGTTTTACTATTTATTAACTGTGTATCTTTAGGCATAGTTTTTTTTCTAAGCTTTGATTTCCTCACCTTAAAATGGAAATGTTAATACCTTCTTCATAGTGTTGTATGGAAATAAGTTAGATAATCAGTTAAGTTTCCCAATACAGTAATTGGCATCTAGTTAAATATACAATGATGGTTATTATTGCTCAAATCTTTGCTGAAATTTTCTTTAAGAATTTTTCAACTGTGTGTGTAAATGAAATTGGCTTCTAATAGAAGTTATAAGGAATCTTCCTTATCAGTGTTAATAATAGCACCTATTTAACTCACAGAATTAATTTGGGATCATGCCATCTCTCCCGTTTTTCTAAAAAGGAACTTTAATTTTTTATTACACATTGTAGAAAAAGCAGAATATACAGAGAAGCAAAATTATGAATATTAAAATGATCTGTAACCTCACCACCTCCAAAGAAGCATTGTTAACATTAGATTCGCCCAGACATTTTAATGTATAAATTCACATACACACACACACACAGACACACAAAATGCTGACAGAAAACTGTGATCAGACTGTATATAAAATTTTGTTTCATTCAACAATATATTATGAACATCTTTTCATCTTAATAAATAATACTTCCAAAACTTAAATTTTAATGGTGGCATGTATTCCAAGATATGAACCCAATGTAAGTTGTTTTGCAAATTCCCAAGTGTTAGACATTGAGGTGGTTTCCAATATTTCACCATTATAAGCAATGCCATGGCAAACATTGTGCTGGATCTTTTGAATAGCTTTTGGTCCATCCTTTCCCCTTCTCCACCATGTTGTTTGGTTGGGGAGGCTGATCTTTACATCACTGGGCTTCCTTGCCCTCTGGCTTCCAGTAGGTTTGGCCAATGGGAGGCACCAGCAAGAAATCCGAGGATAGGAAAAAAGGGAGATCAGGATATTTCTGCCCCAAGCTTGCTCCCCAAAGGGCTACTGATTGGCTGTGTCCTTGAACTAGATGCTACCGCACCCGGTTGGAGGTTCTCTCCTACTGTTACCCTCCCTGGGTTCCTGTAACAGCTCCCTACCCTGCACCTTCATGCTTAGGGTGGTAAGGTGTCCCTCCTGTTCCTAGCCCCAGAGTACTCCACCATCCTTTGTTGATTTCCCTTAATCCTGCCCACACCTTTATAAATAGTCCTTCATTAAATTCACTTCATTTTCTAGTTTAAGTGTGCCATCTGTTTCTTGCTGGAAAATATAAACAACTTTGTAAGTAAATTTCTCTACCTTTCTTCTGCTATTAGCATATAATACATTTCTGCAACTGGAATTATTTGATCACACAGCATGTGTATTTTTAAAACCTTTTCTAATATAGCCAACTTGTTTTCCAGTATACCTTCCTCCAACAGTGTATGACAGCACCAGCCGTCAGGCCCCGTGTCCAAACTAGGTATTAAAAATTTTATTTTCATCTTTTTCTGTGTTCATAAACATTTCTATAATACAGGGTTCATCTCATCTCTGAAAGTGTGTGTAGGAGGGAAAATTACCTATTAATTATCGCAGTCTTTTTTTTTTTTGGTGTTTCTTGCGTAACTTTCTCAATATTTTCCTCTGCTATGAGCTATTACAAATTGACATGCTAGCCCATACTTGGCCCCTAAGAATTCAATAAAATTGGCCAGGCATGGTGGCTCTTGCCTGTAATCTCAGTACTTTGGGAAGCTGAGGTGGGAGGATGACTTGATCTCAAGAGTTTGAGGCCAACCTGAGCAACGTAGCAAGACCTCGTCTCTACTAAGAATCATAAAAAGATTAGCTGGGGCTGGGCACGGTGGCTCACGCCTGTTATCCCAGCACTTTGGGAGTCCAAGGCGGGCAGATAACCTGAGGTCAGGAGTTCGAGACCAGCCTGACCAACATGGTGAAACACCGTCTCTACTAAAAATACAAAAAATTAGCCGGGCATGGTGGCACATGCCTGTAATCCCAGCTACTCGGGAGGCTGAGGCAGGAGAATCACTTGAACCCAGGAGGCAGAGGTTGCAGTGAGCCAAGATCGCACCATTGCACTCCAGCCTGGGCAACAAGAGTGAAACTCCATCTCAAAAAATAAAAATAAAAAAAATAAAAAAAAAGATTAGCTGGGTATATTGGTGCATACATGTAGTACCAGCTACTCCAGAGGCTAAGGCAGGGAGATCGCTTGAGCCCAGGAAATAGAGGCTGCAGTGAGCCATAATCACGCCACTGCACTCCAGCCTGGGTGGCAGAGTGAGACCCTGTCTCAAAAATAGGAATAATAATTCATTAAAATGTTAGCTGATTTTATCTTACTTATTTGTACTTGGGCCTTCTTCTTCCCCTCCCTTTGCCAAAGGTGAAGCCGTTTATGTGTCACATCTCTCCTTGCAAGGCTTTGTCACTCTTTGGATTTCAGCGAACTTGGTTGCCTTGTAACCACAGCTCATTGATGGATTCAAGAAAAGCTATGATTTTGTCGGTTATCTGGCTTTTTCTTGTGACTTCCTACATTCACAGCTGAAGTAAAACTTCCCATTTAATTTTTTGAACATGCAATTAAATGTGAACATTTTAATAAAAATAAAACACAGAACTATATTTGATTCCACATTCAATATGCATGTAATTGCTAATGGAAGAAATTAATATCTTGCCTCTCACATGTTACGTGGAAAACTACTTATATAAATATTGAAGAGTCATATGAATTGTTTGTTAGTGAAAAATGTTTCCCAGACACCGTGTGCACTTGCAGTGAATACTGTTCAATTTGTGATTACCTCCCGAACTACCAATTCAAACACACAAAGAAGAAAGGAAAATGGACTCTGGAAACTACTGGAGAAAGATACTTCATTCGGCAAGAATCTATTGCATCTATGGTATCTGAAAGGCATGACTTGACGAGTCAATTTGCCTTTGCCAACCTACATGTTTCCACCACTGAAATCCTCTGCAAAGTCCAAAACCATGTCTGTTTCCAACGCTGGCAGCGGTATAGCCCACAGAGCTACAGAGTGTTCAGAAGCAGTCACGTTTGGTTTTGAGGACACAGGATAAGCAGAGTGGAGAAGCATTTCCCTGAGGCTTGAATGGTATAAATCCTGATAGCAAAGGCCCTCTAAAGCAGGGACACAGGTCAGGGGCCCCTCTTGCCCAGGTCTAAGGGCAGTATTGATCTAACTCATCTCTGTTCTGATAATTAAACGAAGTAGTATATCTAAAACGTCACACAGTACTTGTCTCCCAGTAAAGCTACAATAGGGGAAAGCTATTATACATGTCATTATTTCTTATCATTGATGACTATTAGCTTGAAGTATCTTGAAGATACTGATTTCAGTCCCTCTGGCTTTTATTTGGATTCCAAGGTCCAAAATAATACTATTTGGTATTTCTTTAAATGTTACCATCCCCTTCTTAGTTGTATAAAGTATTCTTTATTATTGTCAAAGTTCAAAAATTAAAAATATGTATTCAGGTTCCTTTTTTTAATGTTTTGTTTGTTTCCCCGAGACTGGCTCTGTCGCCCAGGCTGGAGTGCAGTGGCATGATCTCGGCTTACTGCAACCTCCACCTCCCAGGTTCAAGCTATTCTCATGCTTCAACCTCCCAAGTAGCTGGGATTACATGTGCGTACCACCACACCCGGCTAATTTTTGTATTTTTAGTTGAGACGGGTTTTTACCACGTTGGCCAGGCCGGTCTCGAACTACTGACCTCAAGTGATCCACCGGCCTTAGCCTCCCAAAGTGTTGGGATTACAGGTGTGAGCCACCACGCCCGGGCTCTTTCATTGTTTCTTGCTTAAGGCCATTGATATTGTCAGAACAGTGAGGAGCAGTCTTTAGCACTGCCATTGATTTTCATCAGCTACGTTGCGGAAACATTCTGGTCACAGCTTTTCTGATTGCGCTGTGACCCATTTCTGTATTCTAATATCAACTATTAGCATTGTCGGTCCAAAGTTATTTGGGCAACCTCCATCCCTGTTACTATTTCATTTGGTTTTGCATGGGTTTTCTAAATATATTTCTATTCTATGTGATTTTACATGTTTAAACATTTCCTAACCATGTAAACACATTTTTATAACTGTACACCATCAATTTATTATTATTAGGGTATACTCAAACTTATTGTTTTCCTTTAATCTGTTTCTCCCTCCTCTTTTACATAATGAGTTCATCTTGCCAATACCCCAACTCTAATATTTCGTTAATACTTCTAGCCCAGAGCCTCCTCCCCACAGCCCTCTTGCTAGCTCTAAAATCTTTTTGTTTATTCAGATAGTCAATACTGCATTGTCTCTCTACCTCACATGATATTCTTGGGCAAAAACATACCTTCTTTTATATAAACTATAACCCATGACATCTCTACTTTGTCTTGGACCACTTATTTCCTATGCAATATTAAAATAGTTTAGTCTTCTGAGAGCAGGTGGCATTTATCCAGTTTTATGGATGACAAAATGCCTTACAGAGAATTTTTTTTTTTTTAAGACAGTCTCACTCTGTCGCCCAGGTTGGAGTGCAGTGGTGCTATCTCGGCTCACTGCAACCTCCACCTCCTGGGTTCAAGCGATTCTCCTGCCTCAGCCTCCTGAATAGCTGGAACAAAAGGGGTGCGCCAGCTTGCCTGGCTAATTTTTTATTTTTAGTAGAGACAGGGTTTCACCGTGTTGGCCAGGCTGGATTCGAACTCCAGACCTCAGGTGATCTGCCCACCTTGGCCTCCGAAAGTGCTGGGATTACAGGCGTGAGCCATCATGCCCAGCTGATTTCTTGATCCATCAAAAGTTACAGAATAAATTGAAGGCAGAACCAGAACCTAAACTCAGATTTCCAGTCCAGTGGTCATTATATATAACTATACTGCCTTCTACCCCCTAGATTCCTTGGTAGGTGAAAGTATCAAACTTGCGCTGCACCAGAGAAGTTAGCTTTCTTTAATCTTTACTAAGTTTGTCCTAACCAGAGGGAGACGGAAAATGCACACAAACCACAGAGAGGCTTTTCAAAAGACTCTCACGGTTGATTCCTTGAATTCTAAAGATCTTCAACCCACATCTATGTGAAAAGGAAGAATCTGGTAATTTACTTCTACAAACACTGCACAAAAGTAGTCATTTCCCTAAGTTTTCACCTACTGAGAATTATTACTATTATTATTCTTTAGAGATGGGGTCTTGCTCTGTCACCCAGGCTGAAGTGCAGTGGCTGCTCACAGGCACAATCACAGTTCACTGCAGCCTTGAACTCCTGTGTCCAGTTGGTCCTCCCACCTTGGCCTCCTAAGTAGCTGGGACTACAGGTGCTTGCCACCACGCCCAGCTAATTAAAAAATATATATATTTTTTTAGATGGGGGTCTCATCATGTTGCCTAAGCTGGTCTTAAACTTCTGGCCTCAAGCAATGCTCCCACATCAGCCTCCCAAGTAGCTGAGATTACAGACATGAAACACGACATCTGGCTCTAATATTTATTCTTTGTTCTAGTTACTTTACGAACTCAAGTGGAATGATTTTCAGGATAAATTGTTAAGTGAAAATAAGTATGGCCAGACATGCTGGCCCACGCCTTTACAAAATCTCAATGCTTTGGGAGGTCAAGGCAGGAGGATCACTTGAGCCCAGGAGTTTGAGACCTGCTGGGGCACCATGGTGAAACCCCATCTCTATTTTGAAAAATAAAACTAAATGAAAAGGAAAAAGAAAAAAAAAAAGGAAAGAAGTAAATCCCAGCACTTTGGGTGGCCAAGGCAGGCAGATTGCTTGAGTCCAGGAGTTCAAGACCAGCCTGAGCAACATGACGAAACTCCATCTCTACGAAAAATACAAAAATTAGCCAGGCGTGGTGGCATGCACCTGTGGTCCCAGCTACTTGGGAGGCTGAGATGGGAGGATCACTTGACCCCAGGAGGTCAAGGCTGCAGTGAGCCATAATTGCACCACTGTACTCCAGCCTGGGTGACAGAAAAAAAAAAATTACCATTCTCTACAAAAAGAAAACAAGGTGGTTTAGGAGTGAGTTAGGGGACAGTAGTGTTTTGTTGTTTTTAAGAAAAAATTCATTCCAGGGCTGGTACAGGGAAAGCATAAATGAGCCTGAAACATCTTATGTCAAAAAGTAAAGACATGGCCGGGCGCGGTGGCTTACGCCTGTAATCCCAGCACTTTGGGAGGCTGAGGCGGGCGGATCACGTGTTCAGGAGATCGAGACCATCCTGGCTAACATGGTGAAACCCCGTCTCTACTAAAAATACAAAAAAAAAATTAGCCGGGCATAGTGGCAGGCGCCTGTAGTCCCAGCTGCTCGGGAGGCTGAGGCAGGAGAATGGCGTGAACCTGGGAGGCGGAGCTTGCAGTGAGCTGAGATTGCGCCACTGCACTCCAGCCTGGGTGACAGAGCCAGACTCCGTCTCAAAAAAAAAAAAAAAAAAGGTAAAGACATGCTCAAAGAATGATGGGGACCTGTCAAAAGGACACAGGAGCTAGCTTGGAGAGACTCCACTGGACAAATATAAGATAATCTATGCATCAAAAAAATAATGATAGTGTCAGAGGCGTGTGAACCAGAGCAACTCCATCTTGAATAGGAGCTGGGTAAAATGAGGGTGAGACCTACTGGACTGCATTTCCAGACCATTAAGGCATTCTAAGTCACAGGATGATATGGGAGGTTGGCACAAAATACAGGTCATAAAGACCTTACTGATAAAACAGATTGTAGTAAAGAAGCCGGCCAAAATCCACCAAAACCAAGATGGCCACAAGAGTGACCTCTGGTCGTCCTCACTGCTACACTCCCACCAGCACCATGACAGTTTACAAATGCCATGCGTCAGGAAGTTACCCTATATATGGTCTAAAAAGGGGAGGCATGAATAATCCACCCCTTGTTTAGCATGTAATCAAGAAATAACCATAAAAATGGGCAACCAGCAGCCCTTGGGGCTGCTCTGTCTATGGAGTAGCCATTCTTCTGTTCCTTAATAAACTTCCTTAATAAACTTGTTTTCACTTTAAGGACTCGTCCTGAATTCTTTCTTGCGTGAGATCCAAGAACCCTCTCTAGGGGTCTGGATCAGGACCTCTTTCATGTAACATCTTTCTGGCAACCACGAAGGGACTATAGTACAGAAACCCCTGATCCAAAGGCTAAATCTGGGTAAGTGTTGGTGTCCTGTAACATCTTTCTGGTGACCATAGAAGCAACTACAGTAAGGAAACCCCCAACCCAATGGCTAACTTTGGGTAAGTGGTGGGGTCTGGTAACACCTTTCTGGTGAACCCTGAAGGGATGATACTGAGGAGAACCCCCCGACTCAAAGGAAATAGACTGCAGCACTGACTGGACGACTCTGGGTGAGTGGTGGGGTACCCGGATAAAGGACAGGATTGGGTTAGAAGCCCAACTTAGGGGAGTTAGAGTGTCTCCTAAGACAGAGAGGGTTAAATGCTCCTCTCAATAAAAGGCAAGGATGCTTGACTGACCTTAGGTTATTAGAGGTCCGACTTAGGAGGGTTAGAGCCCCTTCTAAGATTTAGGGGGTTAGAGGCCCCTCTCAGTAAAGTCCCTCTCAGTAGGTAAAGTCCCTTTTGGCTAAGAACAGGTTTGGCACTATGGGATGTTAACTGCTATTCTCCTTGGATTAATCTGCCTTGTACTATTTGCAAATGGCTATGGGTGACAGGATTAGGCATGTACAGGATCATGGGACATGGGGAGCTTTTTCCTCCCTAAAAGGGGAAACTTGAGAGCTGGTGGGACTGCTGGAAAAGATCCCTTCACTGTCGACAAGCAGCCGCCTGAACTTTTCAGTGTCACTGCAATGGGTGGGTCTTTCTCTGGCTTCTTTGAGCACCTGCCTTTCCCACCTTGCCTCAGGCAATGCTTTCCTCTCTGTCTCTCTCTCTCTCTCTCTCTCTCTCTCTCTCTCTCTGTGCACACTGGTTGAATAAACGGTTAAAAAAAATCACTGTTTATCTCCTCTGCTGTAAAGTTTTGATTAATGAAAAAAAAAAAGGATTTATGAGGTTAGTCTTAAGCCGTAGCAAATCTGTTGTGTGTCTTTTCTGTATTGTTCTGTCTTAAACAGGGGTAACTTAGGATAGAACACTGGCTTAGGACACCTGTAAGCCCACTTTGCAAAACAGCCCAGCAAACTGGTCAGTTACAAACTTTGCTGCAGGTCCCTGAAAAAAACTAGATGAGGTTTCCTTCTTGTCTTGTATGTCCTTGGGAACTTGACCTTGTAACCATGTGGCCATGCTTTCTCTTTTCACAATGGTGGCCTGGGTTTGGGGTTCAGTTCCCAGCTTAGGGAATGATCCTTTGCCTTCTGTCTGTCTGTGTATTTGTATGTGTTGTGTGTATAATATAAAAGAGCTTTAATTAATTGGTTTAATAATAATAAGAGCTTAAATCAAATATTTTGTCAGAAAAGTAAAAAGTGTAATGCCTTTTAGTTCATGTGACTTAAGTAATCTTTGGGAAATAAAGATAATTTTAAAGATTATTGGTAAAATTAAAATATCTTCAAAATGTAAACATTTGGTCTAAATTATGCAGGTCCGATATTAAGTTTGCTAAATGCTTTAAGGTCATAAACTGCTTCTTTAACTTTCGAGCATTAGATTCTAGATATAAGGCCTAGGACATGTAGAGTTAGCCACGACCCCTACCTATGCTGGACTCAGCCCTTATCTGCACTTCTGCCTGGTGTGTCCTAGGTTAGGCTCCACACCTAGTACAAAATTAAAATTGCTACTTACCAACGTTTGTTACCAACAGTAAAAAGTCACTAAGGGTTAATATTATAACACATAATTGAACTAGTGAAGAAACAGTTTTACGTGCAAGGTGTGTAAAGAAAGTGAAATGTGTTTTTGGTAAAAGATTATAAAAAGTCATGGGAATGTGGATTTTTTTTCTTGCCTAGATTAAAAGGGTTATAGGATTGTTTTAAGTTAGACAGAAAAAATCTAAAGGTTTAGGCCAGTTGTGAAAGGTTTCTGAAAAATTAATCTTGTGAAAGAAATTCTGTGTGTGAACATGTTGGCTAAAGTTAAAGGGGTATTATTCAGTTTTTCATAAATTGAACATTGGAATAAAAGCACAACAGGTTTTTTCTTAGTGCAAAAACTTGCTTATGATCTGCTCTTTAACAAAAACTTGTAAAGAGTTATAAAAGATTTATGAAAATCTTACTTTATCATCAAACTGATTAAGATTGAATACATTTGTCTATAAGGTTTCATTAAGAATGGAGTTTGACATCAACAGTGCACTAATGAACAGTGACATTTGGCTTATTTGGTATAAAAATTATACAGGGAGCATTATCAAATATGAAATGGTGTTTGGCTTTCTTTGGGCTATATTTGTATAAATGTGTTATTAGCATATGTTCCCAAATTATGGGAAACTCCTAATTCTGATATGACTTAGTGTATGTTATTAATAATTATAATTGTTACATAAAATCATTGTATGCTACAGAGGTAACAAAATTTATTTGTCAATCATGTTTTTGACTATGGCTTCCTAAAACATTTTGTCATCCACAAACAATTGTTGACTTGTTTTAATCCTCTTTAGAAGGTGGTTTATAATTGGCTATTGGACTCTAATAGGTGTTCTTGAATGCAGATTTCTAATAACTTTGGAAATTGTGACATTAGAATAGAGGAAACAACTTTCAGAACTCTCATAGAGAGTTAAAATGTTCATGAATATCAAGCAAGACAGGAGTTAACTAAATTTACTGAACCAATAAAACTTAAGTAATCTTTTTAACTTTGCTTAAAACATTGCTGATCTTTGCTTTGTTTTTTCAGAGTCAAGGAAACTTTTCTTTTGAGCTACTTACAGCTTTTAGCAATTGAATAAAGCATACTGCTATGAACAAAATTTGGAGCATATTTGTTTCTCTCTCCCTAATTTCTCCAGAATTTAGAAACTATTTGTGAGTATTCTTAATTTATGGCAATAGTTATTTGCATAAGTGCTGTAAGAATCTGTTTTCTTTTGTAATAGGACACAATTGGAAAAATTGGTTATTTTACCAAGGCTTTGACTGGAATGGTGTGCTTTCATTTAAGGAATTAAACTTGACTTATAGAGCCCATAAAAGCCCCTTGGGAAACTGGCCTTGTACCTTGCCTACACAGTCCCTGTACAGGGTTTCTGACCTGTGGTAAGTAAAGAATGTCACTTTCTCACAGGTCCAGGAGCCCCCAGGTTATCTTGGGACCTCAAAAGGAGAGACATTTACTCAACTCACAGGTATTTGAGAGTACACACCCATGGCTGAGCTTGGCTTTAAAAAAGTCTTATCTGAGATTCCTTCTATGTAACAGAGTTCCATCAAAGCCAATTTAAAAAGAGATTATGTGAAAAATACCCTTGGTGTACTTTATACACATAATCAGGCCAAGATAATAAAACAAATCAGTCTTGCCATAATTTATCTTTAGTAAAAATGGGAAACTGGAGAGAGAAAAGTTATGTTTCAAAAACTATGGTATACTTGTTATTAAATTCTAGTCTCATCAGTTGTTTTTCAGTTTGTTTCTGCAATTTAGGCTAACCTTGCTTATTCCTGTGAACCAACTAGCGATCTCTGGCTGCTGCTCATAAGAAACAAGAGGGATGGGTAATGTAAAAATCTGAATCAGTATTTTAATTCTGGGCACATATTGGAATTAGCTAGCAACGCCATATCAGCTTGGTTCCAATAGTTGCCCAGTTCATGGAAAGCTTTATAATTTAATTTACTTGGGATTATTTCACTTAACTTTTGTGGAATACATTGCTGTTGTACTCTTTGTGTAGGAATGCAGGACAAGCTTACTGAATGTTTTCTTAAACTGAACACTTATTAATCTTCCAGATATCAACCCTTGTCAGAACTCAAGAGTTATGAATGCCCGTCACCATACTGATGCTTTCTGACTGAGCTCCTCTCTACCCTGAATACAAGAGACCATAATAGTTAGGCAGGAGTGTCATCACCCCTATTCAGCCTGAAGAAGTTACAGAAGATGGATCTCCGTCCCTCTGCAACCCTTAGGATTAAGGGTTCTCTTATAAAATGGAGGGGAGAAATGTCAAGAGGTGTGTGAACCAGAGCAGTTCCATCTTGAATAGAAGCTGGGTAAAATGGGGCTGAGACCTACTGGACCGCATTCCCAAATGGTTAAGGCATTCTAAGAAATAGGATGAGATAGGAGGTCAGCACAAGGTACAGGTCATAAAGACGTTGCTGATAAAACAGGTTGCAGTAAAGAAGTCAGCTAAAACCCACCAAAACCAAGATGATGACAAAAGTGACCACTGGTCGTCCTCACTGCTACACTCCCATCAGTGCCATGACAGTTCACAAATGCCATGACAACAACAGAAAGTTACCCTATACGGTCTAAAAAGGGGGAGGCATGAATAATCCACCCCTTGTTTACCATATAATTAAGAAATAACCTTTAAAATGGGAAACCAGCAGCCCTCAGGGGGCTGCTCTCTCTGTGGAGTAGCCATTCTTTTATTCCTCTACTTTCTTAATAAATTGCCTTCACTTTACTCTATGAACTCACCCTGATTTCTTTCTTGCGTGAGATCCAAGAATCCTCTCTTGGGATCTGGATTGGGACCCAGTGGATCTTCATTCCTCTGCAACCCTTAGGATTAAGGGTTCTCTTATAAAAGGGAGGGGAGAAATGTCAGAGGTGTGTGAACCAGAGCAACTCCATCTTTTTTTTTTTTTTGAGACTGAGTCTTGCTCTGTCTCCCAGGCTGGAGTGCAGTGGCGCGATCTCTGCTCACTGCAAACTCCGCCTCCTGGGTTCTTGCCATTCTCCTGCCTCAGCCTCCCGAGTAGCTGGGACTATAGGCACCCGCCACCACGCCCGGCTAATTTTTTTGTATTTTTTTGTAGAGACGGGGTTTCACCGTGTTAGCCAGGATGGTCTCGATCTCCTGACCTCGTGATCCACCCGCCTTGGCCTCCCAAAGTGCTGGGATTACAGGCGTGAGCCACCGCGCCCGGCCTGCAACTCCATCTTGAATAGGAGCTGGGTAAAATGAGGGTGAGACCTACTGGGCTGCATTCCCAGACTGTTAAGGCATTCTAAGTCACAGGATGAGGTAGGAGGTCGGGACAAAATACAGGTCATAAAGACCTTACTGATAAAGCAGGTGGTAGTAAAGAAGCCTGCCAAACCCACCAAAACCAAGATGGCCACAAGAGTGACCTCTGGTCATCCTCACTGCTACACTCCCACCAGGGCCATGACAGTGTACAAATGCCATGGCAATGTCAGGAAGTTCCCCTATATGGTCTAAAAAGGGGAGGCATGAATAATCCACCCCTTGTTTATCATGTAATCAAGAAATAACCATAAAAAAGGGCAACCAGCAGCCCTCGGGGCTGCTCTATGGAGTAGCCATTCTTTTGTTCCTTTACTTTCTTAATAAACTTGCTTTCACTTTACTCTATGGACTCACCCTGAATTCTTTCTTGCATGAGATCCAAGAACCCTCTCTAGGGGTCTGGATCAGGACCCCTTTCCTGTACAATAGTAAAGGATTATAACCATTGAATAAGGAATCCATGAGTCCACACTGATATTTAATAAATAAAAAGGGAAAATTATTCTCTTATAGTAGAAAGCCAACCAATAAAAGTAGAATAAAGTATGGAATTGGAAAATTACCAGTTGGTAGCCATCATCATAATAACTGATTCTGGCAGGAATCATCAATAGATGCTGAAACTAATGGGTGACAGTTTGAAGAGTAACAGAATTTTTATAATGTCTTACTTTAAAACTTAAAGTATTGCACCAGAAGAGACTTTTTAATGTATACTTGAACTATCTGATTCTCTGAAAAAGGAATATGGAAATCTCTAGAAGGTGCTATGGACTGGGTCAGATGGGTAATGATACTAACAGACTTATCTTGGGACTAGGTACTTGGCATAGGGTAGACAGGCAAAGAAATAGGATTAGAGCCTGCTGAGAGTGACTTAGGCCTCATTGGCAATAGGGGAATGGCAGAAAAAGACAGTAGTGAAGAAAGCAGGCACTGAAGTTAGATTTCTGTGTTCAAAGCCCATCTCTATCACACATGAGGTATGTGGCCTTGTATGTACTATAAACATAAAAAAAAAATTTTAAGCACCCCCCTCCACAACCGACTGAATGAACCCCTTCTATCAGCCAAGGGGATTCCAAAGTAAACCTGAAAAATCAGTTCATGCCATGATGGTAAGTAAGGTGAGTGGGGGATCAGACATCCCTCAGTATACCCTCCTCCCTTTGGAACTCAGGCACAACTGACCAGCATTAACTTGAAAACAGAGATTTTAAGACTGACAAAACAGACTCTTTGTAGCAATAAGATACCAAATTCCAACTTGACTCTACTATAATCATATGACAGACAGACAGCAGGCCCTGAAAAGAATTTTTTTACCTCAAAACATTTTACATATATATATATATATATATATATATATATATATATATATATACACACACACACATATATATATTTTGTTTTTTGAGATGGAGTCTCGCTCTGTTGCCCAGTGTGGAGTGTAGTGCCATGATCTCAGCTCACTGCAACCTCCATCTCCCGGGTTCAGGCAATTCTCGTGCAGCCTCCCCAGTAGCTAGGATTACAGGTGTGCACCACCACACCCGGCTAATTTTTGTATTTTTAGTAGAGCGGGGCTTCACCATGTTGGCCAGCTGGTCTTGAACTCCTGACCTCAAGTGATCTGCCCGCTTCAGCTTCCCAAGCTGCTGGGATTACACGTGTGAGCCACTGTGCCCAGCCTCCAAAATATATTTCTTTGATTATTTTGAAATGGCTTTGCACAGCTGTCTCTTCCAGGGGAAATTTACATTCTGTAGAGAATCCCCTTCCCTCTCCAGGTCTTTTCTGATATTGAAGAGATAAGCTGAGAGTCTAGCACTTTTTAAAGATCTGAATAGGAAACATTTGCCATCTATTCATTGCCCTTAAGGGTGACCACCTATGAGACTTTATCTACATAATAAGACCTTGGTCGCCACAGCCCCTTATCTTAACCTAGACATTGCTTTCTACTGACTCCAGTATTTTAAATAATAACTCTATCAACCAATTGCCAATCAGGGCCAGATATGGTGGCTCACATCTGTAATCTCAGCACTTTGGGAGGCCATGGCAGGAGGATCACTTGAGCCCAGGAGTTTGAGACAATCCCGGGCAACATAACGAGATCTCATCTCTACTTAAAAAAGAAAAAGGAAAAGAAAAAAGAAAAATCAGCCAGGCATAGTGGCACACACCTGTAGTCCCAGCTACTCCAGTGGAGGAGGTGGGAGGATCACTCGAGCCCAGGAGTTAGAGGCTGCAGTGAGTTATGATTGCACCACTGCACTCCACCCTAGTCACCAGAGCGAGACCTATCCCCCCCGCGAAAAAACATTGCCAATCTGAAAATCTTTAGAGCCACCTGTGACCCAGAAGCCCCTCCCAACCCTTTGAGTTGTCCCACCTTTCCAGAACAAACCAATGTACACCTTAAGTGTATTAGTTGATGTCTGTCTGTAACTTCTGTCCTCCTAAAATGTATAAAATTAAGCTGAAACACAACCACCTTGGGCACATGTTCCCAGGACCTCCTGAAGCTGTGTCATGAGTCATGATCGTCACATTTGGCTCAGAATAAATCTCTTCAAGTATTTTACAGAGTTTGACTTTTTGTCAACAGTACCCTGTGCCTCAGTGTTCTTATTTGTAAAATGGGGATAATGCTAATAGTACCTATTATACCAGGTGGGTTCTCATGTTTAAATGAGATATATATATAGTATCAGTTAGCTTTTGCTGTGTAACAAACCACCCCAAAACTCAGTGGCTTAAATCAATTAATATTTATCCTTGCTCACAAAGCTACAGGTCAACCGGGCAGTTCTTTTGCTCTTGGATGGGCTTGTTCATGCACAAAATGGTCAATTGCAGGCTGAGTAGGCAACTCTGGTAATTTTGGCTGCTCTCTCTCATGTTAGGGGGACAACAGGCAAGAGGCTGGTATAGGATGGCCTCCCCTGGGACAACTGGACTCTCCTCCATGGGATTGTTACTGGAGCGGGGTCCCAATCCAGAACCCAAGAGAGGGTTCTTGGATCTTGTGCAAGAAAGAATTCAAAGCAAGTCCATAAAGTGAAAGCAAGTTTATTGAGAAAGTAGAGGAATAAAAGAATGGCTACTCCATAGACAGAGCGGCCCCAAGGGCTGTTGGTTGCCCATTTTTATGGCCTCCCCTTTTTAGACCATATAGGGTAACTTCCTGAAGTTGCCATGGCATTTGTGAACTGTCATGATGCTGGTGGGAGTGTAGCAGTGAGGACAACCAGAAGTCACTCTGGTCGCCATCTTGGTTTTGGTGGGTGGGTTTTGGCCGGCTTCTTTACTGCAAGCTGTTTTATCAGCAAGGTCTTTATGACCTGTATCTTGTGCCGACCTCCTATCTCATCCTGTGATTTAGAATGCCTTCACTGTCTGGGAATGCAGCCCCATAGTTCTCAGCCTCATTTTACCCAGCCCCTATTCAAGATGGAGTTGTTCTGGCTCAAATGCTTCTGACAGGATCTCATATCCCACAACAGGCTAGTCTGGGTTTCTTCATATGGGATTCAAGAGAATGACTGGAAGTGTGCAAAGATTTTCAGAGGGGCTGAGAACTGGTATACCTTCACTTCCCCTGCATTTAATTTGTCAAAAGAAGTCACGTGGCCAGCCCAGATTCAACGAGTGAGGAGAGAGACTCTGTCTTTTGATGGGAGGAGCTGCAAAGTCACATTGCAAAGGATGTGGATATGGGGAGAGGTATTGAGCCATTTTTGCAACCAATCTGCTATTATTACAGGTGTCTCATACAAAAGGATGGCCAGGCAGCAAATCCACAGCCAAGCGACCACCAGCATATCACCTGGTACTGGATTTGAGCAGATAGCTAATGCTAAGCCCTGCCCAGGAAGGACTGAGGTATTTAAAACATTGTATTAACTAAGTGTCTTATTGGTTTCTGTGGCCAGGCACGGTAGCTCACACCTGTAATCCCAACACTTTGGGAGGCCAAGGCAGGCGGATACCTGAGGTCAGGAGTTCAAGACCAGCCTGGCCCACATGGTGAAACCCCGTCTCTACTAAAAACACAAAAATTGGCCAGGTGCGGTGGCTCACGCCTGTAATCCCAACACTTTGGGAGGCCAAGGTGGGCGGATCATGAGGTCAGGAGATCAAGACCATCCTGGCTAACACGGTGAAACCCCATCTCTACTTAAAATACAAAAAATTAGCCAGGTGTGGTGGCGGGCGCCTGTAGTCCCAGCTACTTGGGAGGTTGAGGCAGGAGAATGGCGTGAACCCGAGAGGCGGAGCTTGCAGTAAGCAGAGATTGTGCCACTGCACTCCAGCCTGGGTGACAGAGCAAGACTCCGTCTCAAAAAAAAAACAACAAAAAAACACAAAAATTAGTTGGGCGTGGTGGTAGGCACCTATAATCCCAGCTACTCAGGAGGCTAGGGCACAAGAATCGCTTGAACCTGAGAAGTGGAGGTTGCAGTGAGCCAAGATCATACAATTGCACTCCAGCCTGGGCAATAAGAGCGAAACTCCATCTCAAAAAAAAAAAAAAAAAAAAGTTTCTGTACCTAAAGTTTTATCATTGAGGCCGTGTTGACTAGAAAAGGACGGCCCCTCTCAGGGTTATTGGATTCCTAGTGATAGAAAATGACTCCTTCAAAAGCACCTTTCATCAGACTAACCAATCTTTCCAGCCCCCAGCTCCTTCCAGTCACATTATTGGGCTCTTATACTGCAGGACACTATTCCCCTGCCCTAATCATCCCAAAGCAAGCAACAGACAGCTTGAAGCAGATGCTATACCACAGAGCCCACAGTTGTTATTCAAACTAGTGAGGACTAAGCTTTGGTTGTTTCATCTAGTCCAAATTCCTATATAAGGGGTCTGGGGAGTCATGCTCTACAGACCGTAAGTTCTCATCAGATGGGTTTTATTTAACCTGTATTAGTCTGTTTTCACACGGCTGATAAAGACATACCTAAGACTGGGAAGAAAAAGAGGTTTAATTGGACTTACAGTTCCACATGTCTGGGGAGGCCTCAGAATCATGGCAGGAAGTGAAAGGCATTTCTTACATGGTGGTGGCAAGAGAAAAATGAGGAGGAAGCAAAAGCAGAAACTCCTGATAAACCCATCAGATCTCATGAGACTTACACACTATCATGAGAATAGCACGGGAAATACCACCCGCATAATCCAATTACCTCCCCTTGGGTCCCTCCCACAACATGTGGGAATTCTGGGAGATACAATTCAAGTTGAGATTTGGATGGGGACACAGCCAAACCATATCAGATGGGTTTTATTTAACCCTATATATCGTGACTTACTTTCCAATCTGACTCTGGCATAACATTACAAGACAAGGAAGAAAATCAAAATATTTTACCCCAAAACATGTTTCTCTGCCATATCTTGAAATGGCCCTGCAAAGCTGTCCTTTGTGGGGGAAAATTTGCATCTGTAAAGAATCTCTATTAACATAGCTAGATCTTTTTCTTCCAGGCCCTCCCAATTCTAAAGAGATTAACTAAAGTCTAGCACCTTTCTAGCACCTTTCTAGACTTTAGTTAATCTCTTTAGAATTGGGAGGGCCTGGAAGAAAAAGATCTGAATAGGAAACACTTGTCATCTATTGTCTCTAAGGGCAGCCACTATAAGACTTCAAAGGGACCAGGCTCGGTAGCTCATACTTGTAATCCCAGCACTTTGGGAGGCCAAGGCAGGCAGATCACCTGAGGTCAGGAGTTCGTAGACCAGCCTGGCCAAGATGGCAAAACCCCATCTCTACTAAAAAAATACAAAAATTAGCCAGGCGAGGTGGCAGGCGCCTGTAATCCCAACTACTCTGGAGCCTGAGGCAGGAGAATCACTTGAACCTGGGAGGTAGAGCTTGCGGTGACCCAAGATCATGCCCTTGCACTCCAGCCTGGGTGACAAGAGCAAAACTCTGTCTCAAAACAACAACTTCAAAGGAACTTTGGTCTCCACAGTCTTCTATCTTGACCTGAACATTTCCTTTCTATCAATCCCAGGTCTTTAGACAAACTCAACCAATTGTCAACCAGAAAATGTTAAAATTTACTTATAGCCTGGAAGCTGGAAGCCCACTGCCTGCCCCCGCTCTTTGAATTATCCCTCCTTTCTGGACCAAACCAATGCATTTCTTTTTCTTTTTTTTTTTTTTTTTTTTTTTTTTTTGAGACGGAGTCTCGCTGTTGCCCAGGCTGGAGTGCAGTGGCGCAATCTCGGCTCACCGCAAGCTCTGCCTCCTGGGTTCATGCCATTCTCCCACCTCAGCCTCCCCAGTAGCTGGGACTACAGGCGCCCGCCACCATGCCCGGCTAATTTTTTGTATTTTTAGTAGAGACGGGGTTTCACTGTGTTAGCCAGGATGGTCTCGATCTCCTGACCTCGTGATGTGCCTGCCTCGGCCTCCCAAAGTGCTGGGATTACAGGCATGAGCCACCACGCCCGGCCACCAATGTATTTCTTAAATGTATTTGATGGAGGTCTCGTGCCTCCCTATACTGTGCCCCATCCACCTTGGGCACATGTTCTGAGGATCTCCCGAGGGCTGTGCCACTGGCCATGGTCATTCATACTTGGCTCAGAATAAATCTCTTTGAATATTTTAAAGAGTTTGACTCTTTTCGCTAAAACTAGCCAATCCTAAACTTGCCTAGCCTGCTTACCCTGACTCACCCATTTCTTCTCTCTCTCTCTGTCTCTCTCATGCCTGTGACCTTAGTGTTCCCTTGTGTGACCTTGCACAGCATGACATGCTCCCCTCCTCTTGGGAGCTGTAATAAACTATCTTTTCCGTGGCAATCATCTCCTAATCTTTTGGCCTCACCAACTCTGAATAAAAACAAAACCTACATCTACATGTTAAAACAAATACTGCTTGCCTTGTACGCAGGAAGAGTTATAGGGCTGGTTAGGTCTTCAGGTGGGCAGGCCAATGAGTAGACTTCAGTTGTGGATAACGGAAAGAGACGGTCACTTCTGATAGAATAAGGGCTGAGCACAGAAGGCAAACAGGGTCAAGTTTGATCCGCCGGCAGACTCAAGACTGACACAAGGAACCACGGACAGGATTAAACCAGTAGTCACTAGTTTGAATAAAAGTCATCCAAAGCCAAAAGTCAGGAATGAAGCTTAGGCTGGAGAAGCAGAGTACTGTACAGCATCAGGGGGCAGTGACATGGTTTTCGCTGTAGAGTAATTTAACTTATTCTTGTGAGTTGCTTCCTTCTCCCTTGAGGCTTAAAATTGGGTATGGCTATCAGCAACTTGTACTGTGATGCCAAAGCTGTCAGAATTAGAGCAGAATGGCCAACATGGACTGAAGCAAAAAATATAAGGAGGGAGTTCACAGGTAAGCAAAACTGGGGGCAGATATTTTTAGCATATTAGTGGAATCAAGATAATCCAGAGGGGAGACAGGGAGGAAGATGAGCAGCATATATGTGCATCTATACTTCCAACTCCCAAAATAGGTAATTCAGGTTATGACTGCTCCCATTACAGAAAAATTCATAACACGGTTCCACCAATGATGAGAACCTTCAAGGCTCTTATGTATTTATCGATCACTAGCTGCTTGACAGGGAGGCCATGGGACACAGGAAATTAAAACGAATATGTTCAACACACACTAATCCCAAAGATCAGATAAAAATAAAAATAGAACATTTCCGAATAGGGGGAAATGGAGTTTGATTGTCTTAACACCCAGCATATACAAAGTGTATACAGTTATTTTGTAATGTAGAGTTATCATGAGGAAGGTGCAGAGAGGAGGTTCTGAACAATCTCTGATTGCTACATGGGTAAAATACTCAGATGTTTATAAGACATATAATCTCTCTGTTTTGTTTTTTTCCTCACTTGTAGTAGAAGTTTTGGTAGCAAACATAAGCCTTTCATCTGTCAAATGTACAGATTTCTTAGGGCAAACATAAACTTCTGCCTCTTTCCAGAGACAAAAAAAAAAGGGAACACTACGGGTAAATTGATGATTTAGCTCCAACCTCTCCCAGCCATATGTATGGGATGCTCCTGGTGTATCAGCCACCGTGGTTGGAATCCACCCCTCAGGGAGGCTGACCTTGCTTGGTGTAACTCACAGGGCTGGAACAACTATCTTCATCCAAGTTGATAGGAGAGGCAGCAGCAAACATGTTCTCAACGGAAGAAGTGCCAGATTTTGCTATTTACAAACTCCAATGTGGAGCAGTGGGAGATGGACAAAGCAACTCTCTTATGTAGAGATCATGTAGCAGCAGCAGTTCACCTCTAAAATTCAGCTAATATTTTCCTTCTTGCCATAGAACAGTGGGCAGGGCCAGGTGGACCAGCACCATAGTCAGTGACGCGGTGGCTAGGAAGTCCTTGGAAGTGCAAACCTTCTCAAAAAAGTAGACGGCAGTGGCTGGCGCACATGGAGGTTCAGGACAAGATGGAAGAGAATGCTTATCACAAAGCTGGTGACAGAGCAGGGGCTGGGGAGGGGCCGCTGCACAGGTCCATGATGAAGTCTTTTTGATGTTGAACCATTGGCATTCAGCAGTGATGAAGAAGACGGTGTCTCAAGAAGCTCTGGATCTTGACCCGCCATCTGCCAGCGTCCCTGCCCTACTTTCTTACTCAGAAATGGAAACATAAGCCCTATAGTGAGCCATAATATGGGATCAATGCCACCTCTTCCATGTGGGTGGCATTGACCGTCCCTCATATTATGGTTCCTTATAGGACTCTGTTCTTTATAGGACATCCTGCAGTGATTTAAAGGTGGCTCATGCCTGTAATTCCAGCACTTTGGGAGGCCGAGACGGGCAGATCATGAGGTCAGGAGATCAAGACCATCCTGGCTAACACGGTGAAACCTCGTCTCTACTAAAAACACAAAAAATTAGCCGGGTGTGGTGGCGTGCGCCTGTAATCCCAGCTACTCGGGAGGCTGAGGCAGGAGAATTGCTTGAACCTGGGAGGTTTCAACCCGCCACTGCATTCCAACCTAGGCAACAGAGTAAGACTCTATCTCAAAAAAAAAAAAAGCATCTATTTCTTCATTATCTCATTATCCTCATCACATGAATAAGTAATATCCATTCCCACAGGAGGTGGATGGCATCTTTCCTGAGAAGTGGGCACTAGAAAATAGATCAGCCATGCAGTGGACTCTTAGGATGGGATCATCCCCAGCAGGGCATTGGAGGCATTGGAGGCATTGATTTCAACAAGGTAAGGCCAAGTTGGATTGACGCATACCAGGAAAAGGACATGATTTCTGTTTATGTTTTGAGCATCTTCTCTTTTGAATGGTTTTCCTGCTAAAAATAACACATGCTCATTGCAGAAAATCTAGAAGGTTCAGAAGGGTGTGAAGAGACACCCCATCCAGAAATAAACACTGTTAATATTTTTCCTATTCAATTATTATTTGAAGTCATATTGAAGATATGATTTATTTTGGTTTTCTTTGCCCCATTTAAAAATATCCTAAGAGGCTGGGTGCAGTGGCTCATGCCTGTAATCCCAGCACTTTGGGAGGCTGAGGCGGGTGGATCACCTGAGGTCAGGAGTTCAAGACCAGCCTGGCCAACATGGTGAAACCCCGTCTCTACTAAAAATACAAAAATTAGCCAGGCCTGGTGGTGCGTGCTTGTTGTCCCAGCTACTCGGGAGGCTGAGGCGGGAGAATCGCTTGAACCTGAGAGGTGGAGGTTGTGGTGAGCTGAGATCACACCATTGCACTCTAGCCTGGAGAACAAGAGCGAAACTCCATCTCAAAAACAAAAAAAGCATTCTTTTTTTTTTTTTGAGACGGAGTCTTGCTCTATTGCCTGGAGTGCAGCGGCGCAATCTCGGCTCACTGCAACATCCACCTCCCGGGTTCAAGCAATTCCCCTGCCTCAGCCTCCCGAGTAGCTGGGACTACAGGTGCACACCACCACGCTCGGCTAATTCTTTGTATTTTAGTAGAGACGAGGTTTCAGCATCTTGGCCAGGAGATTGGTCTCAATCTCTTGACCTTGGATCTGCCCACCTCAGCCTCCCAAAGTGCTGGGATTACAGGCGTGAGCCATCACGCCTGGCCAAAAACAAAAAAGAAAATCTAAGAGTGTTTAGAAAACCCCTACTTCTTTTTTAAAGTAAGAATGGGAAAAGTGTGTATGAAGATGTTGGCATGCCAAAGCAATGAAACGGCATAGGCATTTGTCATTGTAAATCCTCATGTGTTGAGTAAGTTCACCTCCTCTGAAGTGGAGCCCATCTCCCACTACAGAAGCTGGAAATTCCAGAGACTTTCTCATCTTTCCTCGCAGCTGGGGCAGAGTGACATGATATAGATTCTACCCCTCAATGCTGTACGCCACAATGCTGTACCCCAAACAGCCTCACTTTGAAATCAGAAGCTGATAATCCAGAGAAACAAAGACTGTACAGAATCATTTGGACACTGGGTGGCAGCAGTTCAGCTTTCAGGATGTAACATCCCTGTTGCTGGCAATGCTGCCTGCAGCATCCCGTTGGGTGTCTTAATGGACTGGTTCTTAAGCACAACTTGGTTCCAGCAGCACGGCCTCCGAGCTTTCCTCTACTGCTCTTCAGAGTCTATAAGCCACCCAATATTCTTTTAACAAATTCCTTGACTTGCTTAAACCAGAATTGCTTTCTACAGCCTGCAACTACAACCATTGACCGAGAAAGTATATGATTGGCATGTTTAGCCCTATTTCTGTTACTTTGTTTTGGATGCTCCATTTTGTTGTTGTTGTTGTTTGCTTGCTTATTCTTTTTGTGATTTATTAGACAAATTGTATTTGATTTTCTATAATCATTTAGGCAGTGGCACCCTGTTTTTAATTGTCCTTAAGGTCATCAAGTATATTCTGAAACACATTATTTCTAGTTATCGGAGCTAAATGAACATTTAAAAAATTCTTCTCTGGCTGGGCATGGTAGCTCATGCCTGTAATCCCAGCACTTTGGGAGGCTGAGGCAGACGGATCACTTGAGGTCAGGAGTTCAAGGCCAGCCTGGCCAACATGGAAAAACCCCATCTCTACTAAAAATAAAAAAATTAACTGAGTGTGGTGGCACATGCCTGTAATCCCAGCTACCAGGGAAACGAAGGCACAAGAATCTCTTGAACCCGGGAGGTGGAGGTTGCAGTGAGCCATGATCGTGCCATTGCACTCCAGCCTGGGTGACAGAACGAGACTCTGTCTCAAGAAAAAAAAAAAAAAATTAAACATCAAATCAAATAAAAATTATTCCCTAAATACAATGAAAAAATGAAAATGAAAAATGAGTTTCTCCCTGGGAAGGCAGAGGCTGCAGTGAGCCAAGATCGTGCCACTGCACTCCAGCCTGGGTGACAGAGCGAGACTGCATCTCAAAAAAAAAAAAAAGAGCTTTTCCTTTTCCAACACACCACACACACACACACACACACACACACACACACACACACACACCACTTCCCAGGCTTTGCTAATTCAGTCAGGGATTATAAATGTTTGCCACAGTGCATCAGCTCACCTCTTCAACTCTGCTTCAAAGGAAGTCTGCATTACTGCAGAAACGAGGCAGCACAAAGAATGCCTCAGCTGTGCCCCATACTGTCCCAGGAACCCCCCTCCGTCCTGGGCATACGGGGATAGTTGGTCACCCTGGCCTAAGCCATACCCCAGTCTGAAGGATTGTCGGCTCTGCCCCTCACCCATGCTGTTCTTAAATTAGGAGCTTAGTGCTGGTCTGGGTCCCTCTGGCCAGAAACCAGAACTCTGTGCTGTCTTGGTTGACCTCTGTTGTCAACACATTGGCAATGTTTGCCGCTTTTTGGTTGAGACAATAAAAGTTTACCATCAGAAATTCTACAGCAACCTTAAAGGGAACTCTGCCTCCCCAAGGCAGCAGCACAAGAAAGGCCACCTGCCTGAGCTTCCTCCTTGGTGACTGCATTATGTTGAAAATATTCACTGTCCCTTCCTGAGGACGTATTATTGTCCTTGTCAATTGACATTAAACTTGGTCATGTAACCTGCAGTGCCCCTCCATGTAAGATTACACATCCCCACCCTGTCGAACACAGGGTAGCCATACAACTTTCTTTGGCCAATGCAGTGAGAATAGAAGTTGAAGAGCCAGCTGTAGTCTTCCCCTGGCAGGACACCAGCACTGGTCCCAGTGGGGGATGCTCAACCTGCGTCTTAAGTGAAAATGACATGGAACAAAGCTGAAATTGACTATAATGAACACAAGTAAGAAATAAATCTTTGTTGTTGTAAGCCACGAGACTTGGGAGTTGCTCATTGCTGCAAATAACCTAACCTATCTTGACCTTTACACTCTGTGTGAGCCCTTATTGTCCCTGTATCTTTGACTTAGAAAGGCGTGGACAATCAGGGGACTCTTTTGAGTCTTAAGTGGAGAAGACAGAGAGAATGGCAGGCTATACTGTCAGAGGAGCTGTGATGGGGACTCTCCTCTAGTCTCCATTACCCAAACAAGTAACAGAACAATCCACTCATGTTTTCTGGTTTGTTTTCATGAACCTGTAGAAAAGTTTGAGCCAAAGGAAGGTTTTATCTGAGGCTTTTCCAAGTTTATCTTTTTTTTTTTTTTTTTTTTTTTTTTGAGACGGAGTCTCACTGTCTCCCAGGCTGGAGTGTAGTGGAGCGATCTCGGCTCACTGCAAGCTCCGCCCCCCTGGTTCACGCCATTCTCCTGCCTCAGCCTCCCGAGTAGCTGGGACTACAGGCTCCTGCCACCACGCCAGGCTAATTTTTGTTTGTTGTTATTTTTAGTAGAGACGGGGTTTCACCGTGTTCGCCAGGATGGTCTCGATCTCCTGACCTCATGATCCGCCCGCCTCGGCCTCCCAAAGTGCTGGGATTACAGGCGTGAGCCACCGCGCCCAGTCCCCAAGTTTATCTTCAAAGTAGGTAGAGTCAACTCAAGTTAGCAGACATTCATTCCTTCATTAAACTGAGAGCTTGCTATATATGCCAGACGAGGCAGCATCTCTTCTGAGTAAACTGAAAATGTATCTAGGAGATAAATATCTGGAGTGAGCACCTATGAGGCACCATGAGAATAAAATATTACTTTTAGAAGGCTAATGTGTGATCAGTTCACCAAAAAAAAGTGACAATGCAAACACAAATCCAAAAGGAAATCTCAGTAAAGACAAAACATCAGAAAATGTACATAATTTAATCATGTTATTGTATAATAAACATTAAATTATAGCTGTGGTTGGGTAAGTCAAAATCAATACTAATGTATTTTTCTAAATATCTGTCCAGAAGAACCCCTTAGGAAACAAAATATATTCTGTGCCTTTCCTGGGAATGTGCTTTCTAACACAGGCTATCGAGTGTACTGAGAGAGGCAATTCCTATGCTGACGATGAGTGTAATATGGTGCAGCTATTCTGGAAGAGAGTTTTGAAATTCTTTTTGAGTCTTTATCCTATTCCTATCTTCTGGCACAGTATAATCGCATCTAAAAAATTGTTCTAAAAAATAATCAGAAATTGGCTGGGCGTGGTGGTGCACACCTGTAATCCCAGCACTTTGGGAGGCTAAGGCAGGCGGACCACCTGCGGTCAGGAGTTTGAGACCATCCTGACTAACATGGTGAAACTGTCTCTACTAAATACAAAAAATTAGCTGGGTGTGGTGGTGCATGCCGTAATCCCAGCTACTCGGGAGGCTGAGGCAGGAGAATCGCTTAAACCCGGGAGGTGGAGGTTGCAGTGAGCCAAGATTGCAGCAGTACACTCCAGCCTCGGCGACAAGAGCAAAACTCCAACTCAAAAAAAAAAAAATCAGAAATTCAGACAAAGATTTTTGTACCATTAATGTTACAAACAATAAATATCCAACGATAGAACTATTATTAAATAATACTTTAAAAATATAATGAAACCATCATGTGTAATTGTAAATACTTTCAATTACAAAGGGAAATGCTTACACAATAATATCAATCCCAAATGGCATAAAATTGTCTGTATAGCATACCTTCGATATTTAAGGAAATATGCATAAAAAAGACTGAAAAAAGCCTGGGCCTGGCAGCTCACACCTGCAGCCCCAGCACTTTGGGAAGCCAGGACTCCACCTCGGAGGCAGGTGGATTGCTTAAGTCCTGGAATTTAAGACCAGCCTGGGCAACATGACAAAACCCTGTCTCCCCAAAAAAAAAAAAAAAAAAAAAAAAATTAGCTGGGCGCGATGGCCCATGCATGCATGCAGTCCCAGCTACTCAGGAGGCTGAAGTGAGATGATCACTTGAGCCCAGGACGCAGAGGCTGCAGAGGCTGCAGTGAGCTGTGATTGCACCACTGCACTCCATCCTGGGTGACACAGAGAAACCCTGTCTCAAGAAAAAAAAAAGAAAGAAAGAAAAAAATACAGTATTAAGAGCGATTATACAGTGGTATTATGAGATGATTAATATGACCTCCTTCATACATTCCTGTACTCTCCAAAATTTCCACAATGATATATTTTCAAAAAATAATTTTGGGAAAATATTCCTAAATAATAACAGGGTAATTAAAAATACAATAATACATTATTTTTTAAATAAAAATGGCATTACAAACCAATTTACAAAAGCTCCAGACAGTATTTAGAAAAAGATTTATAGTTTGGCCATATGCCAGTAAAAATAAAAAGGAAATTACTACACACACACATAAAATATAAATGAATTTTATTTATGAATGTATAGATGTACAGCAAATAGGAAAGATAATACATTAAAAGAACATATACTATAACCAGGTAGAGTTTTATCTCAGGAATTTAAGGATGTTTTAATATTACAAAAACCCTTATTATAATCATATTAGGCAATTTAAGTGATAAAAATTTGATTGTATCAAAAGACACCAATTCCTTTTATCAAGCTTTTAGCTTCCAACAAACAAGAATAGAAGATGTTATTTCTGTTATCCTAACAAAGAACATTTGTTTAAAACCAACAATTAACTTCATATGTAATGAAAAAATATCAAAAAAACTTATTACAATTTTATGAAACACAAAAACAAAATAGAAATACCTATGATTTTATATTTAGAAAGAGCAAACAGGCCATCTAAAACTGTTAGAACAAAGAAAATCACCAAAAGATACATATTTTAAAAGTTAATAGCTTTCTAATAATAGAGATTCCCATGCTGACAGCAACATAGATATAAAACAGCCAAGAAAGAATTAATTAAGGTATATATAAAACCTAGACAAAAAGAAGAACCAAGTATAATGAAAAAAATCAAGAAACATGACAATAATGGAGACTAAATCCCTCGATGGAAAGAATTATAATCATAAATGTAAGCCTTAAAGAGTTAACTTTAGATGTAGACAAGTCAAACTGAAGCACTAAAAACATGTTGACCTTATATAACACATTCCTTAGGGGGAAAAAAAGATTTTTTAATATTGGAAAAAATATGGTTAGGCATAGTGGCTCATGCCTGTAATCCCAGCACATTCAGAGGCCAAGGCGGGAGGACTGCTTGAGCTTAGGAGTTCAAGACCAGCCTGGGCAACATAGTGAGACCTTGTCTCTACTAAAAACCTAAAAAGATTAGCTGAGTATGGTGGCATGCACCTATAGTCCCGGCTACTAGGGAAGCTGAGGCAAGAGGATGGCTTGAGCCTGAGAAATCAAGGCTGCAGGGAGCTGTAATTGTGCCCTGCACTCCAGCCTGGGCAACAGAGTGAGACCCTGTCTCAAAAAAACGTCGGAGAAGGAGGAAAAACAATGAAGACCAATATGCTACTGATTCACATGGATTCAAATACAAAGTATAATCCATTATATGGCAAAAAATATGTCTTCACTACCAAGTGTTACAATTACCAAGAATAAATAATGTTTTGCTCAGAGCTAGTGAGTAAAAAAACACAGCATTGCACACAGCATTGCAACATAAAGTAAGTGCTATGTTAGGCCTGTAAGAATGCTACAAGAGTCACCTCTTTTGGAGTCAAGAAAGGCCAACCTGGCGTTTTGAAGAATCCAATTTTGCTAGGTTGTGAGGTAGGAAGAAGGAATGGCACTTATAAAAGAGGGAACATCAGGCTGAGTGCAGTGGCTCACGCCTATAATACTAACACTTTGGGAGGGCGAGGTGGGTGGATCACTTGAGGTGAGGAGTTCAAGACCAGCCTGGCCAACATGGTGAAACCCCATCTCTACTAAAAATACAAAAATTAGCCAGGCATGGTGGTACATGCCTATAATCCCAGCTACTCGGGAGGCTGAGGCAGGAGAATCACTTGAACCTGGGAGACGGAGGTTGCAGTGAGCTGAGATCATGCCACTGTACTCCAGCCTGGGCGACAGAGACTCCATCTCAAAGGAAAAAAGAAAAAAAAAAAAAAAAAAAACAGGGAATATCATTTACAGAGAATCACAAGACAAAATAGCACATTCCAGAAATTCCAAGTAGGTCAAGTACATACAATGTTGGTCTGCATTTTAAAAACTCGACTAAAGTCAATATTCAATCAGAACATTTCTCATAACAATCTGAATTTCTGGCTTCTTTTTAAAAAACTGGGCACTATGACAAAGTGGGCCCACATTCCCACGTGGATACAAGAGGCAGGCGTCCCTTTTAGATGGGACAGTTTGCCACAGCACTTCTCCCTTCTCCCACTGCTCTTGCATCCAGTTCACTTCATCCATTTAACTCACCTTTCTAGTCCCTGCAGGCGTTTTGAGTTTACAAATACCACCCTACATGATGAGGACCAAGGAAGGTTTCAGCAGGAAAAAAGCCATATGATTAGCTTTGTTTTCAAAATGTCAGGCAGCCAGATGGAAGGCAGGAGAAGTGAAGAGTGGTAAGGAGACCAGTGAAATCCACAAACGCTTATTCTATTAAAGATTAAAACAGGGCTACCATCACTGCAGTGGGAACAGGGCACCTTTTACCAAAAACTCCCATAACAGATGACTTGAAAACCACTGAGTTTATGCATCTGTAGGATATATGCAGGAAGATGATGAGGGTTTGAAACAAGGCAGTATGTACAGGGTGGAAAGAAAGGGGCAGAGAAGGATAAATATTTGAAAGGTTTTTGAGGGGAAGAAACTCTCCAACACTGGGTAACCAATTTGACAAAGGGAACAAGGAGAAAAAAAAGTATAGGACAATTTACAGCTTTTTGTCTATGTCATTAGGTAGATAGTGGTGACATTCAAAAATAAGGAAATAAAAGCAGGAACAAGACTAAAGGAAAATTCATAATTCAATTTAGAATACATTGAATTTGTAGAGTCTACAGACATGCGACTTGACATCAAAAACCCCGATAAATTACCAAAGAAAACTCTTTTCCAACTATAATGCGATAACTTTCTAACAGCTTAATCATGAGTGAAAATCAGAGAAAGGCATGGTTATATAAAATATTTTACAGAATGAATACCAACAAAACTAAGATTAAAGTAGACTATTATAGAATTGAATAAAATACTGCAACAAAGATGACAGAGGACCAATAACATCACATATAAAAGCATAATGATAAGATATAAAAACAGAACATAAACAAGTAAAGGTCCAGCAAGTCTCTCAATGTAAAGGAAATGCATTTATACCCTACACTGTTTCCATTAAAGATTTAAGATAGCTTACTACAAAAATATACATAGTAAAATGGTAAGTGTAAATAATAGTAATAATTAAATGTAAAAATTTTTTTAATTATCACCAGGAGAAATCTGGACTAGAAAAAAAGAAACAAAATATGCAGAGCATAAGGGCTTTCAGAAATATCGTTGACAATGAAAGTAAAAAGCTCAACACAAGTGGCATGACTCTTATTATCCATTAGGAGAAAACACAGCCATTTCTCACTTTAAAAAGGACATTTTTGCTTTTTCCCTCAATTGAAAAGATAGCATTTCATGATAAAAATTTCTCTACATTAATTTAGCTTTATGAAAACTTATTACATTGTCTCTGTTTCTCAAATGTTATGTTACTGCAGGACAGTTGAATTTAAAAACAACAACAACACTTTACACAGTGACATTTGAGGATGACTACAATAAACAGAACAAAAAAATTAATTGCATAAAGCTGCTTCTTGTGGTACCCCTTGATGAAAATAAACCACAAAATACTGAAATGTAACTCAATGAACACAGCTGGGTAGGTGGAGAGCAGGGAGGAAGGGAGAAGGGAGAAAGGGGAAAGGGAACATGAAGTGGGTGAGGTATACAGACTTCTGATGGTCCATCCTGAGCCACAGGAAGAATGGATACAATTTAAAGGAGTGGATATACTGCTCATCCTTCAAACTATTGTGACTGGGCTTTGGTAAAAGCTCAGCAAGAAATGAAGAGTAGACAGAGTCTCACACCTGTAATCCCAGCAGTTTGGGAGGCCGAGGCAGGCAGATCACCTGAGGTCAGGAGTTTGAGACCAGCCTGGCCAACATGGTGAAACCCCGTCTCTACTAAAAATACATAATTAACTGGGCGTGGTGGCTCATGCCTGTAACCTCAGCTACTTGGGAGGCTGAGGCAGGAGAACCACTTGAACCCAGGAGGCGGAGGTTATGGTGAGATGAGATCGCGCCATTGCACTCCGGCCTGGGCAACAAGAGTGAAACTCTGTCTCCAAAAAAAAAAAAAAGAGTAGACAGAGTGAGGTAGAAGTCTCTGGAGAGAACCCAAAGGTTATATACTCTGTACTACTGGCTGAGGATGGACCTACAAAAATTGAATATCATCCAAGCACAGTATTGCTGAGGTCCTTTCATGAAAATTTGAGGCCTCGTTAAAGGCTGTCCCACATCAGCATAGATGAGGGCCCCATTAATAAAAGGCCAAATATAAAATGAAAAAATAAGAACAATCAGAAAGCAGACACCAGAAAACTATTCACTCATACATATATTTTTAAAAATGCAAATGACAGTATCCTTTAGCATCTATAAGCTAAGCAAAAGTAAAAAATAGCTGGAAAAATTCAATATTCTGCAGATTTTAAGACAGGAGTTATATTCAAAATTTGTTAAGAGGCTGGGTGCAGTGGCTCATGCCTGTAATCCTAGCACTCTGGGAGGCTGAAGCAGGCAGATCGCTTGAGCCCAGGAGTTCAAGACTAGCCTGGGCAACATGGCAAAATACCCTCTCTACAAAAAAAAAATACAAAAAATTAGCTGGTCGTGGTGCATACCTGTAGTCCCAGCTACTCAGGAGGCTGAGGTGGGATGATCACTTGAGCCCAGGAAGTCAAGGCTGCAGTGAGCCGAGATCACGTCACTGCACTCCAGCCTGGGCAACAGAGCAAGACCATCTCAAAAAAAAAAACTGTTAGAAAAAGCCAAGTAGTTAAACAAACTATGATAATATTAATGTATCTGTGCAAAAACATGATTATGTACGATGTGAACAAATATAGAAAGATGCTTATGAGACAATATTAAGTGAAAAAAAAAAATGAGTGCAAAGTACTCTAGGATTGCCACAATATAAATTGATAGAAAAACAATGGTGGACCACAGAAGTCAGCAGAGCTCCATCTACCCAGCCTGAGGAAAGCACCTAGGAGCTGCAGATAGCAGCTGCCATCTTCAGCACTTGCCCTGGACTAGCCCCATCTGCACTCAATTTTAGCCTCTCTTTGCCTGTTCAATGTCCCACCCCATCCCCAACCACCCATGCCCAAATGTATTCTTCCAAAAGGACATTTTCTCCTTTTCCATCTTCTTTACTTCTCGCAAGACACTGTGAGGTAGATATTATTATGACCATTACAAATCTATCATTAAATGAATGAATGGTTACAAATTAAAGCTAAACAGAAGGCTTGTTTTCAGATCTTCCAAGCTGGACAAGCTTCTTCTTAGTTCACTGACCCCCTTTAAGGTTTACCTGGGCAGGGCTTCTTGGCCGACTGAGCAGGGACAGAAGCCAGAGGACCAGCTTCTGCAGCTCCAGCTGCGTGCACTCCTTGCTTCTCAAGGCCTTGTGAATGCTCAGTCGAAGGTGATGAATTATCTACAAAGAGGAAAGGGATAAGTTTTCCTACGATACCCCAAGTTTCATTTTACGTTGGGAGCAACAGCCCAGCTAACCAGCCATCAGACAAGACTCCCAACACATGGATTTGGAGAGTTCATGTCTTCTGGATTTTAAAAAATTGTATGTGTGTGTGTATAAAAAATAGAGAGAGAGAGAGCAAGCGGAAAGTCACTATGTCACAGGAGAGACTCACCAAACGAAACCAGATGAAGACAATGACAGGCCCTAGACACAGCATAGGGTAGAAGGTACCTGCCACCATTCACAGTTCCCTAAACAGCCCGACACTGGTATATGCAGAGCCCTCCCTGTCTGCACTCACTACGTCTGACACTAACATCCCAACACATGAAAACTCGATGGTGAAAGCTTAGCAACTCCGCCTTTGGTGATTTACCTTTCCCAACAGCAATTCTCCTAAGCCTACCACCCACTGATTTCTAGGTACCAGCAAATGTAACAGAATAAGTAACTGAATGCATTAGAATTAAAAGAACACCAAACCACACTTTGTAGACTAAAAAACTACTAAAGGCCAGGTGCAGTGGCTCACGCCTGTCATCCCAACACTTTGGGAGGCCAGGGCTGGAGGACTGCTTGAGCCCAGGAGTTCAAAACCAGCCTGGTCAACATAGCAAAACCTTGTCCCTACAAAAGAAAAATTTTAAAAAATAGCTGGACATGGTGGCATGTGCCTGCAGTCCCAGCTACCAGGGAGGCTGAGCAGAAAGATCACTTGAGCCCAGGAGTTCGAGGCTGCAGTGAGTCATGACTGTGCCACTGTACTCCAGCCTAGGCAACAGAGCAAGATCCTGTCTTCAAAAACAACAATAAAAATTACTGAAAGACTATGGGAATATATTTATAATGGGAATATGCAATATTCCTAGCAATATGGGAAAATATGATGTTGTATAAAGTAGAAATTTAAGATATTAAATTAACATATACTTTGAGCACAATTGGATTCGTGTTTGTATATAACAGAACTGAAGGGCCTATAATAAAATTGTAACAAGTATAGTAGATTAGAGTGAGCAAAATCATATACAATTTTCATTTCCAGTTGCTATTTTCCAAATTGTTCTGTAATGTCATTAAAATTACTTAAAAATTAACAAAGCCAAAAATTATATTTATGACAAGAAAGCCATCCCTACATTAATCTTACTTTTCCACTCACCGGCCCATCTCCTTCCTCTTTTTCCTAACTATGCCATTAAAACTGTTCTACTAGGCCGGGCGTGTGGCTCATGCCTGAAATCCCAGCACTTTGGGAGGCCAAGGCAGGCAGATCATGAGGTCAAGAGATTGAGACCATCCTGGCCAACATGGTGAAACCCCGCCTCGACTAAGAATACAAAAATTAGCTGGGCATGGTGGCGCATGCCTGTAGTCTCAGCTACTCGGGAGGCTGAGGCAGAAGAATCGCTTGAACCCGGGAGGCAGAGGATGCAGTGAGCCCCGATCGCGCCACTGCACTCTAGCCTGGGCGACAGACTGAGACTCTGTCTCAAAAAAAAAAACAAAAACAAAACCTGTTCTACCTACTTCCTGACATCCAATTTACCAACAAGCTACTGTTCAATCACTTGGGTAGATTCTAGTAGCTAGCAGTGACAGTGCTAAAGATAAACTCCATCCCTTCTCTCCTTTGGTTAGGATCACCGTTCTATACAATACAATGTTGCCTGTTCTAAACTTTCCCAAGAACAAAGATGAAATTAACATAGGAACTGCTTTGCCCCCAGACTCACTTTCATGTCACTGTTCTTACTTCTTCACAGTGAAGCATCGCAAAACCATATCGCTGATACTTCTCTGTCCTTCTTGGATATTCCTACCTGTATTTTCAAGCATCTTGTGCAGCTTCATATGCTTGTAGGTGGAGATTATCTGAAAATTAACAACACTTGGAATATTCAGTCCTTGGTCCTGTAGCAGCTTCAAAGATGCAGCATGGATAAGCTGATGGGACCGTTTGCAGGTCTGAAGTTTGCATTCTCCTTTCACAAAGGATTTGCACACATGAAACTTGTTGCATTTATCCTTGAGGTTGCAGTAGCCATACAGGGCTTCCCCTTTGTTGTAGAGCAAACAGACCTGGTACAGAAATGAGGGAACACCTGAAATATTAGTTTTTCTTTTTTTTTTGGCAGCGGGGAGATGGAGTCTCGCTCTGTCACCCAGGCTGGAGTACAGTGGCACCATCTTGGCTCACTGCAACCTCCATCTCCCGCGTTCAAGCAATTCTCCTGCCTCAGCCTCCCGAGTAGCTGAGAATACAGGCGTTCACCACCACAGCCAGCTAATTTTTGTATTTTTAGAAGAGACGGGGTTTCACCATGTTGGCCAGGCTGGTCTCCAACTCCTCACCTCAGGTGATCTGCCCACCTCAGCCTCTCAAAAGTGCTGGGATTACAGGTGTGAGCCACCACACCCGGCCAATATTAGTTTTCACTCTATCTTTTAAGCCAAAAGACTATAGCTTCTCTAGCTAAACTGAAGACTAAATGACATCTTCTGATCACCAGTGGCTGTTAAAATCTTTGGGGGAAAGCCTGATGATAGTGTAGTGGTGCTAACCATACTCCCGCTGCTGTGGGCACTGGCTGCTTGTGACTCACAGCTGCCCCCTCTTACTTTACACTCTCAGCTGAACTGCCCTCTGTCCCCAAAGCCTGTAGCCAATGAATGACTTAGATAAAGCTAAAAAAATGCTAGAGTGCCTCAAAGCTAGACTCAACGTGATCTTTGTTCCACAGCTCCCCATGAATGAAGTCAAGGCCAGACCTTATGTGCTTGTAGCTTTTCCTTCCTTAGACCCTGCTTCCCTCTCTCCCACACTGGGTTTTCCTGAAAAGCCCGCCCTCAAAAAAATCACACATACCTGGGTCTCTATCTCAGGCTCTGCTTCCAGGGAAACCAGTTTCAACGGGTGGCACAAAGATCTAATTTATGATCCAGACGAGGGCATTTTTAGGCTGCAAGGGAGCACTATTAATAATCACACTGGGACAACTAATATAAACTGGGTCTATCCCAGACACACCAAGACCACATTGATAGGGAACTTTATAATGATGGGATCAGGCTGTTGACCCTGAAACCACGCATCAGTCTTGGCCGCTCACACAAAGATGACATTATATGCCTCCTGATGTGATGCAACAGAAATAGAACTGTCCAGGTTTTACTATGAAAGTCTGACATCCCCGGCAACCCCTCAGTCCCAGGCAAATGGGCTGCTGAGTCACCCTAACAATGCTGCACACGTAAAAAAACTCTTGCTATAAAATAAATCCTGGCTGGGCGCGGTGCCTCACACCTGTAATCCCAGCACTTTGGGAGGCCAAGGCAGAAGGATCACCTGAGGTCAGGAGTTCATAACAGCCTGGCCAACACGGTGAAACCCTGACTCTATTAAAAATACAAAAGTTAGCCAGGCATGATGGCACACGCCTGTAATTCCAGCTACTGGGGAGGCTGAGGCAGAAGAATTACATGAACCGGGGAGGTGGAGGTTGCAGTGAGCCAAGATTGTGCCATTGCACTCCAGCCTGGGCAACACAGCGAGACTCCGTCTTAAAAATAAAATAAAATAGAGGCGGAGGTTGCAGTGAGCTGAGATTGCGCCACTGCACTCCAGCCTGGGCGACAGAGCGAGACTCCATTTCAAAAATAAATAAGGCCCGGTGTGGTGGCTCACACCTGTAATCCTAGCACTTTGGGAGGCCAAGGTGGGTGGATCAAAAGGTCAGGAGTTCAAGACCAGCCTGGCCAATATGGTGAAACCCCGTCTCTACCAAAAATACAAAAATTAGCCAGTCATGGTGGCACCTGTAATCCCAGCTGCTTGGGAGGCTGAGGCAGAATTGCTTAACCTGGGTGGCAGAGGTTGCAGTGAGCCGAGATCACGCCACTGCACTCCAGGCTGGACGACAGAGTGAGTCTCCATCTCAAAAAATAATAATAATTAATTAATTAATTAATTAATTAAATAAAGTGAAATAAATCCTAAATCTGATCAAAATTTGAGGGATACAGGAACATGTTCAATAGTACTACAGGAATGTAATCAGTCAAATCTAAAATATGGGAAATCCTACAAGACACAGATGACCTGGTTTAAAATGAAATAGCATCCTATTTATAATTGTGATGCCAATTTTCTAAAATAAATTCGTAACTTTAATGCAATTTCTACCCTTCTCAAAGAATTCCTTTAAAATAGTTTTAGGAATTTAAGTGATTCTAAAGCTTATCTGGAAAAGGAGACATGAACTGATTAAACAAACAAACAAAATTAGACAGGCACAGTGGCTCATGGCTGTACTCCTAGCACTTTGGGAGACCAAGGATGGCAAATTGCTTGAGCCAAGGAGTTCAAGACCAGCCTAGGCAACACAGCAAGACTCTGTCTCTACAGAAAAATTTAAAAAGTGGACTGGGCACAGTGGCTCATGCCTGTAATCCTAACACTGTGGGAGGCCAAGGCAGGCGGATTGCCTGAGCTCAGGAGTTTGAGATCAGCCTGAGCAACATGGTGAAACCCTGTCTCTACTAAAAACACAACGAATTAACTAGGCATGGTGGCACTTGCTTGCAGTCCCAGCTACTAGGGAGGCTGAGGCACGAGAATTGCTTGAACCTGGGAGGCAGAGGTGGCAATGAGCTAAGATCACGCCACTGCACTCCAGTCTGGGCGACAGAGCAAGACTCTGTCTACAAAACAAACAAACAAAAACAAAAAAAAGTATCTGGGGGCCAGGCGCTATGGCTCACGCCTGTTATCCCAGCACTTTGGGAGGCCAAGGTGGGCGGATCACTTGAGGTCAAGAGTTCAAGGCCAGCCTGGCCAAAATGACAAACCCCATCTCTACTCAAAATACAAAAAACTAGCTGGGTATGGTGGCAAGCGCCTGCAATCCCAGCTACTTGGGAGGCTGAGGCAGGAGAATCGCTTGAACCAGGGAGGTGGAGATTGCAGTGAGCTGAGATCACACCACTGCACTCCAGCCTGGGCGATAGAGCAAGATTCCATCTCAAAAAAACAAAACAAAAAAAAGTAGCTGGGTGCGGTGGTGTACACCTGCAGTCCCAGCTACTCGAGAGGCTGAAGTGCGAGGATTGCTTGAGCCCAGGAGATCGAGGTTGCAGTGAGCTATGACCAGCCTGGGCAACATGGCAAAACCCTGTCTCTGCACTCCAGCCTGGGTGACACAGCGAGACCATGTCTCTAAAAGAGTAAATAAACTTTAAAAATGAAAGATAAACTACTTTAATTAGTATGATAGTGGTTCAAGAATTGGAGATCATGGAAAATAGATCCTACACCTACTCCAAATATAAGGAACAGCCTGTTCCTTATAGATTTGTTAAAATTAAGGAGAATAGGGATATGTAGGTCGAAGGGAACAAAGTTTCAATTAAACAGGATGAATTTCTGGAAATCCACTGTACGGCAAGGTGACTGTAGTTAATAATAACATAATGGCCAGGCACAGTGGCTCACACCTATAATCCCAGCACTCTGGGAGGCTGAGGTGGGCGGATCACGAGGTCAGGAGATCGAGACCATCCTGGCTAACAAGGTGAAACCCCATCTCTACTAAACAAAATACAAAAAATTAGCTGGGCATCATGGTGGGCGCCTGTCGGGAGGCTGAGGCAGAAGAATGGCATGAACCCGGGAGCAGAGCTTGCAGTGAGCCGAGACCTCACCACTGCACTCCAGCCTGGGTGATAGAGTGAGACTCCATCTCAAAAAAAAAGAAATAAATAAAATAAAATAAAAATAAAAATAAAATAAAATAAATAAAAAATAAAATAAAATTTAAAAAAATAACATACTGTATACCTGAAAATTGCTGTCCTTACCACACCCAAAAAATAATAGCCATGTAAAGTAATGGTATGCTAATTAGCTTAATCATTGCAATCAATTCACAATGTAAATATATTAAAACACCACATTGTACACTGTAAATATAAAATTTTTATTTGTCAACTACACTTCAATAAAGACAAAAATTTGATAGAATTCAACTATGAAACTATATAAGCCTGGCCAGGCGCAGTGGCTCACGCCTGTAATCCCAGCACTTTAGGAGGCTGAGGCAGAGGGATCACTTGAGGTCAGGCATATAAGACCAGCCCGGCCAACATGGTGAAACGCTATCTCTACCAAAAAGTACAAAAATTAGCTGGGCATGGTGGCACGTGCCTGTAGTCCCAACTATTCAGGAGACTGAGGTGGGAGAATCACTTGAACTCAGGAGGCAGAGGCTACAGTGAGCCGAGGTACTTCCAGCCTGTGTGAGAGAGTAAGACCCTGTCTCAAAAAAAAAAAAACTATATAAGTCTGATGTTTTCTTGTGCAAGCCTTCTAACTAATGCTTTGAGGTTTGTTTAATGCTTTTATTTTAAAAATTTTTATGACACTATTTTGGCTTTCCGTTTCTTCTTGAATCCATTTTGACAAGCTGTATTTTTCTAGAAATTTGTCCATCAATGCACCAGCATGAAACTTTACCTGTCTATTGTCTTTTTTATTGAGAGAGTGGTAAAAGCAATCATCAGGCATTTCATACAAGAGATGTGAGGCACCATTCTTGCCTCATGCACTGTGTTTTTCCACAGTCCCTGCTGCCCACATGATCACGTTTTGTGCCACATGTCACCTACTTCCAGTCCCAGGTGATGGGGACAAGTGGAGGCACAGGGGAGGCTCCTGTTGTAAGTGCAGCCAACCCATCAGCTGCTCACAAAACACTGAAGTAGTCTAATATGACAAGGTGAGGCTGGGCCCAAGATACATCCTAAAAAAGGGCATACCAAAAAAACATTCGATAGATTTGACAAAATAAAAACACTAAACTTCTATAAATCAAAAAGTACTATAAAATTAAAAGGCAAATAGCAGCGGCACCACGCCTTCTCTCTGAGACAGGAAGGACTGGACCCAGCCTCATAGGTGCAGCCACCCTCCTCTCCCTTCCTGCCAATAACCTGCTTCAGCTACTGCTTGCATCTACTTTGGGCAACATGGTTGGTTGGAATGCCTCTGGCTCACAACCGTGACATACCAGACTTGGCTTCAGTGCTCGAAGAAATGAAACAGGTTATGCATGTCAGGAAGAAACCTGCTTGTTCCTGAGATCAACTCCAGGACTGCCTTCTGGGTACAGATTCTGCTGCCTTGAGAGCAGCCTCTGCCACCTGCACCAAAGGCTCCAGCTCCTACCTCTAGTCTTGTGGCTATCTTCCTTTCTAGACGCTGAAATGCATTAGAGTTAAAATCAGGCCACAATTATGAACTATCCTCTGTTTTCTCAACATCTCCCCTTCTTCCCATCCCTCTTCTGGCCAAGTGGAGGTGTCTATGATAGCATCACTGTGCTAGATTAGAAAATCTTGCTTTTAATTGGTGGTCTTAATTGATGTTCCAATTTTCTCTTGGGATTTGTACTATTTTGTTTTTAAAACTTCTTTGTGTATGGCTAAACTGAAACAAACGTACTATTTCGCCATGATAGCAATTATAAAGGGTACCTTTAAAGCATTTGAAACTGAATCATGTTGCTTCGAAGGCAATTAAAATTAATATGTAAAGCCAAAAGAAAAATAAATGGGGAAAGTACTTGTAGCAAATGTGACATGAGGGTGACTCCTTGGTGACTCACCTCTGGTAAAAGACAGGGGTCATTCTGCAAAAGCAGGATCCGAAGCTGGTTTTCATTGAGACCAAAAAGTCCATGGCTTTTCAGGACCTGCATGTTGACAGGTGTGTGGATATCATGGGAAAGGGTACAGGTAGACCTAAAAGAACAAAGCCCTCGGTCAGATGCCCAGGTGAAGAAGGACCAGTCTGTCCAATTCCTTGCCTTGAGCAGCTTTCAATGTATTTAATACATGTGAAGTTGAGTAATTTTCATGAAACCGGGGATAGTATGGCCTAATAAGCACTGATGGAAAATAAGAAAATTGGGTTGAAGGAACTCCTCTCCCAGGGTCATTTGAATTTTCAGTAGGGATGCTTTGAAGCCAAGGGTCGCCCACCTCGCCTGAGGATGCACATCTGTTCCGTAGGCGACTGCACCTGGCCTTCTCCCCGGCAACAGCTGCCACAGTCCACCAACGTTAAAAAGAAAGCGCCCCTATCCCCAGCACCGCTTTGGCGGGGTGTGTGGCTAGAGACAACCAAGGAAAATTCGGGGCTGTGAAGCACAGCCTGGGGTCAGGAGGCAGCCCCGAACCCCAGCTCTGGCAGTCAGGAACCACAGGGCCTCACCCAAGCCATCCAGCCCTGTTTCCTGGGGTGAGACTGGCTCAGCGCTGTTAAACCTAGAGGGCGCAGACCCGCTTCTGCACAAGTGTGTGGATATGGGGGAGCAGCGATTTCCGGCTAAAGGGTCCAGGGATCTCATGGGATCCTCAGACGCCCCACGCCCCCCACCTCCCGCCAAATATCACCAGAATAAGTGAGCTCCGAAGTCCCAGTCCGGATTTAACCCGGCCGCGTCGCGCAGGATCCGGGGGGGCGGGCGGGGGCAGCAACTTTTCTGGCGTGGGCGGTTGAGACGTCTCCATGGAGAGGACCTTCGCGCCTTTCCGCCCAGCTGCTGGAAGCGCGGGGGAGGACGCCCAGGAAAGGCCTGCGGGAGGGGGTCGTCCAGCCCCGCGTCCCCGGCCCGGGGCAGGACGAAGCCCCCCTTCCCGTCGCTCCCGCTTCCAGCAGGACGGCCAGGCCCGCGGCCAGCGCCCACAGTCCCCGCCCGCCGCCGCCTTCTCACCAGCAGTCCCGGTTGGGGCACTTGCCCAGCATGTGCCGGCGGCAGAAGTGCAGCTGGTCGCAGGCCTGGCACTCGCCGCGCTGGTAGCGGGCGCAGAGGCGCACAGAGGACACGGCCACCACCCTCCAGGCGGAGGTGCCGCCACCGCCCACCGCGCCGGCCGCCGCCTCGGCCTCCGCGTCCCCGAGGCCCTCCTGCGTCTCCACCTCCTGCAGCAGGAAACGCTCGGGCCCGGCGCGCTGCAGCACGTCCCGGAGCCTGGCCTCCGACAGCTCCACGTGGCCGCGCAGGTCCTTCAGGAACATGCGGCCGCCGTGGGCGCACAGCACCTTGGTGAGGAAGGAGCACACTGTGGGCTCCGCCATGGTCGCTGGCGCGGGCCCTGTGCGCGCGGCGCAGCGAGCCGGGGCGGGCAGGCTCCTCCCAGTCACGTCCACGATTTCCAGCGAACAGCCCGGGGATGGGCCTGGGCCTGGCGAGGGGTGGGCCTGCGGGAGGCCGGGCGAGGGGCGGCCCCGGCGCGTGGAAGCAGGGTACGGCGCCTGCGGATCCCCTGGACGTGGACTCAGGCGGGGACAGCGTTGATGGAGCGTCTGCTCCGCCCAGGCACCGTTCAGGGCGAAGCCTGGCCTTGAGGGGCTTGTATAGTGGGAGTCACAAAGGACTCGCCAACAAGACAACTGGTAGTGCTAGGGAGGCCTGCGGAGAAGGAGAAATAGGTAAAAGGTGGTAGGAGGTGAGTGGCCGGGCTGCTTCGCGGGAGGTGGCCACTAGCCACATGTGGCTGCTGAGCACTTCTGGGATTTTTTGTTGTTGTTGTATTTTTATTTTTGGAGACAAGGCCTCACGTTATCGCCCAGGCTGGAGTGCAGTGGCGCTATCGTAGTTCGCTGCAGCCTGGAACTCCTGGGCTCAAGCGATCCTCCCACCTCAGCCTCCTGAGTAGCTGAGACCGAAGGTTCGCATCACTAATTTTTTTGGTTTTTGTTTTGCTTTGTAGAAACGGGGTCTCCTCATGTTGCCCAGGCTGGTCTCGAACTCCTCAAGCGATCCACCTGCCTCAGCCTCCCAGAGCACTGGAATTACAGGCGTGAGCCACCCCGCGGGGCCTGCTGAGCTTTATTGGAAAGTGGCTAGTCCGAATTGAGATGTGATATAAGTGTGAAATACACACACTAGATTTTGAGGACTGAGAATGAGAAAAAGAATGTAAAATATCTCACTAACTTTATATGAATCACATGTTAAACATAATATTTTGGATATATTTGGATAAATAAAATGTTATGACAACTTCATGTGTTGCTTCTACTTTCCTAATGTAGCTATGAGGAAATTTTACATTGCAAATGTGGATTACCTTATTTTTGTTGAGCAGCACCAGTCTAGACCTGCCTTAAGCATCCATGCTTTTTGTCCAACACCTTGCTTGTTTCATGAACGTTTGTTGAGCCAACTACTAACGCAGTGACAGTACAAAGATGAATCAGACCATCAGAGAACTCAGCCAGCCTAGCTGCTATTTTGCAAGGTGCTCGTGAGGATTAAATGCATTAATGTCATGTAATGTAAAGAAGCTAGAGAGGAAGACAACTGGCCAGATGCCAGAAGACCTTCTCTGCCATGCTGTGAAATTTGGACTTATATCCCGAGAACTTTGGGAAGTCACTAAAGGATTTTCATCTGGGAAGTGTGGATGTCTCCTGAGTGCCACTCAAGGTGTGTCATTCAGCTCTGAGCTTTAATGTCTTCTCTTCAGCAAAACCTTTCCTGACCTCTCAAATCTAAAGTAGCTCCCCAGTCTGCATGGAACTTACCACTGATATTTTTCTTCTTTATTGTGTATTTATATATTTAGCTATAGAATTCAGGCTCATGAAAGCAGGAACCTTGTTTTGTTCATTGCTGTATCCCTACCACCTAAAATAGTACCTGGCCATATTGTAGGATAGGTGTTTTAGAAAGACCCCTGGCAGCAATGAGAAGAATGGATTTCTAGAAAAGCAAGACGAGGTGGGGAATAACAGAAAATAAACAGGATTTGAGGGACTATAACCCCAGTGTTATTTATGTTGAGAGTTTGCAGTGGACAACCCAAGGTAAGACGCTCAACAGGCAGGTGTATTCTGTATACAGGTCTAGACCTTGAGGGACATGAGAAGGGAAGGGATGTAGATTTGCGTGACATCAGAGCATTAGGTAACTGAGAGTTGATAAGATCACCTGGCAAAAATGAAGAGTGTGAAAAGGTGGGGGACGGGGGGAAAGAAGCTTGGCGAATACCCACATTAAATAAGCAAGTGGGGGAAGAGAAAAATAGGCAGTAGCCTACGTCCCCTTGGCACTCAGCATTTGTTCCTGAACTCTCTGCCTAAGCTTTTTCCAACAGAAGGAGGAAGCAGCCAGCAGGAAAGGCAGGCTGGAATTACCAAGGAGCCAACACCTCCAGGAAGAGCCTTCATCCAGGGATGTTGGGGAATTGGTGGTTTGAGGATGCACTCTCAACCCTAAAATTGGCATGAGGATTATTTTAAACTAAAGACATGTAAGATTCAATAGAGGCAAAAAGAAGCCTTCTTGAAGCTTCCTTTATTTCAGTAAAAGCAGAATCTTCTGGGAGTGAGGTTGCCATTCATCCCCTCTCCAGGGGTTTATGGACATGAAATAGAAAACCACGTGCACCTGCATAAACAACTTCCCTATGAACACAAACTTCCTTATCTCCTGTTTGTTCCCTAGAAACCCCTTTGTTCTTCCCATAGGAGCCTTTTTGCCCCCCTCTCTCCCCTATTAAGTTAGGTAAATAAATCATCATCACTTCTTTTGTGCAGTGCCATATGCATATATGTTTTTTCTCTTGTCAGTTAAATTTGCAGCCCCTCAGAACTGAACATAAGAGAGTGCAGGAAAAGTTTTTCCTCCCCAACAATGGATCAAACAGCCCAACTCATTCCTCGTGTGGAACCACTTGGAGGTGTACATTCCATGGTCTCCCAATGTTTCCTCAATGGAACTGAACCCCAGTTGCCCACAGCCACACCTGCTCATTAGCACTCCCCATACAGTCTTCCTTCCTTTCCTTGCCCTACCTCCCCATTCCCCTGCCAGTGTTTCTTAGGATCACCTCCCAAGTAAACTGTGTGCATTCAATCCTTGTCAGATTGCTCCTGAGAGAACATAGCCTAACATATAAACTGATAAGGAGAGGTTAGAGAAAAATGAGAGTCATTCATGGACACGCAGAGGAGAGAGTTTCAAGGAGAAAGTGATCAGCATGGTGAGATACTACAGGGAGGAGCTTTCCTACAAGGGAAAGCTTGTAGACAGTGATAACCTAGGCAGGTTTATTTCAGAGGAATAATGAGAAAAGGTAGATTTCTGTAGGTTAAAAAAAGAAGAATAGAAAAACCGAGGACTTTACTTCTAAAAGTAAGTAAGGTAATGATAATAAGAGGAAGACACAAGACTGAGAAAGGTATTTTATTATAGGAGAGACAAGCATAGTTACATGCTGAGTAGAAAGAGCCAGTAAGACCGGGCGCGGTGGCTCACGCCTGTAATCCCAGCACTTTGGGAGGCCGAGGCGGGCAGACCACGAGGTCAGGAGTTCGAGACCATCCTGGCTAACATGGTGAAACCCCATCTCTACTAAAAGTACAAAAAATTAGCCAGGCGTGGTGGCGGGCGCCTGTAGTCCCAGCTACCCGGGAGGCAGAGACAGGAGAATGGAGTGAACCCAGGAGGCGGAGCTTGCAGTGAGCCAAGATCGTGCCACTGTACTCCAGCCTGGAGAACAGAGTGAAACTCCGTCTCAAAAACAAAACAAAGAGAAAAGAAAGAGCTAGTAAGAATGGAAAGTTGAAAATAAAGGAGGCCAGGTGCGGTGACTCATGCCTGCAGTCCCAGCATTTTGGGAGGCTGAGGCAGGAGAATCACTTGAGTCCAGGAGTTTGAGATCAGCCTGGGCAACATGGTAGAACCCTGTCTCTACTAAAAATGCAAAAATTAGCTAGGCATGGTGGCATGTGCCTGTAGTCTCAGCTACTCAGGAGGCTGAGGTGGGAGGATTGCTTGAGTCTAAGAGGTCAGAGGCTGCAGTGAGCCAAGATCGTGCTACTGCACTCCAGCCTGGGCGACAGAAAAAGGTAGGAAGGAAGGGAAAGGAAAGAAAAGGAAGGAGAGAGAGAAGAAAAAAAGAAAGAATATAAAGGAAAGGGGAATTGTAATCAGCGGGGGATGTCCATAGGCAGTGAGATAGAATGGGAGACGTCAGAGGAACTAACCTCCGACAGGAGGGGAGATGCTTCTTCCATTCACACAACAGGAAAGGAGACAAGGATTAGAGCATCTAAAGACAAGTTTGTAGGCTTTGTTTTGTTTTGTTTTTTTAAGTTTAAGGCAAAACCAAGAATGGATGGTGGAGAGTCACTTCAGGAGACCATAAAGGCTTGACAAAGCTGACTTGTGGAGAGGGGAGAAGGCTGACAGGTAGGACCAGTGGGCATGGGCAGGGCCTTACCAAGGCCACAAATTCGTAGTGGCATTGATCCAAACAGTGCTGCAATTCTCCTAAAAGCTCTCAAGGTGTAAGAACAGAATTTGATTGATTCACTTTTAGGTTTTGCCAGTGGGTGAGACTTAAGGTCAAAGGTTCTAGATGATTGAGGTATGAATTGAAAGAGTGATCAGGGGGCTGGGTGCAGTGGCTCATGCCTGTAATCCCGCCACTTTGGGAGGCTGAGGCAGGTGGATCACCTGAGGTCGGGGATTCAAAACCAGCCTTAGCAAAGTGGTGAAACCCTGTCTCTACCCAAAATTACAAAAATTAGCCAGGTGTGGTGGCACACGCCTGTAATCCTAGCACTTTGGAAGGCCGAGGCAGGAGGATCACTTGAGGTCAGGAGTTCGAGACCAGCCTGGCCAACATATTGAAACCCCATCTCTACTAAAAATTAGCCAGGATGGCAGTGGGTACCTGTAATCTCAGCTACTCAGGAGGCTCAGGTGGGAGAATCACTTGAACCTGGGAAGCGGAGGCTGCAGTGAGTTGAGATCACACCACTGCACTCCAGCCTAGGAGACAGAGTGAGGCGCCGTTTCAAAAAAAAAAAAAAGAAGAAAAGAAAGAGTGGTCAGGGGCTGAACAATGGGCTGGAGACTAGGTAAGGGAGGAGTGAAGACAGCAAGGGGCTATATGTGAGCAGAGAAAGACGACGTACGAAATGTAGGAGGGCCAGAGAGCTCAAAAGCAGGCTGGGGTCAGAGGTAGAATATAGAGGTTTGGGATTTCAGAAACAGCAGTTCTAGGCCATTTGCAGTGATTCGTGCCTGTAATCCCAGCACTTTGGGAGGCTGAGGCAGGAGGATCAGTTGAGGTCAGGAATTCAAGACCAGCCTGGCCAACATGTCGAAACCCAATCTCTACTAAAAATTAGCCGAGCGTGGTGGCAGGCGCCTGTAATCTCAGCTACTTGGGTGGCTGAGGCAGGAGAATCGCTCGAACCCTGGAGGCAGAGGTTGCAGTGAGCTGAGATCACGCCATTGCTCTCCAGCCTGGGCGGCAGAGCGAGACTCCATCTCAAAAAAAAAAAAAGCAGTTCTAGAGTAATTCTGACTGATGACAGTGGGGTGATGGATATTGGTACCCCGAATAGTGAGGACAGTGAAGACAGGTGTTAATGACATCTAAGGCTAGGGGTGTTGCATGGGTTGACCACAGTGAACACTGAAGGAAAAGGGAGGATTTTGAGTGGAGAGGAAGACTATGAGGCAGAGTGTGGAGAAGACTCCAAGAGCAAATGCAGGAGTTAATGGGGGAAGGGTGGGGAGGTGAGAGGGAAGAGGTAGAGACTGTTCCTACAGATACACACTTAACCTGCAGACTCTGCACCTGAACTTCCGGGTTTAGAATCTTGGTTCTCTTACTCAGTAGCCGTGACACTGCACAGCTTATCTGACTCCTCAGCAGAGGTATAGATCCTGGATTCAGAGTGTGTGACACTTGGATCTGGGAATAAATAAGACCATTCATGGGGAAGTGCATAGAGGGGTAAAAAGGAAAGATCCCAGAGCAGACTGTTTATTGAAGCATGTGGATTTTTCAGGAAGAAGAGGGTGACATTAGATGCCGGGCAGGTTCACAAGGGAATGAAAAAGAGAAAACAGGAGGTTGAGGTTGGGGGTGGTATTTTAGGATTGGAGCTTTTAAGGCTTAAGCACTTCCTGGAACGTTCTGATGTCTCCTGCCACTCTGATTCTGAAGCTCATTCTCAAGCTTATGGTCACTCAGGCACACATCTGTAGCACGAGCTTTGGAGCAAGTCACTCTGGGGACATGCACTGATATCACTGTTATAAATTCATCCGCTCTGGTCTTAACCTTCTAAATGAAACCTGCCTGTTATCCCCTGAACTCTTTCCAAGACATGTCTCAGAACATGGCCCCATGGCCCCAGACACACATGCTTAGCACTCAACTAAGTATTGCGTTTCATGGCAGTTCTCTTTATAGTAGCTAAGGTATGAGGGTATGAGTGGAAAGTGGTTGTTATTTAGCTTCATTTCTTTTTTCTTTTTTTTTTTCTTTTTGAGACAGAGTCTTGCTCTGTCACCCAGGCTGGAGTGCAGTGGCGCAGTCTTGACTCACTGCAGCCTCCACCTACCCGGTTCAAGCGATTCTCCTGCCTCAGCCTCCCAAGTACCTGGGACTACAGGTGTGTACCACCATGCCCAGCTAATTTTTGTCTTTTTAGTAGAGACGGGGTTTCACCATGTTGGCCAGGATGGTCTCGATCTCTTGACCTCGTGATCCACCCGCCTCAGCCTCCCAAAGTGCTGGGATTACAGGCGTGAGCCACTGCACCCGGCCATAGCTTCATTTCTACCAAATGCTGGACTGAGGAGTCCACCGGAAACTAGCGCACTATGACAACGTAAACAAACTCATAAAAAAAATAAATAAAAAAACTCCAGGATCTGCTCATGCTTGGTTTGATAGCATTTTTGTGTGTTTCAATCCAGGTGCTTTGACAGCAATGACTTTGCTACACCTTGCTTTATTTATATTGAGGTCCAAGTCAAATGGTAGTTTTACCTTCACTTTATCAAATCTCTGCTGCCATAGAACTTGCTCTCCCTCTCCATTTCCCTCCTCCCTGCTCCCTCTCCACTGAAAGCTTTGTGATTAAAAAAGATAATGAGGCCGGGTGAGATGCTCACACCTGTAATCCCAGCACTTTGGGAGGCCAAGGCAGGTGTATCACCTTAGGTCAGGAATTCAAGACCAGCCTGGCCAACATGGTGAAACCCCACCTATACTAAAAATACAAAAACTAGCCGGGTATGGTGGCGGGCGCCTATAATCCCAGCTACTCAGGAGGCTGAGGCAGGAGAATTGCTTGAACTCAGGAGGCAGAGGTTGCATCGAGCTGAGATTGCGCCACTGCACTCCAGCCTGGGTGACAGAGTGAGACTCCATCTCAAAAAAAAAAAAAAAAAAAAGAGAAGAAAATAATGAGTAGAGAAGGGCTTTTGGAGAAGGAATGGCTGATAGGGTAATTCTGCTTATCACCATTTATATTTTTAACTTTTGTGTCTCAGCCTGGCCCTGTTCACACCCCCGAGACTAAAGGAAGAAAGGTGTGTTAGCAGCTTTCAACCCTTCCCTCTCTAAATCCCCAGACAAAAGATGTGGGGGCCATCACCACCACTGTGCCTTGCCCAGGTGACTTGGTCATCGAACCCTGGAATGATAAAGCTGGAAGGGGCAAAACACATCATCTCTCTCCCATTGAATAACTGGTGTCTGCAGTTGATGATGTTTTGGGAGATACCTAGAAATAGATCAAATAAAGGCAGTAGAACCAAATTAATTACTTCTTTTTATTAGACAGTTCAAATTAAGCTTGAAGAACAGGAAGCAATACAACTCAACTATTGAAATACAAATAGTTGAGCTTAATTTATTCAACAAAATTTACCCAATATATCAGTGTACAAAGCATGCTGCTGGGCTGGGCATCAGGCGTGGCACAGCAAACAAGACAGACTGACTCAACCCTCAGGGGGCTTACATTCTAATGCAGAAAGCAGATAATTTCAGTTTGGATACATAATACAAATTATCAAAGCAAGGCGCAAAGTATTTTAAAAATAAGGGGTTTGGGAGGCCAAGATCTGACCTATTCTGTAGAAGGACTCCTTAGGAAAGTAACAGTTGAGCCAATCTAAGGATGCTAGATATTCAGTAGGTCAGTGGAAAAAATCAGTGGTTCTCACTGTGGTCAGTGGGTTATTGGTGGTTTCATAATAACTGGGGACTACTCCCAGCACTGAGTGGATGCAGCCAGGGAGAACGATGTCCTGCAGTGTGTGGGTTAGTGCCACACAACGAAGAATTATTCTGTACCCTGTACGACTGTCTAATGTCCTGCTGGACATTTAGGTAGGACCTACAGCTTGTCCGAGAGAGTAACTCATTTGTTTTCTCTGAGACAATCTGTAATTTGTCTTGTCCTATTATCCTTAAGTAAGGTAATTTCGCTCTTTCTTTTCCCATATACAGATTATGTACATAGTCTGTTTTGTCTTTACCCTAACACTGGTTTTCATTCTAGTGTCCCCCACCCGTCTAGTTTCATTTTCCTGTACTTGTTTACAGGAAGTAGCCTCTAATCGGCTCTTAAATCCAAACCTACTCATTACAAGGAAGAGTAAACATCTGTCTGTTTCAAACAGCGTAGTCATGCCTGAGCGTTTACATAATGAAATTCATCTTCTTTTCATTATAAATTTCTTCTTTTCTATTTCTCCTTAATAAGAGAGTTAGGGCATTAAATTGATTTTTTTAAGAAATTCATGTGTGTAAGTAGATTGTATTATCTATGAGTCATTTCAGGTCAGCAAAGAGAATGTTACAAAATATCTGCTCTGAAAAAGGTGAATAGATCTGATAGGGTTTGTGGTTGTCACCGTGACTGGGCGTGGGGGTGGGGGCGCTACTAGCATTTAGTATGTGAGAGCCAAGTATGCAGAACATCTTGCAATACATTGGACAGTTCCTCACAATAAGAAATTACTCTGCACCCTATACGAATTTTGAATGTCTCACTAGACATTCATGTATGACCTATAGCTCGTCTGCAAGAATATATCCTCATTTTCTCCACTTCGACAACTGTACATTTTCTTGCATAGTATCTTTATTTCAATAAAGGTTATTTCGTTCTTTCTCTTATATACAAATAAGTATTGTCATATGCAAAGAAGTTATTGTATCCCTAGTTTTTATTCTAATGCCCACTGATATCCCTGCTTTTACATTTTCCCACATATGATCTGATCTCCTACCTTCTAAGTTCAAATTGATGCATTATAAATAGTTGTAAGCATCTGACTACTTCATTAGGTCTTCAGTTACAGCTGTGCCCAAGTTAGGTACCTTTTATTTCCTCTTTATGTTCATATTAGTTTTATTTAATTTTTAATTTATTTCTAAAATTGTGTGTAGGTGGAGCATATTACCTCTGAATTGGATTTGGAGGATAATAAAGAAGATGTATTTCTATTTGTCGTTTAGAAAAAAAAAGGCAGAAATGCCCATTGAAAACCACTGAACTAGCTAAAAATGGGAACCACAAAACTGAAAGGAAGCCAGAGTGGCTTGCGCAGAAGAAACTAAATGATAGAGGGGTAGGGGAGGGAGAGATCACATGGGGCCATGACAGCGGTTTTGAACTTTATCCTGAAGACTTGATGTGTGTTTTGAATGTGCATTACTAAGTAAATTTTAAAAAATATAACCTTCTTGCTCTGAAGAAAACACAGCAAACAACTTAGAAGGGAACAGAGATATTTAAGAGGTAAAACTAGACTTAGAAACTGCTTAGATGTTTATCAGGAGGGAGAGGAAGGAGTCAAAGATGACTTCCAGATTTCTGCTTGAGCCAATGGGTAGATGGTGATGCTTTTCACTTACATACAGATCCTGAGAGAGGAACAGGTTCATGTGAGGGAGGTAGATGGAGAGTTCCACTTTGGACATATTGAATCAAAGATGCCTGTGAAATATCCAGCTAGTGGTGTCTAATGGGCTGTTGGAAAGAGTTGGACAAACTGCACCCCTACAATGTGAGGGTCAAGTTCAGAAAATGAACACTCCAAAACGAAAGTTACCATGAAAGAAATAAGTCAATGAGAATAAGCATTTGTAGTAACTCTCCCAGAAAATAACTCTACTCTAAAAAAACTATTTTTTTTTTTTTTTTTTTTTTTTTTTTTTACCGGTGGAGCTGTTTAAGCCAAGGAGTTGTGGAGATCTCTGTGATGATCCAAAATCTGACTAATATAAAATCAACTCTGATGCTAATTAAATCTGACTTATAACTTGTCTGCTAAAAGAAATTATAACAGGAAACTTTGGTGACTGGTAAGGAATGTTGAAAAGGGAAAATCAGAAGGAAAAACCTGGTTCATAAGAAGGAAGGAAATATTGGTCCAAGCACGTCAAGGGCTCTAAGTAAAAACCGATGGCACTACAATTCCACATAATCCATTACATTTGGAAAAAGAAGCTCCTGGTAGACACAGGGCCTCTTTGGGATATTGTTCTTTGTTCTGATTCTGTGCTCACCAGGAAACAAATTTCATCTCCGTAGGGGGCCCGTCCTTCAGTAGGAATGGCCCTGCTCCTAGGTTCTTGGCTCACTTGCCAAGACTACAATAGCACTCGCGTTTATCAGTTATGCTTGTGTGAAGCTGGTTATTGCAATTCATTGTTCTCAAAATACTTTCATGAAAAGCCTGACCTGAGAAAAAGCCTTCTCTGTAATCATATTAATTAGAACATAAATGTCTACTTTGCCATAATTATACAAAGAGCCCAAATGGGCAATTAACTCCAGTTGGTTGCTTCTCTCTGAGCCTTACTTGCCAGCTCTTATTACCGCATTCCAGAGAGAGTCAACCTGGATGGAGTTTGTCCCCTAAATAAATGTAGCGATAAAGAAAAGGGTGCTCCAAATCAGTTTCATCAGAATGATAAGGTACAGTACTGCAGCCATGTCTGCAATAGCACTTCAATTTTACTTTTTTTTCCCCTAGCATGTCCTTAAGCATTTTCTCCCCAGCTTTTCACAATCTTTCTTCTAAGGCTGTAATGTCTTACATCCTTAATAGGCATGATTAGATTTCTCCCAAATTTTCCAAATTAACTTTCTTTCAATGTAACCAAAACAAAACCATGGCATACAGTAAACTAAAAGGGTAGACAGGAGAGAAAGGTTGCTGCAATTACAGAAAATTTAGAAATCAGCCTTTACCAGTTACATCTGAGACAAGGTAAACTTTCCAACACATTGGAATCATCAGAAGGGCTTTAAAAAATACAACTGCCAGCCGGGCATGGTGGCTCATACCTGTAATCCTAGCACTTTGGGAGGCCAAGGCGGGCAGATTGCCTGAGCTCAGGAGTTTGAGACCAGCCTGGGCAACACAGTGAAACCCTGTCTCTACTAAAAAATACAAAAAATTAGCTGGGCGCGGCAGTGTGTGCCTGTAGTTCCAGCTACTCGGGAGGCTGAGGCAGGAGAATTGCTTGAACCCGGGAGGCAGAGGTTGCAGTGAGCCGAGATCGCGCCACTGCACTCCAGCCTGGACGATGGAGTGAGATTCAGTCTCAAAAAAAAAAAAAAAAAAAAAAATACAACTGCCTGGCGCTGACGCCCAGAAATGATTTCATTGGCATGGGGTGCAACCTGGGCATCAGAATTTGTTTAAAACCTCCCAGATGATTCTAATATGTAGCAAAATTTGGGGACCACTGATCTAAGACATTAGATAACTGAGCAGGAAAATATAAAACTTTAACTCCTGTCTGCGGCAATTTAGTTCTGTAAAGGAACAGAATGGTTATGGCATCCTTCTGACGCTGTATTCATCGGTTCTAACTAATCACGCAGGCTTTGTCTTCAGTATATTCAATCACATATTGTGGGTAAACCTGATCTTTCTGAAAGATGACAAAAACGGAGGGATTCGATCTGGTATCCACACAGCTGTCGAACTGTGGAGGAGGGCTCGTGTACGTTATATTTCCTTCAGTAAACTTTCCAACCAGAACTTGGGCTACAAACATAACGACGTTTTTGGCATCATACGGGCAATTTTTGTGGGAATAGATGGCATCTTTTGCAAAGTAAATTCCTAGAAAGAATCAGAAAGAAAAGTTAAGAAATATTATAAAAGAAGGTATACAGTTTATAAGATTTGTTATATACAGTCAGATGGGTGTGGACTAAGCATATGTCAATAATACCTTACTGATATTTATAAACTTTCCTTTGCACTTAAAAACATGTTAATGATGCAGGCGAACTTAAATACAGTATATAACCCTATAGAAATGACTGAGGAATATTTGCTACAGTGCAGAGCTCATGCTGATAGTGTGAGCCATTGGGTGCAATGACCAAATGACAATGTCACAGTGGCCCAATTCATGCAATTCACCCAGTGTGAGCTGAATGAGCAAACTTGGAACTGATGAGTCAGTTGATGCTTCGTCCTCAACTCTAAAACAACCTCAGATAACGATTGCTGCTTCCATACACAGCAGACCAACAATTTCCTGCCAAGTTAAAATTTTTATTTTTATCATTGTCAAGTGCTACTCTGGGCAGGTGCAGTGGCTCATGTCTGTAATCCCAGCATTATGGGAGGTTGAGGCGGGTGGATCACATGAGCCCAGGAATTTGAGACCAGCCTGGGCAACATGGGGAGACTCCATCTCTACAAAAAATTTAAAAATTAGCCGGGCATGGTGGCGTGCACTTGTAATCTCAGCTACTCAGGAAGCTGAGGCAGGATTGATTGAGCCCAGGAAGTTGAGGCTGCAGTAAGCTAGGATCATACCACTGCACTCCAGCCTGGGCAACAGAGTGAGATTCTGTATCAAAAAATACTAATAATATTTTCTAAGAAAGCTACTCTGTCGTTTTAAAGACCATGAGTAGATATTGCAACTCCTATTTCCATGCAAGAATCAATAAGTAAAATGAATTGTTTTACTTGTGGTAACAAATGTTTAATATACTTCCCATCTACTTTGTTTTTGTTCTTTTTATCATTTTATAGTTAGATGTTTGAATTCCAGAAACATTGCTTATCCTGAATAGGTCAGATACTAGATATTCTGTGCAAATGATGTTCTACTATATTTAAAGTAAAATATGGAAGTCTACCTATACTGACCTACGACGTCCAATCCCACTCCCCTTCCCAAAACAGTTTATGGCTGGCGGGAATTCTTTCACACCTGTTTCTATGCATTCACATACATATATGTGCATATGGTGGTTTATGGTGGTTTACTTGTTCATAAATAGGATCATAATATATGAACTGTTCTACAACTTTTTTTTCCACTTTAGTCCTAGAAATCTTGCTATGTCAGTACATCCAACTCTCTCTCTCTCCTTTTTTTTTTTTTTTTTTCGTTGTTGTTGTTGTTGCTGCTGTTTTTGAGACAGGGTCTCTGTCACCCAGGCTGGGGTGCAGTGGTGCAATCTTGGCTCACTGCAGCCTTGATATCCTGGGCTCAAGCAATCTTCCCACCTCAGCCTCCCATTCTAATCGGTGCGAGGCAACAGCTCATTGTGGTTTTAATTTGCGTTTGCTTGATGATTAGCGATGTTGAGCATTTTTTCATGAACTCATTGGCCATTTGTATTTCTTCTTTTGAGAAATGTCTATTCAAGTCTTTTGCCCATTTTTGAAACTTTTATTTGCATGTATTTTACGCTGAATTTATTCCCGTGCTGTAAGTTTTTGCTTCTTCAGTATCTTCTAGGATAGCTTTTTCTTCTGTGCACCTCCTCTTCTGGTTTAGGAACACGGTGTGCTTCTTCAGGAAGATTGTCTCTATGTGGCAGGGGGAGCTTAGGCATGAGTTAATCCAACCATGAGCTCTGGAAGTCTGGTGGCACATCTTGGGTGCTTTGTGCGCCTGAATATCCTCGACGACCAGAGAATCTACAGCTCAACCCTTACGTTCAGCATTACTCTCTGCATTTTTAAGTGTGTACAGCAAGAATTCAATTCTTTTGGGGTCACAAACTGCGTGCCCAGCCCCACTGTTTGGTCTGGGCACTCCTACCAACTCCACCCTCGTAACGTTGGAATGGTACACATTGTTTCCATACAGTGACATCTTTCAGACATTTGCTGGCTTTTCATATAGGCGTACTCTTGATGGCCTGGGCAGTTTCATGGGTGTCCTTAGAGTGAACATGAAGATTTGAACCTCTTTATTTGCATGATTTCATGGAGTTTTCTGGGTCAAGTGAATAGTGAACCATTTTCACAGATCACCGCAGGCCACTTATGGGAACAGCTTGCACATTTTAAAATTGAGTTATTTGTTCTCTTGCTGTTGAATTGTTTAAGTTCCTTACATATTTTGGATATTAATCCCATATCAGATGTATGGCTTGCAAATATTTTCTCCCACTCTGTGGGTTTGTCTGTTCACTTTGTTAATTGTTTCCTTTACTGTGGAGAAGCTTTTTAGTTTGATGCTATCTCATTTGTCCATTTTTGTTTTTGTTGCATCAGTTTTTTTATATCACACTTATATAATCTGGAATCTATATTTTCTTTTTTTAAAATTCCCTTTATTGTGTTAAGAAAGTTCATTTCTATTCCTACATTTCTGAGTGCTTTATTTTTTTCTTTTTTGAGACAGAGTTTTCCTCTGTCACTGAGGCTGGAGTGCAGTGGCAGGATCTCAGCTCACTGCAGCCTCCCCTTCTTGTGATCAATCAACTCTCATGCCTCAGCCTCTCGAGTAGCTAGGACTACAGGCATGTGCCACCACGCCCAGCTAACTTTGTATTTTTATTAGAGATGGGGGGGTTTCACCATGTTGGTCAGGCTGGTCTCAAACTCCTGACCTCAGGTGATTCACTCACCTCGGCCTCCCAAAGTGCTGGGATTACAGGAATGAGCCACAGTGCCTAGCCTAACATTTCATTTTTTAGGATAAATATTTGTTTGAATTCTAACATAGGATAGACCTGTAAGAAACTGATGGGTTTTAATTTCACCTATCATATGTCACTTAAGATGGTTACTACATTTCCCATTTCCTCCAAACACTTCTAGGTAAGTTTCACTGATACATTTAAACTTAATAAACTTATGAAATCTCATCAATAAATTCATTCCCCAGCTTAAAACCTTTCATTAGTTTCCCATGCGCTTACAGTCAAGTTTAGCTCTTTATGGTCATACCTTGTTCCATTTCTCCCTTCTCCGCCATGTGGTGACTCTACAAGGCAGGGGAATCCTACTCTATCTCTATCCTTGGGAACACCTCTCTAGCTGGGTTAGTTGTCCACAGGACCTGTTCCTTTTTTTCTTTTTTCTTTTTTTTTTTTTTGAGACGGAGTCTCGGCTGGTGTGCAATGGCATGATCTCAGCTCACCGCAACCTCTGCCTCCCGGGTTCAAGCGATTATCCTGCCTCAGCCTCCCAAGTAGCTGGGATTACAGGCATGGGCCACTGCACCCAGCTAATTTTTGTATTTTTAGTAGAAACGGGGTTTCACCATGTTGACCAGGCTGGTCTTGAACTCCTGACCTCAAGTGATCTGCCTGTCTCGGTCTCCCAAAGTGCTGGGATTACAGGCGAAGCTGCCGCGCCTGACCTGGATCTGTTATTTTTCTCTATAGCAGCCCAACATTTGCAATCATTTAATTTTTTTTTTTTTTTTTTTGAGACAAAATGTTGCTCTGTCGCCCAGGCTAGAGTACAGTGGCACAATCACAGCTCACTGCAGCCTCAAACTTCTGGGCTCAAGCAATTCTCCCACCTCACCCTGCTGAGTAGATGGGACTACAGGCATGTGCCATCATGCCCAGGTAATTAAAAAAATTTGTTTGTAATTAAAACAAAAAATTAGATAAGGTCTCGCCATGTTGCCCAAGCTGGTCTCCAACTCCTGGGCTCAAGTGATCCTCCCACCTCAGCCTCCCAAAGTACAGGAATTACAGGTCTAAGCTACCATGCCTGGCCACAGTCATTTAATTAATTATGTAAGATAATTATGCAAAATGTGTTTGGGGCCATGTCTAACTTGTTCACCACTGTGTACCCACCATCTAGTGTACAGAAGACACTCAAAAATATTTGCTGACTGGCTGATTGACTTCTTGCCTTTTGGGGCAAGAATTGAATTTAATCCTAGTTGTATGAGTTGAACTCACTTTGAATCTGTGATAAACTATTACTTATTTCCTAAAGATGACTGATTCTTAGTTTTTTTTTTGTTTTTTTAATTTTCTAGTTTTTATTTATGAAGTTAATTCCCTCAAACATTAAGCTAAGTGTGAAGTGCAGTTTTTAGTAAGCTTGCTTATTAGTTAAAAATGGACAATAAACATTTACATTCATAAATATTTCTCTTTTTTTCTTTTTTTTTCATTTTATTGTTATTTTACTTTAAGTTTTAGGGTACATGTGCACAACGTGCAGGTTTGTTACATATGTGTACCTGCGCCATGTTGGTGTGCTGCACCCATTAACTCGTCACGTAGCATTAGGTATATCTCCTAATGCTATCCCTCCCCCCACCCCCCTCCCCTCTGGTTTGTTTGTTTTTAAGAGTTGCATGCAGGCCAGGCGCAGTGGCTCACACCTGTAATCCCAGCACTTTGGGAGGCCAAGGCAGGCAGATCCCCTGAGGTCAGGAGTTCTAGACCAGCCTGACCAACATGGAGAAACCCAGTCTCTACTGAAAATACAAAATTAGCTGGGCGTGGTGGCACATGCCTGTAATCCCAGCTACTTGAGAGGCTGAGGCAGGAGAATCACTTGAACCAAGGAGGTGAAGGTTGCAGTGAACCGAGATCGAGCCATTGCACTCCAGCCTGGGCAATAAAAGCGAAACTCTGTCTCCAAAAAAAAAAAAAAAAAAAAAAAGAGTTGCATGCATCCAGGAGCAGTGGCTCATGCCTGAAATCCCAGCACTTTGGCAGGCCAAGGTAGGCGGATTATTTGAGCTCAGGAGTTGAGACCAGCCTTGGCAACATGGCGAAACCCTGTCTCTATAAAAAATACAACAAAAAAAAATTAGCTGGATGTGGTGGCACACACCTGTTGTCCCAGTTACTTGAGGGGCTGAAGTTGTAGGATCACTTGAGCCCAGGAGGTTGAGGCTGCAGTGAGCCGAGATTGTCACCCAAACTGGGTGACAAAGTGAGACCCTGTCTCAAAAAAAAAAAAAAATTGGATGCAAGAGTTTAGGAGCAAAAAGAAAGAGCTATAAAGATTTTGTGTGTGGGCAGACCTGTGACACTTCAGACCGAGGTGACCCAGTGTGGCCTGAGATGGGGAGAGGCCTCTTCTCCCGCTCTTTAATTAAAACCAATCTGTGACAACTGAAGCCTCATATAGCTTCGCAGGCATGGACATGGGTTCAGGAAGAGCCAAGCCAGAAGTGAGTAGTAATGGTAGACAACAAGACCAACAGATGGAGTAGTTTACAAGCACGTATGAAGACTTTGGTCACTCCCAGAAAGAAAACAGAAGACAGGGACTAAGGTCCAGCAATCAAGCTCCAAGTCAACTGATTCACTCTCATTTGGGCATTTGATATTACCGTGAGCTTACTGTCTCTCCAGGACCACTAGAGCCTGGACACTCTGGTTAATACAAAATAATTACATATACCTCCTAATAGAAGCACATATAAAGCCCGAGTTATGACTCTACTAGTTACGCTTCTCTATCCCGGCACTAACCTTTTCCGTATTTGTTTTCATGAGTTTCATGTAGGAAACTGTCAAAATTATTCGAACAGATAGATTCCACATAGGCACGGCTTGTCGCATAAAATAGGAGTTTTCCTTCTTCCTTCATCTGCGATTTCTTCCTAATATAAGAGATGTGAGACTTAACACGGAGACATCCCCTTCCCACTCCAGTTGATAACATTAATCCCAGCTAAAGTCTAATCATCTAAAAATTTCACTCCATCAGCTTTCACAACGGAGCTACTAACTTTAAGGCAGCAGCTGTACAATAATAAATTTATGAAAACTTTTAAAAGATAGACACATGAAATCATTGAATTGTAAAGCAGTAAGGCTGAGAGAGAGAAGCCAGAGTTGATAGAATGAAAAAAAAAAAAAAAGACTAGCGCCTAAAGGAACTGTTAACTACTAAAATAAATCAGTGAATATAAATCTCAAAGGACGGATATTAACTAATCCTTTCCGGTTTTATGTAAAGAAACACGATAACGTGGCCACCAACCATGTAAATTTATCCAGGAGCTCTGAGTTCTCGATCTTCTTTATCTTTTCAATCTTGAAATTTTTCATGGAAGCTTTAAAATGCTCACTTACTCTGACATATTCTGGATGTAGGTGATGGATCTCTGACAACTAATAAAGTTTAAAAATAGATAAATGTGAAATAGGAAACATTTAAAGCATGATACATCCACATATGTGCCCCCTTATGCCATGAAGTATTGTTACCAGGGTTCTTTCTAACAGCAGATAGGATGAGCTGGCTTAGGGTTCCCACATCTGCCAACTCATTCCCGTAATTAATCAGAGAGGCAGCGGGCCTGTCTGTCCAGGCCAACTGAAAGCTAGCAAAGCACTGTGCCTAAGGGAAAAGGGAAGTCCCCTGCAGTCTGAGTTAGTCCAGTAACCTCTTCCCAATGCAAGGGAAGAGGAATTGAGGTGCCATGCAGTCCAAGCAGACCAGCCTGCACAAAAGCTGAAGCCAGCATGGGGAGGCTAAGCAATCTAGGAATAGTTGTGATCCAACTAGGTTAAGTGACACAGTGAGGCACAGTTTGTTTGACTCCCATAGAAACTTGTTAATTGTAACTAACGGACAAGTCACTTTTACTCTGTGAGTTCTAGTTTTCTTGTCCATAAAATAGAGATGTTAATATCCATTTCACATGGCTGTTGCGAGGATCTGCCCAAATGAGACTGTGTGTGGCTGAACTCTGGAAACAATGAGGTGCCTTGTAGCAGTTAGGTGATCTCTGGGAAAGAGAACCATTAGATGACTGCCTTTCTACCTTGATCTAAGAGTGTTTGTTGTTGTTGTTTGTTTTTTGGAGACAGAGTCTCACTCTGTCGCCCAGGCTGCAGTGCAGTGGGCAGGAGTGCAGTGGCGCGATCTCGGCTCGCTGCAACCTCCGCCTCCCGGGTACAGGCAATTCTCCTGTCTCAGCATCCCAAGTAGCTGGGACTACAGGCTCATGCCGCCATGCCCGGCTAATTTTTTTGTATTTTCGGTAGAGACAGGGTTTCACCGTGTTGTCCAGGCTGGTTTCGAACTCCTGAGCTCAGGCAATCCACTCGCCTCGGCCTCCCAAAATGCTAGGATTACAGGGCTGAGCCACTGCACCCAGCCGATCTAAGAGTTTTGCGGGAGCAATTCATTCATCCAGACAAACACATACACTTGTAGCAAAGTACTTTTTCTAACTTTTAACAGACTCATCCACCAAACATGTAAAACCAAGTACCTTATATTTCTTTGAGGATAGGAAGCAAAAGTCCTCCTGAGGACGAAAGGTCGCAGTTAAAGACACTGACGAGGTCTTTGCTGGCTGATGGCTACAAATAAAGAGAAAGAATTCACTTAACTCTCTGCTCCACAGGCCCAAGTGATGTTTTCTCTTAACTTCCAGCCACTAGGCCAAGGATGCCTAGAGAAATACACAATATTTATTTCTGTATTTTTCTCTGGACTACATCCTCACATATTCCTGGTATAGATGTACCAGTAATCATGTCTTTTAAAAATGCTGCAACTATTCATAATCGGTCAATTAAATGCCATTTTCCTATTGACTTAAAATGTAAAAGTATTGACTCTTTTTTATATTTCTGCTCAACTTTCAAAGGTCCTAATGTGTTAGCATTAAGCAAATGTGTCTTACAGCTTCTTGGTCAAAGGATAAACGATTAAATATATTAGGAATTTAGAGGAAAGAATTCTGCCTTTCCAGTATGAACTGTATTTCAGGGTAACCATACCTGAGAAGTAATTTTCTTTTTCTATCCCATAGAGCTAAAGCTACCAGAAAAATTCTTCTTTATAGATGAATCACACTAATAGTTGCAAAAGAGTTGATAGAATTAGAAAACCACCATTTGGCAATACTTAATGACATCATGGTTCTAAACAATCATTATCATTAGCTACTAAAACCATTAAGTGAAAGATCAGATGAATAGTATAGTGGAATGATCAGACTGGAATGACCTGAACCTACTCTGTGATCTCCATCACTAAAAATAGGACAATCAGACACTGTATATCTCTTCATAAGATGGGACAGAACCACTGGTACGAAGCCATCAATTGTATAGCATACTTGACTCAAAACTGAACCTAAATCTAATCAGTTCCCTAAATCTAATGATCAATTTATAGAAATTACACATCAAATGACCCCATGAGGAAACAATTTGCTAATCTGTTTTGAGACAGAGTTTCACTCTGTCACCCAGGCTGAAGTACAGTGGTGTGATCATGGCTCACTATATCCTCAACCTCCTGAGCCCAAGTGATCCTCCCACCTCAACCTCCCAAAGTGCTAGGATTATAAGCATCAGCCAGCATGCCAGGTTAATTTTCTACATTTTGAATTTGGAAAATTCTATAGGTCAAATCACCTAGTCGTTGTTTTTATTGTTTTTTTTTTTTCCTTTTTCTTTTTCTTTTCTTTTCTTTTTTTTTTTTTTTGAGACAGTCTCACTCTGTTGCCCAGGCTGAGTACAATGGTGCAAAGACAGCTCAACCTCCTGGGCTCAAGTGATCCTCCCACCTCAACCTCTTGAGTAGCTGGGACCACAAGTGTGTACCACCACACCTGTCTAACTTTTTAAAAAGTTTTTGTAGAGATGGGGTCTCAACTCACCATGTTGCCCAGGCTGGTCTTAAACTCCTGGGCTCAAGCAATCCTTCTGCCTTGGCCTCCCAAAGTGCTAGGATTACAGGCATGAGCCACCACACCTGGCCTATCTGATTTCTTAAAAATGAAATTGCATGAAAAAAGTAGAGGAGGGGAAACTGTAGTAGACTAAAAGATATTTATGACACAAATCAACCAAACACAATGTACAGACCCTGCTTAGATACTGATTTGCAATACCTCAACTCTAAATAGTCATTGTTTAAGACAATGGGAAAACATAAAACGTGAACTGGGTATTAGATGATATTAAGGAATTATCATTAACTTTGTTACATAGGTTAATGATATTGTATTATGTTTTTTAAAACCTCTTACCTGTTAGGAAGACACCTAATATATATACAGGGAAATGATAACATGTATTGGATTTACATTAAAATATTCCAGCAAAAGAAAAAAAGTTAGGCCAGGTGTGGTGGCTCATCCCTATAATCCCAGCACTTTGGGAGGCCGAAGCAGGAGGATTGCTTGAGCTCTGGAGTTTAAGACCTGCCTGAGCAACACAGTGGGATCCCCCTCCCCATCTCTAGAAACATTTTTTTTAAATTATCCAGGTGTGGTGGTGCACGGCTGTAGTTGCAGCTACTCAGGAGGCTAAGGCAGGAGAATCACATGAATCCAGGTGTTTGAGGCTGCAGTGAGCCATGATCACACCACTGCACTCTAACCTGCATGCAGAGTGAGACTCTTTCTCAAAGAAAAAAAAAATTTAGAGGTGATGGTAGTAACAATATTGTTACCACTACTACAAATACGTTACAAAGATAGTAAAATATTGACAGTGTTTAAGTTGGATGATAGGTACTCAGGGGTTTATTATCAATTCTTTGTACTTTATGTTTGAAATTTTCCATGATCAAAACAATTACATTTTTTTTTTTTTTTTTTTTTTTTGAGACGGAGTCTCCCTCTGTTGCCCAGGCTGGAGTGCAGTGGCGCGATCTCGGCTCACTGCAAGCTCCGCCTCCCGGGTTCACGCCATTCTCCTGCCTCAGCCTCCCGAGTAGCTGGGACTACAGGCGCCCGCCACCACGCCCGGCTAATTTTTTTGTTATTTTTAGTAGAGATGGGGTTTCACCGTGTTAGCCAGGATGGTCTCGATCTCCTGACCTCGTGATCCGCCCACCTCAGCCTCCCACAGTGCTGGGATTACAGACGTGAGCCACCGCGCCCGGCCAACAATTACATTTTAAAAAATAAATGCTTGAAGGAAAAAACTCTTTAAAGAAGAAGGTGACTCATTAGAATGAGAAAGATTGGCCCCAGTTTATCTCTATTTTAAGGTCAGGTTTCCATTCTGGATTTGTATAACATGGGATAGACTGAATGAATATGTTGTAAGATGCCCATGAACAGTGACGTGTGCCGTAGTTCACTTCTATGTCCCACTGTAGTTCAGGATAGTACCCCAGCCCTTATTCTATCCTACAGCAAGTGTGTCTCCTTGGGCTAGTGAGAGCAGGATTAAATTTGGTTCTCTGCATGACCCACCCCCCACCCTCCCCCACTAACATGTTTTTCTAATTTATTTTTTTTATTCATGTGGCTGTTTATTATCACTATGTGCCATGCATTATACAAACTATTCCAAGACAGCCTGGGCAACCTGGAGAAACCGTGTCTCTATTAAAAAATAAAAAAATTAGTCAGGTGTAGCGGTGTGCACCCATAGTCCTAGTTACTTGGGTGACTGCAGTGGGAGGATCACCCGAGTCCGAGAGGTTGAGGCTGCAGTGAGCTGTGATTGCGCCACTGCACCCCAGCAACCTAACCCCCAACCCCCCCCCCCCCCACAAAAAAACACCAAAATATTTCAAGAGCTCTGAGGAGCTGATAATTGAGGTTGGTGGGGAGGGAGGGGGAAGGGAGGAGGAGGGAAGGTTGTGCTAGAGACATTTACATAAGTAACTGTATTACAAGGTAGAAGTGGGTAAGTACTATAAGGGAATCTCGAGTGTTGGAGAATTGGAGGAGAATCACAAGGAATGTTATAGTATGGGAAAGTGGCATTCCAGCTAAATCGTGAGGGGTGCTGTATTCATGTGAATGACGGGAAGGAGTATTCCTGGAGAGGGGAAGAGCAAATGGAAAAGCACGAAGCAACTCTGACATATGGAAGTTCTTGAGATCGACAATGGCTGACTACAGGAGCTATCTGGAAATGCCACAAAGCAATTTTTTCCCCTAGAAATACATGTGCACAGAAAGAACCATCCAGCTTGGCGTCAAGGTTTACTATGCTTTCCACAGTTCCTGCTGTCTGGAAGGGCCATAAAGCATGGTCTCACTAGTTGAGACTAACTGGGAGTATCTGAATTGTTAAAAAATCAAAATTACCGGAACTTTAAAAAAAAAAATGCAGTTTTGTTGCTTTAAGGAAAGACAGTTCCAACACACTTTTGTGAAGACATCCTGCCAGAACGATTGTAACGATTGTAACGAATGGAAAGCAGCTCTGATGATCTCATTCATTGGCTGAATGTGAACAGCCCCTCCCCATCCTCCTACTCTGCCTTTTTCCCCCACCTAACATTTGTCAGGAACTGAAATAGTTATTGCCTCATCCACCAGAATGTAAGCTCCCGTGAGGGCATGAGATTTACTCCTCTCTTCCCTAAACCCTGAAATATTCTTTTTACTTTATTAATTTGAATATTTAAACTACAGGAAGGGGCCAAGTGCAGTGGCTCATGCCTGTCATCCCAGCACTTTGGGAGGCTGAGGCAGGTGGATCACCTGAGGTCAAGAGTTCGAGACCAGCCTGGCCCTCACGGTGAAACCCTGTCTCTATTAAAAATACAAAAATTAGCTGAGCATAGTGCCATGTGCCTGTAGTCCCAGCTACTCAGGAGGCTGAGGCAGGAGAATCACTTCAACCAGGGAGGCAGAGGTTGCAGTGAGCCGAAATTGTGCCACTACACTCCAACCTGGGTGACAGAGTAAGACTCTGTCAAAAAAAAAAAAAAAATTTACTGAAAGGGACTTTAGATAGCTACACCAATCAGATTCTAATTCTTGGGAAATCAACTTGAGAAATTCAGAGAAAATTAGGCAGTTAGTGGCAGAAGATAAGGCTGAAGAGATATGCAGGTTGGAATTATGAATTAGAATTAAGTCAACTTAATTATATATATAGTTACTAAGTCTATTAATAGCAGGGGAATAAAAATAATAATAACCAGAGCAGTTAACATTTTCTGAACACCTGATCAGTGTTCGGAATGTGTTACCCAAGCAACCGTGAGGAAGGTATTATTATTAAGCCCATTTTACAGATGAGGATATACAGAGTGATTCATTTGTCCAAATCCACACAGCTAATGGGTGGCAAGGTGGAATTTGAACCTAGGTGAGCTAGATCCAGCATCCAGGCTGTTAACCTGGTCCCAAGAAAGAATCTTTGACTCTAGGCTGCTGCAGTTCTAAAGCAGAATAGGAAGCAACTCCCCTTCCTGAGGCCCTGATATAGCTCAGTTTCCATTCTTAGATTCTTGCGAGTTGTTTTCCATATGACTTCATAGTTATTTATCTTTTTAGTAACTTCCTTTTTCATCAAATAGCTTGAATTCTTACAACCAAAAGAACCTAGTTAGAACACCTTGATTTTATACTTCTCTTGAAGCCTGTTTTATGTAATCACACATCACCCAGAAAAAAAATATCCAACTCCAAAAATGTTCATGAACAATGTAGAGTTTACTGAGCAGTTCACAAGGAGAGTTACAATGAATCCCCCACAGCAACATTTCCTTTAAAATCCCTTCAATCAATATTATCTCTCACCAAAACCCTTGCTCTAACAGCTAGCTCATCCCTTTTTTCTATCTCTTTCTCCGCCCCTCATCCTCTATAAATCGTGTAGGAAAACAAAAGACACCCAAAAGAATCCACAGCAAAGCCAGGCACGGTGGCTCATGCCTGTAATCCCAGCACTTTGGGAGACTGAGGTAGGAGGATCACTTGAGCTCAGGAGTTCAAGACCAGCCTGGGCAACAAAGTGAGACCCCCTCTAAAAAAAAAAAAAAAAAAAAGAATCCACAGCAAAACAAAAACCCAGTATATATGATTATTCCTTAGGTGTACTGCATCAATCCAGCTCTTCACAGCTGGAGAAGCTAAAGCCCAGAGTATTTAGGAGACTCGCTCAGACTTCCCTTTCAGAAAGAAAATTCATTTTCCGATCTAGTATCCTTTCAGTCACACCATGCTGCTTAACAAGCATCTTACTCATCGATAATGCAAATGGAAACTGCAGAGTAATGCAAACAGGAACTTTTCAGGAAAACAGGCTCCAGATTCACGAGTGACTTGATGAGCCCAGGGCATGAACATCTCAAGCATCTGTCAGCAAACAGCTGCTTCAGAACACTTACTCTGGCCCTCTCTTCATCTGCTGCACATACCACTGAGGCACAAATGTTGGTCTTCTGATGACATCCTTTTGAGTTTTGGAAGCTATGTTTGTCTGAATCATCCCTTTGGACAGAAAAAAAAATAAAAGCAGTGAGAATCAAGATCAGCCCTAGAAAATGACTTCTTGTTATTTTGCAGAGGCTATTTACACGGCAAATATTCAAGACTGACCTGTATGTATACGAATAGAGAAAATCCTTTGGGATGAGAATTGCTCACAGTAAAAGACTTGTATCCTTCACTGCCATTAGTAGAAGGCTCAAAGCAAAGGAGTGAATGAATATTCAGGAATTAATCTCATCTTTAAATCCAAGTTGGATGGTAAAAGAGGAGAGCTGGGGCAGCCAAATAACAAGACACCATCCTTTCAAGCTTCCCTACACCAGACATCAGTGATTACGGGTTGGAATCTGGTAGCTGTCTTGAAGGGTTCTTTTCTACATCAAGTGTGAAATATCATTTTCAATTCATGCCGTAAACCTCAGTCCAAACTGTAACCAGAGTGAACCCTTCAGAAAGTAAGTCATAATACATTGCTAGTGAGAGTGTAAAATGAAACCACCACGTTGGAAAACAGTTTGGTGGTTTCTTATACAGTTAAATATGCACTCCTATGTGATTTAGCAATCCCATTTCTGGGTATTTACCCAAGAGAAATGAAAACCTGTATCCACACAAAGATGTGCACGTGAATGCTCACAGCAGCGTTATTATGATAACCAAAAAGGAGAAATAACCTAAGTGTCCATCAGCTGGTAAACAAATAAACTATGGAATAGCCTTACAATAACTTATTACTTATTCCTCAGTGATAAAAGAGGAACAACTACTATACATGCAACAACGCGGTTGAGTCTAAAAAACATTATTCCAGAGTGAAAGAAGTCAGCCACATGCAATGTGCCTACTGCAAGCGTTTATTAATATCAAATTCTAGAACAGGTAAAACAGGGACAGAAAGCAAATCAGCAATAGCCTGTGATGGGGATAAAGTGAGGTGTATGTGGTGTTGCTGGGGAAACTGATTGCAAAGAGACATAAGGAAACTTTCGGGATTGATGGAAATGTTCTATATCCTGCTTAGGGTGGTGGTTACACGCATTTGTCAATACTCATCCAACTGCACTCTTAAAATATGAAACAAACATAAACCACACACACACACACACACACACAAAGCAAATCAGATCATGCCACAACACTGCTCAAAATCTTCCCGGGACCTCCGCCTAATAAAATATCCAAGTTTCTATCACTGCTCTCATCTCTTACAGACCATCTACCTGTTCTGTGAAACTTCAAGCTGGTCTGTACCTTCCAGCCTTAGCCTTAGTTCTTCCTCCTCCTGGAGCGCCCTCCTTCCCACAGGCAGAGGCTGGTCTATAAAAGTAAGTGCTGTCCCACTGACTCCTCCATTTTCTGGCTGCTTCCTTGCACTGTTTCATTTTCTCCACCGTTTCATTTTCTCAGTAACTGTTACCACTTTCTGAAATGGCCTGACTTGTTTACTTGACCATTGTCTCTCACCACCCTTTTGAATACAGGCTCGAAGAGCAACTTCATCACTGTATCCCAGCACCCACAACAGGAGCCAGTACACAGCTGGCACTCAGATACTAGCTTAATGCATGACAGAATACACTTGCAGTCTAGTTCAGGAATAGAAAAAGGCGGACGGGTGCAGTGGCTCACGCCTGTAATCCCAACACTTTGGGAGGCTGAGGCAGGTGGATCACGAGGTCAGGAGTTTGAGACCATCCTGGCTAACACAGTGAAACCCCATCTCTACTAAAAATACAAAAAATTAACCAGGTGTGGTAGCACACACCTGTAGTCCCAGCTACTTGGGAGGCTGAGGCAAGATAATTGCTTGAACCTGGGAGGCAGAGGTTGCAGTGAGCCGAGATTGCGCCTTTGCACTCCAGCCTGGTGACAAAGCGAGACTCTGTCTCAAAAAAAAAAAAAAAAAAAAAAAAGAAAGAAAGAAAGAAAAAGAAAAGAAAAGAAAAAGCCATCTGGAACACTAGGAACCCATAAATTGCTCTGAACTGGTTTCTATGAACCAAACAAACAGAAGTAGCTGGACAAATTGCTCTAGATTCAGGAACAAAGTCTATTGGCTCTCATCTCTCCACCACCCTTTTAAACCATAAAAACAATACAATACCACCTAAGAATTTTTTTAATTTAAGTCATTTTTAATTCTACCACCCAATAGAAGAGATTTTAATTTTTCTTTATTATCTTCCAGTCGGCCCACATGCATGCATTGCTGCAATTATCATGCACATTGATTTTTGTGTTTTTTTTAACTTTCCTATTTTAAATATAAACAAAATTTCAGAAACATAAATTTGGGGTTCTGGCTGAGCACTATGGCTCATGCCTGTAATCGAAGCATTTTGGGAGGTTGAGGTGGGAGGATCGCTTGAGCTCAGGAGTTTAAAATCAGCCTGGGCAACAAAGTGAGATCCCCATCTGTACAAAAAAATTTTTAAATTAGCTGGGCATGGTGGCATGAACCTATACTCCCAGTTAGTTGGGAGGCTGAGGTGACAGGATCGCTTGAGCCAGGGAGGTTGAGGCTGCAGTGAGCCGTGATGGCATCACCGCACTCTAGCCTGAGTGATGGCGTGGGACCCTGTCTCAAAAAAAAAAAAAAAAAAAAAAAGTGTTCTGCCTTTTTCATTTAACAACACCAAATTTTGCTCTTCCTATCTAGTTTTCATAATCAAAATCTTTAACAAGTGCCAGATACGCCACTGAAATTTAATACCCTAATTTATTTAGTCACCACTGCACTGGTACAGACTGGTCCTACTTTTAGTACTATAGGTACTGGTTTTGGTCTAGTATTCTTCGGTCACACCATGCTGCTTAACAAGCACCTTACTTTATGCCTATAGCTTTTCTCCCCCCTTCTTCTAGTGAATTATTTCCTAAGAAAGGTTCCTAAGGGAATGAAAAGACAAACATATTAGCATATTTTAATGTCACTTGACATGTACTGCCAGACTGTTTTTCCAAATACTTGGTATAATGGTCCTTGTAAAAGCTACGTCATCTAAGGCCCACTAAGCGGTACAGGATCCAACTGCAGGTACCATCTGCGAATTCAGGGACCTCAGAAAGGCTCCTTTACCTCTTCCAAAGCACCTGCAAGTCCCGAAAGGGCAAGCACTTGATCATGTGCAGGGGGTGCCCAATGGGATGGTACCTTCAGAAGGAGGGCAGTTCCTGCCCTGATATCTAACTAAACACAGCAGGTAGATTGGCGGCAGCTCACCAGAAGACCTTTCTATAGTAGCTCCAATAAACACGGTGGAAGGCAAAGTACTTTAATCAATGTGATGATGGAACTACTGACCTAGATGATAAACCCTAAAAGAAACAGCAAGTTTCTAAAACTCTGAAGGTGCCCAAAAGCCCAAGGCCTCTACCGTAGTCACCAGCACCTGAAATATTGCCTCTCCCTGGGCAGCTGCCCACCCAGAATCAGAAACAGCATGGCAGAGCTGGAAGTACCCCCAAGACTACTTAGTTTGAGCCCCTGATTTTGCAGTTGAGAGAAGTGGGCCTAGATAGGCCAGGTGCCCCTCCTAGGGTGGCAGAGCAAGTGTTCGTCACAGCCAGAGCTCTAGAACACAGGTCTTCTGATGGCCACTAGCTTGCACTCCACCGCCTTGCTAAATCTTGACCTTGACCCTGGCCATAGCAATGCATACCCACTCTGCTCCCACTCCCACGTGTACACTGCAGGCGGATTTCAATGACACACAACACTGCCAAACACAGAAACCCACCTTGGAAACTCAGCTCATAGTTCCGTGAGCCCGCCTGAAATGGCACAACTCCCCTCGGACAGGATTGATAGAGAGACTCCAGGTATGAAGAGTCGACGTTTGAATTTTTCCGTTTGTCTTTCTAATTGGAAAAAAAATAAAAGGTAAAGTCAGGGTAGGCTTTTAGGAAATCTCTACTGTTATATGATTTCGTTTTAGCAATGAGATGTGAACAGGAGTGCATTTTGCTTCCCAAACCAGATTGTAAAAGCTTCCAGCTCAGGGCTATGTCACAGACTTCTGTGGTCTTCTCTATCATGGTACCCTAGAGAGAGAAGTCTATCCTGCAGAAACTCACTACACACTTGGGGGAGGCCTGAGAAGTGTAGCTGTTTGCAATACTCTTTTACAGCCTTCCATAAAATATGAGCCAAATATACAGAGCAACTTGCATCCCCTCTTTTCTGATGCCACGCCGGCATCTGTCATCTAACAGAATCTGACACTGACTCTTACATGAAATAGAACATCGTGGGCTATTCTAGCCACGCACGGTTTACAGTAGTCGTGAAGGGAAGTAAAGAAAGACCATCTGGTCCTCGTCCAAACTCCAATAGTTGCAGTGTTCAAATATAAATAACCTAACCCTCTCCTCTGCCCTGAACCAGAGTAAGTAAACAAAATTGGCCGAGCCTCCTGCTAGCCAACTAACTGAAAATGCACTTGGATTTGCCACTAACTGGAGCTATAATGAAAGGGATGAGGTGGCCGGGTGCAGTGGCTCACACCTGTAATCCTAGCACTTTGGGAGGCTGAGGCAGGTGGATCACGAGGTCAAGAGATCGAGACCATCCTGGCCAACATGGTGAAACCCTGTCTCTACTAAAAATTCAAAAATTAGCTGGACGTGGTGGCATGCACCTGTAGTCCCAGCTACTCGGGAGGCTGAGACAGGAGAATCGCTTAAACTCGGGGGGCGGAGGTTGCAGTGAGCCAAGATCGTGCCACTGCAGAGCCTGGCGACAGAGCAAGACTCTGTCAAAAAAAGAAAGAAAAGGAAAGAAGGGATAAGGCATAACCCCCAAATGTAAAGCTATAATCTCTAGTCTCAAAGCATATAGAAAGCATGCAAACATCAGAATGTGTAGGTAAAAGGGAAATGAGTTGATTTTAGCAAGGGGCAGGCTAGGCTACCGATCCACTGCCCTCATTCCTCATTCCGTGGCCAGGGTGGGCGATCAGGGCACACTAGAAGTACGCCCCTAGCAGCAGGGGTTCCCAGTATTTAATGGTGAGGAGACTCTTGTTTCCTGTGATCTAGAACAAAGGAGTTAATGGCAACAAATTTTTCCAAGCAGCCGTGGTGGAGAGGGGCTCACGGTTCCTTTTGCTAATGACATTCCAGACTTTCAGCTGGACCGACGCCCCTTCCTCTTCCCTAGTGGAAATGCCTGCTGGTTGTAAGCGGAGGGCAACAGAATGTACGTGTCCAAGGAAAACGTCCTGCACAGAGAAAGGCCCGAGCTGGGTCTCTTTATCCTGGAGTGCAGCATGGTGGGAGCAGAAAGCAGTGTTCAAATATTTGTACCCAGGGCAAAGTGGGAATAAACTTGAATGTGTTTCAGGAGGTAGGACCAGTACAAAGGGTGGAAGGGACAAGGACGCTGACTTTAGCAGAACGTTCTAACTTACTGCAGCCAACAATTAAGTCATATCATGAAGATGCTTGTTGCCACAGCTTTGTGGATAGTATCTATCAGAGTGATTGTAAAAGAGCTTGCTGCCGTGATTCAATGGTGCCCGGTAAACCCTATGCCTTCCTCGGGCCAAAGTGGGCAAAACACCTCTGGCATGATGTGGGGCGGGTAGAACAGCTCTAGCACCTTGGTATCCCCTGGTTTGACCACTAGCTGAATCGCTTCCCAATTTCCCATCCCTACAGTTGAAGTCCTGTATGCATCCACTGCCTGCTCAGCTCTGTAAAACCCACTCTGTTCCTGGCTTAAAAGGCCGGAGACTTTCAAACATTGACATACATGTGAGTGCCCCAGAGATCATATTAAAGTGCAGATATGATTCTGGGAAAGTTGGGGATGATTTAGATTCCATACTTCAGCCAGCTCCCGGGTGATGCTGAGGCTGATGCTGCTGGTCTGTGGACCTCACTTTGACTAGCAAGCCTCTAGGGTCTAGACCAGTGCTGTTCACTAGAACATTCTGTGGTGATGAAAATGTTCTCTGCGCTGTCCTATATGATATGTAGGGGAGGCAAAATTTCTTTCTTTCTTTCTTTCTTTCTTTTTTTTTCAGGGTGTCCCTTTCCCTCTGTTGCCCAGGCTGGAATGCAGTGGCACAATCTGGGCTCACTGCAACCTCCGCCTCCTGGGTTCAAGCGAATTCTCCCGCCTCAGCCTCCTGAGTAGCTGGGATTACAGGTGCATGTCACCACACCCCAGCTAATTTTTGTATTTTTAGTAGAGACAGGGTTTCACTGTATTGATCAGGCTGGTTTCGAACTCCTGACCTCAGGTGATCCGCCTGCCTTGGCCTCCCAAAGTGCTGGGATTGCAGGCATGAGCTACTGCACCTGGCCAGGGAAGCAAAATTTCACCTCTACCCTTTTACAGTATTTTGGCTGGACCTGAGCATTAAATTGACATAAGACCACAACAGGAATGACAGACAATGGAGACTCAGAAGGATAGGGCAGGTTGGGAGGGGAGTAGATGATGAAAAATTACTTAATGGGTACAATGTACATTATTCAGGTGACGGACACCCTAAAAACCCTGACTTTACTACTAGGTAATCTATGCATGTAACAAATGTAACAAAATTACATTCGTACTCTATAAATTTATATACAAAAAGACCAACAGGAGAAAAGCATACACGTTCATTTAATACAAGTTTTACGTGGCACAGGAGCCTTCACGAGAAAGTGAAGACCTAAAGCTGCAGTTAGAGATAAACACTTGTATTGAATTAGACGAGTCATAAATTATGAAAATGGGATGAGGCAAAGGGGCTTCAGCTAGGGAAGTTAATTGGGTGGAGAAGTGTCCAGAAGGATGAAGATTTGTCTAATAGGGTTTGTTTGCACAGGTTTCCTGGCTTTGATAAGAATGCTACTTTCATTCTGGTATAGGGAGGACCTCTTTCTTTCTTTATTATTATTATTATTATTATTATTATTATTATTATTATTATTATTTTGAGACTCAGTGAGTCTCTCTCTGTCACCCAGGCTGGAGTGCAATGGTGTGATATCAGCTCACTGCAACCCCCACCTCCTGGGTTCAAGCGATTCTCCTGCCTCAGCCTCCCGAATAGCTGGGATTACAGGCATGAGCCACCACACCCGGCTGATTCTTGTATTTTTAGTAGAGACGGGGTTTCACCATGTTGTCCAGGCTGGTCTCCAATTTCTGACCTCAAGTGATCTGCCCGCCTCAGCCTCCCAAAGTGCTGGGATTACAGGCATGAGCCACTGTGCCCAGCCTAGGAAGAACATCTTCCACATGAGAATTTCATCTCCTGCTTTTAAGTAACAGAAGGTCAGAGTGATCGTCTTGCACCTGCTGTTTTTCAAGTGCGTTTAACTCAAAATAGTCAATATGCCAGAGTGGCATATTTTTAACTCCTTCAGTAGCCAAGCTATGTGTGGCTATACAGCACTGAAAATGTGACTACAGTGACCATGGAACTGATTTCTTAATTTTTTATGTGTTTAATTAAAGTTTAAAATGAAATTGCCGCATGTGGCAAGTGGTTGTCATACTGGACAGCACAGGGCCACTAAGTCAGTGTCTGAGTACCTGCACAGCCTAGCATGGCTCCACACCGACCTTCTCTAGCCTCGCCCTCACACTGCACTTGTCATGTTCATGAACCCCGGTAGGTGGTGAAGTCCTCAAAGGTAACATTTCCCCTTGGTTCAGTCCACATCAGAGACGAGTCTCAGGCACTGCTTGATGTGATGTGTAGGCTGGTTCATTCAACCCTCGCTGTTGTAAGACTAACAGGACAGCGGGAGCATGCCCATGTCATGCGTATGTTATGGTCAAGAGGTCACACAACTGACTGATGGTCCAGAAGCAACTCTCAAAGTCCCTCTCTTGTTCCTGTGTGTTGTCTGGGTCAATTACCAGGTGTTTCTATTGTAAAGGTATTCTAAGCTACTCTTGTAAGGATAAGTCCTTTTTGTGGTATCTGAAAGTCAGTCATATCTGTGCTGAGCTGGCCCCAGTTCTTTGGCAATCCTAAGCTACAGTTGCCCCATACTCTTAAGTGACAGGTAGTGACAGCCTTGCAAGATGTCTCATTAGACCTTTTAGCTACCATTAGTTTAATAGCCATAATGTGTCCTAGAGAACAGTACTGTTACTCCAGGTCTGAGTAAATGAATGAATCACACAGCCGTCAATTATTTATTCCCCACAAGACTTGAATTTATGTTTCAGTTGCAGTAAACAGGTCTTAGCTTTTATCCTGTGTGTCAATGATTGCCTCAACCTTGGCTTTCTAGAGCTGTGGCTTGTCCTTGTTCTGAGAGGGTCTCTCAGGCCATAGCCTCCCGCTGTTTCTCAACACCAGCTTCCACAGCTGCTAAGCTTAGCTACTTTGCTGGTAAACATCTTCGAGGACCTGAATCTGCACTCCCTAACTGGTGCACATTCAACGACTCCCAGGCTCTACCCTCCTGTCAGCCCTGCTATCACTCTACCCTACACCATTGCTGCCCAACTGCCCATCGATTCAATCATCACTTCTCCTAATACCACACCCTCTCCCTGCCCACCATCTATGTAGGTATGAGTCCTGGTTAAGTACATCAATTTCCATAAAAGGATATCTATTTTACCTCCCTGAGAGCTCATAATCAAAGCATATGTGCCTACTCTGTTGGCAGAAGTTTCTACTCCTCACGTTCCTCTTAGGGAGGTTCCAACCCACAACTCTTAGTTGCCTGACTTATTCAAAATTCAGTTACAAGAAATAAAAGCTGTGGGGCACTGGCAGAAGGCTTCACAGTCCACTCCTTTCTCTAAATATTCTAGCCTGTACGCTGGCTCAAGGCAGGTCACCAAAGAGCTGCAAACTTGGACCACAATGCATTGATCCATGAAAGAAACCAGGCTGTTCTTGATATGTGGGGTTCAAATCTCCTGGAAACATTATTTTAATTTTACTTGGACTCCCAGCAAGGAAAACATTAAACCCAGGGCCTGATTTTTCCTTATTTTTTTTTTTAATAACTAGAGCCAATTCAATTTATATAATGATGGGTCTTATTAGTATGAGACAGTAAGAGTTCATTCACATCTTCAGTGAACATCCAACAAACCTGTGTCACATTTAATGAATACAACATTCATGTGTTTGCAGATTGAATGTTACATTCTAAAAACTCCACAGTTTTCATGGGAATCCAGAATATAAAAATAAAAATAAATAAAATAAAAACTCTACAGCTAACACAGACTAAATGTCCCAGCGAGAACTTTGTATTAAAAACCTCAGGAGGCCGGGCGCAGTGGCTCACATCTGTAATCCCAGCACTTTGGGAGGCTGAGGCGGGCAGATCACGAGGTCAGGAGATCGAGACCATCCTGGCTAACATGGTGAAACCCCGTCTCTACTAAAAATATAAAAAATTAGCTGGGCGCGGTGGCGGGCGCCTGTAGTCCCAGCTATTTGGGAGGCTGAGGCAGGAGAATGGCGTGAACACGGGAGGCGGGGCTTGCAGTAAGCCGAGATCGCGCCACTGCACTCCAGCCTGGGCGACAGAGCGAGACTCCGTCTCAAAAAAAAAAAAAAAAAAAACCTCAGGAAGGGCTGGGTTGGGTGCGGTGGCTTACACCTGTAATCCCAGCACTTTGGGAGGCAGAGGCAGGCAGATCACCTGAGGTCAGGAGTTCAAGACCAGCCTGGCCAACATGGTGAAACCCCGTCTCAACTAAAAATACAAAAAATTAGCCAGGCATGGTGGTGGATGCCTGTAATCCCAGCTACTGGGGAAGCTGAGGCAGGAGAATTGCTTGAACCTGGGAGGCAGAGGCTGCAGTGAGCCGAGATCACAACATTGCACTCTAGCCTGGGTAACAAGAGCAAAACTCTGTCTCAAAAAAAAAAAAGCTCAGGAAGTTTCTTGATGTTTTATTAGAGAACATGATTGAACTTGTGTAAATTTAAATTTAAATACAGTATCTTTCCCCCAAATAGTTCCTTTTGGTTTCTGAAACCTTTTTTTTTTTTTTTTGGAGTCTTACTCTGTCACCCAGGCTGGAGCGTAGTGGCACAGTCTCGGGTCACTGCAACCCCTACCTCCTTGGTTCAAGCAATTTTCCTGCCTCAGCCTCCCAAGTGGCTGGAATTACAGGTGCACGCCACCAAGCCCAGCTAATTTTCTGTGTGTATTTTTAATAGAGACACAGTTTCACCATGTTGGCCAGGCTGGTTTTGAACTCCTGACCTCAGGTGATCCACACGCCTTGGCCTCCCAAAGTGCTGGGATTACTGACATGAGCCACCACGCCCGGCCTCCTGGAACCTTGATGTAACTAGAATGCAAATGTTTGTTTGCCAACCCTTCCCCTTTATATCTTACTAAAAATTCCAATTATTTGACATAAAAACCATCAAGACCTATAGCTTATTTTTATTTTAACCAAGGCTAATTAATTTGGGTTTATAATTTTATTTCCACAGGCGCCTGACAGAATCGCTTATTTGACATCATCCTTGGCTTGAGCATACAAAGAATCTGTGCAAAGTTTAATATCATAGGTGTTTTCACACACACGGGAGTTTCAGCAGAACTCTGTTCCACAGAGATGCTACATGGGCCACCACAGGAGAGAGAAGAGCAACAAGGAGGGGTCCAGGAGACAGCTCTGAGCCCATATCCTATTCCACCAGGGCAGCCCTGCTCTACTCTAGTTGGCTCGTTTAGAGTCTTTGAAAGATGGTTTGATAAAATGTATCTGCTGCTAAGACAGTTTGGAAACCAATATGCTGCTGAATTCATGGTAGGGCTGTTTGTGGTTGAGGACCTCACCACAGCACACAGGGTTCCCGCCATGTGGCCCACTATAGGAGGTGTTTTTCTCAGGCCTCACTAACATAACAGAGTAGTGCCTCTCCCAAGTATTTTGTTTGCTTTGGCAGTTAGGCAGCTCAGAGCCAAATGTATAGCCCACTGACTCGTAATTATTAGTTCCGTGCAAAAGTAATCAGTTTTTGCCATTAAAAGTAATTACCACCAACCCAAAAGTAATTTTACACCAACCTAAATATGTAGAACCTTACGCTGCCATTCCTTTGTCCCTGCATTATCTTTTTTTTTTTGGAATCTCACTTTTGTCACCCAGACTGGAGTGCAGTGGTGCAATCTCGGCTCACTGCAACCTCTGCCTGCAGGTTCAAGCGATTCTCCTGCCTCAGACTCCTGAGTAGCTGGGATTACAAGCACGCGCCACCACACCCAGCTAATTTTTTGTATTTTTAGTAGAGACAGGGTTTCACCATGTTGGCCGGGCTGGTCTCGAACTCCTGACTTCAGGTGATCCACCCCACCTCGGCCTCCCAAAGTGCTGGGATTACAGGAGTGAGCCACCGCACCCAGCCCATGCATTATTTTTGGCTTCATTTTAATCTCTTGCTTTCATTTTCTGTTTCTCATCACCCTGATTCCATTACCTGCTTAAGGTCTGTTTTCTCTCTCTCTTTAATCCTATGAGTTAAAGGGAGGAAGGGACACTGAGACAGAAGGACAGAGGCTCTGCTCACCTAAACTTCCCTCCCTATTACTATGCCCCCACTATGGGTCAGCCTAGGATCTTCTAGTTCCAGTCCTTTAAGTCCATCTAAATCCAGACTCTGAATGAATAGTAGTGACTATCTGTACCAGATGTGGTTTCACTGCTTGAGTGAATTAACACATTCCCTGGTCTAATTAACCATGCCATCATCCATACAGTCCTTTAAGTTCTCACTCTCACCCTCTTTTCCAGCTCAAAGCAGTAGTCTCTGTACATTTTATGTGTTTATACATAGAAAGCTATCTCAAGGTTCCACCCTCCCCTCTCATGGTGAGGAAAGAGGGAAGTGCAGCTGACATGTCTCAAGCGGTTCCTTAAAAATAATTAATATATGGCCGGGCGCAGTGGCTCACGTCTGTAATCTCAACACTTTGGGAGGCCGAGGTGGGCGGATAACCTGAGGTCAGGAGTTCACGACTAGCCTGTCCAACATGTTGAAACCCCATGTCTACTAAAAATACAAAAATTAGCTGGGTGTGGTGGTGGTGCATGCCTGTAATCCCAGCTACTCGGGAGGCTGAGGCAGGAAGATCGCTTGAACCCAGGAGATGGAGGTTGCAGTGAGCCAAGATAACGCCATTGCACTCCAGCATGGGTGATAAGAGTGAAACTCCATCTCAAAAATAAATAAATAAATAAAAATAAAAATTAATATATACTTTAATGTATGACTGCAATTGGAGTACATGTTTGCTGAAAAAAAATTGAATATAGCTGTGTACAAAGTAAAAAAATACCACTTCCTCTACCACACTCCACGGGTAACCATGTAGGCTTCAAACATTTTATTAATAGTGTTCTTTTTATTTTATTTATTTATTTATTTTGGAGACAGAGTCTCAATCCATCCCCCAGGCTGGAATGCAGTGGCGAAATCTCAGCTCACTACAACCTCCACCTCCCGGGTTCAAGAGATTCTCCTGCCTCAGCCTCCAGAGTAGCGGGGATTATAGGCGCCTGCCACCACGCCTGGCTAATTTTTGTATTTTTAATAGAGATGGGGTTTCACCATGTTGGCCAGGCTGGTCTCGAACTCCTGATCTCAGGTGATCCACCTGCCTCAGCCTCCCAAAGTGCTGGGCTTACAGGCATGAGCCACCGTGCCCAGCCAACAGTGTTCTTTTTAAGTTGACAAGTTTAAACAAGAGCCCCCTACAAGGAGGAACAGTGCTCACCTCTTCTCCATACTGAATCCATGTGCCAGATTCATTCTTCCAATACCAAATCCATTTGGTGGTGAAGACAGAATTGGCTGGCTTGGTGACAGAAGAAGGAGTGGAGAGGCGTCGGATGGGAAAGGAATCACAACTCATTACCCGAAAATTGATTGTATAACTTCCTACAGAACAGCTGAGAGAGAAAAGTATTAAGTTAACATAATGCTTCATTGACCCCTGTTTTCTACAATCTCGTCTTCCCTAATGAGAGCACAGAATTAAACTTTCAGGGCTAAAATAGATCTTCAAGTTTTCTTTCCATGGCTCCAGGTCCTACACATAAAAGAAAAACGGAAACGCAGAGAGGAAAGTGACTCGCCTGCACCACATAATTAATGGTGTTACATAATGTATTCTTCCCTCAGAAAATATCCCAAAATAAAACTGTGCCCACAAAACTCCTGATTGGCTCAATGTTATAAAGTAAGTTAGAAATTCGCATTTGGTCCATTTTTAAAATTATTTATTATTATTTAAATCGTTATCAAAATGTGGAGACCCTTGCAGAAAATTGGCAAGGTTAAAGTGATTTTCATAATAACATTAAACATTATTTGCTTTTTTCACTTTCATTCTCTCAGGAATACACGATGAAATTTTCCAGAGGCTACACAATATATGATTTCACAGCAGGTTGAATAAAGAAGCGGATATGAGAATCTAGTTATCTTCTATTATGCCAGACATTAATTTGCAAAAATATAAAACTCCTCTCAATAAATTTTTTGTTTTGGAAAACAGTTATTTTATAATTATCCATATAAATATTATATATAAATATGTAAATAAATACACACAGTTATATACCTGGGTATGTATATTAAATGGATATACATGAATATGTATATAGTATTAAATATAGTTACATGAAACATGTTCATTATGTTAACATATAGCAAGCTTATTCTTATTTTTAAGTGAATCAAATATATAATTGTTCTCAGTTTTAATTTTTAATATGGTAAATATTGATAGCTATATTCCACACAAACAGAAATTCTTTGGGATCCTGAATACATTTTAAGTGTTGAGGAGTCCTCTGACCAAAAAGTTTGAGAATTGCTGCTCTAAGAAAGACCTCTTAGATCAGTGGTTCTCAATCAGGAACGATTTTGACCTCAGTGGGTATTTTACAACATCTGAAGACATTTTGGGTTAGGACAACCAGTGGGGCTGGTGGGGGGGTGGTGCTTCCTGTCATCTGTGGATTGAGGCTAGGAATAGTGCTAAACAGAATCTGGCCCAAAACGTCAGTAGTGCTGAGGTTGAGAAACCCGGCTCTCCACTTGCCTGGGAGCGGAAATATAGACCTAGCAACCAGAAAGTAGCTCATGTCGCCCTCTAGTGGTAAAAATCCAGCAACACAGAATCTCCACCCTCAAATCACTAAATTCTCATATGATGAAAAGTAATGTAACTTTTCCCCCTTAAGAATTTCCTTATAAAACTGGGATGTTTCTTATATCCCTGCACACCATAGATAAATACGGTCATATGGGTATCACCCATTTCAGCTCTTCCAGAAGGAGAAATGTTTTTACTTATTTATTTTTGAGACAGGGTCTCACTCTGTCACCCAGGCTGGAGTGTGGTAGCACAATCACGGCTCATTGCAGCCTCAACTTCTTGGGCTCCAGTGATCCTCTCACATCAGCCTCCCGAGTAGCGAGTAGCTGGGACCACAGGTGCGTGCTACCATGCCTGGCTAGTTTTTGTATTGTTGGTAGAGACAGGGTTTCATCATGTTGCCCAGGCTGATCTCGAACTCCTGAGCTCAAGTGATCCTCCTGCCTCAGCCTCCCAAAGTGCTAGGATTACAAGCATGAGCAACCACGCTCGGCCAGAAGCAGAAATGTAAGGTACCCTCTTAGATGCCTTGCTAGAGAAAATAGCAAACATAAGGGAGGTATTAAATGCTAAAGTATACAACAAAATTCTACAGTAAAACTATATGAAATTATTCAAACCGTGTTTTTAAATTATGAAGTTAAGCCAAAGGCTCTTTTGTCCTAAATCATTTAGTACTTTTAATAGTTCTGTGATGAACTGATCAGGATACGAGCCGGACACTGAACTGTGTTTTTTTGCAGGACACAGACAACTGTCAACTAAACAAATAATCATGTCACTGTTTGTTTCATTTGAGTTAGCAAACATTCCCAGGATCTCTGGTATTAGCCAGGCTCAGTGTGACCTCAAACCCACCCAGCTGTGGTTTTCCTTCATTAACTCGGCAGGCATTTGCCATTTTTTATCTCAAGAGGTATTTCACACTCGAATGGGATTCTGATGGAAAAGTGTTTTTTTCTTTTTCCCCTGAGCCTAGCACTAATGCTTCCCTTTGATAATGTTGGACTCTTGAAAGCCAGAGTACAGCCACCAACTTACAGGTGGATTCCGGGGTTACAGTAGCCTTTCTCGATCGTCTCCATGTGCTCAAAGTCCGTCCAGGTTTTACCAATAAGCATCTGCCACCGGTAAGGCAGATGGAAGTGGACTTTGCTGCAGCTACCTACAAAGACAAAGAAGGGGTCTGAGGGACTGTTGAGCAGGGATTCTAACCAATTCAGTCAAGTTCACTGCCAGCTTTCCCCATCCATGCCTGCCCTGCCCCCTGCCAGACAGGTTCCATCTATACCAGCTGACACTGCTGTGTGTCCATTATCCAGGTTCCTTCATTACCTTGGAGACTCATCAGAAAACAAAAATTCAGGCAGAGTGTGGTGGCTCACATCTGTAATCCCACCACTCTGGGAGGCCGAAACAGGCGGATCATTTGAGGCCAGGAGTTCACAACCAGCCTAGCCAACATGGTGAAATCCTGTCTCTACTAAAAATACAAAAATTAGCCAGGCATGGTAGTGGGTGCCTGTAATCCCAGCTTCTCGGGAGACTGAGGCAGGAGAATCACTTGAATCTGGGAGGTGGAGGTTGCGGTGAGCCGAGATCACCCCACTGCACTCCAGCCTGGGTGACAGAGTGAAATTCTGTCTCAAAAAAAAAAAAGAAAAAGAAAAGGAAACAAAAATTCCCCACTGCCCCCAAAGTCACTCCACCCAGATAGAAATTCGAGGTAACCAGAAATTTAGTTACCCTTTCTGCACCCCCCCAAGTGTATGAAGCCAAAATGCTCTCCAGCAGAGGCAACAGCCTTTATTTCCTTGAAGCCCTGGCCTACAGTTCATCTCTTCCAGAAAGATTCTCTTAACGAATCTCACTCCATCCCCATCTGACTTGTATTTTTTGCATTCCTTTAGCCAGTACCCAATAGTCAGTTGGGGGTTAATTTTTTATATGTTTTTACTTACTTCACGCAGTTTTCCCATTTGCAAATTTTTTGTTTGTTTTTGTTTTTGTTTTGAGGCAGAATCTCACTCACTCTGTCGCCCAGGCTGGAGTGCAATGGCGCAGTCTTGGCTCACTGCAACCTCCACCTCCCGGGTTCAAGAAATTCTCCTGCCTCAGTCTCCCTAGTAGCTGGGATTACAGGCATGTGCCACCACGCCCAGCTAATTTTTGTATTTTTAGTAGAGATGGGTTGTCACCATGATGGCCAGACTGGTCTTGAACTCCTGGCCTCAAGTGATCCACCTGCCTCAGCCTCCCAAAGTTCTGGGATTACAGGCGTAAGCCACCATGCCTGGCATTTTATGGATGTTTTCATGCCCTACCTTAATTATAAACTTACTAAAGAGAAGGCTGCACTATGGTTTAGCTTACATCCCCCTTACATATTTGGCACAGGGCTAGGCATACAAAAGACAGCCATTGCAGGAATGCCGGCTGAAGAATGAATTGATGTTATAAGCTACAGTACAGGAAGACAGAAGATAGTTCTGTTTTTCAAAATTTGCCTTATATTATGTTTAAATTGTTTTGAAATATTCAAAATGAAGATGTGTGACAACTTCAAAACAAACAAAAAAGACAGGTTTAGACACTGCAGGGACACCCATAGAGTGGCCCTACTTGAGACTTGGCTGACTGAAAAGTACACAACCACTCATTATAGTCCACACCTCACACTTGTTAGAATGGCTGCTATCAAAGACAAACAGTGGCTGGGCACAGTGGCTCATGCCTGTAATCCCAGCACTTTGGAAGGCCGAGGCGGGTGGATCACTTGAGGTCAGGAGTTCAAGACCAGCCTGGCCAACATGCAAAAACTCCGTCTCTACTAAAAATACAAAAATTAGCCGGACGGGGTGGCACACGCCTGTAACCCCAGCTACCTGGGAGGCTGAGGCAGGAGAATCACTTGAACCCAGGGGGCAGAGGTTGCAGTGAGCTGAGATTACACCACTGCACTCCATCCTGGGTGACAGAGTGAGACTCCGTCTCAAAACAAACAAACAAAAAAGGCAAACAAACACACACAAAAAGAACAAGTGTTGGTGAGGATGTGGAGAAATTTGAACGCTTGTGCATTGCTGGTGGGAAAGAAAAATGGTATAGCCACTATGAATAATAGTTCCTCAAAAAAAAAAATTAAACATAGAAGTACTATATGATCCCCCAACTCCACTTCTGGGTATATATCCAAAAGAATTGAAAGCAGGGTTTTCAGAAGGCATTTGCACACCCATGTTCATAGCAGTGTTATTTACAATGGCCAAAAGGTGGAAGCTTACAGAAAAGTCCTTAGGTTACTCACCATTAAGCGGACAACCCTTACACAGATGGTCAAGACAAATTTCCTCTGAGTCATGATCATCCACCCTAGAAGATGTGGTACTTGTGACATCAGATAAAGAATCTATGAAACAAAAAAGGATGCATGTATGCTGATCTTAATGTTTAAACCAAAAATCAAAGCACTTGGTCTCACAATGGGAAAGAATATCTGAAATGGGGGCCATGTTCAAGAAAATTCCTATGATTTATGTTTTGCCCATGAGCATCTAGACAGCCCCTCCATAAAACAAAAATGTGGACCTCAGAGTCCTGTGAAAGCTATGTTTATTTCTTAAATCATAGTTGAAATATTCCTATTGTCAATAAATGTGGCAGTTTATTCCCTGTGGTTCTACTGGTTGGCCCTTCCCTGTCTTCACTAGTCAATCTCCTCACCAGACCACCCCATAACCAAAACCCTCTAACTCTCTACCCTTTAAGAACTGGGGAACATCCAAGGAAAAACCACCAGCCATAGCCACTCTGCTGCAGACTCAAGACACAGAGGCCCCTTTGTCCTTCAGTGACTTACACTGAGCAGAGCCTGTTGTCTTCCTTGTGAGCTCGCTGGCAGAGGAAACAGGAACCTGGGTGCAGTTCTGCCCTTGGGCCCCCCAGACTGCAGCTCTGTTGCTTGAGGAAAGGGCAGCAGGTGACTGAGGCAGAGTGCTGACTTGTGCAGGGGCAGTGGATTCCCCAGGTGTGGTGGGGACCAGGTTCCTCAGACTCTGACTTCCAGTACGTAACATATCTTTTTCTGCCTTGACTGCCATTGTTAAGCCAAAACCAGTGGCACCAGTTTTTTCTACATCAGTAGTTTTATCCACTACTTGACTAGAGCCATTTGGTATATCATGAACAAATGTACTAGCCCAAAGTGTCTTCCCTTTGTATTTACCGTTAACAAGTGCTACTCTTGGGTCAGCATCATCTGCGATTCTGCCAGTGGCCTGGACATCTCGGGAAGCAGGTCCAGCATCCTGAATCCTAGGTGATGATATTTCTCTGTGACCGCTGCTAGTGCTTTTGTAATTTAAGGATCTGGTAGAAGTTATATCTGTGGCCACTCCATCAGCATTATTATTAAAAAGAGGGCCAGGCTGGATGTCCTGAGTTCCACTTTTGCCATTGATGATCCTGTAGTCTGAGGAAAGCAAGCCTGTGCCCTTTCTGGTGGTCACAGCTTCAGGTGTTTGCAGAGAGCCAAGAGAAGAGCGGGCGGCAGGTAGCGTGGGAGAAAACACAGTCTTTCTCCTGGCGCCTTGGTCATTCGTCCAGGATGTGAGGCTCTTCCAGTTGGGGGCTGATGTTGAATTGGAAGCAAGGTAAGTGCTGCCTGGATTTCCATGCAAGAGGTCCTCTTGACTGCCGTTCTCTAAAAACCTCTGGCTTGTCCCGGCCTGACTTGTTCCTCCAAGATCAGTAGCCTTGGACGAGCCTGAGGGAGGCCGAGCGCGATCCTGACTCCCCAGATACGTGAACTTGCGGGTGAGATCGTCCACAGGCGCGTCCTCCAGGGAAGCCCTGTGGCTGATCTGATCTGGACTAGGTGTGCAGGACCTCTCAGCAGACGCTGAAGCAGACGCAAGAAATTCTTGGCTGCCCTGAAAGAACCGATCTCTACTCTTGCTTCTAGCCCTATATGCCATGTTTCTACGATGTGAAGAAGGAGCTAAGGGGAAAAAAAGCCAAAATGAAACAAAATAATGAACATTGGAGTTAATGTGACTGAGTTCCTACCACCCTTCCTCCTCTTCACTTTTGTAGCTTTGCTATCCAAGTGCTATCAAATTACTTGGCGTAATCTGATGTGTAAAAATCTTGAAGATGGGTGGTTTGACACTGACGGTTTTTTTTGTTTTTGTTTTTGTTTTAAGAGATGGAGTGTTGCTCTGTTGCCCAGGCTGGAATGCAGTGGCCCGACCACAGCTCACTGCAAGCTCGAACTCCTGGGCTCCAGCGATCCTCCCACCTGAGCCTCCTGAGTAGCTGAGACTACAGGTGCTCACCAACTGTGTCAGCTGATGAAAGAATCTTGACATTCTGCCTGCACGGCAGAGCACGTCATTCCATGGCCTAGGATGACAGTGAGGATCAGCTCTAGGATGACAGTCCCCGGCTCTCTTCTGGGACTCAAAGTAGCCCCCAAACCCCAAAACTTTTAGGTGGGGCTGTCCACTATCTCCTGGTCCTGAGTCAACGTTCATCACTGGGGTCAATGGAGAGATAGATTAGGGCAAATCAGAGAAGATTTTCCAGAAAGCATTCGATTTTGCCCATATCGTGATACGGGTGTACCTGGCTATTGACAGATTCACAATGCTCAAAGAAACCAACAGAAAATGAAACCACAGTCTAAAGGCCTGACTTTGTTTAAGCTGGAAATTTTTCCAGTTTTCTTCATCTCACTCCATAAGGCCAAAGTATATCAGAAGTCAACATCGACAAAGCAGTGTGGCCTGCAGGGAATTGGCCTTCCTCTAGAAACTTGATAGGTCACACCCTTCTGGAAGCAGGGAGGAAGGAAGGAGTTAGGGTGTGTTTGTGAGCGCGTGTGGAGTGTGTGTGGCGTGCATGCACGTGATGTTTATGTGGGGTGTGTTTGTGTGCCGGGGGTACATGTGGAAGATGTGCATGTCTGTGTTTGAGGCACATGTGCACGTGTGGTGTGTGAATGTGAGGTGTGCATGTGTGCTCGTGTGTGTGTGTGAATTGTGCTTTTTTGTGTGGGGAAGGGGTAGAAGAGACATTTTTTTTCTCTTCCAAACCCAGGGGGCAGTAGTTATGTAGTAAAAGCAAACACCCTCCTCCTGTCAAGAAAAGGCTTAACTCAGGAGATTAACTGGAAGTGAAAATATATACAGATCTTTCTCATTCACAATAAGTTTACATTGAGAAGCTACCACCAAAACCCATCCCTCCAGACATTCCTCTGTTCAGAGGGAACTGTAGTGAGAGAGAAAAAGCATTAGATATGGGATCAGAACATGCACTCTGCTACTTTCTAGTGATGTGAGGCCTTGAAAATGTTACCTTTTATTTCTTCATTACATTATCCTTCATTCTTCTAAAAATGAGCTGAGGCTGCTTGCAATAAACATTGCTTACTATTTCTGAGCCTCAGTTTCTTTACCCTCTTAAGTAAGGCTAAAAAATGACATATCTACCTTTCTTTGTGGTTTCACTGTGAGGAACAATGATGAAATATTTATTTGGGATGAAAGTCCCTTGTAAATGATAAACCATTTCCCAAATATAAGGAGGTTTAATTGTTCATTAATTTGCACAGAATCCTAGAATCATGTATTCTATCTGCTTCATAAAATTCATCTTTCCTACATCCACTTCATAAAGACATTAAAAATGAATGCCATTATATAATATGAAAATGCTTCAGAAATAGCAGCACTTGGCTGGGCATGGTGGCTTACGCCTGTAATCCCAGCACTTTGGGAGGCTAAGGTGGGTGGATCACTTGAGGTCAGGAGTTCAAGACCAGCCTGGCCAACATGATGAAAACCCGTCTCTACTAAAAATACAAAAATTAGCTGGGAGTGGTGGCAGGCACCTGTAATCCCAGCTACTTGGGAGACTGAAGCAGAAGAATCACTTGAACCCAGGAGGCGGCCGGCCATTGCAGTGAGCCGAGGTCGCACCACTGAACTCCAGCCTGGGTGACAGAGTGAGACTCTGTCTCAAAACAGGAAAGAAAAAAAAAAGTAATAGCACTTCATACTCCTTAGGATGGCTATTATTAAAAAAAAAAATCAGAAAACACAAAATGATAGAGGATGTGAGAAATTTGAACCCATGTGCACTGCTGGCAGAAATGAAAAATGGCACAGCTGCTACAAAAAATGGTATGATCGTTCCTCCAAAAATTAAACATAGAATTACCATATGATCCAGCAATTCTACTTCTGATTATATACCCCCGAGGAACTGAAAACAGGGTCTCAAAGTGGTATCTGTACACCATGTTTACAGCAGCATTATTCACAATAGCCAAACTGGAAATGGCCCAAATATCCATCGACAGATGAATGGATAAAAAATTTATAATTATATACATACAATGAAATATTCATTCTGACATATGCTATAACATGGATGAACCCTGAGGACATCATGCTAAGTGAAATAAGCCAGTCAGAAAAGGATAAATATTGTACGATTCCACTTATATGAAGTACCTAGGGTTGTCAAATTCATACAAACAGAAAGCAGAATGTTAGTTGCCAGGGGCTGGGGAAAGAAGGGAATGGGAGTTATTGTGGCTTTTTTTAGAAATTTTAAAATATTGGTTTTTTTTTAAAGAAATGGCACTGAGGACCATAAATTAAATTATACATAGTTTTGCATCAATAATAAATTTTCTGTATTAATTGTCTTGTGATTATGTAAGAGAATGGCCTTGTTCTGAGGAGATACATGCTGATATATTCAGGTGTGAAATGTCATGATATTTACATATATCAAATGCTTTAAACACCAAAATGTTCTACGTGTGTGTGAGTAGCTGCATGTATACATAGAGAGAAAGAAAGTGCTAAAGCAATTGGGACAAAATGTTAACAGCTGATAAATCTAAACAATTTTATGTTTGTTTCTTTTCCTTAAAAAAAAGCTTTGTTAATTAGTTTTTAGAAAAATGATATACACTTTTTTAAACCTGGGGGGGGGGGCAATAGTGCTAAGCATAAAAATTGAATTGCAAACACTGCATGTATACTACCATTATAATTATGTAAAAATGGTGTATACATATGCATGAAGTTTGGAAGGGAAAATGAAGAGTTTTACACGGCAAGGTAGAGTGATTATGGCAGTTTTTCTTTCCTTGTGATTTCTGCTGATTTGAAAGTTCACACAATTGGCCGGGTGCAGTGGCTCATGCTTGTAATCCCAGCACTTTGAAAGGCTGAGGCAGGGAGATTACCTTAGGTAAGGAGTTCAAGGCCAGCCTGGCCAACATGGCGAAACCCCGTCTCTAATTTATACAAAAATTAGCTGGGTGTGGTGGTGCACACCTGTAATCCCAGCTACTCGGGAGGCTGAGGCAGGAGAATCACTTGAACCTGGGAGGCAGAGGTTGCAGTGAGCTGAGATCACGCCACTGTACTCCAGCTTGGGTGACAGAGAGAGACTCTGTCTCAAAAAAAAAAAAAAAAAAAGAGTTCACACAATTGAAAAAGAAAAGGCCTTTACCTCTGGGCCCTGGGGGATTCTTCTGCATGTGCTTGCTGTTGCAGATGTCCTGGATGTTCTGGACCACGTCGGGGTTCAGCCCGTGCTCCCTCATGATGGCCAGCACCTTTCTGTCCATCAGGTTATGGGACCGGAGGCAGTTGGGAAAACGACAGTTCCCTCGGGTGAAGTGGTCACAGATGTGGAGTCTTGAACACGGTGGCTGCTGGTTACAAATCTGCTGCCGACCCTCTCCCTTATAACTTTTGCATATCTACAGAAGGGAGAAACAACAGCCAGAGTCAAAACACCTTCTTGTATTTGCCAAACATTCATTAAGGCAAGCTCACGTGTGCAAAAATCTCTGAAGCAAGCAGAGATATACCAAAGGGGGAAAAATACATGCATATTCTGCAGTCTTTGATGAGTCACATTCAGTTGGTGATTTACTTGGGGCAGAAGAGGTCCACAGACTAACCAAAAGATACTGATCAATTTGATAACCCTTGGAAGAATCAATGTAAGCTGGTTAGCTACAAACAGGACCCAAAGTGAGCCCTATATCATGAAGGAACCCAGCACAGGAAGGCTCATCTTTGGTTATCAACTCACTTTGCAATGAAAAGGACATGTGGGTCTTACCTGCAACTGTTTGGAAATCCAAAATTTAGACTCTGCTAGGCAGAATGACATTTCTCAAAAGATTGCCTAAAGAAGATAAGTTTTGTATTTCCATCTAAATAGATACATGTACGTGACTAGCTCTGAAGAGATGTAGTCCCTACTGGAAAGAGGGCAGAGAAAATACTGCAGCTGAGGCCACGCCATATGATACAGAACTGGAGGATGCTGGTTTTAAAATCTGAGGCCCTGGAAGCAGCTGTGTGACCTCAAGGGATCCCTTACCTACTCTTAGCCTCCGTTTCCTTTGCTGTAACAGGAGGAAAAGATTTGTTCTGTCTACAAAAACCAAGTTGTTAAGCAGACTAAATAGCAAAATTTGTAAATGCGTTATGCAAAATATAAAGTGTGATGCACGTGTTTGAACCATGAAATGAGGAAACCAATATAATTAGTAAGAAACCTGAATTTCAGACATTTTAATGAGTCACTTCGATAGACTCTGAGCAAACCAGATCAGTATGGTTCACTGTGATCTGTCTAGATGGCAAGCCATGATTCAAACCCCACTAGCAATGATTTTGCCACATGGATAATCGCTAAAACCTGATTCAAATAGATATATGTAACTGCTATCAAGTCTATGATCCAGATTCTAGACTCTAGACCAGCAATTCTCAAAGTGTGGTCCCCGGACCAGCACCATCAGCACTACCTGTAAATTTGTTAGAAATGCAAATCTTCAGGCACTTGCCCATATCTATAGAGTCTGAACCATCAGAGGTGGGGCCCAACAGTCTGTGTTTTAACAAACCTTCTGGATGATTCTGATGTCCGCTAAAGTTTGAGCTGTAGCAAAAAAGCACCATTAGCAACTTCACAAATGATGTTTTGGTAACATTCCTATTCCCACGCCGATATTAAGCAAGAATGCTCCTGCCTTCATTAGACCAGAACAAATGAAAGCATTTCTTCCTTTAAGAAGCACATTTCAATTGTACAAGTTTATATATCAGGCAGTCAGGTTTGCCTGATCTTTTTATGTTCTCACAAGTCAAAGCAAAATGAAAAAGTGTGAATACGTAGTTTTTTAGGGCTGAGTGTGTGGCTTCCCACTGGTTACCTCCAGTATTTTAACATTGTGACTAACACTTGCAGGTGCTTTTAAATGTTAGTTGAATGAATGCAAAGCAATCAATGAAGTGACTGGAAACATTTCACTGTGGTCCCCATCTCACACCCCCTAAACCACAAAGCTGTTTCTCTGCACTGCCTCTTACACTTAACTTCGCCCCTCTCTTCCTCCTCTTTCCTTCTGATAAAATCCAAATCAGCCAGGCACAGTGGTTCAGGCTGGGCATGGTGGCTCACACCTGTAATCCCAGCACTTTGGGAGGCTGAGGCGGGAGGATCACCTGAGGTCAGGAGTTTGAGACCAGCCTGGCCAACATGGTGAAACCCCATCTCTACGAAAAATACAAAAAATTATCCGGGTGTGGTGGTGTATGGCTGTAATCCCAGCTACACGGGAAACTGAGGCAGGAGAATTGCTTGAACCCGAGACGGAGGTTGCAGGACCTGAAATTGCACCACTGCACTCCAGCCTGGGAGACAGAGTGAGACTCCATCTCAAAAAAGAAAAAAAAAAAAATCCAAATTGCCCAAACAACAGCTGCAAATCTGCAGGGATAATTCCTCCATCTTTAGAGAGCCATCCTGGACCAACTCTTCTTGAAATTAGCTGAACTCTGGCTGACTCCTCCTGCCAAAGCCCTATGAAAAAATTCCATCCTACTCCCCTAAGTTAAAACACTCCTTTAGAGCCTTCTCTTGCCCAGCATTCTTGAACAAAAACTTATACCAACAGTACTAACTCATGCTAACTCCAGAAACCAGCTCCTCAGACCTCTAGTTCAGGAAATAATGCAGTCCCCCATTCTGGGATCTTAACTCTGACGAGTGGAAAACAGCAATTAAATTATTAGCTAAAAATAAGCTTCAGGCAAGAACCTCCCCACCCCACCCCACCCTCTAATTGTGGGTACTGAATTCTAACAATGGAAAGGGAGCCTTGGGTGATGCTGACCTCTTGTTTGCACTGTTTGATAAAAGTATGATGACAACATTTTCCTATAGGGACCCTCACAGCACTGTAGTCAATGGGCTCTTCTGGGATCCCTTACACAACAGTGCCTTGTCTTAGGTTCATATCTGCCGACCTCCTCCCTAGAAAAGGGAAGTGATATGGTTTGGCTGTGTCCCCACCCAAATCTCATCTTGAATTGTAGTTCCCATAATCCCCACGTGTCATGGGAGGGACCTGGTAGGAGGCAATTGAATCATGGGGGCAGTTACTCCCATTCTACTGTTCTCATGATAGTGAGTTCTCACAAGATGTGATGGTTTTATAAAGGGCTTCCCCCTTTGCTTAGCACTCACTTCTCTTGCTTGCCACCATGTAAGATGTTCCTGTTTTGCCGTCCACCACGATTGTAAGCTTCATGAGGCCTCCCAGCCATGCAGAACTGTAAGCCAATTAAACCTCTTTTCTTTATAAATTACCCAGTCTCAGGTATGTCTTCATACTGCATGAAAATGGACTAATACAGGAAGACTGTCCTTATTCTCCAGGAACTCAACGTAGATGTGTGGCCCGATGTTAAAAGTACCTGTTACTTTTGAAGAACTGAAGCAGCGATCAGACATGATGAATGGCCTTTCTAAGCCTCCGGGTTAACACTAGACTAAGGATAGACCACAAAACACCTTCTCTCAAGTGCCATGACAAGACTGCATCTTGTCATTCCCTCAATGAAAGAAAAAGGATGATATGTCTCTGATCATCAGCAGGAGCTTTAACGGGAATGATGTGTAAGGCATTTTTCCCGTGCTGGTAGTCATGGAGGACTGGGTTAGTACCTAGGCCAAGGGCCATAGATATCCCAAGACAAGACCTTTAAACCTTGGACTCCTGGAAATGAGACAGAGAGAGACAGAGAAAGAGGGAGAGAGAGAGAGAGACAGAGGGACAGAGACAGAGAGAGAGAGAGAGAGAGGGAGACAGAGACAGAGAGAGAGAGAGAGAGGGAGACAGAGAGAGAGAGAGAAACAAACCCAAGTATCTAGATAGAAGAATGCACGGGGCTGGAGAGCAAATGGGACATATTTTCCTCCCCCAACCCCCAACAAGTCTTTATAATGTGTCTTGCATTCATATCTCTCCTGAGCTCAGTGGCCAACTCAAAATCACTTCTCATGTTATAAGATTTTTAAGTTCTTAGGGAAACACACTGAGTTCAGAGTCAAAAAGTATTTAAGCCTCCAGAAGTCCCCAACAGCTATCTCATTGTGTATAAAAGTGCATCTGAGCTGGGTGCAGTGGCTCGCACCTGTAATCCCAGTACTTTGAGAGGCTGAGGCAGGAGGATCACTTGAGCTCAGGAGTTCGAGACCAGCCTGGTCAACATAGTGAGACCCTGTCCCTACTAAAATTTAAAAAAAAGTTAGCCAGCTATGGTGGTGCATGCCTGTAGTCCCAGATACTTGGGGGGCTTAGGCAGGAGGATAACTTCAGCCCAGGAGGTCAAGGCTGCAGTGAGCCCTGATCATGTCATTGCACTACAGCCCGGGTGACAGAGCAAGATCCTGTCTCAAAAAAAAAAAAAAAAAAAAAAAAGAAAAAAGAAAAAAAAAGTGCAACTGAATTTCAACTTTACTTACATTTTCTCCATCCCTTCCACTCACCCATTATGTTTCTATGCCTCTCTTTAACTGTGAGGCTAACTTCTCTATTCATGGATTTTATCCAGCCAGATACCAGGCTTAAACAGTATTCTCTGATCCTTAAGTCTATATTCCTGAGTGGATGAAACTGTTAATTATCCACCATTGTCCCCGTCTTTCTTCTAGTAATAGAAGCTCCCAAGTTTTAGGTAGACACATGGTTACCCAGACAGAAACTACATTTCCCAGACTCCCTTTCAGCTAAGTGTGACATGTAATAATCTCTGGTCAATGTGATTGAGCAGATGTGCCATATACAATGTCCATGTCACATCTTTTAAAAAAGGAAACTGCTTGCCTTCCATTTACTTCCTCTCTACATTTCCACTGGCTAGAAAATGGTGACAGTGAGTACAGACTCATTGTACACAGAGACGGAAGCCACATTTTGAAGATAACAGAGCTGACCTACTGACCTGAGCCCCTTGATGACATCATTGAGTCTAGCTGCCCAACAACTCAGGCTACCCCCCTGTCCATATGCAGGAAAGACCAAGAGTTGGCAAATCTTTTCCATAAAGGATCAGATAGTAAATATTTTAGGCTTTGTAGGCCATTCTGTTTCTGCTGCAACTACTCAACTCACCCTTGCAGGGTGAAAGCAGCCATAAACGAATAGGTGTGGTTGTGTTCCAACAAAACTTTGTTTATAAAAACAGGCCGGGTATGGTGGCTCACACCTGTAATCCCAGAACTTTGGGAGGCCAAGGTGGGCAGATCACTTGAGGTCGGGAGTTCGAGGCCAGGCTGGCCAACATGGTGAAACCCTGTCTCTACTAAAATATAAAAATTAGCCGGGCATGGTGGCAGGCACCTGTAATCCCTGCTACTTGGGAGGCTGAGGCAGGAGAATTGCTTAAACCTGGGAGGCAGAGGTTGCAGTGAGCTAAGATCGTGCCACTGCACTCCAGCCTGCGCAACACAGCGAGACTCCATCTCAAAAAAAAAAAAAAAAAAAAAAAAAAAAGGGTGGCAGGCCAGATTTGGCCTCTGGGTTATAGATTGCTGACCCCTGACCTAGATTATCAAGAGATAGAGAAACAAAATTACATTTTATTTGAATCACTGTATTTTGAGGGGGTCTCTGTTACAACAGCTTAGCCCATACCCTCATCTTCCCCGCCAACTTCCCAACCTCATTCCAAAGTCCATCTCCTCCAAGAAGCCACCTTGATTTAAAGCATCAAGTAGTCTGACTACTATCAGATCTTCAGCTCATACTTACTCACACAGGGTTCCCTTGCAGCCCAGTGGAAGAGGTATTCCAGACTCAAATTCTTATAAAACCTCAAATAGGAGAGAAATTTCTGGGATCTCTTAGTTCACTCAATAACAGCCTCGACTACCACCTGCAGAACCCTGGCATTAATTTTGAATTTTCTCTGCTCCTACTCCAAAATATCTGTGACACAATACTGCCAGTAATATTCTCCCTCCTTAAACTGAGGAATCACAACTTACCTCGGGCATAAAAAAAGGATCACTTTGGAGGAGGAGCACTGCTAATTCCTCTTTGTTCAGTCCAGAGAGTTCGTGATTTTTCAGGACTTTGAAGTTCTCTTCTGAGAGAACCTCATGAGAATATTTGCATAAATTCCTGGAAGAAAACACGACAATGGTCAGTATTTCTACTACACAGATGCAAAGAAACAGAAATCAGCCATAAAACTTTCAGTCTGCAAAGACCCGTGCCCATATTCTCTGACAACAGACACAGGTTGGTTCTGCTTAAAGAATACACTATATTTATTTATTTTTTTTACTTTTTTTTTCTGAGGCAGAGTTTTGCTCTTGTCACCCAGGCTGGAGTGCAGTGGTGCAACCTCGGCTCACTGCAACCTCCACCTCCTGCGTTCGAGCAATCCTCCTGCCTCAGCCTCCCGAGTAGCTGGAAACACAGGCACGCACCACCACACCCGGCTAATTTTTTGTATTTTTAGTAGAGACGGGGTTTCACCATGTTAGCCAGGCTGGTCTTGAACTCCTGACCTCAGGTGATCCATCCGCCTCAGCCTCCTAAAGTGCTGGGATTACAGGTATGAGCTACCACACCTGGCCCTTTGTTAACATTTTAAATATACTTTAAATATTAACAGTAATTTTTCATATCATTGGCTTACACCTTTTCAAAAAACTCCTTAGTGTGCTTAACTATTCTTTTCTTTGATCCTCCCTCCTTGGCCTCCCAAAGCACTGGGATTACAGATGTGAACCACCACACCCAGCCTATTATTTTCATTATAAACATTTTATTAGGGAATAAAATATGTCAATTTCCATAAAACAGTATATTGGGAATTTAATTTCTATTAACTCCATAAATTAGACTGGATATTAAGTATATCATGTTAATTTCATTAAATCTTCTGATTCTGGAACAGAAAATATCTCTCCATTTATTCTGTTTTTTCCTATCGTGAATTTAAATTTTTCTTTTAATAGTTCTCCTTCATTTCCAAAATATTGAATATTATCGGTTGCACTATTATTTTTTGTTTGTCACTGGTAAATAGAAATGCAAAATGATCTTATTGAAATTGATGAATTTTTGAAAATGTAAACATCTAGGTAAAAGTTATTCTCTAAGAATTAATTTTTAAAAGTCACTTATTCAATGCTATTATTTGTGTGTAAATCATGTCTGCAACTCTCTAGATTGCCTTCAGATCTTACAGTGTAACCTCATATGAAAAAATAGAGAACCAAGGACTCTGTCAACCAGGAGCCGAGACCTTGAAACCCGGCCAGCCATCCGTGTACCTTGCCTCCTGGAGAAGTCAAGGCCAGTCACTCAGGCTCTAGCGACAGCCTCTATCCTAGCCATTCTCCCAGGCGGGCCCTTTCCTTGCTTTCTCCACCCTGTGACCCTGGCTTCCTGGCACTCCTTGATAAGGTCGACCTCAGCTTTTTGGTCCTGCACTGTGGTTTCAGATAACCAGTCCCCGCCAGCCCCCACCCAGAACCCTCAGCAGCTGGGCTAAGACTCCACTTTATCAATCCCGGAGGAAAGACTCCTACAGCAAGAAGGGCCTTTGAAAAGTAATCCCCTCCAGCAGGCCAGGCGCGGTGGCTCATGCCTGTAATCCCAGCACTTCGGGAGGCCGAGGCGGGCGGATCACGAGGTCAGGAGATCGAGACGTCCTGGCTAACACTGTGAAACCACGTGTCTACTAAAAATAGCTGTGGTCCCAGTTACTCGGGAGGCTGAGGCAGGAGAATGGCGTGAACCCGGAAGGCGGAGCTTGCAGTGAGCCGAGATCGCGCCACTGCACTCCAGCCTGGGCGACAGAGCAAGACTCTGTCTCAAAAAAATAAAAAAAGAAAGGTAATGCCCTCCAGCCTCCACCTCAAAGCAGAAGTCCTCTCTATGGTGGATTGACCAGATGACTGTGAGCCTCTTTATCTCACAAGGATCTTACCTCATTGTTCTGACGGCCATTAGCCATTACCATTAATGTTTTCTTTTCTTTTTGAGACAGGGTCTCACTCTGTTGTCCAGGCTGGAGTGCAGTGGCACAATCACGGCTCACTACAGCCTCGAACTCCTGGGCTCAAGCGATCCTCCCACCTAGGCCTAGGTGCTGGGATACACACTTGAGACACCGTGCCACCCTAATATTCTTCTTGATATTGAGCTGAAAATGACCTCACTGAAACTTCCCACCACAAGACAGGTTCTGCCCTCTGGCTCTGATATATTTAGCTGTTGTACTTGAGCGAGTTAGAGAAAACGCCACACTTCGAGACGAATTAGGAGTCCGTTTATTTAGCCGGCGGCCAAGAGACGGCTAACGCTCAAAGTTCTCCCCGCCCCCGAAGAAGGGGCTAGATTTTCTTTTATACTTTGGTTTAGAAAGGGGAGGGGGGGTCTAGTTAAAACAATTTTACTGAAGTAAAGCAGGCAAAAAAGTTAAAAGGATAAATGGTTACAAGAAAGTAAACAGTTCCAGGTGCAGGGGCTTTAAGACTATTACAAGGTGATAGATGCGGGACTTTGGGCGTTATCAATCGGACGAATTCCTGGGAACTGCGGATATAGCTCGCCACCATATCTTATCAGTTAATTGCATTCTTGGATGTGCTGGGAGTCAGCTTGCACAAGTTAAGTCCTTGAAGAAGGGGCTGCCAGTGAAAGAGCCAAGATGGAGTCTGTCTGGCTCTCTTAGCTAAGGGAGAGCCAATTCAGGTGGAAACAAGGCTAGGTGATTAAAGGAAAGGGAGAGTCTAAAGACAGGGTTAGTAAAAACAAGGTTGGGCATTACATAGCAACTTGTTAGTCAGAAGGAATTAAGAATCTTTGCTTCCACTTTAGCTCCAGCCCAGACGTCCTGAACTTAGAGCCAAGCCTACGGCACCTCTGCAGGTCACAGAGAGATGCAGAATTGTTCCTGTCCTGTCCTAGCTGAGGAGTGTGGCACTTCCAGGGTCCCTGAAGTCAGCACTTCCTCTAAATAACTAAAGGAAGCCAGATAGCCTAATGGGGAGCCCTCTGCCTGGAACCTCAGGTGTCCAGGCTTTTCCAAAGGTGCTCATGTCTGAAAGAAAAGTCAAAGCTAGCCCATGCTGCACTGGCTGGGGTCCGTGGTGCTGCCCACCTGGGGGCCTGGTTTTCCTTCTCATTTTTCATCTCCATCCTCAGGCAAACTTCTTATTCCTCTAGATTCTGTGATTCTCACCCTGAACCCAGTCTCAACCTGCAACATCTCTGTCTCGTCTTGGTCTGACCTGCAGCCCCTTCCCTGGCAAATTCTGCTTCGTTTTCCCACATTCCCTAGACTTCTCCCCAGCGGCTTCTTAGGGGCTTTATCTTTGCCCTAATTTCAGGATATTGATCAGCCACGAAGGTGGGGCAGTTTACACTTACCTTCTACTTGGGTTAATTACAGAAATTAACATTTATTATGCATTTACTAAGTGACAGGAACTTTACCTATGTTATTTAATTTAGTAGTCACGATAATCCTACTTTGGGAAACTGATGACTGATAAAATGAGAAATCAAAGGTGACAGATAAGAGGAAGATCCAGGAATGAACACGCATCCCAAAACACAAGCAAAAACCCAAGCCGGAAAAATGAACAAAAACAGATCTGAAACTTTTTCAAACCAAAAAAATTTAAATCGGCATCCTGAATTATTTAAGCCACTGTTCCCCCAACTATTTAAGCAGGGTGCAAGCAGAGATCGTGGACATAAATCACATAAAGGGTGTGGTAGGAACACATTATGTGATAGGCATTATTTGTTGTGATTAGTGTCAGGCCTCTGAGCCCAAGCTAAGCCATCATATCCCCTGTGACCTGCACGTATACATCCAGATGGCCTGAAGTAACTGAAGAATCACAAAAGAAGTGAAAATGGCCTGTTTCTGCCTTAACTGATGACATTACCTTGTGAAATTCCTTCTCCTGGCTCATCCTGGCTCAAAAGCTCCCCCACTGAGCACCTTGTGTCCCCGGCCCCTGCCCGCCAGAGAACAACCCCCTTTGACTATAATTTTCCACTACCTACCCAAATCCTATAAAACGGCCCCACCCTCATCTCCCTTCGCTGACTCTCTTTCCGGACTCAGCCCGCCTGCATCCAGGTGAAATAAACAGCCTTGTTGCTCACACAAAGCCTGTTTGGTGGTCTCTTCACACGGACGCGAGTGAAAATTAGTATTGTACAGACAAGCTCAGCAGCATGGGCCACGATCAGAGCTTGAAGGGGGTCATGTGTAGGTTTCAGGTGGCAGAACCTTCCTTCCGACTTTCTTCTGATCACTCTGTCCCAGCTCCAGGTGCCTAATATTGGCTAGTGGGCTTCAGCCAGGAAATAGTATGAAAGTCTCCCGTGGCCTCTTGGGGTTTGCTAAGCTAGCGATGCTGAAAATTTGGTCCCTAGGCCAACATCATCAGCATCACTTGGGAGGTTTTCAGAAATGCAAATTCTCAGGCCCCATCCCAGACATCCCAGGGTGATTCTCAATCTTTTAGGATGCATCAGCATCACCTAGACAGGAGGTCCATTAGATTCCTGGGCCCCCACCCTGGAGTGTCTGAATCAGTAAATCTAGGGTTGGAGGCCAAGAATTTGCATGTCTAACAATCTGGTTTTACGAACATACTTGGAGTATAGGCAGCTCAGGGCCACCTCCCCAAAAAGGACAACAGGTCCTACAGAAGGTTGGTTAGAAGCTGTGGGAACTCCCCTCTCGCCAGTACAAAAAGAGCTCTCCTACTAATTATTATGAATTTCCCAGGACAAAACAAGCGTTTGCAGAATGCTACCCACACTTGGAGCAGATAAACCTCAAACAAAGAGGGCGAGTTGCAGTAGGAGGTGATAACTTAAAAAAAAAAAAAAAAACAGCAAAGACATCCTTGAAAGGAGCAGAATTGTCTCTCTTTAAGGAGCTCAGGCCAAAAGCCTAAAAACAAACGACCTTTTCACTTTTCTCTTCCAGCCACAGAACAAAATGTTATTTTAGCCCAGGCAATAAGCGCTCTCTCTCACCACGGGTGCAGTCTAAACAACTAGCCTGCACAGTGATTCTCATTCCTGGCTACACATAATGATCAACTGGGCAGTGTTGAAAATAACCTAACCCTGGGCCACACCCTGGAGACTGGCTTCATCTTACTGCGGTGGGAGCCCGGGTGATTCCCACGTGCAGTCTGAGCTGAGAATCACTGGATGCGCTTGTCAGATTTGATTCTGAGTTAGATTCCTGAACTGGATGTTCACCTCGGAGCTCTTGCACTTCACAAATCGGTAAACACAGGACTAGCTCTGAACTCAACAGTCAGACCAAAAAGAGACAGTAACCCGAGTCTTTTTTTTTTTTTTTTGGACAGTAATTATATCGAAGTACTCCTTCCCTTCTCTCCTTCATCCCCTCTGCTCCCTAACACCTAATAGGGTTGGCAAAAACAAAAAGATCGTTGATTTGTATAGAAAACAGGAAATCACTCACCATGATATAAGCCAGGTAAAAAAGGAACCAGGATGTGTGAAAGATAAAATCTAGAGAACATTGAGCTAAAGAATAAAATGTCATCAGTCAAAACCAACCCTAACGCGATATTATTTTAAAGCCACGAGGCTCCTACTCCCCATATTTGTACTTCTGATATTCAAGATTAAATTGCCGTGTTATTAGAGGGTAGGGATGGTTTACTGCCTCTAGAGCCCCTAGTGAGATGGAGGAGAAACAGAATAGACCAGACGAGATCACATGAGCAGGGTAACGAAGGATGTGGGGAGACACAGAGGGTGGAGCCGAAAAAAATGAGCTTCCTTTAACCACAACTGTATTACCCAGAACACAGCAGGCACAAAGAGAGCCCCAGCTCACTGCAGAAAATGGTGAACCTAAGGCTGCAGCCACGGCAAGCCACAGCCTGCACCGAGGAGGAAGAGGAAAGCACCGAGGGCCTTGCAAGACTGGAGAGCAGAGGAGGCTGGGCCCGCTGAGGATAGGGGAGGCCGGAGGCCAAGAATCCGCACATACCCTACAGTTGTACCAAGAGTGGGACAAACAGCACCGGTGCCACCAAAATATCATCTTTCTGTTATTATGGACAGTCTCTCCAGTCTTGACTTCTCTAGTCCCCTAAGTTCATGGTTCACAAGCTTGTTGCCCATTAAAAACCATCTAGGGACTTAAAAAAACAAAATCCCAAAGTCCAATTCAAACCCTAATTAAATCAGAAGGTAGGAGACGGGCATCAGTATTTTTTAAAGATTTCCTAAGTGATCCCAACATGCAGCAAAGTTTGAGAAACATTGCCCTAGGTCCACATCAGGACTGAGAAAAAGGAGAGTAGATGGCCGCAGGTGGTGGCGTTACTGCTACAATGTTTTTTTTTGTTTGTTTGTTTTTTGAGACGGAGTTCCAGTCTTGTTGCTCAGGCTGGAGTGCAATGGCGCAATCTCAGCTCACCGCAACCTCCGCCTCCCGGGTTCAAGTGATTCTCCTGCCTCAGCCTCCCGAGTAGCTGGAATTATAGGCATGCACCACCACTCCCGGCTAATTTTGTATTTTTAGTAGAGACGGGGTTTCTCCATGTTGATCAGGCTGGTCTTGAACTCCTGACCTCAGGTGATCCACCCGTCTCAGCCTCCCAAAGTGCTGGGATTACAGGCGTGAGCCACCGTACCCGACCACCAAAATCTTGATGATCAGAGAAAGTAGTTCACACAAGCCCCCTCTCCTCTCACAGGCTGGCTTCTCCCCACCACCCGCCACAATACTTCCCAGCATAAGTCCCTCTGAAAGTTAACAAATATTAACCAGAGAGAGATTAATTAACTGGTTGACAGTATTTCAGGATCCTGTGAGTGACAAAGGAAGGGGTAGAAGCCTCTAGAATTGTCTATCATTTGTGACACAAAGTTTGTGCTCAATAAATATTTATTGACTTGGTACCTAGGATGCCAAAAGTTTCCTATGTCTTTTGGTCTGTCACATAAAAGTCATAGAACCCCTAATCTCTGAGAAAGATCACTTAAAGAAAAATCTTTCATTTATTCAGAACTAAAAAATTCATTTCTTTTACTCACTCCCTCAAACTCGAAAGCCACATAAAACTCTGCATTTGCAGTCTTCCAGGAAGTGTACCCCCAAGGAATTATATGTTTCTGAAAGTGTGGTTTGACCCCTGCAAATGGATTCTTTAGGGTGGTATTTAAAAATGCAGATCCTGGGGGCGCAGTGGCTTACATCTGTAATCCCAGCAGCTTGGGAGGCTGAGGAGGGTGGATAGCTTGAGCTTAGGAATTCAAGACCAGCCGGGGCAACATGTCTCTATTGAAAATACAAGAAGTTAGCCGGGCATGGTGGCAGAGGCCTGTAATCCCAGCTACTTCAGAGCTGAGGTGGGAGGATTGCTTGGTGGGAGGATTGCTTGAACCCAGGAGGCAGAGGTTGCAGTGAGCAGAGATCGTGCCACTGCACTCCGGCCTGGGTGAGAGAGGGAGGCTCTGTCTAAAAAAATAATAATAATAAAAATAAAAAATAAAAAAAAGAAAATTTTAAAAATAAATGAATAAAAATGCAGATTCTCAGGCCCCAACCCTCCTCTTCGGAACAGAATTTCCAATAGGTGACTTGGGAACCTGCATTTTAGTAGACTCTCCCATGTGATGAAAATGCATGTCAAAGTTTGAGAAGCACTGCTCCAAAGCTAGGTAACTGCATCCCAGAAGCTACTCAAAACAATCCATCATGGATGGAAACAAATATTGGAACTCCATATATATATATATATATATATATATATTTTTTTTTTTTTTTTTTTTCTTTGAGATGGAGTCTCGCTCTGTCGCCCAGGCTGGAGTGCAGTGGCGCGATCTCGGCTTATTGCAAGCTCCACCTCCTGGGTTCACGCCATTCTCCTGCCTCAGCCTCCCGAGTAGCTGGGATTACAGGTGCCCGCCACCACGCTCGGCTAATTTTTTGTATTTTTAGTAGAGACGGGGTTTCACCGTGTTAGCCAGGATGGTCTGGATCTCCTGACCTCGTGATCCGCTCGCCTCGGCCTCCTAAAGTGCTGGGATTACAGGCATAAGCCACCAAGCCCGGCCGGAACTCCTTATATTTCTTAATGTAAAAAAATCTTTTCAGCCCAGAAAAGTATTGCCTGGGCTGAAAGGGCTGGAGGAGTGGGGGGACTCCCTGGTTAACTGAGAAGGGGCACAAGAGAACCTTTAGGGCTGATGAAAATGTTCTGTATCTAGAGTGTTGTGATGGTTACACAGGGGCATCCATTTATCAAAACTCTTTAAACCATACACATTATTTACCTTTTTTTTTAAGATGGAGTCTCACGCTGTCGCCCAGGTTGGAGGGCAATGGTGCAATCTCGACTTACTGCAACCTCCACATCCTGGGTTCAAGAGATTCTCCTGCCTCAGCCTCCTGAGTAGCTGGGATTACAAGTGCACGCCACCATGCCCAGCTAAATTTTTTTTTGTTTTTTTAGTAGAGATGGGGTTCCACCATCTCTGGTGAAATTCCTGACCTCAAGTGAGCCGCCTGCCTTGGCCTCCCAAAGTGCTAGGATTACAGCATGAGCCATGGCGCCCGGCCTCCATACACTTTAAATGGGTACATTTTATTGTATGTAAATCATACCTCAATAAAATTGATTTTAAAAAGTTTTAAAAAGTAGAACAGTAAATAGTATACAAATTAAGAATTTTCCATCATAGAATGTTTAAATAAATGTACACACATTAGGAGTACATGCTCAAAACATTCTCTGCTGATAGGCATGCGGGATCAAAATGTTAGGAAACGATTTCCCTTAGATGACCTCTTTTAGCTTCATTTTCTAAATTGGTCTAAAACATATTAAAATATCTTCCCAGTGCCAGGAGTGGTGGTACACATCTGTAATCCCACCTATTCAGGAGGCTGGGGCAGGAGGGTGGCTTGAGCTCGGGAGTTTTAGATCAGCCTAAGCAAAATATTGAGACCCCCGTCTCTATTTTAATAAATAAATAAGTAAATACAAAATAATACATAAAAAATAATAAAATACTATCTCTTCCCTGTATGGGAAATAGAGAAAAGATCATGAAATAAGTCTCCCCTCTCTCCTCCCAACCTGAGACCAGCTCCCCTGCTGCAATTTGGTTGAAGTGATTTCTCACTGGGCCTGAAATCCTAGGTGCTCCTGAAACCTTTTACCCCTTTTTCACCTCTATGTTACTATGGCTTCTTCTGTTCCAAAGTAGCCGCAGGAAAAGCTCGCAGATACCTGGTTTGGAAGTAAATACAGGCAGAAGCAGTAAGCAAATTAGAACCATTTAATGGATGGAAAAATATATCTACTTATTTTAAATGTGTAATTTTGCCATCTCTGCATTATGTAAAAAGTAGAAAATATTGTGTTATCACATGCTTCATTTGTCACTATTTAAGATTTTATCATGGTTCACAATATTACAATGTCATAATGTTTGTTAGCTTAATTTCTAAAGAAAATTGCAGACACCGAGAGTCAAATTTGATCAAATTAAAAATTTGAGATGTAGTGTTTGTGAAAAGAGAACAAAAATTCCCAAATGATTCTTACAGGGTGCACCCTTTTGTGTCACGATGTTGCAGAAAACAGCATGTCTCTAAGGCCACCAGTCTGACAATAACATGACTCCATGGACAGTGCAGAATTAGTTACAGAAGGAACTTCAGGAAGATTTCTCCTAGATGAATACGCCCACACAAACAACACAGAACATGCAAGAGTAAAATGCAAATCATTTTTCCTTAGTGAAAGAAGCAGACACAAAAGGCCACATATTATTAGATCCCATTTACAGGAAATGTCCAGAATTGGAAAACAAACAAAAAGTAGGTTAGAGATCGCCAGGGGCTGAGGAAAGGGGAGAATGAGGACTGGTTCCTGATGGTTGTGGGGTTTCTCTTTGGGGTGATGAAAATGTTCTGGAATTCCAATAGTGGTAACAGTTGCACAACATCATGAATATACTTATTGCCACTGAACTGTACACTTTAAAATAGTTTTACTTCGGGAGGCCCAGGAGGGCAGATCACCTGAGGTCAGGAGTTCAAGAGCAGCCTGGCCAATGTGGCAAAACCCTGTCTCTACTAAAAATACAAAAATTAGCCAGGCATGGTGGCGCGTGCCTGTAATCCCAGCTACTTGGGAGGCTGAGGCAAGAGAATCGCTTGAACCCAGGAGGCGGAGGTTGCAGTGAGCTGAGATCACACCACTGCACTCTAGCCTGGGTGACAGAACAAAAAATAAATAAATAAATAAATAAATAAACCTCAAAAAAGTAAATAAATAAAATAAATAGTTTTAGCCATTTTTAAAATGGTAAAAAACAAACAAAAAATAAATACTTTATCTCAAAAAATAAATAAAAATAGTTTTAGCCATTTTTAAAATGGTAAAAAACAAACAAACAAAAACTGTTACAAACAAAAATAGAGTGCTATGATGACCAAAAAAGTAAAATGCGAATAAGAAGCAACTACTAAGATGCCAAGTAAGACAAACTTAAAAAAATGAGTAATAAGACTTAAAAGGGCTAGAGATCCAGAATATATAAAGAATTAAAACCACAATGAGGGCTGGGCGCGGTGGCTCACGCCTGTAATCCCAGCACTTTGGGAGGCCAAGGTGGGCAGATCACGAGGTCAGGAGATCGAGACCACCCTAGCGAACATGGTGAAACCCTGTCTCTACCCAAAATACAAAAAAAAAAAATTAGCCAGGGGTGGTGGCATGCACCTCTAGTCCCAGCTACTCAGGAGGCTGAGGCAGAATGGCGTGAACCCAGGAGGCGGAGACTGCACTGAACCGAGATTGCACCACTGCACTCCAGCCTGGGCGACAGACCGAGGCTCTGTCTCAAAAAAAAACAAAAACAAAAACAAAAACAAACAAAAAAAACCACAGTGATACAATTTCACATTCCTTGTATTGGCACAAATTTTTAAAAGCTGACGATACCACTTGGCCACTATGTGAGGCAAGGGAAGGCTCTTATTCTTCTGGTGGGAGTATAACTTGGCAAACACACTTCGGAAAACAATTTGGCATTATCACATAAAACTTTAAGAATCAAAATTCCACTCTCCCTCTCTTTCCACGGTCTCCCTCTCCCTCTCTTTCCACGGTCTCCCTCTCCCTCTCTTTCCACGGTCTCCCTCTCCCTCTCTTTCCACGGTCTCCCTCTCCCTCTCTTTCCACCGTCTCCCTCTGATGCGGAGCCGAGGCTGGACTGTACTGCTGCCATCTCGGCTCACTGCAACCTCCCTGCCTGATTCTCCTGCCTCAGCCTGCCGAGTGCCTGCGATTGCAGGCGCGTGCCGCCACGCCTGACTGGTTTTCGTATTTTTTTGGTGGAGACGGGGTTTCGCTGTGTTGGCCGGGCTGGTCTCCAGCTCCTAACCGCGAGTGATCCGCCAGCCTCGGCCTCCCGAGGTGCCGGGATGGCAGACGGGGTCTTGCTCACTCAGTGCTCAATCTTGCCCAGGCTGGAGTGCAGTGGTGTGATCTCGGCTAGCTACAACCTCCACCTCCCAGCCGCCTGCCTTGGCCTCCCAAAGTGCCGAGATCGCAGCCTCTGCCCTGCCGCCACCCCGTCTGGGAAGTGAGGAGCGTCTCTGCCTGGCCGCCCATCGTCTGGGATGTGAGCAGCCCCTCTGCTCGGCTGCCCAGTCTGGGAAGTGAGGAGCGCCTCTTCCCGGCCGCCATCCCGTCTAGGAAGTGAGGAGCGTCTCTGCCAGGCCGCCCATCGTCTGAGATGCGGGGAGCGCCTCTGCCCTGCCGCCCCGTCTGGGATGTGAGGAGCGCCTCAGCCCGGCCACCACCCCGTCTGGGAGGTGTACCCAACAGCTCATTGAGAACGGGCCATGATGACGATGGCGGTTTTGTGGAATAGAAAAGGGGGAAAGGTGGGGAAATGATAGAGAAATCGGATTGTTACTGTGTCTGTGTAGAAAGTAGACATGGGAGACTTCATTTTGTTCTGTACTAAGAAAAATTCTTCTGCCTTGGGATGCTGTTGATCTATGACCTTACCCCCAACCCTGTGCTCTCTGAAACATGTGCTGTGTCCACTCAGGGTTAAATGGATTAAGGGCGGTGCAAGATGTGCTTTGTTAAACAGATGCTTGAAGGCAGCAGACTCGTTAAGAGTCATCACCACTCCCTAATCTCAAGTACCCAGGGACACAAACACTGCGGAAGGCCGCAGGGTCCTCTGCCTAGGAAAACCAGAGACATTTGTTCACTTGTTTATCTGCTGACCTTCCCTCCACTATTGTCCTATGACCCTGCTAAATCCCCCTCTGTGAGAAACACCCAAGAATGATCAATAAAAAAAAAAAAAAATCAAAATTCCACTACTAGATCTCTAGGGAAACTCATGTACATGTACACAAAGAAGCATATACCAAAATGTTCAAAGCATAATGGTTTAATAGCAAATACTTAAAACAATATCAATTTTACTTTGTTTTTTCAGAGGCAGGGTCTCATTCTATTGCCCAGGCTGGAGGGCAGTGGCGCAACTGCACCTGACCGCAGCCTTGTCCTCCCAGGCTCAAGTGATCCTCCCGCCTCAGCCTCCTGAGTAACTGGGACCACAGGTGTGTGCCACTGTGTCCAACTAATTTTATTTTTTAATGTTTTTGTAGGAGCTATGTTGCCCGGGCTGGTCTCGAACCCCTGACTTCAAGAGATTCTCCCACCTCGGCCTCTTGAAGTACTGGGATTACAGATATTAGCTACTGAGGCCAGTCTCAATTTTAATAATAAGAAGATCAATATATAAATTGTGTACATTCATGCAAAAGAAAACAATGAAGACATTTCAGGGAATCAGAGTAGACCTTCTCTAAAATTGGTGGGGCCCAGAGCAAGGTTATAAATGGAGGCTTGGATACAAATGTCTAAATATTTAACAGTAATAAATCATGCTGAGCTGGGCTTAGTGGCTCATGCCTGTAATCCCAGCAGTTTGGGAGGCTGAGGCAAGAGGAATGCTTGAGCCCAGGCACTCGAGACCAGCCTGGGCAAAATAGTGAGACACTGTCTCTATACACACACACACACACACACACACACACACACACACACACACAAATTAGCCAGGTATGGTGGCACTAGCCTGGTCCCAGCTACTGGGAGGCTGACATGGGAGGATCGTTTGAATCCAGGAGGTGGAGGCTGCAGTGAGCCATATTTGCACCACCACACTCCAGAGTGGTGACAGAACAAGATCCTGTCTCAAAAAAAAAAAAAGTATATATATATGTATATGTATATGTATATGTATATGTATATGTGTGTGTGTGTTTATATATGATATATATAAAATAAAAACTTTAATACAAAAACTTTAAAATTTGTTGTAAAAAAATTTTTTTGGAGACAGAGCCACACTCTGTTGCCCAGGCTGGTGTGCACTGGCATGAACATAGCTCACTGTAACCTCAAAATTCCTGGGATCAAACAATCCTTCTGCCTCAGCCTCCAGCACTGCTAGGACTATGGGCATGCACCACCACGCCCAGCTAATATTTTTTATATAATTATTTTTATTTTTTATTTATTTTACTTGTTTTTTATTTTTTTATTTTTTTATTTTTTTTTTATTTTTTGATGGGGTCTCACTATGTTGTCCAGGCTAGTCTTGAACTCCTGTCCTCAATCCTCTCATCTTGGCCTCCCAAAGCACTGGGAGTACACCCATGAGCCACTGCACCCAGCCCAGGAAAAAAATTTTTTTTGAATTCAAATAATGACTATTTCAAAGCCTTCCGACTGGCATAAGCCAAAAAAGTCTGATAACACCAAGCATTAATTGGCCAGAAAATGAGGAAACTGGGACACTCAGACATATAAGTATAAATTGGCACAGCCACCTTTATACTAATTCGTCAGAATCTGGAAAAGTTGAAGCTATGTAACAATTCAAACCAACAATTCCACTTCCTAATGATCTACCCTGGAAAAGCTCTAACCATGAGCACCAGGAAACACTTGCACGTAAATTCTTGGCAGCACGATTTGGTATAACAAAAACCTGGAAATATACTATATATCCATTACTGGGGGGAATAGGTAACTGAACTGTGGTATAAATCCTATGATGAAATACTTTTCAACTGTTAAAATGAATAAACTAGGTCCTTGTGTAGCAATATGAATAGATCTCCAAAACACAGCATTGAATAAAAATTCTAAAACACATAAAATACTACATTTTGTATATGGATGCAAACATATACAAGAGGAAATTATAAAATCATGGAAGGACAAGATACACACCAAAATCATGATTGAAGCTGCTTCTTAGGAAAGGGAAATGAGACTGGGGATGAGAAAAAAATAACCTTAGGTCTGTTATGATTGTTTAGTATATTTTAAAAGAGGAGCAAAACTGAAAAATGTGAACACTTATTTATCCCAGGAGGTGAGTTATAACTTTTATGGGTTCAGAATAAATATTCTCTGATGCTTGCGTTTTTCAGTATTCTATTCAACTTGCGAAACAGTCAACTAGTCCTCTTCCCATCTACCCACCCCCACCCAAAATGTGAATTAACCGAAAAGGAAAGACATACAAACAGGAAAGAACCCAGAGGAAACACCCACATCGGCAAAAACCGCAAAGCAAGGTAAAGACCCTTAGGCAGCCTGCTTGAAACAGTTAACAGAAATCATGCAGGCAAAATAAATTTTTGAATTAATAACTTCATATAGTTACTGGACAATGTAAGTAGCTAGTTAAGAAGTCAAGGCCGGGCGCGGTGGCTCACGCCTGTAATCCCAGCACTTTGGGAGGCTGAGGTGGGCGGATTGCCTGAGCTCAGGAGTTGGAGACCAGACTGGGCAACATAGTGAAATCCCGTCTCTACTAAAATACAAAAATGAAAAAAAATTAGCCAGGCGTGGTGGCAGGCGCCTGTAGTCCCAGCTACGCGGGAGGCTGAGGCAGGAGAATCGCTTGAACCGGGGAGGCGGAGGTTGCAGCGAGCTGAGATCACGCCACTGCACTCCAGCCTGGCAACAGAGCGAGACTCTGTCACAAAAAAAAAAAAAAAAAAAAAAAAAGTCAAACAAGGCCGGGAGCGGTGGCTCATGCCTGTAATCCTGCACTTTGGGAGGCTGGGAAGATTGCTTAAGCCTAGGAGTTTGAGAGCAGCCCAGGCAAAATGGCAAAATCCCATCTCTACTAAAAAATACAAAAATTAGCTGGGTGTGGTGGCACATGCTTGTAATCCCAGCTACTCGGGAGGCTGAGGCAGGACAATCGCTTGAACCGGGGAGGCGGAGGTTGCAGCGAGCTGAGATCACGCCACTGCACTCCAGCCTGGGTGACAGAGTGAGACTCTGTCTCAAAAAAAAAAAAAAAAAAAAAGAAAAGAAAAGTTAGCCGGACATGGTGGCGCCCACCTGTAGTCCCAGCTACTCAGGAGGCTGAGGGAGGAGGATCATCTGAGCCTAGGAATTCGAAGTGGCAGTGAGCTATGACCGTGCCACTGCACTTCAGTCTGGGTGACAAAGCAAGATCTCATTTCTAAAGAAAAAAAAAAGGAAGTCATGCAGATCTAGGTTCAAATACCAATCCTGCCAGCTTCTAGTTATGTTACTTTCAGTAGATTTCTGAAAGGCTCCATGCCCGAGTTTCCTACAATAAGGATGGGACTTAAAATACTACCTTAGGAGCTATCCTAAAGACTAACCTGGATATCATCTCCAAAGTGCTTATCATAGTGGTTGGCACATAGTTATTTGTTCGATAAATAGTGATTATTTTTGCATCAGAAGTGGGATTAGAACTCCATGTGTGGGCATATATTTCAGCAAAGCAAATAGAAATATCCAAACCGATTCACCAAAACAATTATCCAACATTGAAGCAAGCCCTGTTGTCAACTAAAATGTATCACTAAAAACATTGCAAAAGAAAAGACAGGAACTACAGAATAGACAGGATAAATCCTATCTATAAATAATAGTACCACAGACAAAATTTTATACACCCAGCACAATGCAAATCGTCCCCCTGTAAACAGAGACCAGTTTAGTGAACTGAATAGTAATGTCAAGATGGGTATCAATTAGTTAACAGACCCCATTAACTGGTAATCTACAAAGAAAGTTCTTAAACTCACAAGTGGCAAGTTTTGGAAGACAAGGTTTTATTACTCGCTAAGAGGAGAATATTTTTAAAACATAAGTAGGGAGGAAAAAAACATGTTTTCTAGGACCCGAGGACAAAAAAAAAATTCTCCCAGAGGTCCTTATTACAACACTTTATACATTAATAGATTAAAAGTTTGTAATTCCCAAATTCAAAAGTGATATAAAATGAAATTAAAAATATGGCTCTGCCAATAAATGTTAGGAAATAAGATTTTATCACTCTACTAAAAAAAATAAACTTTATTGACTTCTCTGGAGGGTCCATCCAAATTTAGATAGACCAAATAATCCCTATATTATATATATTCTTATAAAAGTGGAGGTTAACAACCCAATTAACGAGTTTAAAACAGTTTTGCTGTTTCAAACCAGGGAAAAATATACCATAATAAACTTCATAAAACTAAAATTTCTAAGCATATTGCCTACAACAAATTGAAACAAAGTATTTAAATGTTAGATATGTAACATATGAAAACAATTATAGGCCAGGTGAGGCAGTGGCTCAGGCCTGTAATCCCAGCACTTTGGGAGGCCTAGGCCGGCAGATCGCTTGAGCTCAGGAGTTCGAGACCGGCCTGGCCAACATCGCGAAACCCCATCTCTACTAAAAATACAAAAAATTAGCCAAGCATGGTGGCACACACCTATAATCCCAGCTACTTGGGAGTCTGAGGCAGTAGAATTGCTTGAACCTGGGAGGCAGAGTTTGCAGTGAGCTGAGATCGGGTCACTGCACTCCAGCCTTGGGTGACCCTATCTCAAAAAATTTTAAAAAAATCTTTTTTTAAAAGGATTATGTCTATGTATCCTTTTCCCTGAAAATAAAAGTTGGATTTATAAGACAATCAGGGAAATTTGAATACCAACTGGACAATAGATGATATTAAAATTGTAATTTTTTTTACAAAAATGTGATCATTGTACTGTATTATGTTAATAAAACATAGTTCTTATGTTTTAGAGATACTAAAGTACTTAGTAATCAAATGGTTGCTGAGATTTGCTTTAAAATAACACATTGGAGTTGGGGACACATGGGGAATAGGGAGAATAAATGAAACAAAACTGGCCATATTTTCAAAACTGTTGAAATGATGGGTACAAGGGGCTTCATCATTTTTTTCTCTCTACTTTTGAGTATGTTGAAAATATCCATAGTAAGAAATAAAAAAATAAAAAGCATATGTATTTCATACTAAAAATCAACACTAGTTGGTGAAGAATTTGTCATAATAGAAAAGATAAGAACAGAAAAAACATAACAAAGCCTTCCAACCATGTTATTTGGTGTAGTGCTAGAACATGCTAGAATGTTCCTTCCTTTTCTATCCTCCACCCTCTGCTCTCTTCTCCTTCTCAGAGATTTCTTCAGTGACCAGCAATGACTTAGATGATTTCCTCGATACCCATAACTCCCAGCAACTCAGAAACAACCTTCAAATTGTTGCCCCACAACATATTAAAGAAAATTTTAAATAAAGGAACACATTCAAGCACTTTTTAAAAACGTTAGAGTGAGCTGAAAGGGTTTTTGCTCTAAAGAAATTTTTAAAAAAATACATTGCGTCCTCTACCTCATCCATCTAAAACACTTACCTTTGTGTGTTTTATTACACGTATATTGGGGGTGAGTGACTGGAGTTTTTGTTAGGTGCGTGATCAAAAGTTTGCCGACTGGTCGGACTTGGTGGCTTATGCCTGTAATCCCAGCACTTTGGGAGGCTGAGACAAGTGGATCACCTGAGGTCAGGAGTTCGAGACCAGCCTGGCCAACATGGTGAAACCCTGTCTCTACTAAAAATACAAAAATTGGCCGGGTGCGATGGTGCATGCCTGTAATCCCAGCTACTCGGGAGGCTGAGGCAGGAGAATCGCTTGAACCTGGGAGGTGGAGGTTGCAGTGAACCGAGGTGGAGCCACTGCACTCCAGCCTAAAAAGTTTGCTGACAACCATTTTAAACCCTGGGACACAAGTCAAAGTGTTTAAGAATGGGCCAAGTGTAAAAAGTACTGTATCGAGAAAAGTAATTGAGCAGAGCACATAGTGACAGAAAGGGTGGGAGGAAAGACTGGCCATTCATTAATTCAACAAGGCGTTCATTCAGTTCATTCAGAAATTAGATGGGAAGGCAGAATCCGCCAAGAAGGGAAAGAGACTTCACAAAAAGGACTTGGTGATGACAGATTGTGAGGAGGATTAAAACCCTGCCTGGGGGAAAAGATGAGTTTGACTCCATGGACAGGACACACGCGGGAGAGGAAGGGCTTGGGATCAAGGGAAAGGCCTGGGCAGCGAATGTGGACCTGGAAGCCATCTTTTTAGATGTGCAGCTGTCCTCGAGGGAGCAAGCTCTCTTAGGGAGAAACTGGGAAGAAAATCACTCAAGAGTCTTAACCCAAACCTTGCAGCGCATCTGCATTTAGACGAAAAAAAAAAAAGGCAAACGGAAACAACAGAAGCAGTGGCCCGAGACGTGAGCCACACTGCTTCAAAGGGATTTAAGAGAGTTGTCCCAAGGCAGGCGGTCAACTGCGCGCGCCACCGTAGAGAGACCACCCGGAGGGAAGGCCCGCGGCTGCTACAACTTCAGGAACCTGGAAAAGGGCCACCCCTGCTACGCGCCAGGCATCAGAAAAGCGGTGATGAGGGGCATGGGGGTGACCGGGAAGGGAGGGACAAGCAGAGAGACCTGCGGCTCGCTCCGGCGGAGACGGACCGGGGGCCCAGGGCGGCTGGGTTACTGGCTCCGCCACGTCTAGGGAAGGAGGTAGTAGGGAGGGAAAGACTCAAGATACCAAAGACGGGAGGCTCTTTCCTTCCTTCCCAAACCTGCCTACCGCTTCTCTAGGCCCTGGCTGGCTCCAGAGCACTTTATTCTTCTGATTCGTGCGGGCGGGCGGGGAAAGGGGTGGAGGTTGAGCCTGGTCTCCTCCAGGCACTAGCATTTTAGCCATTCTCGAGAAAATGTCTGGAGGTGCCGGAAGGAAGGGAACTGCAAAGGTAGAAGCGCGGGCCCTGCAGAGGCTCCCAGAGGGGAGCAGAGAAGGGAGTGGCTGGAGGCGGAGGCTGTCAGGTGCGGGGTCCCGGCGAAGCCGTGCCCCTCCCAGAACATTGCCCGCCTGGACAGTCCACCCCGACCACGGCTGCGGACAGCGCCCCTCCCTCCGGGTGCACTCACCGCTCGGACTGCGAATAGTTGCACCGGCCCAGCAAGTTGAGTTTGCAGAGATGCAGGTTATCGCAGGGTCTCTGGCAGTACTTGCGACGGCAGACCCGGGCTCGAGTGGTGGCCACCACCGATCGGGTGATCCCGGCCTCGCCGCCGGTCTCCAACACCACAAAGCGGTCGGGCCCGGCCACCTGCAGCACCTCACAGAGCTGCGGCTCAGACAGCGCGATCTCCTGGAGCAGCGCGTCCAGGGCCATGCGGCCCCCGTGGGCGCACAGGATTTTGGTGATGAAGCAGCACACCTCCGGGTCCGCCATGGCGCGCTGGCTGTGCTGGCTCTGCCGCGGCGCGGGACTCGGTTCCGCGGAAATCGGAAATCGAAACTTACAAGTGTCCAGGGGCGGGCGCGGGCGGTGCTACTGCTGGGCGCGCCCGGAGTCAGCGAGGGCGCGCTCTCCGTCGCCGTTAGCCCAGCCCAGCGATCCACTCTCGGCTCTCAGGTCAAGAGGCTAGATCTCACCGACCGGGTCCTAGTGGCAGGTTTACAGCCGGCCGCAAGGGCAACTGGGTGGAAAGAAAGAGAACGCGCGGGCAAATCTGCTGGTGACCGCCTGGGGTGGCCCCCTCTCGGTTCTAGGCTCGGCGAGGGTGAGGTTCTCCAGCCGGGCTCCGCGAGCCTTCTTTAGAAAGAAGAGAAACTAAAAGCGATCTTGGGGCTCTGGCCGGTGTTTTATAAGCCAGCCGACTGAGGCGTGTGACGCAAGTCCTGAGAGCCCTGTTGAGGAGTGCGCACCCCACCCATTCCCGGAAAGAGCAGACCCTAGCGAGCGCTTCCTGCGAGCCGTGCGCTCTGCCTCTGTTGGTAGTGAATCTTCCCAGCAACTCCACATGGTAGATATTATTATCCTCACCCTGAACTTGAGGAAGTAACTTGCACGAACACGCACTGGCATCAAGCGGAGCCCAGATGCCACCGAGTTTCCCCAAATCGCGTCCCCAGGCCCCAGATCGTGGTACCCCAGGCCCCGATGTGCAAGTTTCTCCTCCACCACCGTGCCCTCTTAAAGAACAACGATTGCCACTCTCCCTCGTTTCTGCCTTCTCACGAACTTTTGGACAAACCACTTCTTGACATGGTCTTGCTTACCTAGAATCGCTAACTCGGTGCCCTGAACCACTGCTTGTACCTCAATCACGGTGGACATGCTAAGACATATCCCAAGATTTCAGATCGGTTCCTCCCCGTAGAGATTGGGACAAGAACTTTTCCACCGTGGGGACGTACTTTGACCCCCAGAGTTGACATAAAGATTGTTTTTAAGTGAAAACATTGAGCTACAGAAGATGTAGAAAGAAATCTTAATGAAACTTCCCTTATCTGACTAAAGCAAAACCTCCCGAAAACATGGTGCCATTAAAAGCCTCTCGGAGTATTCAGCTGCCAGGAAGACAGACTGTCCCATTACCATTAGCACCAAAAAACCCAATGGGCTGGGTGCTGTGGCTCAGCCCGTAATCCCAGCGCTTTAGGAAGCCGAGGCAGTGGGAGGATTGCTTGAACCCAGGAGTTCAAGACTAGCCTGGGCAACATAGTGAGCTCTCTTCAATAATAATAATAATAATAATAATAATAATAATAATAATAATAATAAAAACAACCCGGGCATGGTGGTGTGCAGCCGCAGTCCCAGCTACTCGGGAGCCTGAGGTGGGAGGATTGCTTGAGCACGGGAGGAGGCTGCAACGAGCCGGGATTGTGCCACTGCACTCCAGCCTGGGGGATAGCGCTGAGACTTTGTCTCAAAAACACAAAACAACCCAATCAAAACTTCCAAACTCTCCTACTGAAGCCCTAAAACTTTCCTTTTTGTTAAGTTGAGGTATATAAACCTTTACTTTTGAGTTTTCTGTTACTGGAAGCTCCTGCATGCATGTGTAAATAAACTTTGTCTTTTCTCCTATTTATCTGTCTAGTGCCAGTTAATTTTTAGGCCCCCAAAGACAGGACACAAGTTGAAGAGAAAAAAGGTTTTTTTTTCCAACATCTTCAAATAAAATAGATGGGTCATTTGATCAGATAAGAAATACATCTTTTTAAAAAATAATAGATTCTGGTTGCTAACTTAGAAATTCTTCAAAATGATTAATGAGAATTCTCCTCAGTTTTGTCATTCATGGTATATAAACCCTCTTTCAGGAATAGAGTACTTTGTTATGAAAACCAGCCAAACATGGGGGCCACATAGGATCATCTTAGGATGTCTAAGAGGGACATCTTGTTCCCTCTAGTTGCTGCTTCTATAGTTGTCTTTTAATCCACTTGGCCTTATTTGTGGTCTGACAGGTTCCCAGGGACCTTTTATTATCAAATCAACTAAGTTCTAGATGTTTATTGACTATCTTCTATGTGGTATTTACATTAGTTAGTAATGTAAGGACATGCAGAAGTTTAAAAAACAGTCCCTGCACTCAAGGAGCATGTATGCGAAGACATGAAAAAATGCATGGAAATATAAGCAAATTCATGGGTAAATGCCACAATGGGAATATAGAAGATGAGAGACTGAAGAGTCTAGTTTGGCTACAGTGGTTGGGAGTACAGACATAGAATCTCCTCCAATTTGAAGCCATGAAAAATGATTTAAGGGCCAGGTGCAGTGGCTTGTGCCTGTAATCCCAACACTTTGGGAGGCCAAGGCGGGAGGATCATGACCATCCTGGGCAACATACTGTGAGATCCACCTGGGCAACATAGCGAGACCTCATCTCCACTAAAAATAAAAATTAGCCAGACATAGTGGTATGTGCCTGTAGTCCCAACTACTTGGGAGGCTGCGGCGGGAGGATTTCTTGAGCCCGGGAGTTCAAGGTTGCAGTGAGCTACAATTGTGCCACTGCACTCCAGCAAAGGCAACAGAGGAAGATCCTTTTGGAAAGGGAAGAGAGGGAAAGGGAAAGGGAAACGGAAATGGAAAGTGACAGAGAAAGGGAAAGGGAAAGTGAAAATGAAAGAGAAAGGGAAATGGAAAGGGAAAGGGAGGGAAAGGAAAGAAAGGAAGGGAAAGGAAAGGAAGAGAAAGGAAAGGAAGGAAGGGAAAGGAAAGAAGGGAAAGGAAAGGGGAAAAGGAAGGAAAAGGAAAAAAAGGAAGGAAAAGGAAAAGGGGAAAAAAGAAGGGAAAGTGAAAGGAAAAAAGAAAGGGAAAGTGAAAGAGAAAGGTGATTTAAGGAGTTCTGGGAAGGGAAAAGGAGACATTTTGAAAAATTTTGAAATATGTGCCATCAGAGATTGGGTTCTCCAGGAAGGAGATCCTGACATGGAGTTAAGAGTGCAGAACTTTCTCTGCACTTTTTCTGGGGCATAATGCCAGAAAAAGTCAAAGGAAAAAGCATGATTGATCCATGGGGCCTATCAGACTTTTGTGCGGACCTAACAAAGTCTCTGCCAGCCCAATGAGGAGCTCTGGAGTAGGAGTCCAGCTTTGGACAGAAAAGGCTAGGCCCTTGTACTGCCTTGCTCAGTCACCGGTGGGGGCCACCAGAGAAGTGGATGACTTCAGCTCGAATGCTGGGGCAGATCTTGAAAGAGCTAAAGCTGGAGGATATTGGCTAAACATGCTCCTCAAAGCTGGGCTGCAAGCTTGACCTGAGTGCCACCCTGTGTCAGCTGTAGTCCACCCTTTGTACTACATGGCTTTCTTTATCCATTTGTATTTAGGGAACAGGCTTTTCAGGGTCACTCTTCCTACAAGGAAGCTTACCAGAGAGAAATTAGTGGAATGAACTATAGTCCTTGTCACTGCAGTTGGTCTCAAGGCCACAGCTGGTGGTCTGGTCCTCATCATATCCCTCTACCACTATCCATTCCAATCCCTCTCACCCTTGGCCACCACCTCAGCTGCTCTCAGTAGCTTAATCTGGTCGGGTGCCCTATTTGAAAGTGGTCTGAGCACATCTCAGTCCCAGCTGGGCAAAGGATTACCAAGAGACACCAAAATAGGTCACCAGAATTCCATACATATTCCACCTGCCCACATTGTGTAACAACAGCCACACCTCCTGCTGACCAGCAACAGTTACCTCGAATAAGATGGCCATTCCCTTTCTTACTTGCTAGTCTCTGACCATTAGGAGGCCAAAGTACCTGGTGACAGCCATCACAGTAGTCCAGTGGGATCTCTGTGGTATCTCCAGGCAAGAGTGTGCCCCTTTGGGGAACCAAGACCTATAACTCTGCAGAGCCCAGCATTGCTGGGAGAGGAAATTGCAGGGGGTCATTGGAATTATACTAAGTAGGGCCACTCAGGCTTACCCATTCTTTCCAGACTCATGTATGGACACAGTACCATACTAACTTGACCGATTCAAGGCATATACCACGATGTTCTGGAGTCTGTGTCATCATTGTAGGGTATCAGCTCCATTCTGGTGCTTGACTCCATCTTTAACTAGCCATTCCAATACTTCATCCTATAGCTACTGGGTGGTGAAGTGTATGATAGGACCATGGATAGTACCATGTTCATGGGTTCATTCCCTCCACTTTCTGTGCCATGAAAAGATTCACCTGATAAGATGCTATGTTAAGTGTGATTCCATGTCTGTGGATCGGGCAATCTTTAAGTCTCCAGAAAGTGGTGCTACTGGCCGGGCACGGTGGTTCAAGCCTGTAATCTCATCACTTTGGGAGGCTGAGGCAGGGGGATCACTTGAGGTCAGGAGTTCCAGACCAGCCTGACCATCATGGTGAAACCCTGTGTCTACTAATAATACAAAATTAGCCGGGTGTGGTAGCACACGCCTGTAATCCCAGCTATTTGGGAGGCTGAGGCAGGATAATCGCTTGAACCCAGAAGGCAGAGGTTGCAGTGAGCTGAGATCGCACTATTGCACTCCAGCCTGGGCAACAAGAGTGAAATTCCATCTAAAAAAAAAAAAAAAGAGTGCTACTACTGAGGCTCTGCAGGGAGGAAGGGCAACCCCAAATCCAGAATAACTGCCTCTTCTTGTGAGAACCACCGATGGTTCTGCCAGGACAAAAGGGGCCCGATGCAGTCTACTGGTCCCCAAGTAGTCTATTGGTCTCCTTAAGGAATAGAGCTTAGCATTGGTCTTTATGGCTGGCAGATCAGACACTCAGAGGTGGCAGTAGCTGTGTTTATTTTGGCAAATGATAATCTATGCTGTTAGGTTCTTGCATCGCTTCCATCTCCTGGCCACCATGGCCTCTTTGAGCAGCAGTGGGGGAGGGGGCCTGTCACTAAGCCTGGCCAACATTAACTGGCCAAGTTATTTTGTGTAGTTGGCACATCTTTTGTGGGTCTTAATGTGATATGAACTGCCCACTTCCATACATCTATTCATATGCTTCCTTTTACTTTTAGGCTCCCAAACTCCCAGCCAGGCCACCATCACTGCCCATGAGACCATGTATGTTCTAACCCTAGGCCATACTCCTTCCATACGAAGTGATGACTAGGTACACTCTCAAAGCTCCTCCCGCTGGGGAGATTTTCCCTTACCACTGTTTTTCAAGGACTTCCCTGAGTGAGACTGTAATATAGCTGCCATGCATTTTCAGCTTGTACCCACATATTAAGCTAGCCCATCCTTAACGCAAACTTGGTCTTTTTCCCTCCTCCTTTAGCTGGTTATATGGGACCCCCTCACATGACCACAGGTGAGGCTGGGGGAGGGGTGCTGGTGCAACCGTAGTGAATGACATGGAAATCTGGGCTAATTGCTCATGCAGCTTGAGTGTGCGTGTGCCCTCTGGTCCCACTTGTGTTCAGTCCCAGATGTACCAGTTTTATCCTATGATGGCTTTGATACTGACCCGCCCTGACCTTATCACTTGGTGTGTCTAACAGGACGTAGCTGATGGCAGCCAGTTTTGAATCCATGATCACTTGGTGTCTCCACCAGGGCCCAGTAGAAAGTAGGAGCTGTTTTCTGAAAGGAGTGTAATCCTTCACTGCAGTTGGCATGACCTTGTTACACTATCCAAGGAGTCTGCATTGTGATTCCTCTATTGGGACTCACCATAAATGCCATACTACATCTTTTTCCATCACTGACATCTCCAACATGAGAAGCTGTGCCAGATTTTACAGTCCACTCAAAAGGGCTGCTTGTGTCACAGCCTGGAGAGCTCTTTCCTGTTCTGAGCCTCACTCAAAGCTGGCAATCTCTGTGTAACCCAGTATATGCGCAGCAGCAGTATTCTTAGGTGTGAAATGTGTTTTGTCAAGAACCCAAAGATTCCTAACAGACTTTGTGCTTCCTTCTTTCCAATAAATATAAATGATGCAACAATTTTTCTTTTGCCTTGGAAGGAATGTCCCAGCACACTGGTGACCATTGGACCTTTCAAATCGTTAGTGAAGTGGCAGGTCACCGTATCTTTGTAGGATTTATTTCCCACTCTCAGGAGCACATGTGTCATACCAAGGCCTCTACCATGCTCTTCACCTCTTTCTCATCCTGCTAGAGCAGCATGACATCCTCGATGTGATGGATCAATGTGATGTTACGTGAGATGTCCAAATGCTCCAGTTCTCTTTGGACTAGATTACGGCAGAGGACTGAAAAGGAACATAGCCCTGTGGCAAAACTGTAAAGGCTTGTTGCTATGCATTCCATATGAATATGAACTCTTTCTGATCCTCTTTCTTGATTGCAATAGAAAAGAATGCATTCACCAGATCAATGGCCTCAAACCACTTCAAACTGCATAAATCTGCTCTGGCAAAGATGCTATATCCAGTACAGAGCTACTACTTCCTTGCGGTAGTCTGAAGTCATTCTCTAGGAACCATCCCATTGCTGCAGGGTCCACACTGGCAAATTAAACAGAAACATGACAGGGACCATGCTTCTTCATCCTTTAGATATTTAAGAGTGGCACTAATATCTGCCATCCTCCTCACCCTAGACTGCAATGCTATTTTGTAGTTACCACATTGGCTGGGGTGGGGGACAGTTTCAGATACTTCCACTTAGCCTTCCCTACTGTGATAGCTCCCACTCTACAAAACCAGGATGAATGTGAGAGTTAGCCCAATTCCCAAGTGTGGCAATCCTAACCATATATTTGGGGATTAGGAGAAGGACGATTGGTGGGTTCATGGACCCAGAGAACCCACTGTAAGCTGGAACTCAGTCAGGACTCCATTTGCTCCCACTCTAACATGGAAGCGATGAGAATGCTTCAGTTCTCTGGGCATCAGTTGACCTCTGACCTTGTACCCAACAGTCACCAAAATGTCTGCATATTCCCCCATCCCGTGTTCCATCACTGGAATAAATATTGTAGATCTCTTTAGGGGAAGAATCAGAGGAACTGTGACAATACTTTCTTGCCACAGTGTTACAGGTCCTTCATCTTGGTGACTTGGCCACCACTTCACTCAGTGGGTTCTGAGTCTGAACATTGGTTCAGGAATGGAAACCAGGCAAGGAAATGTTTTCCTCATTGTCCTGCTTATTAATTCTTTTATTTTAGATTATACATGTGAAGCACGACAGATGCTCCTTGACTTCCAATGGGGTTATGTCCCAACAAATCCATCATACATTGAATATACTGTAAGTAAACAATGTATTTAGGCCAGGCACGGTGGCTCATGCCTGTAATCCCAGCACTTTGGGAGGCTGAGGCAGGCAGATCACTTGAGGTAAGGAATTTAAGACCAGCCTGGCCAACATGATGAAACCCCACCTCTACTAAAAAAAAATACAAAAATTAGCCAGGCATGGTGGCTCACACCTGTAATCCCAGGTATTTGGGAGGCTGAGGCAGGAGAATTGCTTGAACCCAGGAGGCAGAGGTTGCAGTGAGCCTAGATCACCCCACTGCCCTCCAGCCTGGGAGCAAGACTCTGTCTCAAAAAAAAAAAAAAAAAAAAAAAAAAACACCAAAAATGTATTTAATACACCTAACCTACCAAATATCATAGCTTAGCCTAAGCTACATTAAATGTGCTCAGAACACTTACATTAGCCTACAATTGAGCAAAATCATCAAACACAAAGCCTAGTGCATAACAAAGTGCTGAATATCTCATCATGTAATTTTTGAATTCACTACACTGTATAGTATCCGTTGTTTACTCTTGTCATTAGGTAGCTGACTGGGAGCTGTGGCTTGCTGCCACTGCCCAGCATCAGAAGAGGGTATCATATGGCATATCCCTAGCCTGGGAAGAGATCAAAGTTCAAAATTCAAAGTGCAGTTTCTACTGAATGCACACCATGGTGAGGCAGAAAAATCATATGTTGAGGGCCATTTGGACTTTTTGACTACCCACGCGTCTATGTTCTTCCTAGAGAAACTGTGTGCTATTTACAATCCCTACAACTCCCTAAAAGTCAGGTCCTGTTAGCTGCCACTCTGATTTTGTCATTCCGCCCTTAAGTGCCATCATTCTGGTGTCCAGTGCATCAGGAGCCCATCATCTTCATTGCTATCAGTGAGCCAAGTTCCAGGACAGCCCCTCCTTCCATCAACTATGTTCTACTGGGGAAAGCACCACTGAACTTATTAGCGACGTTGCTGTCCCTCTCACCAATGCGTTCCCTATGGCCTTGATGAATATGGCTCCTTGAGCGATCCTATGGGACATAATCCCCGGGTGGCTGTTCTGGCCTAACCTTACATCTATTTCAGCATGTCCCCTTTTCTGAGTCTTTTAATCCTTTCCTCTACTGCCTGACATAGCAATTTAGGCACTTCAGACTCACTCTTCATGAATCAGCACTTTTCCAGGATTCAGGGAGCCAACCTAGCAGCAATTTTGTACCATCCCCTGGTTCTTATCAGGATGCTCAACCTCGTATCCTGAGATGTGCCCTTATGTCAATAAATTCTCCTGTATACAATCTCATATTATTCCAGCTCACTTGACAGACCAGTTCTCTCAGAATGCTGAAGTTGGAAGTCAAAGTGTATGAAGTAAAGAAATAAAACAATTGAGTATAGAACATTCATTTTAGAGGATTGACAGGGAAGGGAAGGGAATGGGAAGGGAGGAGAAGAGAGGGAAAAGATTGTTCCGGTAATGAGAGGGAGAATTTTTTTTGTTCAACTGATACTTGCCCGTGTTTTTATTTTTTTGTTTTTGTTTATTATTATTATTGTTTGTTGTTATTTTACTAGAAGATCTGGGTATTTTTGAAAGTTTCAATGAAATAGATCTGAGGAGAGTGCAAAGCTGAAGTTGCTAGGGCATGTTAGGGTGACATTGAGCCATATGAACCTGTTGAAGCACCGATCAGAGAGGGAAGCAGAAAACACACAGGCTGCAATGAGTCAGCTATGCTGTAATGAGTCAGCTATGCTAAATCATAGAAATGAAAAGTACATAAACATCAGAGAGTTGAGTCAAATTTGGACATTTGGAATGTCCGAAGTCCCTGCCAAACAGGTGTTCTACAGGAGATATGGGAGTCGAGAGAGGCATTAATCAAATGGTCAGACAAATGGAGGAAGGCTGCAGTCGGGGGCAGGCACCAGGGATTTCCCTACCTCGAACCTGCATCACTGCAAGTGCCTCCGGGAGTACTGTACTGGCAAGGGAAGGAATTGCAGGTATACTTTTAGAATTGGAAAAGGGCCATATTCCTCTCAGAGGACTATTTACAAACTTTGTTTTCGTGGTGTTAAAATGAGGCTGCAACCCCTCTTCCCGTAACATATCTGAGAGCAGAGAAAATGGGGATGTAGAAATCCAGAGGTGGGGTTAACTTGGTGACAATGGCCTGATGTGGTAACCAGCTGGCTCCCAGTGGGTTTTACCCGCAGGTATTTGTAACTTTGTGCACCCTTCCACACTAAACAGCACAGATCTGTGTAATCAATAGGATACTGTCAAAATAACAGTGTGACCTTCAAGACTAGGTCATAAAACCACACTGTGGGTTTCTCCTTGCTCTCTCTTGGATCCCTTGCTTTGGGGAAGCCAACTGTTACGTTGGGTGGACACACAAGCAGCCCTAGAGAGGAGTCCATGTGGCAAGTAACTAAACCCTCCCACCAATGGCCAGCACTAACCTGCCCAGCATGTGGGTGAGCCAGTGGGAAGGGGAGCTTTCAGCCCCACTCAAGGCATCACATGACTGCAGCCCCAATTAACTGTGACCTCACCGAGACTCTGCGCCAGAACCACCCAGCGAAGCCACTCAGCAGGAACTGAAAGAGATAAGAATGTTGATTGCTTACATTATACTGCTTCATGCTTATGTATCTGGTGAGTCTTAAGAAAATCAGTGAGGTAAGTTTAATTACCTCGACTTACAGAGGAGAACACTGAAACTCAGGTTAGCACACATCGGAAGCAGCAGAGGCAGGATTCAAATCTGGGTCTTGCTGACTCCAAGGCATACAACCCTATGTCACCTTCAGTTCTTGCTAGCAGCTGCCTTCAGCACTAGAGGAGGAAGTGAACCATGTAACACAACAGGGTCTGGCACCTCAGCAGCTAGCTGACATAGAGGGGCCCTCCTTACAGGGCTCCCTGCATTGGAACACCTGATATTTTCCCATTAGCATCCTTTTATGTTTATATTGCTTTCTGATTTCTCAATTATCTTTCTGCCAAATAAACGGTTACACTAGCAATTACAAGCTGAAAATTATTTTTATAGCATTCTCACACAAAGCCACTTAGTTTTTTTTGTTTTTGTTTGTTTTTGAGATGGGGTCTCTGTCACCCAGACTGGAGCACAGTGGTGCAATCTCAGCTCACTGCAACCTCTACCTCCCGGGCTCAAGTGATTCTCCTGCCTCAGCCTCCTGAGTAGCTGCGATTACAAGCACACATCACCACGCCCAGCTAATTTTTGTATTTTTAGTAGAGATGGGGTTTCACCATGTTGGCCAGGCTGGTCTCGAACTCCTGGCCTTAAGTGATCTGCCCACCTCAGTGTCCCAAGTGCTGGGATTGCAGGCGTGAGCCACTGTGCCCAGCCCAACAAAGCTACTTCGTTTTAACTGCTATGAAGATAAGTTACCAGGAAGGACATAGTGGCTCAGGCCTGTAATCCCAGCACTCTGAGAGGCTGAGGCAGGAGGATTGTTTGGGCCAGGAGATTGAGCCCAGTCTAGGCAACATAGGGAAACCTCATCTCTACAAAAAAAATTAAAAAATTAGCCAGGCATGCTGGCACATGCCTGTGGTTCTATCTACTAGGGAGGCTGAGGTGGGAGGATCAATTGAGCCCAGGAGGTTGAGGCTACAGTGAGCCATGGTTGCACTATTGCACTCTAGCCTGGGTGACAGAGCAAGACCCTGTCTCAAAAAAAAAAAAAAAAAAAAAAAAAAAAGAAAAAGAAAAAAAGGTAATTTACCTTTTATATTGAAATAAATATTGACTCCCATATCTTTAACTCATTTCAGTTAAACTTCGGCCATAAAGAAGAATTTGGGAGTTCTCAAATTTCTTTTTAATTTTAGATTACAGAAAATTTCTACACAAAAATAGAATAGTACAATAAATGCCCATGTACTCATCATATAGCTTCAACAATTATCACCTGTAGCTGTCTCGGTCTGCCAACGTACTCATAGTTGAGCCACAACATGGTTATCCCTTAGTACTTATTAAATCGTTTTTTAAAAAGCACCAAAATGTTAATAAGTGTTGTTTCTTGGGTATAAATTTTATAGATGATTTACATTTTCTTGATTTTACTTCTCAGTACCTTCCCAAATTTCCACAGTGAATATGAAGTACTTTTGTAATAAGAGAAAATGCTATTTTAAAATGATTGAAAAAATGTCTTTTTTTCGGCCAGGCGCGGTGGCTCACACCTGTAATCTCAGCACTTTGGGAGGCCAAGGCGGGTAGATCACTAGGTAGGGGGTTTGAGACCAGCCTGACTAACATGGTGAAACCCTGTCTCTACTGAAAATACAAAAATTAGCTGAGCATGGTGGCGGGCACCTGTAATCCCAGCTACTTAGGAGGCTGAGGCAGGAGAATGGCATGAACTCAGGAGGCGGAGGTTGCAGTGAGCCAAGATTGCGCCACTGCACTCCAGCCTGGGTGACAGAGTGAGACTCCGTCTCAAAAAAAAAAATGTCTTTTTTTCTTTTTTCTTTTTTTTAGAGAGGGGATCTCACTATGTTGCCCAGACTGGAGTGCAGTCATTGTTCACAGGCATGATTATAGTGTACTATAGCCTCGAACTCCGGGGCTCAAGGGATGCTCCTGCCTCAGCTTCCTGCATAGCTGGGACTACAAGTGCATGCCACCTCACCTGGCTTGAAAAAAATGTATTTCTTTAAGGAGTATATTTTCAAATGCTTGGTCCAGGAGTCATTCTTGTTCTTGCTTGGAACAAGCCATCAGTAATCCTTTCCCCATGATTTCATATAGTTCACTAAGAGGGAGCAAAAAAAAATTTGGGCTTTATTTTTGAGACAGGGGCTTGCTCTGTCATCCAGGCTGGAGTGTAGTGGTGTGATTATAGTTCTCTACTGCCTTGAACAGGGCTCAGGGATTCTCCCACCTCAGCCTCCAGAGTAGCTAGGACTATAGGTGCACACCACCGCACCAAGCTAATTTTTTATTTTTCATAGAGCTGGGGTCTCACTATGTTGCCCAGGCTGGTTCTTGAACTCCTAAGCTCAAGCAATCTTCCCACCTCTGGCCTCTTGAAGTGCTGGGATTATAGGTGTAAGCCACTGTACCCAGCCAAAATATGGTTTTTAAAGCCTTCTCTTTTTTCAGAAGGAACAATCTCTATTAAGAAAAAACAAAACATTCTTTTGTTTTTTTGGCAAGGCAGAATATTTGTAAACCTAGCAAACAAAAAAAGAAAAAACTGATAGCCCTCAAACAGAGCCAATGAATAGATTTACTGTGGCTCTGTAGCAGAGAGTGGAGGATTCTTCTTTTCATGAGATTTTTTTTCCTTAAGGAAAATCAACCCTAGCAGGAAATGCCAAAACTTAGTGCCTTGGCATACCTTCAGCAACTCATGGCCCCGGTCAATGACAGAGACATGATTTCTACAGTGATTTCTAAGGACCTAGGGTCAGCATCACTGTGTATCAAGGCTGAATTGGAGAAACATAGACTCCAGAGCAGCACTCTAAGCTCTGGGCTGGATTATCTTTAAAATAAACAAACAAACAAAACCAGATTTAGCAAGACACAATTTACTTACTGTTAACAAAAAGAGTCAAACTCTGTAAAATAATTGAAGAGATTTATTCTGAGCCATATATGAGTGACCAATGGCCTGTAACACAGCCCTTGGGAGATCCTGAGAACATGAGCCCAAGGTGGTCAGGCTACAGCTTGGTTTTATATATTTTAGGGAGACATAAGGTATCAATCAATACAGGTAAACTATACATCGGTTGGGTCTGGAAAGGCGGGACAATTATAAATAGGGGCTTCCAAGACATAGGCAAATTCAAAGATTTTCTGATTGGCAGCTGGTTCAAAGAGTTATTATCAATAGAAAGGAATGTCTGGTTTACAATAACGGGTTGTAGAGACTGAGGTTTTATCATGCACATGAAACCTCCAGGTAGCAGGCTTCCGAGAGAATAGATAATAAATGTTTCTTATCAGATTTAAAGAGTCTATTCTATCCGTAATTCCAAAAGCAAGGAGGATATAATGAGGAATGTCCAGCTCCCCCGTCCCATCATGGCCTGAACTAGTTTTTCAGATTAACTTTGGAATGCCCTTGGTTGAGAGGAGGCATCCATTCAGATGCTTGTCGGGGTGGGGTGGGGGCTTAGAATTTTATTTTTTGTTTACAGTACTATACAATTCACCTATTCAAAGTGTATAATTCAATGCTTTTTTTTTTTTTTTTTTTGAGACAGAGTCTCACTCTGTTGCCCAGGCTGGAGTGCAGTGGCATGATCTCAGCTCACTGCAACCTCCACCTCCCAGGTTCAAGTGATTTTCCTGCCTCAGCCTCCTGAGTAGCTGGGATTACAGGTGCACACCATCATACCAGGCTAATTTTTGTATTTTTAGTAGAGACGGGGTTTCACTATGTGGGTCAGGCTGGTCTTGAACTCCTGACCTTGTGATCCACCCACCTCGGCCTCCAAAAGTGCTGGGATTACAGGCATGAGCCACTGCGCCTGGCCAATTCAATGCTTTTTAATAAATTTTTATTGTCATACAATCATCAAAACCTGGATTATGTTTTACAGTCCCTCAGAATCCACTGCTCCATTGCAGCTGCAATGAAATTGCAAGTTCCAACTTTGCCTGTTACCTATGCAACCAGGTTTTGTGTGCCTATGTTATATGTTTCATAATACCATTAGAGCCGTAGTTCGGAATAATAACTTCTTCTCAAGTACACTCAGTGTCATATTCTGCCCTTCATAACTACAGCTACAGTTCAAACAGCCTCTACCAGGATTTAGAGATTTAAAGCTATACCTAACTGTTGGAAGTCAGTGGTCATTTCAATTGATTTAGGAAATTCAGCAGGGTTGTTTATAGTATCATCAACCCTTCAGACCCTGGCAAGAGAAGCCCCTGCTCTGGGCTCTGTACTGTGGCCACATCCTAAGCCAGGTATGAAAAGTCCATGGAGTTAAGGGGTCATTGCACCTCTCCTGACCATGCTGTGGTGCCCAGGACTCTGAATCCCCCGCTGATGCAACCCCAAGCCTGTTTCCACACCTGAGCAGGTCTCTTCCTGGGGTCTGTTCTCCCTATAGGTCTATTAGGAAATGACAGATCACAGATGAGTTGGGTGACTACAGCTTGAATTTGTGGGCTGGGTGTCCACACACATGCACAAAGCCCTACATAGTGTGGGTAGAGAGAACCTGGAGTGAGAAGAGATGGGTTGTGGGCTGAGGGTTGTGGCTGGATCTCTTTGCATTGCCACATCCACAACAGAATTTTGAGAAGTCCGAGAATTCTAAATTGGAGCCTGACCTTCTTCATAATAGTATATTTGTCAAGGTAGGAGGATAAAACATTTTATTGAACAGTTTGCTAAGCTGATTTAAAATTTTCCAGCATTTAGCTATATGGTATATGGACCTCCACATGTATGATTTCATTTATATTAAATGTCCAGAATAGACAAATCTATAATGACAATAAAGAGATTAGTAGTTGCCAGAGGCTGGGAGGAGGGGAGAAACAATGAGTGATTGCGGACGGGTGTGGGGTTTCTTTCTGGGGCGATAACAGTGTCCTGGAATTCAATAGTGATAATGGATGCACACTGTGAATATACTAAAAGCCACTCACACTTTAAAAGTGTGGGTTTTATGGTAATTTGAATGATATATCAAGCTATCACCAAAAATACACAATGGGAGTTCAGAAATGCCACCCCAAACTATGATGATTTGACATGCTCATTACTTTGAACTGATGTCACTTGGGGAAAAACAGATGCAGGCAGAGACTTTCTCTGAGATCTGCTTATCTGCCTAAGACAGATCAAGGGATCCTCCAAAAGGAACTCAATTGTCATGAATCCCCTCCCCTGGAACCTTATCAACCAGGGACAATGAACTTAGATCAGAGAGGGGGAGACTGGAGGTTGACATCATGCCTAGACAGCCACCTCTTCTTCTGAGGGCTGCTCCAAGAGAACCTTTATTACTTGAGAGGCTTCTCATTTGCATAACAAGAAACCTTTGTTCACCATACACTTCCTCCCCTCATATTCTCATAACTGGTGTCACCACCACCCACGCAGAAGTCCAAAGCCTCTATTCCCTTCTGTACCTCAGGGTGCTATATAAGCTTCAATCATCTGACCCTTCTTTGAATCTCATATTTTGTGGGCTTGCATGGGTATGTACATAATTAAAAATGGATTTCCTCTTGTTAATCTGTCTTATGTCAGTTTAATTCATAGCCCAGCCAAGGAACTTAGAAGAGTAGAGGGAAGTCATTTTTCACTCCCCTACAAGAACATTCTGCTGTAAAGAGGAGCTAGAAATAATTTTTGTTTTAAATTCAACCAAACATAGGGATAATTCTGAAATTTGGAACCAAAAGAATTATAAGTACACTACTGGTGAATTTGTGCTTATCTGAAATCTACACATGTAGCTGTCTTTATGTATCTCTGTATATCGATGTTTTTCTATATATATAATCAGTGAAGTAAGATATCTAGTCATTCATTTACTCACCAAGTGATTGCAGTGGGGTGACAGGGACAGTGGGGGGTGTGGTGGCGGGTTGCCAGAGCATGAGGAGTATGCAATAGAATCTAAGAAATCATACCTACCTGGCCAGGCACAGTTGCTCATGCCTGTAATCCCAGCACTTTGGGAGGCAGAGGCAGGCGGATCACTTGAGGTCAGGAGTTCCAGACCAGCCTGGCCAACATGGTGAAATCCCATCTCTACTAAAAATACAAAAAATACAAAAAATTAGCTGGGTGTGGTGGCACATGCCTGTAATCCTGGCTACTCTGGAGGCTGAGGCAGGAGAATGGCTTGAACCTGGGAGGCAGAGGCTGCAGTGAGCTGAAATTGTACTACTGCACTCCAGCCTGGGTGACAGAGTGAGACTCCATCTCAAAAAAAAAAAAAAAAAAAAAAAATCAGACCTGCCTTCCATGAGCTCATGGTATACTTGAATCTCCATAGGCTAGTTATTCAGGAGGGTATGTAATGTAACTCAACAATGCACAATTACTTAAATTCGCTCAGGAGAATTACCTCATTTTGCCCAACTTGTTACTGTGAAAAAAAAAAAAGAAAGAAAATTTCAGGACCTTCCAAATTTATTATGCCAAAGGGAAAAGTCAAGCCCTGGAAACCAAGTCATGTAACACGGCTGTTTTTCTTCTCTGGTGCATGACTGTTGCTTCCTGATCTTTTTGTTGATGTTATACATTAACCAGCCTCTCTATTCTTTATTCAAACCTAGACTAAATGACGTTGGAGACGGAGACTCTTGTGATTGTTACCTCTTTACAACAAAATGTTAAACAACCCCCTTAGAGTGTAAACAACAGTAGTGAATTAAATCTTCTGTGTATATTAGCCTTATATAGAAAATGCTGGCCGGGCGCGGTGGCTCACGCCTGTAATCCCAGCACTTTAGGAGGCCGAGGCAGGTGCATCACGAGGTCAGGAGATCGAGACCATCCTGGCTAACACAGTGAAACCCCGTCTCTACTAAACACACACACACACACACACACACACACACACACACACACACACACACACAAATTAGCCAGGCAGGCACCTGTAGTCCCAGCTACTTGGGAAGCTGAGGCAGGAGAATGGCGTGAAACCCGGAGGTGGAGCTTGCAGTGAGCCGAGATGGTGCCACTGCACTCCAGCCTGGGCGACAGAGCCAGACTCCGTCTCAAAAAAAAAAAAAAGAAAGAAAGAAAAGAAAAGAAAATGCTGTAATATGCTGTAATTCTGTGCAACACACTTGTGGTTGCCTACATATACCACCTTCACCTTTCCCTACATCGCGGAGCACTGATCACCATTCTTTCTTTGGTGTCTGTGTTTACCTGATGGCCACTCTCACACTTTGCACTTGAATAAACTCTTTTAACTGGATCCTGAGCTGTTTGATTATATTAGATTGACATTTTGATGATCCAGAGACTCTAAGCGGGCCTCCTGAGATCTGTGCCTCTTTGCTGACATTCGGAGCTTTGGTGTCTACAGGAGCGGCTTTTGCTCATCCCACCTCATTGGAACTGGCAGGGGGCTCTGGCAAGGCTTCCTCTCAGGTTTTGAATCTCCCTGGCTTTGACTGAGATTCACACTTTACACAAGCGATCCAGTTCTATGCTCCACAGAGCTGGAATTGAAGCTGTACTTTAAGATAGAAGTTTTGTTTGCTTATTTTGTCTTTCACAGATTTATGACATTCACTTTTCTTTGAGGTTAAGGTTTGTTTGTTGAACTACTTGCTACACTTTGTATGGCCCTTTCGGTCATTCGAATTTGGTCAGAGGACAAAATAGGTTCTCTCTCTGAAAAGAGAAAGTGAATGTATGTGGCTTTAGGTAAATTTGTGGTTTTAGGCCAGGCCCAGTGGCTCACACCTGTAATCCCAGCACTTGAGAGGCTGAGGCAAGTGGATCACTTGAAGCCAGGAGTTTGAAACCAGCCTGGCCAACATGGCAAAACCCCATCTCTACTAAAAACACAAAAATTAGCCAGGCATGGTGGCATGTGCCTGTAATCTTAGATACTTGGGAGGCTGAGGCAGGAGAATTGCTTAAGCCCAGGAGATGGAGGTTGCAGTGGGCCCAGATCATGCCACTGCGCTCCAGCCTGGGTAACTGAGTGAGACTATGACTCAAAAAAAAAAAAAAATTGATTGGACCCAGGTTGGTGACCCAGGTTTTGGAGCTCAGTAAAAATTGACATTTAAGTTTAATTCTTGAGTGACCAAAAATTTATAAACAGGGTTCATATGAGGACATAAGTCCCAAATACAAAAGACCTTGTTCCTCCCAGAAGAAAAGCACCTTAGGTGATTGAGGTCATGTAAGAATGTCAGAGTCCATAGCTTGGGATGTGTAACTATGCTCTAGGGAAATCTCAAAGAAGAATATGCAGGGAAATCTGCTTAACTCGGTGGGCACACATAAGGGGTTGGGCTCCCAGTACCTAAAACCCCCAGAAATTTCTGGGTTTCATTGGGACACATAAGAGGGGAGAGGTGACTCATGGGTGAAACCTTGAGGAGTAAAAACTATTAAGCAGCACACTAGACCCAAAACGTCTTTCCCTTTCAATCTTTGGTCAATTTAAAAGAGGATACAAATTATGGACAACTGTTCATCTAAAACAAAGTCCTCTTTAAGGGAGGACCCACTTTTAGAAACTCCAGCTAAATTTATGTACAAGACTTACAGTGCCACCTCCTGTATATATATACACACAACCTAACAACCTACATACATAAATATGTGTGTATGTGTGTCTGTATGTTTTATGAGGCAGGGTCTCACTCTGTCATCCAGGATGGAGTGCAGTAGTACGATCTCGGCTTACTGCAACCTCCACCTCCGGGGCTCAAACAATCCTCCCACCTCAGCCTCCCGAGTAGCTGGCACCACAGGCACACCCCCATGCTGGGCTAATTTTTTCAGTTTTTATAGAGACAGTCTCACTACATCATCCAGGCTCATCTCAAACTCCTGAGCTCAAGTGATCCTCCTGCTTCAACCTGCCAAAGTGCTGAGATTACAGGTGTGAGCCATCGCACCTGCTACCTCCTGTCAGTATTGGGAAAAATGGTCTTACTTGACCCAAGAAGACCCTGAATTACAGTGGCCAAAGTAGGGTACTTGTGAAATGCCTAAGTTAGTTTGCTCACATGCACAATTAGAAAAAGCCAGCTCCAGAATTAAACAATATAATTTGGAGAGTTATTTCCAATGCTACCCAGAAGCATGCAAAAGAGGCTGTGACAGAGTTCTTTTCCTATAGAAAGAGAATGAAAAGCCTCTAAAACTTTTATTCAGAAAAGCTGCTGAAACTGCTGCTTCTCCTCCTTCTGCTCCCCCTTCTCTCTATCCCTCCTTATCACAACTACCTTGCCCAGACTGACCTTCTCTTCCCTCTCCTCCCCTTCCACCTGCTCCCACATTTTTGGCTTCATTTAATGAACATCCAGCATCTGGTAGAGGGAAACCTGCTTTAGTTTATCAACCATGGTCTAAGGTAGAACTTAAAGGCATAGTTAAATAATTCCCCGACCTTAACCAGGATCCTATTTGTTTTGCTAGGGAATTTGAATTAAATATCTGAGCTTATGGCCCTGGTTATTCTGATTTATATCAACTAACTCACATGTGACTATCAGAAAGTAAAGCTAAAGATTAGACAGACACAAATTGTCCCTGTTTGCAGATGACATGATTGTATATTTAGAAAACCCCATCATCTCAACCCAAAATCTCCTTAAGCTGATAAGCAACTTCAGAAAAGTCTCAGGACACAAAATCAATGTGCAAAAATCACAAGCATTCTTATACACCAATAGCAGACAGAGAGCCAAATCATGAGTGAACTCCCATTCACAATTGCTTCAAAGAGAATTAAATACCTAGGAATCCAACTTATAATGGATGCGAAGGACCTCTTCAAGGAGAACTACAAACCACTGCTCAACGAAATAAAAGAGGACACAAACAAATGGAAGAACATTCCATGCTCATGGACAGGAAGAATCAATATCGTGAAAATGGCCATACTGCCCAAGGTAATTTATAGATTCAATGCCATTCCCATCAAGCTACCAATGACTTTCTTCACAGAATTGGAAAAAACTATTTTAAAGTTCATATGGAACCAAAAAAGGGCCCGCATTGCCAAGACAATCCTAAGCCAAAAGAACAAAGCTGGAGGCATCATGCTACCTGACTTCAAACTATACCACAAGGCTACAGTAACCAAAACAGGATGGTACTGGTACCAAAACGGAGATATAGACCAATGGAACAGAACAGAGCCCTCAGAAATAATACCACACATCTACAACCATCTGATCTTTGACAAACCTGACAAAAACAAGAAATGGGGAAAGGATTCCCTATTTAATGAATGGTGCTGGGAAAACTGGCTAGCCATATGTAGAAAGCTGAAACTGGATCCCTTCCTTACACCTTATACAAAAATTAATTCAAAATGGATTAAAGACTTAAATGTTAGACCTAAAACCATAAAAACCCTAGAAGAAAACCTAGGCAATACCATTCAGGACACAGGCATGGGCAAGGACTTCATGTCTAAAACACCAAAAGCAATGGCAACAAAAGCCAAAATTGACAAATGGGATCTAATTAAACTAAAGAGCTTCTACACAGCAAAAGAAACTACCATCAGAGTGAACAGGCAACCTATAGAATGGGAGAAAATTTTTGCAATCTACTCATCTGACAAAGGGCTAATATCCAGAATCTACAAAGAACTCAAACAAATTTACAAGAAAAAAACAAACAACCCCATCAAAAAGTGGGCGAACGATATGAACAGACACTTCTCAAAAGAAGACATTTATGCAGCCAACACACACATGAAAAAAATGCTCATCATCACTGGCCATCAGAGAAATGCAAATCAAAACCACAATGAGATACCATCTCACACCAGTTAGAATGGCAATCATTAAAAAGTCAGGAAACAACAGGTGCTGGAGAGGATGTGGAGAAATAGGAACACTTTTACACTGTTGGTGGGACTGTAAACTAGTTCAACCATTGTGGAAGACAGTGTGACGATTCCTCAAGGATCTAGAACTAGAAATACCATTTGACCCAGCCATCTCATTACTGGGTATGTACCCAAAGGATTATAAATCATGCTACTATAAAGACACATGCACACGTATGTTTATTGTGGCACTATTCACAATAGCAAAGACTTGGAACCAACCCAAATGTCCATCAATGATAGACTGGTTTAAGAAAATGTGGCACATATATACCATGGAATACAATGCAGCCATAAAAAAGGATGAGTTCATGTCCTTTGTAGGGACATGGATGAATCTGGAAACCAGCATTATCAGCAAACTATCGCAAGGACAAAAAACCAAACACTGCATGTTCTCACTCATAGGTGGGAACTGAACACTATGACACAGTGAGAACGCTATGACACAATGAGAACACTTGGACACAGGAAGGGGAACATCACACACTGGGGCCTGTCATGGGGTGGGGGGAGGGGGGAGGGATAGCATTAGGAGATATACCTAATGTAAATGATGAGTTAATGGGTGCAGCACACCAACATGGCGCATGTATATATATGTAACAAACCTGCACGTTGTGCACATGTACCCTAGAACTTAAAGTATAAAGAAAAAAAAAAAGATTAGACAGACAAGGCCCATTATAGAAATCTCTTAGAAGACTTTCATAAATGCTCAGGACTGTAGGCAGACACACAAAACTGCAAAGGCATTGCTTCAAGCCACTCCTCACTGTTTCTAAGAGTAGTTGACTGTAGTAAAATACAACAAGGTCAACAAAATCCAGATGAGTCAGTAATATCATATTTTGAGAGGTGTGAGTAAACTTAAACAATATTCGGGTTTATCTGAAGAAAGCTAAGCTAATAATCAAAATGATATTCTTCTCAACTCCAGTTTTATAAATAGGTTAGATGAAGAATTAGCACTAATAATGAAAAGACAAAACCCTCGCTGGGCCACTTCTCAAAATCATAATTTGGTCAGTCTTGCTGCCCAGTTGTCTCATAACTGAAGACAAATCTGAGAAGGAGGCCAAACAAAAGAGCAAGGCTAATAAAATTATGATTTTACAGTCGAAACAAATGTCCACACAATTTGGACCTTCAAGATATCCTTATAAATCCGCAAATAGACTTAACCATACACTTTCAATTAATGCAAAAAGCCTGATCACATTAAAACGAACTGCCAAAAACTAAAAAGGAAAGAACAACAGGTGGAGTCAGATAATAAAGAATGGGGGTGCTCCATGGAACTTAAAGGGGCCTTTCCTTTTCTCCTTACACTCTGAGAGAAAAGAAATTGTTTAAAACTCCCCTTACTGTTTTCATCCCTCATTCTGTGGAAGCATTGCTAAACTTGAACCACACTCAACGTTATTCAATGAGTAGACTAACTTCATAGAAAGTTTCACTTCTTTTAGCTTCTCATGTCACCATCTCTAGATGTAACAAGCTAAATATTGCAACTCTTCTTCCTTCACTTTCAGATGAAACACCACACAATTGCATAACTCTAACTGATAAACTTGTTTTCTCCTAGGACTGATCTGCAAGAGACTTTTCTTACTTAGGCTAATGTTGTTTGGTTTACAGACGCATGTTATTTAAAGGATGAATCTGGAACTTACTGTAAAGGTTTACGCAATAGTGTCTTTAACAGAAGAAATAGAAAGTGCTTACCTTCCAGAAGCCACTTAGATTCACTTCTGTCTTTGTACCACAACTGTGTATTGAAGATGTCATTTGCCATGTACAGGCCCTAACCAATTACACACAAAAGGCCCTAAATAACAGCCACATGAATGTCTCATTATTAAATAATGAAGTTACTGTCATGAGAAGACTGTATTACAAAACTGTATGGTCTTAGACATACTCACTGCAGCCCAAGGAGGAATCTGTGCTATGACAGAAACTGAATGCTGTGTTTATATCCCAGATGAATCAAATAACGTCACCAAATTAATAACTGATTTGAAAAACTCTAATAATTAACCTTTCGGATCCAAAACCCTCTCTAAGCTACTGGTTAAGTAATTGATTTGGATCTTGGGGAACTTGGTGGCAAAAGCTGTTATGTATTTTAGGAATTATCATAGTTTGTGTTTTGTCTTGCCTTTGTCTGCAGAGCTGTTATGGTATTTATCTGCAATTGGGTCAACACACAGCTGAGAAAATGTGTAGAACAAAGACTACTCAGAGAATTGTTTGATTGAAGAGGCAGCCGTGTAGCCTGAATCAGGTTCCAGAACTACTTTCTCTTGTTGCTTTATAATTCGGACTTGGTCCTTTCCAATTTCCCCTCCTCCCTGGGATGTGACTGCCAGGAAGGGGCCTTCCTAGTGACATGAGGTTTGATCAAATACACGGCCTGAGAATATAATTCTTCTATAATGCTTTCTCTGAAAGCTTTTGAAGAAAAGGGGAAAATGTGAAAAGAAAATTTCAGCACTTTCCAAACGTACTATGCCAAGGGGAAAAGTTAAGCCCTGTAAACTAAATCACAGAACATGGCTGTTTTTCTTCTCTGGTGCATGACTGTTGCTTCCTGATCTTTGTGTTGATGTTATATATTAACCAGATTTTTTATTCTTTATTCAGACTAAATGACGTTGGAGATAGAGACCCTTGTGATTGTTACCTCTTTACAATAGAATATTAAACAACCCCCTTACAGTGTAATCAATAGTAGTGAATTGAATCTTCTGTGTACGTTAGCCTCATCTAGAAAATGCTGTAATTACGTACAGCACTCCTGTTTTTGGTGATATAAATGACCCTCACCTTTCCCTGCATCAGGGAGCACTGATCACCATTCTTTGCTGTCAGTGGTTCCCGGGATAGCCGCCCTCACACTTTGCACTTGAATAAACTCTTTCAACTGGATCCCTGAGCTTTTTGGTTATTTTAGGCTGACATTAGTTAACTAACAAGATGTTAGTTCTTCAGTCTGTTAATTCTGAGGGGTTGACCAGAGGTCCTGTAAGGTCCCTTCCAACTCTAACATTCCACGATTTCGTGAATTTAAAGACTGTGGTTGCCCCTGTATTAACTGGGTTCAGGAGTAAGATAGATAAATTAAGTCATCCAATCGACAAATATTTATTACAGTTCTCTATTGTGTGTAGGTGTATCTGTGGAAATAGGAAACTGTATTTTGGTGCACTCCTGCTTCCAAATCACAGAACTACAACTCCTTCAGCAGAAATTTTCTAAGCTTCCCGCACCAGCCAGAGACCAAGATTCTGCGGTGCACATAGTCAAGGGTTGCTATGGAGTCCAACACGGCCCCAAACAGAAGTGGTCCCTGAAAATTTCTTTCCCAGAAAACTTGCATTTGAAAAACAATGCCATTCCAATTCGCCTTTTCCTAAAGTAAACTCATAAATAGAGACAACCAAACTTTCGCTCTCAGCCCAGAGAACGACGCTCTCCTCCCAAGAGGAACCTCGGCTCTTCCGCGGCAGAAGCTGCACGGAACCAAGAAGCCGCGGGCGCTGGTTCTCCAACGAGCTTTTCTCCCGTTCGTACCAGCGTCCAGGCGGGGTTACCGTGGAGACAGAACGTGCTGTGTGGATGCGGCGAAACGCTGAGGCGCGGCCTTCGCTGTGTGGTGGGGACTCACAAGACCGACGTCAAGATGGTTAGTGGCTCTGAATAGTAAGGGAGTACTTTGAGTAGGTCCTGAGGCTGGCGATTAGAGGTTCCCAGCACACTTCTGTGTGAAGTCTAGGTGTGTCCGCAGAGAGTAATCCCCAGCTCTCCCTGTGTTCCCACGGGGGACAGGGATGCAACTGTAAATACCTCGGTGCTTTCTTCCCTCCTGCTTTTCCGTTTACTCACATTTAAACCACTCGTGGGATGGGAAGCAGAGGAAGGGAAAGCTGAGATGACAGAAGCAATGCGAAAGCATCTCTAGCCAGAGAAGATAAAAGTTGGGAGTAGCTGTTTGGTCCTTCCTAAGTATTGGCTGATGGCTCTTCTAGTAGAATACCTGTTACAAAACGAGTTTGAATAGGCTTCCCTGGGGTTCGTTGTTAAGGATTTGACTTATAATTTTTTTTTTTTTTTTGAGATGGAGGCTCGCTTTGTCGCCCAGGTTGGAGTGCAGTGGCGCGATCTTGGCTCACTGCAACCTCTGCCTCTAGGTTCAAGCGTTTCTTCTGCCTCAGCCTCCCGAGTAGCTGGGACTACAGGCGCATGCCACCACGCCCGGCTAATTTTTGTATTTTTAGTAGAGATGCGGTGTCACCATATTGACCAGGCTGGTCTCCAACTCCTGACCTCGTGATCCGCCGCCTTCGCCTCTCAAAGTGCTGGGATTACAGGCATGAGCCACTGTGCCCGGCCTTGACTTATAAATTACAGAGCTGTCACTCTCAGTTTAAATCTGATAATCAGAATTGGACCATACAGCTGTCTTTGTTTCTTTTACAGATGCTTTCAAGGGCCAAACCTGCTGTAGGCAGAGGCGTACAGCACACTGACAAAAGAAAGAAGAAAGGTAGGAAGATTCCAAAACTAGAGGAGCTACTTTCAAAAAGAGATTTCACTGGAGCTATTACCCTGTTGGAGGTAATGCCCAAAGAACGTTGCTTCTTAGTGTATGAATACCAGACTGTAGATGAATGCTTGGGTGAATGCTGTTTGCTATGCTCTTGAAATAGGTGGGTGCATTCTGGGGCTTCCTGTACAAATCCCCTGTAAATCTAGTCAGGCACAGATTCCAGATTCCAAGTTAGCTATAAACCTGATAAAAAACGAACTAAAAAACTAAACTTGGCCGGGCGCGGTGGCTCATGCCTGTAATTCCAGCACTTCGGGAGGCCGAGACGGGCAGATCACAAGGTCAAGAGATCGAGACCATCCTGGCCAACATGGTGAAACCCCGTCTCTATTGAAAATACAAAAATTAGCTGGGCATGGTGGCACGTGTCTGTAGTCCCAGCTACTCGGGAGGCTGAGGCTGGAGAATCGCTTGAACCCGGGAGGCGGAGGTTGCAGTGAGCCAAGATCATGCCACTGCACTCCAGCCTGGCTACAAGGCGAGACTCCGTCTCAAAAAAAAAAAAAAAAAAAAACAAAACAAAACTTATTTCTTGAGGGCCACTTTTGAGTATGTCTAGTTCACCAACAGTGATTACAATCTAAAAATATGAAGGGACCTTTTATACAATGTCATTTCACACATTGCTTATCCCAACCCTTGACCAATGTATGATTTTTTCCTATTATGTGTTCTAAAATTTTGATCAAACTTAAATAATTCTAACATGCTTACGGTTGAAAATATAGCCCCAGAAAATATTTCAAATCTCCATGGCAGTAGTTCTCACCTTTTAATATACATTGGAATTACCTAGGGTACTTAATAAGATATCGATTCCTGGGCTCCTGCTGTAAGTCTGCAGAGGTGCTCAGGAATCTGCATTTTAAGGTGAGTAGTCTAAGTGCTTCTGATGGAGATGGTCCCAGGAGACTGTGCTTTAAAAAACTGCTTTGTGGGAAACACATGTTATAGGAGGGTGAAGGGTTGCACCAAAGAATGAAGAGTTCTGACAGCATGGTCTGGTTGTGTTGTACCACACTCATTTCTCTTAAAATGCTACTCTGTCCATATTACTCTGAATCTACCCTTAATAATTGTTATAATTAGGTTTACATATATTTCTCCATCTTCCACAAATAGTTCACTTTCTTTTTTTTTTCTTTTTTCTTTTTTTGAGTTGGAGTTTCACTCTTGTCACCCAGGCTAGAGTGCAATGGCGCAATCTCAGCTCACTGCAACCTGCACCTCCCTGGTTCAAGCAATTCTCCTGCCTCAGCCTCCTGAGTAGCTGGGATTAGAAGTGCCTGCCACCATACCTGGCTAATATTTTGTATTTTTAGTAGAGATGGGGTTTCACCATGTTGGCCAGGCTGGTCTCCAACTCCTGGCCTCAGGTGATCCACCTGCCTCGGCCTCCCAAAGTGCTGGGATTACAGGTGTGGGCCACCGCGCCCGGCCTAGTTTGCCTTCTTACTAAGTACTCTGGTGTTGAGCGTGTTTTTTAGCTTTTTGGGCATCAGCTTTCTCATCTTTACAGTGGGGGAGTTGGCATGGAAGAACCTTCTAGTTCTGTGAATCAGTGGACTGAGTGCTATGTATATATCTATTTTCATCAGTCTGTTTTCCTCTTTTTTCTCTAAGACAATGACCACATTTTCCTTGTTGCATAACACCAGGTTGCCTTTATTTTATTTTATTTTTGAGACAGGGTCTCATTCTGTCACCCAGCCTGGAATGCAGTGGCGTGATGGTGGCTCACTGCAGCCTCAACCTCCCAGGGCTCACACGAGTCTCCCACCTCAGCCTCCCAAGTAGCTGAGACTACAGGCACGTGCCACTATACCTGGCTAATTTTCGTTTGATTGGCTATTTGTGTGTGTGTGTGGAGACAGGGGTCTCACCATGTTGCCCAGGCTGGTCTTGAACTCCTGGGCTCAAGGGATCCTCCTGCTTCTGGCCTCCCAAAATGCTGGGATTACAGGGCCAGACTGCCTTTAAGTTGGCAGGGAGGCTCTGCTCTTTGCTCACATTCTTAGGTTGTTAGTTGGAGTACCCTGCTGCATGGGAATGGAAACTGCTATGGTTTGGGGAAGGAAGTCTCATGTGCTTTCCTGTAGCTCCAGGGAATTCAGGGAGACCTCACATGAGAATTTCTCTAGAATTAAGGCATGATACTCAAATTCATAGCATTTGGTATGAGGAGGATTTCTAATGTTGTAGAGTTAGCTACAGGAGTAAATTCTTAGCCCAGACAAGAAAATATCAAAGGGATGTCTTCATCTTGTAATGACTGAGGCACCTGAAATTCTATAGTGATGCTCCATAAATATGTGTTGGCTCACTATTTGATTTATCACCCTGTAGAGTGAAAAAAAAAATCTTATCTTACCACGGAAATTCAGAATTCTCTGTCAAGGTCTCAGTCTTTTCCTCCAAAATAAGGCTTTTCTTTTGTTGGCTGAGGAATTCATAAATATTTGTTCACAATGGACATAAGTGAGGCCAAGTCTTCTGAACATCCTTAACTCTTGTAGGCCTGGTAAGCTAGCCTGCTCAAGGGTAATAGAAAGATTCTCAGTGAAAGGTTACAACCTATTAGTAAATATATGCGTGTGTTAATGCAACAGGACTCAAGTGGGAAGTTAAATGCAGTAGAGCACGGAGGGTGACAACACGGGCTTTGGAGTCAGGCATTTCTTTAAGTCCCTGCCAGCACACATACTGGCCGTGTGGCCTTGAGTTCATGGTTCAGCCTCTCTAACCTTCAGTTATTTGGCTCTAAATATTTTACATAATTCTCTTCCTTATATATCACCCAGAATTGTTAGGCAACTCAAATACTTTCTGGAGTATAATATCAGTAAATACAGAAAGCCAAATATGAAATACTTGAAAATATAAATTTCTGTGACAATTAGAAGATACTTGTCCTGTAGGTATAGGTTTAATTAAACCTCATATTGTCATGCTTCTAATACTTAGATTGCCTGTTGTCAGTAACCCAACGTAGCATTTTTTTTTAAACAGAGAGTTTACTATTCAAAATTTTCATGTTTTTTAAATACATTTTTAACCTGAAGTTCAAACGTCATGTTGGGGAAGAAGAAGAGGATACTAATTTGTGGATTGGATATTGTGCCTTTCACCTGGGTGACTACAAGAGAGCTCTGGAGGTTAGTGTAAAAAAAGTTTTTTTCCTAACAGAACTGTGTTTAAAATGTTATTAAACTTTATATTATAATAATACATATTCATGGTAAAATTCAAACAATGCAGAAGGAAACAAAGAGAAGTTACCTATTTGCATTCTTCAATTATACTTGTTAATGAAGGTAACCAGTGACTTTTTAAAAATTTATGGCTTCAGTAATCGTCTAATGTTAATATGTCCCATTACAGTAGTTCCCCCTTGTCTATGATTTTGCTTCCCGAGGTCAATCTGAGTTACCCAAGGTCAATCTCAGTCTAAAAATAGGTGAGTACAGTATAATAAGATATTTTCAGAGAGACAGAGCAAAAGAGACCACATCCTCATAACTTTTATTACCATATAGTGTTATAGTTCTGTTATCCATTATTGGTGTTAATCTCTTATTGTGCCTAACTTATAAATTAAACTTTATCATAGGTGTGTAAGTATAGGAAAAAAACATAATATATATAGGATTCAGTACTATCCAAGATTTCAGGCATCTACTAGGGATCTTTAAACATATCCCCTGTGGATAAAGGAGGGCTACTGTATATGTACATGTATCTTGTGTACGTTTTACTTTTACATGCATACCAATGAGATTGTACAACATATTGGTGTTAGCATTTATTAAGTCAATCTTCAGAACAGGAAAATTAAGCCATTTTGATAAAAACTTTCATGAGTCTTCTCTCAAGAGAATTTCACTTTTCCTTTGCTTGGTTATTTTTAGACAAAGGAACAATTATATTTATATTTTTACAAGTAGAATTGTTTTGGGGAAATTGTTTTTCTTGGTCATTGTAAACCCTACCCATCTACAATAATTAATCAATGGGATTATGGATTTACTTTTTTTTTTTTTTTTTGATACGGAGTCTTGCTCTGTCACCCAGGCTGGAATGCAGTGGCACGATCTCGGCTCACTGCAACCTCCGCCTCCCGGGTTCAAGCAATTCCCCTGCCTCAGCCTCCTGAGTAGCTGGGACTACAGACATGCGCCACCATGCCCGGCTAATTTTTTTGTGTGTTTTAGTAGAGATGGGGTTTCACCATGTTGGCCAGGATGGTCTCGATCTCCTGACCTTGTGATCCGCCCGCCTCGGCCTCCCAAAGTGCTGGGATTACAGGCGTGAGCCACTGCGCCCAGCCACATTTCCTACATATTCTCATTCCCAAGATGTAATCTAAGCAAATTTGAAGAACGTTCATAACTAAAATGAAAATATTCAAGGACAGTTAATGAGGAGGCGAGATGAAGAACAAAGGAACAAAGTTGGTGAAGGAAAAGGGAAGGTGTGAAAAGGACAGAATAGAGGATGCTAGTATTCGTAAAAGGCATAGGAGGATAGAAAGAACAACCCACTTGTAGTAAGAAAATGAAATAAAGACACCTGGGAAAGACTGATAAAAAGTGAGAGTGTATGGAAAATGTCGTTAACAAAGTGAGTCTTAGAAAGTGTCCTTGGCAGGAAAAACAAAACATTTAAAAAATCTGAAGGCTCCCTCAATGCCAAAAAAGCCAGAAAACAATTAGAATGAAATGAAACTTGGAGTGTATTAAAGCCATCAGATTTTAAGTTAACTGAACGTGTGAATTTCTTAAAGGGTATCTTGTATGTCTTTTTAAGTTAGCAGAAATAAAATAGTTCAGTTACTTTTTGTTTCTATTGTTTGTTAGTCCCTATCAGTATTAACTGGGGGACAAAAACCACAAGTATAAGATTATATGGACAATAGTCCTGCAGATGTAGGACTGAGCTTTAGCTTCAGTATTTAACCTTTTCAGAATAGAGTAATTGCAGAGCATGTAGGATTCCCTAAATGTGAAGTTGCTTAATCTCAGTATGAAATCCTATTCCATTGTGGAAGAATGGCCCATCAATTGCTTTGCTGCCAAAATGAGATCACTGCTTACTATATATTTCAGGAATACGAAAATGCTACAAAAGAGGAAAATTGTAATTCTGAAGTCTGGGTGAACCTAGCTTGCACCTACTTCTTTCTTGGGATGTATAAACAAGCTGAAGCAGCTGGATTTAAAGGTAAAGGGGCTCTTATATCTGATATTCTTCATTCATAGTTAAGAGTTGTTTTGAAGATTTTAAAACTTAATTGTATTCCTTTTTCTCTTGAGAAAAAAAAAATTGATATTAGAAAGCTAAAAAAATAGCTTTAGTCCTCAAAGAATATTGGATTTGAGTAACTATGTTTAAAGAGAGAGTTAGTGCTACACCCCACCAGGCTACAGCCAAAAAGCAGAAGGACAAAAGAAGAAAAAGGGCCAGGTGTCTTTCTTAGGCCCTATCACGGGAGGATGGGCATGCTGTTGGTGGTATTTAGGTATAGTTTTATTCAGGCTCTTATGGCTGTGGACTTTATCGCTGCTTTTCCTGTTTCTAAGTGAGAAACCCAGCAATTTCAGTTTGAAGAATCCAGAAATCATCCCTTCTGCTTTCTTACATATGATATTCATCTCAGGGCGATTGTACTCAAATTTAAGAATAAAAGGGAAACATGGTAGAAAAAGTTAAAGATGGCTGGGTGCGGTGGCTCACGCCTGTAATCCCAGCACTTTGGGAGGCCAAGGTGGGCAGATCACCTGAGGTCAGGAGTTCGAGACCTGCCTGACCAACATGGAGAAACCCCATCTCTACTAAAAATACAAAAATACAGAAGGTGGTGCATGCCTGTAATCCCAGCTACTTGGGAGGCTGAGGCAGGAGAATCACTTGAACCCGGGAGGCGGAGGTTGCAGTGAGCCCAGATCGCGCCATTGCACTCCAGCCTGGGCAACAAGAGTGAAACTCCACCTCAAAAAAAAAAAAAAAAAAAAAAAGTTAATTAAAGTATGAACCAAATTAAGTTCAAGGAAATGCAGAGAAAGTGGGCACTGTAATGTTTGATAGGGAAGAATGTATTTGAGGTAAAATTAATTTATACATATAAAGAATTTCAGCCCAAATTCATGGCAAACATGGAACTTGAAGACTTTTTTTTTTTTTTAAAAGACAGGGTCAGCCGGGTGCAGTGGCTCATGCCTGTAATCCCAGCACTTTGGGAGGCCGAGGTGGGCGGATCACGAGGTCAGGAGATCGAGACCATCCTGGCTAACATGGTGAAACCCCGTCTCTACTAAAAATACAAAAAAATTAGCCAGGCGTGGTGGCGGGCGCCTGTAGTCCCAGCTACTCGGGAGGCTGAGGCAGGAGAATGGTGTGAACGCGGGAGGCGGAGCTTGCAGTGAGCCGAGATTGCGCCACTGCACTCCAACCTGGGCGACAGAACAAGACTCTGAAAAAAAAAAAAAAAAGACAGGGTCTCACTGTGTTGTCCAAGCTGGAGTACAGTGGCTATTCATAGGTGTGAGCATCGTATGCTATAGCTTCAAACTCCTGGGTTCAAGCCATCCTCCAGCCCCAGCCTCCTGAGTAGCTGAGGCTACAGCCACGCCCACCACCATGCCCAGCAAAGCCTTTCTTGATTTGTACCCAAATTATTTCATAGGTACTAATGTAGTTTTTCCTAATTTAGTTATAAGGTCCTTTATGTTACTTACTTTATCTCATATTTGTAGGCTTTATCTGTGCTAAGAACAGTGTTAGACACATATAAGGTGATTGTGGTAGCTATCTCTATTTCCATATTTTTTTTCTTATACATTGAAGTATGACTTTTTCTGTAAAAGAGATAGAATTGGGTATCCAGAATCAGAAAGTTTTCCAAGAGTGCAAAGGAGATTTGGAACTTAAAAGCTGTTAACATTTTTGCTGGACTGCCTGTTTCAGGATGGCACATAATTATGCTAGAAAATCTGTGGAATAGAGGCTGGGCTAGTATTTAGGAAAATATGGCAGTATAATTGTGGAAAAGGAGATATCAGAAGGAATTAACAAAGAATACTGGGACTAAGAGGTGAATGAGAGCAGATTCATACACACATTGAGATGACCATGGGTGTCTCTTACCACTGTTTGGTTTGGTATATGAACAACACAGAGGTGGGCTGCTACTACAACCATGTGTGTGGAGTGTTGCATGGTGGATCACCATAATAGGATCAGGTAGAACAAGCAGTGGAGAAGAACAGAATCTTAGCACCTTTCTCTTCTAGTTCTTGATGCTGTTTCTGCTACTGCAGGTGGACACCAGACTCAAACAATATGTATTCTAGCAGAGACATATTAGGATCAGATGAGTAAGGTTTGGGAAGATTCATCCGAGTCTCATTTCATTCCTACAAGGGACTGCTAGACTGTTGAGTTCTTTAATAAGCAGCTTGGATTTTTTTTTCAGCTTCAAAAAGCCGACTCCAAAACCGCCTCCTCTTCCACTTGGCTCACAAGGTATTTATGTTCTCATTTCACATTTTTTTGTTTTAAAAATATTTTTATTTTTCTTCCTTCTTGTTACTAACACTAGTGAGAGATATTTAATTAGAAATTCTTGTTAATGGTTTTCTAGAACAAGTGGAATATAACTGTTAATTGTATAGGATTTTCTCCTCTATCAATGTTCTTTACCTACTGCATTTATTCAGAGATGTTAGGTTTTATTTCTCCTTAAGCAACAGTCATATAAGAAGTTTAGACTGGCATGATAGCTCACGCCTGTAATCCCAGCACTTTGGGAGGCTGAAGCGGGCGGATCATCTGAAGTCAGGAGTTGGAGACCAGCTTGGCCAACATGGTGAAACCATGTGTCTACTAAAATACAAAAAAAATTAGCTGGGCTTGGTGGCACACCCCTTTAATCCCAGCTACTGAGGAGGCTGAGGGAGGAGAATCACTTGAACCCAGGAGGCGGGGGTTGCAGTGAGCCGAGATCGTGCCACTGCACTCCAGCCTGGGCGACAGCACGAGACTGTGTCTCAAAAAAAAAGAAGTTTAGTTTGTGTCAACTATACTATTATCTGTTAGGAAACAGACTCAGAGTCACCTTGTCCTGACTCCTAGAAATAAATATACACTTTTCAGAATTGCTGTATGGTAATAATTTTGATAATGATAAAATTATTTTTTAAATAATTTTTCAAATTTAAAATTTTAAATAATTGTTTAATTTATTTAAAAAATTGTTTTATAGCATTCCACCAAATGCATCATATGTGCCATTATTTATTCAGTGTTTCTTAGTTATTTGACTTCAGATTATTTATAATTTTAAAAATTTATAAAAATGTCATTCTGAACATCCTAGAAATGGACATACCTACTGGGTATGAGCAACTTTAAAGCTTTTAATTGATATTGCTAAGTTGTTTTACAGAAAGTTTAATCATCCACAGGCATTATATGAAAATAATTATTTCTGGTACATTTAGAAATTCCACATCATAATTGTCACTTTGTCTCTTTCTCTTTTTAGTTCTGCTTTACATGTTTTTCAGACTCTGTCATTAAGTGCACACAAACTTAGAATTGCTAGTAGACTGCCTAGCAATAATGTCTTCCTAGTAGACTGAAACATATATTATCATGAAATATCTCTCATCTCTGAAAAATTTCTCTTTGTCATATTTGTGAGCTATACTAGCTCTTTTGGGTAGCATTTGCCTATTATATCTCTCATCTATCCTTTTACTTTCTACCTTTCTATGTCCTTAAATTTAAGGTGACTCTTATAAACAGCATATAAATGAGTTTTGTGGGTTTTAAAATCCAGTTAAAATCTTTATTAAAAAAAAACCTCTAGTATATAATCCATTTACTTAATGTATTTACAAATACAGTTAGCTTCATAACTGCCATCCTGTTATTAGTTCTCTATTTGCCCAGCTGGTCCATGTGGTCTGTGTTCCTTTTTCTCTCCTTTCTTGCCTTTTTTTGGATTGATTTTTAAAACTATATATTTATCCTCGATTTGCTTGCTAGTTATGTACATTGGGAATATTATTTTAGCAGTTACCATATCATGTGTATTTTGCATATTAAAAAGTTTGATATTGATTAGTACTTTTACCAATTTCTAGAAAAATTAAAGGACCTTAGATCATTTAAACTCATTTACTCTCCATCTTATGTGCAAATTTGAAAAATATTTTAAGTGTCTATATGTTTCTAATCCCATAAGACTGTTTTATTACTGTTTTATGCAGTTAATATTCATTTATAATTAGCCATATTTTTCCTTTCCATTGCTCTTCATTTCTTCTTGCATGTTTGTGCTCCTATCTGAAATCATTTTCCATTTGAGGAATTTCCTTTAATATTTCCTTTAGTGGTGATGAATTCTCTCAGTTTTTGTCTAAACATATTTTTATTTGACTATGGTTTTTTAAAGGATTTTTTTCTCAGTGTAGAGTTCTAGGTAGGTAATTATTTTTGCTTAGCATTTTGAAGATGTTGCTTTATTGCTTCCTAGGTCCTTGTCTCTACTGAGATGTTAGCCATCAGTCTAATTGTTGCTCCTATGAAGATTTTTTTTCTGATCATGTTTAAGATTTATACATTGGTTTTTGTTATTAGCACTTTTCCTATAATATTCCCAGATATGGTTTTCTTTGTATTACACTACATCAGGTTCATAGTGCTTGCTCGAGGTCTTTTCTTTTTTTAATTAAAAGAATCCTTGGTCATTGTTACTTCAAATTTTGCTTCTGCTCTATACTCTCTTCTTTCCTTCTAGGCTCCCAGTAATATGTATGTATGTATGTATGTAGACCTTTTGTTTGTATCGCATGTAAACACTTTGTCACATTTTCTGTATATTTCCACAGAAATTTATTTTACTAATCATCATTCTTCAGCTGTGTCTAACCAGCTATTCCATTTATCTATTTCGTTCTTAATTTCAGTTATTGTATTTATTTTTAGAATTTACATTTTATTACTTTTTAAATTTCTAATTTCCAGTTAAAATTTCCTAATTTTTAATTTAATTTCTTAAATATATTGATAATAAGTTATTTTTAAAGTCCATGTCTAGTAATTCCAATAGTGTATCTCTGGACAGCTGTTTCCTGGTTTTCAGTCAAATGTTCTTATCTCCTGGTTTGCTTGGCAATATTGTGTTTAATGCTGGCTATTGTATATTAAAATATAGAGAGATAATTCGAGTCTCTGGATGCTTTTGTCTTCTTCCAGAGAGGATTTAGAATTTACTTTTACTTCTGGCAGGCACATAGAAAAGGGGCAAATCAACTGATACCTGTCAGAGATTGCAACAATTTAAAGCTGGTCTATTTCCATTTTACCTCTGTTTCTAGGGTAGCTTTCCAGGGGTCCCAACTGATAGCTTGGTGGGCCCCAATCTCTATTTTTTTGTCCATTAAGCCCATAAGACTTCTTGAAGCTCGCTTAGTTTTCAGCAACTCAGCCACCAATTGAGAATTGATAGGTACCATTAGAGAAAAAAATGGTACTAAATATCAGAATCACCTCTTTGCACTTCTGTTCTGCTTGGGATCTTGGTATCTCAAGTCTTCACTCACTTGGTAGCTCTCTGAACCCTTCACGTAGATTTTTTTTGTTTGTTTTTTTGAGACAGGATATCACTCCCCGTCACCCAGGCTGGAGTGCAATGGCGCCATCTCAGCTCACTGTAACCTCTGCCTCCCAGGCTTGAGCAATCCTTGTGCCTCAGCCTCCCAAGTAGCTGAGATTACAAGTGTGCACTGCCATGCCCAGCCAATTTTTGTAGAGACAGGGTATTACCATGTTGCCCAGGCTGGTCTCAAACTCCTGAGCTCAAGTGATCTGCTCACCTCAGCCTCTCAAAGTGCTGGGATTATAGGCGTGAGCCACTGCCCCTGCCCCTTTTACACAGATTTTTCAGTAGTTTTTAAGATTTTCTAGATGTTCTTGGTGGGAGCACTGCATACTACAAGCTACTCTAATATTATTAGTAGTGAAAGTCTTTGATTGAATTTAAAGAAATATATTTTATTGTGTTTTTCTTCTGATTACAAAAATAATACATGTTCATCATAGTACTTTTAGAAAATAGCAAATTGCATACACACAAAAATCAAGATTTCCTGTAAGACTGCCACTTAGAGCTAACACTGTAATATTTTACTCTCTTTTCTTCCAGTCTTTAAAAAATTTGTATTTTTATATGTGTATATATGTGTATATTTATATTGCCAAATTTGTATCATAGTATATATTCTGTTTTATAACCAGGCTTTTCACTTAAAAATGTATCATGAACATTTTTCCATGTAACTAGATAGTCTACAGAAGACAATTCTTTACAAAATTTTTAAGCTAATAAGTCATTCTCTGTAACAGGCAGGAGTGAGCAATCTACATATTAAGGGTCACTGTCAAAAATATATCTGTTCTGCCCCATATATAAGCAAAAGGCAGCTAATATTTGCGGCAGCCATCTAACAAAATAAGCATTACAAGGTTGGAATAGAATTCTGACAATCTCAAACAACAACAATATATAGTAACTGAAGAAAGGATGAAAAAATGTAGAGCAGGAAATTAAAAATTGAATACACTAGGTTACATGATGAGAAATACATTTTGATTCCCTATTGTCTACCAAGAAGAACGAGATATGAAAGAACAGATTGGCTGGGCACAGTGGTTCACACCTGTAATCCCAGCACTTTGGGAGGCTGAGGTGGGCGGATCACGACGTCAGGAGTTCAAGACCAGCCTGGCCAACATGGTGAAACCCCATCTCTACCAAAGATACAAAAAATTAGCCGGGCGTGGTGGCATGCGCCTGTAATCCCAGGAACTTGGGAGGCTGAGGCTGGAGAATTGCTTGAACCTGGGAGGCAGAGGTTGCAGTGAGCCGAGATCGTGCCATTGCACTCCAGCCTGGGGGACAGGGCAAGACTCCGTTTCAAAAAAAAAAAAAAAAAAGAAGAAAGAAAGAACAGATTAAAAATGTTACCAGGTAATAGTAAAGAGAGTAGACAGAAAAAGAAAAGGAAAGGGAGAAAATATAAAGAAAAAGAAAAGATAAGGGGAAGGGTCAAATAGTATTAACTGTAACCTAAGGGCTTTCCATTGTCGTTGTCAAGCTATGCCTCCAGAGGCTATTTCCATTGTTTCTTTGCAGGAGAAATGAAGTAGAAGACAAAGAACCTAAGGGAAATAGGAAGAAGAGAGAGACACAATGGCTAAAGAAGGAAGAGTTAAAATCTCTATCACATAGATATTGATTTCTCTAACAACACTAATATGAATCTTTACATGTCTTTTCCACTCTCACAATTTTAGTTTAATGATGAGAAAAAATTGATGAGCTTTCATCAAAATCTTCAGGATGTCACAGAAGATCAACTCAGTTTGGCCTCAATCCACTATATGCGATCTCACTACCAAGAAGCTATAGATATATATAAGCGAATACTGCTAGATAACAGGTCTGTGTCCTTTTATGCCCACTCTCCATTCCTTTCATTTTGTTAGTTTCTTCTTTAACTAGTTTGAGAATCTAGTGTCCTCTGGATCTAGTACCACTATGTGTTCAAATCTGTTTAGTTGATAATTTGGTGAGATTAAGAATTAGATATTGTCTAAATCAGGCTTTCTCTACCTTTTTTTGCATTGTCACCCTTCTAAAAGACTTTTTCCCCCAATTGCCCTCCCATGAAATTTTAATATACTGATAGATGTATATTAATATATATCCATATATGTACTATATGTATAACTGTGCTTTACATATAAAATGATTATGATTTTTTCATCCTCCCATTAAGAACCAATTTTTCCCCTTTGGGGGTAATACTGATATTACCCCAGTTGAAATGTATGGTCTAGATGTATCAAACTTAGTGTTATAGTTACATCGTAGGTAACTTGCTGACAAAATTAGATACAAATCATTCTTAAGAATTTACATTCCAACTTTAAACACTTGGCCTCTCTCTCCCTTCCCAAAAATATCTCATCCCCCTTCTTTCCATCCTCTTTTGCATTACCTTCTTAGTCTCCTACCTGCTTCCATTTCCAGCCATCAAGCCTATGTGTCTTGTCTGTTGGTCTTCTGTGTGGAGTGTGCTTGTGTTTATGTTCAATTATTGCATATATTAGTTTTTCAGTGTGAACAGCGTGAACTTTCCCTTTCTTCTCTAGTCATCTTTCATTCTACTTATATCAAAACACCCAAATATTGCAATGCAAAAAGAAAAAAATTATACTGATCATATCTTGCCCTCTTTCTTCATAAGGCAGGTTCATGAACTGTCCTCTTTGCCTTGTCCATTTGAGCTTTGTAATTTGACATTTCCGTGAAGTAGACTTAAATGGTTAACCCTAATTCTTTCATCTAATAGGGAATACCTTGCCCTTAATGTTTATGTGGCCCTCTGCTACTACAAGTTGGATTACTATGATGTGTCTCAAGAAGTTTTGGCTGTTTACCTTCAGCAAATTCCTGATAGTACCATCGCACTCAATCTTAAAGCCTGTAACCATTTTCGCCTTTACAATGGCAGAGCAGCTGAGGTATTGATGGAAGTGTGTTTTTAATGTACTTCATTCCAATTTGAATTACTTTATACTTTCCAAGTTATTCATGAAACTCTGTTATCTGTAACTCTTGATTAATATCCCTTTATCATTGCCACTGTGATTCTATAAGAACCTAATTATATGTTTATCAGGTATTCTAAAAAGAATGTTGACTTCTGAATTATCTGTGTTATGTCCATTAAATTGTAGATGATTTTACTGAGATGCCCTACATTTAAAACCAAATGCTTATGTTTAAAACCAAATGCTTCTGGCCGGGCGCTGTGGCTCAGCACTTTGGGAGGCCAAGGCGGGCAGATCACTTGAGGCCAGGAGTTTGAGACCAGCCTAGCCAACATGGCCCCATCTCTACTAAAAATACAAAAAATTAGCTGGGTGTGGTGGTGCATGCCTGTAATCCCAGCTACTGGGGGGTTCGGGGGGCGGGTGGAGGTTTCAGTGAGCCGAGATTGAGCCACTGCACTCCAGCCTAGGTGACAGAGCGAGACTCTGTCTCAAAAAAACCCAAAAACCAAAAAACAAATGCTTCAGCTTCTTCCTCTAAAATATGTGTGTGGCTCTGTGATTGAATGCCACCAACATACATCCAGTAAACCACATTAGAAACCTGGCATATCTGGGCCAGGCACGGTGGCTCACGCCTGTAATCCCAGCACTTTGGGAGGCTGAGGCAGGCGGATCACAAGGTCAGGAGATCGAGACCATCCTGGCTAACACAGTGAAACTCCATCTCTACTAAAAACACAAAAAATTAGCTGGGCGTGGTGGCGGGCGCCTGTAGTCCCAGCTACTTGGGAGGCTGAGGCAGGAGAATGGCGTGAACTCGGGAGGCAGAGCTTTCAGTGAGCCGAGATGGTGCCACTGCACTCCAGCCTGGGTGACAGAGCGAGACTCCATCTCAAAAAAAAAAAAAAAAGAACCCTGGCATATCTGTTGACTCTCTTCTTCATCTCCATGTAATCATCAGTTCCTATCAGCTATACATCCTAGATATCTCTTTTATCTATCCCTTCTTCTCCTTGGCTACTATTCTAACCCAGGAGTTTCTCACCTCTTATTTTGGCCCTTTAAATAGTGTTCCTGCCTTTAGTCAGTCTTGTTATCTTCAGTCCAACCACTGAATTTGTTCCACATGCCATGCTCTCTTACCACCATAGCTTTGTGTGCAACATTCTCACTCCTGGAATGACTTCCTTCTTTCTCTGCTTGGTACACGTCAACAAAGGTTAGCCCAAGAGGCAAAAATGGTGGACATTTTATAAATACTTAATTGGCTAACTTGTAGGCACCATGCAGAACACTTTAAATCCATTATTTAGTTTCCCTGACAAGCCTGTGGTTAGAGGCTATTGTAGTTCTCGTTTTATAGGAAACCGAGAAAACACAGGAGGCCATAGATTATTACCTCCTTTTGTTTCATTTAACATGTTTTAAATAACACATAACTTTACTAACATTTTAATAACATAATTTTATTTAACACATACACATATATACATATATAATATATAGATATAGGTAGATACATACATAGATATAGAATAGAAAATATGTTCTACACTATATCTATATACAAATATGTGGGTATAAATAGATCATTTAACATGGTTATTACTTTAGTTGATGTCAGAAGCCACCAAAATTTACATGTAAAATTTCTGCATGTGTCAAACTTTAAAAATCCTACCCTTGCCCTCCAAATTGAATTGCTTAGTATACACTTGAGCACATAGTATATACTTATATATTAAATAAAATGCATTCTTGGGGTAATAGTCATTTCAACTAAGGAGTCCCCCAAGTCTGCCTAATTGGCTTGTTTCCAGCATCAGCAGTTTAGTAAGAGACTCGATTAGCAATTTGGTATCTTTAGAGTTTTCACCCGTTAGTAAGAACAAATAAATGAAATACATTCTTGCCTTTCTACCTAGAGTCAGTCTTGGGGAAATTTACCAATTTTGGTGTGTGGTCCAATTTATTAAATGTTTACATTTTGTCTGTATATGTCTTTTCCATAGTCTAGTATGGTTACTCAATATCCTATCTATAGTATACACCTAGAATTATCCAAGTTAGGACATCAGAGTGTACTTCTAACCTCAAAAGGCAAGCTTTTTCCTTTGAAATTGTGTCAATGTAGTTTATATATTGATTTTATAATGTACTCCAGCAGTAGAAGGCTATGTCAAATGTACCAGAAGAACCTTTTTTTGGTACCAATAAGATAGAGTTTATGTTTAATTATTATAATTTTAATAAACTATTTAAATTCAGGCATTCTTCTAACTTGTATAACAGGGTCTGTATTACATTGTTCAGTGTCTCACAAACACCAATAGCATCCTGCTTTTCTAAAGTAAACAGGAAATAATTTGTAATGATTGACTTAATTCTTAAACTACTTTGAGTAACTTGTTCAGGCTTACACAACTAACATAACAAGTGGCAAATGCAGATCTCAAACTTTTGTCTGACTCCAACATAGACTTAACCACTAAAATGTCCTGCAATACACACACACAAAATGTCTCCATTCTGCTTATTATTTGTCAGTTGCCTAATTATCTTCAATCTAAACAAGCTCATTGATGGTTGAGACTGTGTCTTTTGACATTTGTGTCCCAGGACTGGGCACAATGCTTGCACAAAGTTGATGCCAACTGCTTATTTGTTGAATGAGAAATTAAAAGTATGACTGACAAATTAAGGAGAATCACATTTAAAGAAGGAGGAGATACAAAAGGTCAGTAGAAATGAAGACTGAGAAAAGGCCATTTTAATTAGAGTTTCCTACATTGCCATATCTGATTAGGATATCATTATTATTGGAGCTTGAAGCTAGGTTGCAGGGAGATCAGGAGTGAGTGAGTAACAACTCAGACTGGGAATTCTCATAAAGGGTATGGCAGAAGGGATGGCAAACAGATGATGAAAAAATAGAAACATTGAATGTAAGACAGTGGTTTAAAAAAATAAAATAAAAAAGGAGGAGAAAGCTGCTGGTTTTAGAGACTAAAGAGTTGAAGAACTTTTCCCCCAAAACTGGCACGGCCTCTAGGGTAGTGATTATGAGTTTGGGCTTGGAATCAGATAGACCCAAATTTCAACCCTGGCATAGTTGCTGTGTGACTTTAGGTGAAATACTTAACCTCCTTAAGCATCATCTGTAAAACAGGGAAAAAATGGTACTGACTCATTGTAGGTTCTTGTGAAGATTAAATGGTATGAGGTATGTAAAGTCCTTAACTTGATATACATAGTAAACTCTCAGTAAATATTTGTAATTATTAAAGATTTTGTAGGCTGAAAAATAGTCACATTGATCTGTTTCTTTATGTTTAGTGCTTTCTGTATCTTGTTTAAGAAACCATTTCCGGCTAGGCACAGTGGCTCACGCCTGTAATCCCAGAACTTTGGGAGGCCAAGGTGGGTGGATCACCTGAGGTCAGGAGTTCGAGACCAGCCTGACCAACATGATGGAACCCCATCTCTACTAAAAATACAAAATTAGCTGGGCATGGTGGCACATGCCTGTAATCCCAGCTACTTGGGAGGCTGAGGCAGGAGAATTGCTTGAACCTGGGAGGCAGAGGTTGCAGTGAGCTGAGATTGCGCCACTACATTCCAGCCTGGGCACAAAGAGTGAGACTCCATCTCAAAAAGAAAAAAAGAAACCATTTCCTAGCTCAAGATTATATTTTCTGGTATCCTCTTTTTAAAAAATTTATCTACTTATTTATTTAGAGACAGTGTCTCACTGTGTCACCAAGGCTGTGCAGTAGCACAATCATAGCTCATTGCAGCCTCAAACTCCTGGGCTCAAGTGATCCTTTTGCCTCAGCCTCCCAAGTAGCTGGAACTACAGACATGCGCCACTGTGCCTGGCTAATTTTAAAATTTTCTGTAGAGATGGGGTCTTGCTATGTTGCCCAGGCTGGTCTCAAACTTCTGGCTTCAACTAATCCTTCCACCTTGGGCACCCAAAGCTCTGGAATTACAGGCATGAGCCACTGTGCCCAATCACTTCTGATATTATCTTCTAATAGCCTATTTTTCTTTTTAAGCACAAATTTTCTGTAATTACATTATATTTTAAAGGATTAAGTTCTCCAGTTAAAAGACAAAGATTAGTAAATTAGAAAAGACAAAACCCTAATATATATTTTAAATAGAAAAGAAAATTTGAACATAAAGGATATGTTTCATGTGAAATATGTCTTACATGGTTTCTAACATTGGTGTCATGTTTTTAGAAAGGTCACTTTCATTCTAACGTAGATATGATGACCTACATCTTTAATTTATAGTTTTATTTATATATGGCTTTATTGAGATATAATTAACATATCATACAATTCACCCTTTTAAAGTGTACAGTTGGTTTTTTAGTATAGTCACAGCTTAAGTGCAACCATCACCACAGTCAATCTTAGGACATTTCATTATCTCAAAAAGAAATGTTGGCCAGGCACAGTGTCTCATGCCTGTAATCCTAGCACTTTGGGAGGCGGAGGCGGGCGGATTGCCTGAGCTCAGGAGTTCGAGACCAGCCTGGGCAACACAGTGAAACCCCGACTCTACTAAAATACAAAAAATTAGCAGGGCGTGGCCACGTGCGCCTGTAGTCCCAGCTACTTGGGAGGCTGAGGCAGGAGAATCGCTTGAACCCGGGAGGCGGAGGTTGCAATGAGCCGAGATTGCGCCACTGCACTCCAGCCCGAGCAACGGAGCAAGACTCCGTCTCCGGAAAAAAAAAAAAAAGAAATGGCCGGGCGCAGTGGCTCACACCTGTAATCCCAACATTTTAGAAGTCCGAGGCAGGCGGATCACAAGGTCAGGAGTTAGAGACCAGCCTGGCCAACATGGTGAAACCCTGTCTCTACTAAAAATATAAAAATTAACCGGACGTGATGGCGCATGCCTGTCATCCCAGCTACACAGGAAGTTGAGGCACGAGAATCACTTGAATCTGGGAGGCGGAGGTTGCAGTGAGCTGAGATTGCACCAATGCACTCCAGCCTGGGTGACCGATACTCCGTCTCAAAAAAAAAAAAAAGTCATACTCTTCAGCTATCAACCCCTATTGCCCCATTCCCCCAGCCCTGAGCAACCACTAATGTACTTTGTCATTATATATTTGCCTGCTCTGGATATTTCATATATATATGGAATCATATAATATTTGGTCTTTATGATCGGCATCTTTTACTTAGCATAGTGTTTACAAGGTTCATCATGTTGTAGCATCTATCAGTATTTTATTCATTTTTATGACCAAATAATATTTCGTTTTATGAATATACCTCTTTTAGTTTTTTCCATTCATCAGTTGATAGACACTTGTGTTGTTTCCACCTCTTGCCTGTTACGAATGCTGCTTCTATAAACATTATACTTTTTGTGTAAGTTTTTGTTTGTATGTATGTTTTCAATTCTCTCAGGTTTATACCTAGGAGTGGAATCACAGGGTCATATGGTAACTGTATATGTAATTGTCTGGGGAACTGCCAGACTGTTCCAAAGAAACTGCACTATTTTACATTCCCATCAGCAGTATATAAGCGTTTTGATTTCTTTGCGTTCTTGCCAACAGTTGTTATCATCTGACTTTTTGACTCTAGCCATTCTAGTGGTGTGAAGTGGAATCTTGTGGTTTCTATTTGCATTTCCCTGATGACTAATGATGTTGAGCATTGTTTCATGTGCTTGTTGGCCATTTGCATATCTTTTTTGTAGAAATGTCTATTTAAGTTCTTTGCCCATTTTTTAAATAAGTTATTTGTCTTTTTATTATTGAGTTTCACATGTTCCCATATATTCTAGGTTCAGTCCCTTATCAGATACACAAATTGCAAATGCTTTCTCCTATCCTATAGATTTTTTCATTTTCTTAATAGTATTTTTTTTGAAGCACGAAAGTTTTTAATTTTGATGAAGTCAAAGTTATCCTTTTTTTTTTTTTTGCCTTTTGTTTCTTGTACTTTTGGGGTTATATTTAAGATTCCATTGCCAAGTCCAGAGTCATGAAGATTTTCCCCTGTGTTTTCCACTAAGAGTTTTATAATCTTAGCTTTTAGGTCTTTGATCCATTTTGAATTAACATTTGTAAATGGCATGAGGTAAAAGTCCAACTTTATTCTTTTGCTTGTAAATATCCAGTTATTCCAGCACCATTTGTTGAAGAGACTATTCTTTCACCCTTTGAATGGTCTTGGCACTCTTGTTGAAAATCAGTTTATCATAGACAAATGGATTCATTTCTTCTGGACTCAGTTCTCTTCCATTGGTCTATATGTGTATCCTTACATTAATACCACACTATCTTCCTTACTTAGAGCAAGTTTTGAAATCAGGAAGTATGCGGCCTCCTAATTTGTTGTTTGTTTTCCCAGATTGTTTTGGTTACTCTGATCTGTTGCAATTCAATATGAATTTTAGAATCAGCTTATCAATTCCTACAGAGAACCCAGATTGGATTCTGATAGGGATTGCATTAAAGATCAGTTTTGGGATTAATGCTATCTTAATAACATTAAGTCTTTAAATCCATTCACATGGAATGTTTTTCCATTTATTTAGGTGTTTTTAAATTTCAGCAATATTTGGTGGTTTTTATGGGGCAAGTTTTACATTTCTTTTGATAAATTTATTACTAAGTACTTTATTATTTTTGATGCTATTGTAAATTAACTTGTTCCCTTAATTTCATTTTTGAATTGTTCATTGCAAGAGAATAGAAGTACTACTGATTTTTGTATTGATTGTATCCTGAAACCTTGCTGAACTCATTTATTGGCTTTCTTGCAGATTTTGGGGAGGATTTTCTATATATAAGATTATGTTTGTGAATCAGGATAGTTTTGCTACTACCTTTCCAGTCTGGATACCTCTTCTTCCTTTTTCTTGTCTAACTGCCCTGGCTAGAACCTTCAGTACAATGTTGAATAGAAGTGCTGAGAGCAGATATCCTTGTCTTGTTCCTGATCGTAGGTGGAAAGCATCCAGTATTTCACTGTTAAGAATGATGTTTGTTGTGGGTTTTTTGTAAATGTTCTTTCCAGGTGGGGGAACTTCCAAATGTTTTTTATCATGAAAGGATGTTAATGGAACTGCTTTTTCTATTAGCTATGGAGATGATCATTTAGTTTTTGGGTTTTATTCTATTGATATGGTATATTAATTGATTTTTGAATGTTAAACCACCCTTGTATTCCTGGAATAAATCTCACTTGGTCATCGTGAATAATCTTTTTAATACATTACAGGATTCCATTTGCTAAGAATTTTTTGGAGGATTTTGTGTCCATATTCAAAAAATATATTGGTCATTTTCTTCTCTTGTAATTTTTTTTTGGTTTTGGTATTGGGGTAATACTAGCCACATAGTATAAGGGGAAAAGTTCCGTCTTCTGTGTTTTGAAAGAGTTTATGAAGAGCTGGTATTAACTCTTCTTTAAGTGGTATGATTTTAAGCAGTGAAGCCATCTGGGCCTGGGCTTTTTATTTCATTGTAGTTTTTAAATCATTAATCCAATTTATTTAGGGATTGCATTGACTCTAAAGATCAGTTTGGGGGTTAATGCTATCTTAATGACATTAAGTCTTTCAATCTGTGCACATCCATCCATGTTGTATGTCTATTAATAGTATTTCTTCTTGAGTCAGTTCTGATAGTTTATGTCTTTCTAGGAATTTGTCCCTTTCACTTAAATTATCTAATATATTGGCCTATAATTGTTCACAGTATTCCTCTGTAATCCTTTTTATTTCTCTAAGGTCAGTAGTATTGCCTTCTTTCATTTCTGATTCTAGTAAATTGAGTTTGTTGTTTTTTTCTTGGTCAGTCTAGCTATAAGTTTTCTTAATCTTTTCAAGGAACCGGCTTCTGGTTTCATTGATTTTCTCCATTCTCTTGTCTGTTTAATTGATTTCTGCTCTAATCTTTATTTTTCCCTTCCTCTGTTTGCTTTATGTTTAGTTTTCTCTTTTTTTTTTACAGTTAGGTTATTAATTTGTGGTCTTTCTTATTTTCTTTTTTAAATATAGGCATTTACAACTATAAAATTTCCTCTAAGAAATGTTTTAACTGCATCCCGTAAGTTTTGTTATATTGTATCTTTCATTTATCTCAAAGTATTTTCTAATTTTGTTTTTGGTTTCTTTGGCCCATTTGTTATTTAGGGTATGTTGTTTATTTCCTGATTTTCTTTTATATTTAAGTCCATATTCTACATGGAATTGATTTTTGTGTAGACTGAAGCAGAGGTCAAATTTTATTTTTTTTTCCATGAGAATAACTCATTGTTTCAGACCATTTATTGAAAAGATCAGTCTTTTCCTACTATTCCGCCACCTTTGGAAAATAATTCCAGTGTTTAGATATGTCTGCTTCTGAACTCTGTATTCTGTTGATCCATTTGTGTATCCTTGCCCTCAATGCCATACGGCCTTAATTACTACAGATTTGTAATCAAGTTTCACATGTAGTGGGTCTAGCAAGTTTTGCCATCTTGTTAGTGTTCTTCAAGGGTGTCTTGGCTATTCTTGGCTCTTTATCTTTCAGTATGAATTCTAAAACAAGCCTGCCAAATCCAAACACAAAAACAAACCTGTCAGGATTTTAATTGTATTGCTTTGAATCCATGGATGAGTTGGGAGATAATTGATAGTTTTAAATTAAGTCTTTAAAACCATGAATATGGTATCTTTCTCCATTTATTTAGATCTTTAATTTCTTTTTTTTTTTTTTTTTTTTTTTTGAGACGAAGTTTTGCTCTTGTTGCCCAGGCTGGAGTGCAGTGGCGTGATCTTGCCTCACTGCAACCTCCACCTCTTGGGTTCCAGCGATTCTCCTGCCTCAGCCTCCTGAGTAGCTGGGATTACAGACATCCGCCACCACACCCTGCTAATCTTTGGATTTTTAGTAGAGATGGGGTTTTACCATGTTAGCCAGGCTGGTCTTGAACTCCTGACCTCAGGTGATCCACCTGCCTGGGCCTCCCAAAGTGCTGGGATTACAGGTGTGAGCCACCGTGCCCGGCCAGACCTTTAAGTTCTTTTAGTCAGGTTTTGTGCTTTTTTTTGTATTGGATTTTTTTTTTTTTTTTTTTTTTTAGACAAGCTCTGGCTCTTTCACCCAGCCTAGATGGAGTGCAGTGGCTGGATCATGGCTTACTATAACCTCTGCCTTCCATGTTTGAGTGATCTTTGTGCCTCAGCCTCCCAAGTAGCTGGGACTACAGGTGTATGCCACTGTGTCCAACTAATTTTTTAAACTTTTTAAATAGAGACAGGTCTCACTACATTGCTAAGGTTGGTCTTGAACTCCTGGGCTCAAGCGATCCGCCTGCCTTGGCTTCCCAAAACAGTGAGATTACAGGCATAAGCCACCATGCTTTGCCTTTGTATTGGTCTTTTTATGTGTTTTGTTAGATTTGCTTCTAGCTATCTTAATGTATCTCTGTATATTGATGTTTTTCTATATATATAATCAGTGAAGTAAGATATCTAGTCATTCATTTACTCACCAAGTGATTGCAGTGGGGTGACAGGGACAGTGGGGGGTGTGGTGGTGGGTTGCCAAAGCATGAGGAGTATGCAACAGAATCTAAGAAATCATACCTACCCGGCCAGGCACAGTGGCTCATGCCTGTAATCCCAGCACTTTGGGAAGCAGAGGCAGGCAGATCACTTGAGGTCAGGAGTTCCACACCAGCCTGGCCAACATGGTGAAATCCCATCTCTACTAAAAATACAAAAATTAGCCAGGCATGGTGGCATGCACCTGTAATCCCAGCTACTTGGGAGGCTGAGGCAGGAGAATCGCTTGAACCTGGGAGGCAGAGGTTGCAGTGAGCCAAGATTGCGCCACTGCACTCCAGCCTGGGCGACAGAGCTAGACGCCATCTCAAAAAAAAAAAACCAACAAAGTAAAAAAAGAAATATCCTTGTAAGGTTTTTTATCTCAAAGGAAAAGCTTTTGATGATATTTCATCATTAAGAAATGGCATTTCATCATTAAGTATGATGTTTAATGTAGATTTTTAAAGATATCCTTTATCAGATTAAGGAACTTCCCTTGTAGTGTTAGTTTGCTAAGAGGTTTTATAAGGATCAGATGTTGAAGTATAGCATGTTGTATTCTTCATCTATTAAGACGGTCATATCATTTTCCTTTATTCTTGTGGCAAATTATTTGAAGTATTTTCTATTGTTAAATCAACTTTAGGCTGGACATGGTGGCTCACGTCTGTAATCCCAGCACTTTGGGAGGCTGAGATAGGCGGATCATTTGAGGTCAGGAGTTTGAGACCAGCCCGGACAACACAGTGAAATCCCATCTCTACTAAAAATACAAAAATTACCCTGGTGTGGTGGCGTGTAGTTGTGGTCCCAGATACTTGGGAGGCTGAGGTGGGAGGATCACTTGAGCCTGGGGGACAGGGGTTGCAGTGGGCTAAGATGGCGCCACTGCACTCCAGCCTGAGTGGCAGAGTGAGACCCTGTCTCAAAAAACAAAAAATTTTAAAAATCAACGTTATACCAGAATAAACCCAGCTTCATCATGGTTCATTCTTCTCTTTACATATCACATATTAGATAGCTATTATTTAATTTGTTGCATCAATACATAATGGTTTGACTGTTTTATAATTTGCTTTTTTGGTATAGTTCTTGTCAGGATTTGGTGCAAAGGTTATCTTAAAGGAAAATGAATGAATTGAAGCAGGTACCATATGTTTCTATTTTCTGCAAGAGTTTGTATAAGATTGGCTTTTATATTTCTTAAATGTTTGGTAGAACTTATTGACAAAACTATCTAGGTTTGGAAGATTTTAAATTACCTAATTCAGTTCCTTTAGTGGTTATAGGACTATGCATGTTTTCTATTTCTTCTTGTGTTATTTTTGGTAAGTTGTATTTTTCTAAAAATTTGATAATTTCATTTACATTTTCACAGTTTTTTAGTCTTTTCAAAAACCAACTTTTGTTTTTAATCCTATTATATAACTGTTTTTTTATTTTATTAATTTATGTACAAGGGGTCCCCAAAAAGTTCATAGAAAATTCTGTTTTATCCTTCCTTTGCCAGTGTAGCTCTTTAGCAGTTCCTGCTGATTGTGGGAAGGGTCTTTCACTAGACTTCCCACCTTGTGCTGGTATTGGGCTTTCTTTTTTGTCCTTGTCACCTGGCACAATATGGTCTCAAAATAGATCAAATGCAGATACAGATGTGACAATCCATCTATCCTCTGTTAAGCCAGACATTAAAGAGATTTGCAAAAAATGTAAAACAATAACATTGTTCTCACTAAATTTTTGATTTGATAAATACAGTTTTTTAAAGTAAAAAAATATGTATGTCAATGTGTAGTGGGGTTTATTATTGTTATTTTTAAACTTTAAAAAAATTTAATTGTTTTTATTTTCAGTAATGACAAGTTGCTCTGAAATTGAGACCAAATGTTAATTCCAACATATTTTAAGGCATATTATTACTACCATTTTCAATGAATTGAATACTTAAAATTTTCTGTTTTAATTTCTGATACGATAAGTATTGATGGCTATTTCCCGCATAAACAAAAATTATTTGAGATCATTTATAGAGTATAAAAGGGATCTTGAGACCAAAAAGCTTGAAAACTGCTGATGTAACCTAATATTACCCAAAATTTTGGAATTGTACTGTGGACAAGAGAAGAGTGATAAAAAAAAATTGCTGAGCAGACATGCACTCCCAACTATGAGATCAGGCAGAACAAGTTTGTGGTAGTTAGTGAAGAACAATCAAGAATTTAATGATTTTATCCAGAAAAGCTTAGCAACCCACTAATAGAAATAGAAAAGGGAAGAAAGGAGGATTTATTAACATCTCCTTTCAGATTAAAGAATCAACCTTAGTTGTTTAAGGCTTAGTTCGTTAATCACCTTTGACACTGAAAGAAAAAACTAACTCTAGTAGTCTTCAGACTTGAGTATCCCAGTTTTCAAACTTGCTGCTTAGTATAAGTTTCAAGTCACTTAACTTTTTTTTTTTTTTTTTGAGACAGTCTTGCTCTGTCGCCAGGCTGGAATGCAGTGGCGCAATCTTGGCTCACTGCAACCTCTGCCTCCCAGGTTCAAGTGTTTCTCCTGCCTCAGCCTCCTGAGTTGCTGGGACTACAGGCTCGCGCTACCACGCCCAGCTAATTTTTTTGTACTTTTAGTAGAAACAGGGTTTCACCACGTTGACCAGAGGAAACATGGTCTCGATCTGTTGACTTTGTGATCCGCCCGCCTTGGCCTCCAAAAATGCTGGGATTACAGGCATGAGCCACTGCGCCCGGCCCAAGTCACTTAACTTTTATAAGCCTCATTGTTTTCATTTATTATTGCTCTCATTTGAAAATGTGGGTAATAATAATTACATTGACCTAGAGTCATGAGGATCAAATGAAATAGCATGTTAAATTCTTTGTAAATTATAAACCATTGTGTCAATATGTGGTATAAGAACTATACACTTGTCATTTTCATAAGCCTTTCTTCTTTAAATTTCAGGCAGAACTCAAAAGCTTGATGGACAATGCTTCTTCATCCTTTGAATTTGCTAAAGAACTCATCAGGCACAATCTGGTGAATAACGATTTCCCGTCTTGACTGAGTTCAGTCCTACTCTGCTTTGGTACATCACAGCAATTAGAAAGATTAATAAAAGGAGATGCGCCAGCAAGTAATGCTTTACTCCAAGGGAACCCCTCCTCACTGTGGAGGAGATAAGTTTTAAAGTACTAATCTGTTTCCTTAAGGAAATCCTTGTTGGGAGAACAGGAATATATTTAATATTTGGAAAGAAGCACAAGGCAGTGTAGATCCAGGTGTCTGTTTTTTTGAGAAAGACAAAGGAACGTATCCCTCTGTGGTTTAAAATAAATGGGAAATATTTTTGCATCTTTGAAGGATGGCTGAGATTTGGAGTGTTCATTCTAGTCAAGGACATGGAGCTAGAATGAGGCTGACATATGTAAAAGATTGTGAGCAGATTGATCTTACTAGAACAGTAAATTTGTACTGGGGAATAGCAGACACTCAAGTTGGATGGGTGGTTGGGTTTAGGGCTAGATTATGATTCTATTGACCAATATAGTGAGATGCAGAACAGCTGCTCTCAATTCAGATACCTGGGAGCACTGGGCAAATCATCTAATACTACTGAGATTCTTCATCCAGAAGTGGCAATAATAATAACTATGCTTTTTCCTTCTGATTTCTCTATTCCTTTTTGTAGTACCAATTCTTCCAGTAAACCACAGCTGTTTTAGACTCCCCTTCTCTTTATCTCCAATCTCTATTCAGTTACTAAATCCTATTCTCTTCTTGTTGGCAGTATCTTATATTTACTCCATTTCTTATCTAATTCAGGCTTCCATCACAGATACAGTTTTATTTGGATAGTTACTACTATGAGTTTCTGCATCTAATCTTTTAACTTCAAATTTAGTTTCTAAATTGAAACCCGATTAATTTTTCTGGATAATTATGGGTTACATAATAGTCTGGAATTTAAGCTTGGAGAAAGATAAAGACTTGAGAATAGATTTAGGAGTTATTGTAAGAGTCTTGACAGATTAATATGGAAGGTTTTCAATCGCTGAAGTGAAATAAATATTGTAGAATGGATTAAAAATAGAAAAATATGGTTCCAAAACAGCATCTGTATTTATGGGACAGGAAGAAGGAGTATCAACAAATGAAACAAGAAAGGGCAAACAAGAAGAAGCATCTAGATAATGTAATGTCATTTACAACTGCACATTTTAGTCACCTGGGAGGCTTTTGAAATTAATGATGCATGGGCCCCATCCCCAGGGAATCTTATTTAATGGTTGGTCTGGAGCCCAGCTATCAGTATTTTTTTTAAAGCATCCCAGGTGGATACAATATACAGCTAAGGTAAAGAACCACTATATAAATATATGACTGAAAGGAACATATGAAATAGGGATAATTCTTAGAGAGTGGGATTAGAAAGAGAAGTAACAATATGGAAATTTTTCTTTCATAATACTTTATTTTTTTCCAGTGAACACATATTACTTTTATTTTTTTTTTAAACCTGAAAAATATCAGGGCAATATAAGTGGTTGTTAAAAAACATCAACTTTTGAAGTTAGATTTGAGGTCAAAATCAAGTTCTACCATGTACTAGTTTTATAACTTTGGGTAAGTCACTTAACATTGCTGAGTCTGTGTTCTCATATGTAGAATAGGGAAAATGAAAGTACTTATTTTGGCCGGTCGCGGAGGCTCATGCCTGTAATCCCAGCACTTTGGGAGGCCAAGGCGGGTGGATCACAAGGTCAGGAGTTCAAGACCAGCCTGACCAACATGGTGAAACTCCACCTCTACTAAAAATACAAAAATTAGCAGGGTGTGGTGGCATGCACCTGTAATCCCAGCTACTCGGGAGGCCAGGGCAGGAGAATTGCTTGAATCCAGGAGGTGAAGCTTGCAGTGAGCCAAGATTGCACCACTGCACTCCAGCCTGGGCGACAGAGGGAGACTCCATCTCAAAAAAAAAAAAAAGTACTTATCTTGCTTTTTTGGGGGAGGATTAAATGAGGTAATATGTGTAAGGTGCTTTACACAGTATGCATTTAGAAAATGGCATTGATAGGCCGGGTGCGGTGACTCATGCCTGTAATCCCAGCACTTTGGGAGGCCGAGGTGGGCGGATCACGAGGTCAGGAGATCGAGACCATCCTGATTAACACGGTGAAACCCCGTCTCTACCAAAATACAAAAATTAGCCGGGTGTTATGGCGGGTGCCTTTAGTCCCAGCTACTCAGGAGGCTGAGGCAGGAGAATGGTGTGAACCCGGGAGGCGAAGCTTGCAGTGAGCGAAGATCGCGCCACTGCACTCCAGCCTGGGTGACAGAGCGAGACTCCATCTAAAAAAAAAAAAAAAGAAAAAAAAGAAAGTGGCATTGTTGTTATTATTGTCATCTTGTAGGCATCCGTGTCAAAACTGCAGACACATCATGGAGCAAGAGGACAGAAAAGTCCATTGAATTTGGCTAAAGAGATTAATTTGTGACTCCTAAGAGTGAGTTTATTCGTATGCTGAGAGCAGAAGCCAATGTTTTGAGAGGTTAAGGAGTGAGAGGATGAGAAGAAAGTAGAAGCAGTAAGCCACATACTTTTGAAGTGTGGCATTGAAAGAAGAGAAAAATAGGGCACTATCCAGAGGAAACAGTGGGGCCAAGTGGAAGATTTTTCAAGAGAACAAAAACCCCTTGTGTGTGTTTAAAGTGAGAAGTAGGACCAGGGCTTTGGGAAGATTGAAGGTACAATAATTAATGGAGAAAAGAGGTTCAGATGGAGTTAGAAGTCATGGGATCAAGAAGACAGGTGAATGAATTAATCTCGGCAAAAGAAGGGAATATCTGAAAAAGGAACCAAAAAAGCACTAAATAGATATTTCGGGGTCGAGAGAAGAGATTTTGTAGTTCATGCTGGATGACCTTGCTTTCTGTGCATTTATTTGTGAAACAGTTTGCTACATTCCAGACACTATGCTAGGCTCTAGAAATACAACAGTACACAAAATAAATTGTCCTTTCATGGATTTGTTTGTTTGTTTGTTTTGATTTCTAAGCTTTTCTCTGTAACACTTATTATCACCTGATAACATATTTATTTGTTTGCTTTATGGAGGTCTGTCCCCACTTGAATAGTCTGTGGTGACAGGGGAGTGGCCTGTTCCTGCTATAACCCCTGTGCTTGTTACAGTAGTGGGCATATAGTACATGCTAATGAATGTTTACTAAATTAATTCAATGAAACACTGAAATATGTGCCATTTAGCCCACTTTTGCTCATTTAATCCTCATAATAACCTGAAAGGTAGGCATTACTAATGCCATTTAGAGATGAGGAAACAGGCTCAGAAAGGTTATATAAATTCCTTTATGGAGTTTTTGATGCAGAATGTCTGCCTAGAAAAGAGTTTTGTTAATTATTGGGTACTTTAGGAGTTTTCTGCAGTTCTTATGAAGAGGAAAAGAGAAGTACACAATAAGGGTTATGCTTTTATTCTATTTCTCATAGTTATAATTTTATTTTTAACTCTTTTTAATTTAAATGTTTGTGAGTATACAGTAGGTGTATATTGTTATAATTTAGATCACGGCTTTCTTTCAATGAAGTCAAGGTCATATGCATCAATAGAGCTTCAAAAATATATTTGTCCTTTCAAAAAATAACCAAGTGCTGACTATACTAGTCGCAGTTCTCGGGGCTAGGAATACACAGTAAATGCAAAGTTCCTTGCCATATCGAGCTTATATTCTGGTGGATGTAACAGATAAACAGATAAAGAAATATACAATAAAATAAAGATATAAGGGCTATGAATAAAAAAGAAGGGCAAGGGTATAGAGAGAGTGATAATGGAGGTAGGTTTTACATAGGGTTAAAAATAAAATGTTTAATTATGACAAGGCTGTTAAGAAGGATCAAAAGCAGAGAGGAGAGAAAAGAAGAGAGAAGGTAAGAAGCATAGGGATTAGGTAGGCAATAATAAATTCAGCCAATAGTAAAAGTTCTCAATATATCAACTGATTCCCAGAGCTATTTTAGTTGAATATCATGAACCCAGTTATATATGCCAGCTCCTTAAACATTGTCACCAATAAATATATACATCATTGTTGCCATAATAGCATGATTTCTGTATCTCTAGGTTGTTTTCCGAGGAGGTGAAGGGGCTTTGCAGGTTTTACCTCCCCTAGTTGATGTCATTCCTGAAGCTAGGCTAAACTTGGTGATTTACTACCTTCGTCAAGGTAAGAAAAATTTGTCCTGGTCTTACTTACAATGAGATATTTTAGAATAGTTAAATATGTCTGATGGAACTATTTGCTTCACTTTTTAAATCCATACTTCCAAAAATATATTTGCAACAAGTTCATAGAACAAGTTTATTGGTGGTTATTTGTTGTGCCTTTTTTTATCCTCTTTCCTCTTCTGTCGCTTCCTACCTTCTCCCTCATTCTGTTTTTTCTTTTTTCCTTTTATTTTGCTATCCTTTATTCTCTATCCATTCTTTCTTTTTCATTGTTTTTCCTCCCCTTCCCTTACAGTTCTTTTTTCTTTTTCTAGTTTCCCCCACTGCATTATGTACATTCACATTTTCTTGTGTCTTTTGAAAAAAGTATTAACTGTTTCTTATTTGCTTTGATTGTCTGCCTTTCCGTTTCTTTGTACCCCAGGCTGCTTATGAGAAATACTATGATTCAAAGAGGATGTGATATTTATTGCCCCTAAGTAAGATTGAAATTGTCAGACACACGCCTAAAGCAGCCTTTTCTAACAGCTATGAGTACAGGGTAGCAGCCACCATGCATTTGTGGTGGCATTTGGTCATGGGCCCTGGACTAACAATGTGGGCCTTCTTAGGTGCATGGCAGAAACCAACCAGGACAACATATTCCTCATGGAGGAAAATGTATTTATTAAAATAAGAATATGAACTTGCAAACAGTCCTACTTTATTTTATTTGTTTATTTATTATTATTATTCTTTTGAGACGGAGTCTTACTCTGTCGCCCAGGCTGGAGTGCAGTGGCGTGATCTCCGCTCACCGCAACCTCTGCCTCCAAGTTTCAAGCAATTCTCCTGCCTCAGCCTCCCAAGTAGCTGGGATTACAGGCATGCGCCACCATGCCTGGCTAATTTTTGTATTTCTAATAGAGACGGGGTTTCGCCATGTTGGCCAGGCTGGTCTTGAACTCCTGATCTCAGGTGATCCGCCTGCCTCAGCTTCCCAAAGTGCTGAGATTACAGGTGTGAGCCACCGTGCCCGGCCTCTCTTTTATATAAAAGCAAAAAGAAATATGTTTTGGACAAGAATGAAATAAACAGCTTATATATTTTATAAATTATTTTTATTATGGAAAATTTCAAACATAGACAAAAATAAATGGTACAATAAACACCCAAATACTCACCCTGGATTCAGCACTTTTCAAGATATTTCCAGTCTTCTTTTTTCATCACCTCTTTTTTGTTCCTGAAATGTTTTAAAGCAAATCTCAGACTTCATGTCATTTAATTCCTATATACTTAATATATATATATATGTATCTCTTTTTTAAAGAAATCATTGCTTTTCTTATCTAATACAATGCCATTGGCATAGAATGCCTCATCCATGTTCTTAGCTTCAACAATTTTTAAGGTACTTCATGGCTTAATATGAGTTTTCTAAGGATATTTGGTTATTTTTAGCATAACTACTCAACACCGAACATGGAGAGTTAGAAGACAGATAAAACAGATCATATTTCCCATGAATATTTAAGTACTGAAGGATCTTATCTTTTGGGAGGACTGCTTCAGGAGGGTTTTCTGGAATACAGACTAGTATAATTACTTTGTTGTATTTCAGATGATGTACAAGAAGCTTATAACTTAATTAAGGATCTGGAACCTACTACTCCTCAGGTAACTGAGAATGTTTTATATTTTTACTAACCAAGTTCTGCTAAAAGTGGAACTTCAGAAATTTAGTTGGAAGTCATATTAGAGAAGATTAGGCAGACTCCTGCCTGTAGAATCCCAGGAAAAGACCATATGTATTCATTCAGGAATGTTATATGCGACTTGTGATATGAGAATGAATGTTCTAGGCTTTTTGATGTTTTTAAACTCCCTTATATGTAGTCATTTTGTCAAAAAGGGTAAGGAAATTTGGAAAATTCCTTTAGTATTTGGAAATATGAAAATTTAGAATTCTGATGAAAATAACAACTAGATACATGCAATTATCTCATAAATTGTCTGTAACTTGTCTTTCTTCCCCATTGGATCGTTAACTCCTTGTAGTCAGGGACTGTGTCTATATTGTATCTCTAACACTATGTGCATAAAGTATATAGTAAACATTCCATTTATTGAATGAAAGACTGAATGAAAAATATTTCCAGACCCCATGGAGTTTAAACAAGTATATTTCTCAAGTATATTAAAAGATTGAGCTTCTTTCATGCTGTTCTTTGTGAGCTCTCTTAAATGAAAGATTGATAAAGCTGCTAGCTAGGGAGGGTATCTATTAAAGAATTGATCCAAGTCTGAAAAAAGGGATAGAAGTGAGGCCCCAGGACTCCAAAAGAGAGAATACCTTATAAATGGATATCAGAGGACACTTTTTTTTTATTTAGGAAAAGGATTACTAGCAAAGAAAAGTTACTATAACATTGGAAAGGGGCCAGGAGTGGTGGCTCACACCTGTAGTCCCAGCACTTTGGGAGGCCAAGGCAGGTGGATCACCTGAGGTCCAGAGTTCGAGACCAGCCTGGCCAACATGGTGAAACCCCGTCTCTACTACAAATACAAAAAAATTAGCCGGGTGTGGTGGCTGGGGCCTGTAATCCCAGCTACTCGGGAGGCTGAGGTAGGAGAATTGCTAAAACCCTGGGGGTGGAGGTTGCAGTGGGCTGAGATCACGCCACTGTACTCCAGCCTGGGCGACAGAGCAAGACTCGGTCTCAAAAAAAAAAAAAAATTGGAAAAGAAAAATAATATATATGATATGGTCACAGAGAATGGCAGTGGTTGAGAAGGTAATAAAAATTATTATATCAACATTTTACTTTTTTTTCCATAGAATTGAAATAAAATGAAACTTATCTGCTGGAGCTTCCACTAAATTATTTTTGCTTAAGATTGAGAATTTACAAATATGGTAAATTTTGTTATATAGATACTTGGCTGCTGGAAACTAAATGAGTGTCTCCTAATTCTTTTATTCAAGCCAGGGATAGAACAGAGAAAAGTAACTGTGGGTAATCTTTGATACTTTATATAAAGTATTGAGTTAATGCAAGGAGTTAATTTGAAAATGATCTCATAGCTCCACATTCCTCTTAATCAGTGTTATTCCATGTTTCTAGGAGTATATTCTCAAAGGAGTGGTCAATGCAGCCCTTGGCCAGGAAATGGGTTCAGTGAGTATGAAATCACTGATAATCTATAGGTTGCAAAGTTATAAGTGTATGGAAGAGAACAAAATGACTATCAAAGTGCAAGCAGCAATAGGCTCTCCTGTAGCTCCTTTTATTTCTCCATATCCCCCAATCCAGACTCCACTGAGAAAAGAATGTTATGTTATTTAGAGACAAAAAAAAAAAACAAAAAAAAAACTTGTAACCCTAAAGACTCCTGCTTGTTTAAAAGGGTCCAATTTTTAAATAGCAACTTATTTAATAACTAACTTAAAAATCATTGCGCAACTTCATTCTTATTTGCAGCGACTTTTTTTAAACTTACATATATCTAGCTATAATTTTGGCATCTGTAAAGTAGGGAAAATTGTTTCTCTGGAGAAGTTATTTTTATAAACACCAAAACACTGTCTAAAATTAAGCTCTTATCCATCTTAATACAGCGTTCTTTGTTCTTTTTGGAACAAAATGGGATACAAATAAATCTTTTTATCTCAAGTTCATTCTGCAGTGCCTTGTATAGTAGATAGGCAGCAAATATTTATTAAATAAATGAGTTTAATAAATACTCCTTGTTATATCTACAGCTCCTGTTCCAAGGTCTGATATATGGTAAAAGAGCAATAGGTATTTGTAGAATGATTGAGTTCATTTAATGAAGTTTTAGGATAGAATTTAAGGATTTGATTCTTTTTCTTCTCCTCTGCCTGTCCCTGCACAGGTTTTAATTCAGTTTCGGGTCTAGTTGTTATGTTAATGAGAATTAGTATTGTTTGGGGCAAGATTTAAAACAAAGGTATATTTAAATCCTGACAAATATGTTAGAACCATATAGTATAATAAAATAAAATATTTTTACCTTATTCCTCTATATCAGCTCAGTTTGTTTTTCAGAGGGATCATATGAAAATTGCCCAGCAGTTCTTCCAGTTGGTGGGAGGATCAGCTAGTGAATGTGGTATGTCTGAAATCTGTACTTATGATCTGCTTCATAATTGGAGTGGGGCATATATTGACCGTGAAGTTTGATTCTCTGTCTAGGGATGTATCTATTAGGCTTCACATTATAAAGTGGGAGGTCAGAAATAAGAGAGAATATTGGAATTAGTTCTTCTCAACATCTCAGCGAAAGTGGGATAAGAGAATAAATAGAGTAAATTTCCTGTTTTGTTCCTGAGAGTTTTAAAACTTTGAATCAGTTTTAGATATAAAATGTTATTTTTTACTGAGTTTTCAAGAGCTCTTTTGAGCATTAACTTTTGTCACATTCTGGTAGGTCATTTGCCTTTAAACTTTGCCTATGATATTTTTTTCCATATAAAAATATTAAAACCAGCCAGGCATGCTGGCTTAGGCTTGTAATCCCAGTACTTTGGGAGGCTGAGGCAGGCAGATGGCTTGAGCCCAGGAGTTCAGGACCAGCCTGGGCAACATAGGAAGACCCCATCTCTATAAGTAATAATAAAAAAATCAGCCAGGTATGGTGGCACACACCTATGGCCCCAGCTACTTGAGAGGCTGAGGTGTCAGGACTGCCTGAGCCCAGGAAGTTGAGGCTGCAGTGAGCCATGATTACACCACTGCATTCCAGCCTGGGCAACAGAGTGAGACCGTCATCTCAAATATGTATACACCATACAACCAATACTACAGAAATTCAAAGAATCACCACGGGCTACTATGAGCAATGATATGTCAGTAAATTGGAAAACCTAGAAGAAATGGACAAATTCCTAGACACATACAACCAACCAAGATTGAACCATGAAGAAATCCAAAACCTGAGCAAACCAATAACAAGTAATGAGATCAAAGCCATAATAACAAGATTCCCTGTAAAGAAAAGCCCAGGACCCATTGGCTTCACTGTAGAATTCTACCAAACATTTAAAGAAAAACTAATACCAATCCTACTCAAACTATTCCAAAAAAGAAAGGAGGAGGGAATATTTCCTCTCATTCTTCAAAACCAGTATTGCCCTGATAACAAAACCAAAGGCACATCAAAAAAAGAAAACTAAAGTCCAATATCTCAAATGAAGAGGGATGAAAAAATTGTTAACAAAATATTAGCAAACAGAATTCAACAACACATTAAAAAGATCATTCATCATGACCAACTGAGATTTATCCCAGGAATGCAAGAATGGTCCAACATATGCAAATCAATGGGATACATCATATCAGCAGAATGAAGGGCAAAAACCATATGATCATTTCAATTGATGCTGGAAAAGCATTTGATTAAATTCAACATCCCTTTATGATAAAAATCCCCCCAAAAACTGAGTATAAATGGAACATACCTCAAAACAATGAAATCCATATATGACAGGCCCACAGCTAGTATCATATTGAATGGGGAAAGTGGGAAGCCTTTCCTCTAAGATCTGGAACAAGACAAGGATGCCCACTTTCACCACTGTTATTCAACATAGCACTGGAAGTCCTAGCTAGTAATCAGACAAGAGAAAGAAATAAAGGACATCTGAATTGAAAAGGAAGAAGTTAAATTATCCTTGTTTGCAGATGATATGATCTTATATTTGGAAAAACCTAAAAACTCCACCAAAAAACTATTAGAACTCATAAGCAAATGTGGTAAAATTGCAGGATACAAAACCAGCAAACAAAAATCGTTGGCATTTCTATATGCCAACAGCAAACAATCTGAAAATCAAAAAAGTAATCTCATTTATAATAGCTACCAATAAAATTTAAAAATCTTAGGAATTAACCAAAGTAGTGAAATATTTCTACAATAAAAACTATAAAACATTGATGCAAGAAATTGAAGAGGACACACAAAAAAGGAAAGATATTCCATGTTCATAGATTGGGAGAATCAATGTTGTTAAAATGTTCATACTACCCAAAGCAATCTGCAAATTCAATGCAATCCCTATGAAAATACCAATGATATTCTTCATAAAAATAGAAAAAACAATCCTAAAATTTATACAGAACCACAAAAGACCAGAATAGCCAAAGCTGTTCTGAGCAGAAAGGACAAAACTGGAGGAATCACTGTACCTGACTTCTAATTATACCTCAGAGCTATAGTAACCAAAACAGCATGGTACTGGCATAAACACAGACATATAGACCAATGGAGCACATTAAGAGAACCCAGAAATAATCCATATGTCTACAGTGAACTCATTTTTGACAAAGGTGCCAAGAACCTGTAGAGAAAGGACAGTCTCTTCAATAAATTATGCTGGGAAAACTGGATATCCATATGCAGAAGAATGAAACTAGACTCCCATCTCTTACCCTATACAAAAATCAAATCAAAATGGATTAAAGACTGAAATCTAAGACCTTAAATAAGGAAAATTCTACAAGAAAACATTGGGGAAACTCTCCAGGACATTGGTGTGGGCAAAGACTTCTTTTTATGTTGTTGTTCTTGTTTTTGTTTTCTTTCAAACAAGATAGGCTTTATTTAGATCACCAAAACTAACATTTTACAGAAAGGTAGCCATAACATTACACAGCAAAGTATAGCTGTAAAATCTCAAACAAGAAACACAATGCTTTCTTTAGATCACCAAAAATAATGTTTCATAGAGAGGGAACTGTTAGAAGCAAACGTGTAGCTGCAAATTTTCTTTTGCCGTCAATATCGAGTCCCTCTAAAATACTTTGAGACTACTTTGTGGTTTCCAAGTACAAACTAAACCTTGTTGGACAGAGTTGCTCAGCTTCATCAAAAGAATGAAACCAATTTGCAAAAAAAAAAAAAAAATTACTTAATGCTAACAAATAAAAAAACAATGTGGTTCTAGCTAATTAACTGCAATGTCTATTGAAATAGCCTAACCTATGTATGCTTCCACGAACATTTCACTGTGGACCCAGTTGCTTTTTTCCTGCCATCACAGATGGCCTGCACAGTAGCAAGTGTTGTGTCAGAGCACTATAGGCACCCAGGAAACAATTCCTAACAGAATAACTACAGTATGTGGGCAACTCAGGGCCTACCTCTGTCAGAGCCGCCAGGTGGGCATTGTATTTGTGCTCTGGGTAAAGACCCACTACCTTGATAGTTGTTCATCTGGAACCCAGAGCGCTGAGCTAGATAGAGGAGTTGTTCTTACAGAACCATCAACACTGTAATAAATTGCCCGGAGATTCTTGCTGCTGTAATGCACCTCACAGGCAGCGACACAAGCTGACTCTGGGAAAAAGTAATCACGGTATTCTGCTAAAAACCTCAAATAGAGATCAAAGTGCTTCAACAAAGCCTTCAGATTTTTCTCAGAAAAGGACATCTTTCCAAGGATTTCTGGAAGTTTTACAAACAATCGCAGCAAATGTTATACCCCATAAATGTAAGAGGGTGGAAGCGGCTGGTCACCTGGTGGGTAATTGTCAGGCATAAGCTTCAGGACAGGACCTCGTTCATTTCATTAGTTTTTCTCCCTTCAAAGCCAGCGAACACTGTACTTCCTTCCTTGCTAGGAGTCAGAGGAATAGGTGAAGACAATCTGCTATGCACGGGTGTCTTCTTTTCCAGGTGCAGGAACAGCTTGGTTATACTGGCGGATGTGTCCTGCTGCTGGCGCTTGGGCTGAGGTGAGGTGCTGCTGTCAGAAAGTCTGTCACAGTTGGTGGTGTGGCTCAGGGACCACCTCAGAGACTGCAATGCTTCCAACTCAGCTTTGCGCCTTTTGTGGGTGGCTGGTTCACTAATGGTTGGCTGACTCTCTGTGGACTGTGGCATGGATGGATTCAACAAAGGCAGGCTGGGAGAGAGTTCCTCCTGGATCGTATTAGTGTTTATGGCACTTTCCTTAATTGGAAAAAAAACTTGTACAAAGTCACCTTTTTTTTTTTTTTTTTTTGAGATGGAGTCTCGCTCTTGTTGCCCAGACTGGAGTGCAGTGGTGTGATCTCGGCTCACTGCAACCTCTGCCTCCTGGGTTCAAGCGATTTTCTTGCCTCAGCCTCCCGAGTAGCTGGGGATTACAGGCTCCTGCCACCATGCCCGGCTAATTTTTGTATTTTTACTAGAGACGAGGTTTCGCCATGTTGGCCAGGCTGGTCTCCAACTCCTGACCTCAGGTGATCCACTCACCTCGGCCTCCCAAAGTGCTGAGATTACAGGTGTGAGCCACCGCACCCGGCAAAGTCACCTTTTTATACTGAGTTTGTTCATATGGATAGAGTAAAACCAACAGGAGAGTGTAATCAAAGGTTATTCTTAATCCATCCACCATCTCCTTAAAAAGGTCAACATTCTTTTCTTCTGGGATATAATGCACGTTCATATTGGCATGTGGCATAGCATGATGGTGACGAGGCCTCTCATTGGCTGAAAAGGCTGCATTGAGAGCAAAATGCTTCCAAAATCATTATGATGTTGGTCTGGCATGAAAGTTTCACTAACCATTTCCTCCTGTTAATGTAATAACAATCATCCTTCTGCTGCTTCAGAACTTCAGGTATTTCTATAGTTACTGTTGTTTCTTCCATTTCTCTTTTTGTTTGAAGCTCTGGTTCTTCTTTCACTTCAGTCTTTTCTTCAATATCACTTTCTTCACTTATTCTTCATCCTTTGCTGCTGCCAGAGGAACTGCTTAATGAATTTTCATCATTTTCATCTTTTTCATCAATGAGGAGGCCTTTTAAGACAGAGTCAATCAACACCAGGCAACCTGCAGCACTTCTTTCTTCCTGTGCTGCTCAGGCGAGCTACAGCTTTTCTTGCCAATTGATGCTGTAATCTACGATTTTCATCAGTATCATGAAGCACATGATCTTCAGTTGCCCACTTATCCCAGCTTCTGTTCCAGCCATTAAAATGGATCAGATATTCTGGGATCTTTCTGCCTTTTTTGTCTTTCCCAACAATAACATTAACAATCTGGGTCTGACGGCAGGGCGTCCCACGGGAGCCCACCTGGTGCTGGGCCACACTGGAGGAGAGATTTAACATGAAGACAGAAAGTGTAGTCCAGAGGCCTCCTCCACTGGCGGCCCGCGTTGGCATCAGGGGGTGCAAACAGTAACAACAAAGCACGCGTGAGGTTCCCGACCGTGTGTGAGCAGCCTGGCCCAAAGATTTCTTGAGTAATACCGCACAAACACAGGCAACCAAAGCAAAAATGGACAGATGGGGTCACATCAAGTGAAAAAAGCTTCTGCACAGCAAAGGAAACAATCAACAAAGTGAAATGAGAACCCACAGAATGGAGAAAATGTTTGCCATCTGACAAGGGATTAATAATCAAAATATAGAAGGAGCCCAGACAACTCAATAGGAAAAAAATCTAACAATCCAATTTAAAAATGAGCAAAAGCTCTGAACAGACATTTCTTAAAAGGAGACATACAAGGCCCGGGTGCCGTGGCTCACACCTGTAATCCCAGCACTTTGGGAGGCTGAGGCGGGTGGATCACCTGACGTCAGGAATTCAAGAGTAGCCTGGCCAACATGGTGAAACTCCATCTCTACTAAAAATGCAAAAAATTAGCTGGGCATGGTGGTGGCACCCGTAATCCCAGCTACTCAGGAGACTGAGGCAGGAGAATCGCTTGAATCCAGGAGGCAGAGGTTGCAGTGAGCCGAGGTCACACCATCACACTACAGTCTGGACAACAAGATTGGAACCCCGTCTCAAAAAAGAAAGAAAGAAAGAAAAAAAAAGACATACAAATGACAAATGGGTATATGAAAAGGTGTTTGACATCACTGATCATCAGAGAAATGCAAATCAAAACTACAGTGAGATACCATCTCACTCCAGTTAAAATGGCTTTTATGCAAAAGACAGGCAACAGTGAATGCTGGAGAGGATGTAGAGAAAAGGGACCTTCGTACACTGTAAATTAGCACACCTACTATGTATGTGTGCTAATTTATGTACGTACAAATGTAAATTAGCACACCTACTATGGATAACAGTTTGGAAGTTCCTCAAAACACTAAAAATAGGATGACCATATGATACAGAAATCTCACTGCTAGGTATATACCCAAAAGAAAGGAAATCAGCATATCAAAGAGATATTTGCAAACCAATGTTTATTGCAGCACAGTTCAAAATAGCGAAGAATTGGAAGCACTCTCAGCATCCATCAACGGGTGAAGGAATAAAGAAAGTGTGGTACATATGCACAATGGAATACTTACTGTTCAGCCATAAAAAGGATGAGATGAGATGAATGAGATGAGATCCTGTCATTTCCAATAACATGTATGGAATTGGAGGACATTATGTTAAGTGAAATAAGCCAGGCACAGAAAGACACACTTTTCACTTATTTGTGGGAGCTAAAAAATATTAAAACACTTGAACTCATGGAGATAGGGAGTAGAATGATGGTTAGCAGAGCCTGGGAAGGGTAGTGGAGTGGGAGGGCAGTGAGGATGGCTCCAAAAAAAAAAATTAGAATTAATAAGATCTAGTATTTGGTTTTTGTTTGTTTGTTTGTTTTGTTTTTTGAGATGGAGTCTTGCTCTGTTGCCCAGGCTGGAATGCGGTGGCATGATTTCGGCTCACTGCAACCTCCGCCTCCCGGGTTCAAGCAATTCTCCTGCCTCGGCCTCCCGAGTAGCTGGGACTACAGGCGCCCGCACCACGCCCGGTATTTTTAGTAGAGACAGGGTTTCACCATGTTGGCCAGGCTGGTCTTGAACTCCTGACCTCAAATGATCCACCCACCTCAGCCTCCCAAAGTGCTGGGATTACAGGCATGAGCCACCGCACCCGGCTTAAGATCTAGTATTTGACAGCACAACAGAGTGACTACAGTTAAGAATATAATTTATTATATATTTCAAAATAACTAGAAGAGTATAATTGGATTGTTTGTAACACAAAGAAAGGATAAATGCTTGATGTGATGCATACCCCATTTACCCTGATGTGATTGTTATGCATTGTATGCCTGTATCAAAATATACTGGATATCCATATGCAGTATGGATATATGGACTACATACCCACAAAAATTAAAAAAAATAAAGTAGATTAATAAAAAATATTAAAACCATATTTAATTAAGTTTTTCTTTCCTATAATGATTTCTTGCATGGATATTAAGCTTAGAAAATGCTTTCTTTCTGCCACAGTTATATAATGTTCACCTATATTGCCCACTAGTAGTCTTGAAACTTCATTTTTATGATTAAAGTATTTCATCAGCCAAGATTCAGTGAAAGATTTGAGAAAGGGGTATAAAAAGAGATGCTAGTTAGCCAGCATGAACCAATATGGTGCTGCCTGTACTGGTTGTCTATGCCTGGCATCTATTCTGAGTAACAGTGTTCATGCTGAACTGAAAATTAAATATTTTTATCACTCCTGGACGTTCACAAATGTTTCACCAGCACTGGTTATTTAGTTCAATTTTCCCCATTTCATTCATTCATTCACACAATAAAAATTTATTGAGCTGTTGAGGATACAGCAGTAAACAAACAAAACTCCCAACCATTATGGAACTTAAGTCTAGTAGGGCAGATGGATCAGAAACACTATATAGTGGCCAGGTGCGGTGGTTCACACCTGTAATCCCAGCACTTTGGGAGGCTGAGGTGGGCGTATTACGAGGTCAGGAGATCGAGACCAGTCTGGCCAACATGGTGGAACCCCACCTCTACTAAAAATACAAAAATTAACCAGGTGTGGTGGTGTGTGCCTGTAATCCCATCTACTTGGGAGGCTGAGGTAGGAGAATCACTTGAACCCGGGAGACGAAGGTTGCAGTGAGCCAAGATCGCACCACTGCACTTCACCCTGGGCAACAGAGTAAGACTCCGTCTCAAAAAAAAAAAAAGAAAGAAAAGAAAAAAAGAAATAATATATCATATATATGTATAGTGTGTGTGTGTATATATATATATTTATACTACATATGTATATCTGATATGTATGTTCTGATCCTTACCCAACTTTTTGCCTGATATCAGATTCCTATTTGAGTGGTGGAGGATTAGTATAACTCCCACCCTTGCCACAGGCATTCCTAAGACTCCTTATTCTGTTTAATTTTTTTCCTTTATCAATTATGACAGTCTGATATACTATGTATATCAGATATATATATACTGTATGTATGTACATCTCATCAAATATACCAGAAAATTTTCTGTGGTGGCATTAGTGGCATCAACTAATCCTTAAGATTAGTTTTGTGTTTATCTGGTATAACTGATTGTTTTATATTTTATATGTATATCTGATCGGATATACATATATATATAGTGTGTGTGTGTGTGTGTGTATATATATCTCAAATGTACATAGTATATCAGACTGTGATAAATGCTAAAGGAAAAAAATTAAACAGGATAAGGAGCCTTAGGAATGTCTGTGGCAAGGGTGGGAGTTATACTAATCCTCCACCACTCAAATAGGAATCCAGTATCAGGCAAAAAGTTGAATCAGGATCAGAATCAGATGGTTCCATGGCAAATTATTTTTCCGTTTAAGATTGGAAGTGCTAGGTTGATTTAGAAAAGTGATAATGGAGACCAGGCCACACTAATTGAATGTGCACATGTTGGATGAGAGCATCAAAGCCCTGAAAAATGACCTGGGTAATGTCGTAGTTAATGAACCTGCAGGGCGTGTGTTCATTTTGGACTCTGGGAGTTAATCCCCAGAGAGATTATTGGTCACTCTCAAGAACTATGACCTCCATTATATTGGGGTTTTGTCCACTGAAGAAAATGTATAATGTCAGAATCTAGAAAGATATTTTGGAATATTTTCCTGTCTTTAAATTATTAAATAACTCAAACTTCAGCTAAAGAGGATTTTAGTCTCATGAATATATGTGGGGTTTTTTTCCCCTCCGTTTCAGATACAATACCAGGGAGGCAGTGCATGGCTTCCTGTTTCTTCCTGCTTAAGCAATTTGATGATGTTTTGATTTACCTCAACTCATTTAAGGTCAGTATAGAATTATCTATAAGACTTTATATACAAAATACTATGGAATGTGTCAGAGAAGATAAGATACCCTTAGAGATGGCCCATTTTCTGTGGTGGCATTAGTGGCATCAACTAATCCTTAAGGTTAGTTTTGTGTTTATCTGGTATAACTGATGGTTATATTTTATATGTTAATTCTCAGTGTGACCTGTTCTTGGGATGTTTTTCAGAGTTACTTCTATAATGATGACATCTTTAACTTTAATTATGCCCAAGCCAAAGCTGCAACAGGCAATACCAGTGAGGGCGAAGAGGTGGGTATCTGCTTTTGAGAGCATTTGAATGATTCTATCTAAAAACATCCTTATCTTTTTCTCACTGGAATAAAATGGTCAAGGGTTAAGGATTATTAAAGATTCCTCTGTTCTTAGGATGCATGAATAAGTACACTGTGGAGAAGGTGCAGTGACACACACCTGTAGTCCCAGCTACTTGGGAGGCTGAGGCAGGACAATGGCTTGAGCCTGGAAGTTTTAAGCTGCAGTGCACTATGATCGTGCCTGTGAATAGCCACTACACTCCAGCCTGGGCAACATAGCAAGACCCTGTCTCTTAAAAAAAAAAAATTACAATGTGAATAGACATAGATTTTATAACCATATTAAAATTTTCCCTTTTTAGTAAATTTTATAGAAATATAACGTATGTACAGAAAAGTATACATATCATAAGTATACAGCTTGATGACTATCAGTATGTTTCTTATTTGATTTCTAACTTAATTGTATTTTTGTGGTCATAGAATGTGCTCTGGGCTGGGCGAGCTGGCTCACACCTATAATCCCAACATTTCAGAAGGCTGAAAAGTGGGAGGATCACTTGAGCTCAGGAGTTCGAGACCAACCTAGGCAATATAGTGAGACACCATCTCTACAAAAATTTTTTTAAAATAGCTGAGTATAGTGGCATGTGCCATTTGTTGAGGCTTGCCTTACTGACCTGTGTGTAGCATGGTCATATATGCTTAAAAAGAATGTGTATCATACAGTTGTTAATTACTCTGTTTAAATCTTCTATATCCTTACCAACTTTTTGTCAACTTGTAATATCAATTTCTGGTGAAATACTTTAAATCACCACAATTCTGTCCCTCACTTTTCTTAGCAGCCTGTATAGAATTGGGCTGTCTATAATGCTACAGTGATCATCAATCTAAGGCAAGCCAATAATGGGTATTTTTATTGCAAAAGCATCCTCATGTGTATTCCCTTTCTTTCCTCTTCTTGCAGGCGTTCCTCTTGATCCAAAGTGAGAAGATGAAAAATGATTACATTTACCTCAGCTGGTTAGCTCGGTGCTGTGAGTCTTCTTTTTTTAAATATTACAAGAAGAATCCTCTTTTTCTTTTTGGTTGCATAATCTGTTCGGAAATGACATTGAAAGTTTTCTAATTTTATTTTGCATTTTGTTCTGTAGAATGAGTAAACACTGAAATTAAGCGTTGTTAATGCTACTCAGTAAGAGTTGCCATGTAAATGTGTCATGCAAGTTTACCCTGTGATTAGTTCTACTATATAGCATTGACCTAGTACTTATAGCCTGAAAAATGTCAAGTTCTTCCTAAAGTCTCATTAAAGTTTCCAGAGTCTCAGTTTATAGTGTTGTTTATGAAATGATGCTGTTACACTAATTTTAACTTTTCACTATGGGTCAAGTCTGAAAAGTGGCAAAATGTCAAAAATGTAATTTTTTGGTATATTATAGAACTTTAGGCCGGGCGCGGTGGCTCATGCCTGTAATCCCAGCACTTTGGGAGGCCAAGGCGGGTGGATCACGAGGTCAGGAGATCGAGACCATCCTGGCTAGCACGGTGAAACCCCATCTCTACTAAAAATACAAAAAATTAGCCGGGCGCGGTGGTGGGCGCCTGTAGTCCCAGCTGCTCGGGAGGCTGAGATAGGAAAATGGCGTGAACCCGGGAGGCGGAGCTGCAGTGAGGGGAGATCACGCCACTGCACGCCAGCCTGGGCGACAGAGCGAGACTCCGTCTCAAAAAAAGAAAAAAAAAAGAACTTTACTTTGTCTCTGTCTCTAACTCACTATTGTTTCTTGTTCCTTTTTAAAACTCAAGATTTAAAATGTTGGCCAGGCACAGTTGCTCACACCTGTAATCCCAGCACTTTGGGAGCTTGAGGCAGGCAAATCACTTGAGGCCAGGAGTTAAAGACCAGCCTGGCCAACATGGCAAAACCTCAGCTCTACTAAAAATACTAAAATTAGCTGGGTGTGGTGGCACACACCTATAATTCCAGCTGCTTGGGAGGCTGAGGCACGAGAATCACTTAACCTGGGAGGCAGAGGTTGCAGTGAGCCAAGATCGCACCACTGCACTCCAGCCTGGGTGACAGAGCAAGACTCTGTCTCAAAAAAAAAAAAATTAAATGTTTACTGAATTTTTGTAGTCAGAGGAAAATTTAGCAATCGTATCTTCTAAGTGAGATTGAAACGACGAGTAGGATTGAATGAATGATAGGTATCCTCTTTTAAGCATATGAGCAAAGTAGGAACTACCAGAAGTCAATCCCATCTGAAAGACATAATTATGTGACTCCTAACTTAAATATTTTAAGTATGGTAGAATTCTGGCAGGGAGCCAGCTTAATGCCAACATTGCAAGCTTTCCATGAAAGCTTTCCATTACTTTATTTGGAATATAGAACCAAATCCATAGAATAATAAGGTGCAGAAATTATTTTTGTACAGTAAAAATGACTCATTTGTTTACAAATCTTTGTTTCCTTTTGCAGATATTATGAATAAGAAACCAAGACTAGCCTGGGAACTTTATCTTAAGATGGAAACCTCCGGCGAGTCCTTCAGTCTCTTACAGCTCATTGCTAATGACTGCTACAAGGTGAGTCTGACTGAGACTAAAGGGAACATTAAAGATTCATTATCACATTGCTGCATTGGCTAAATATTAGGGGAAAATGTCCTGCAGACTAAATGGCTAGTAGTGAGAGGATTCACGTAGTGTTATAAGAGATGCCATTCTTTTTATGAATTAACTGAACTCAGAGATAGGCAGTATTTCAGAGATTTACATGTATATGAAATAATTATTTAGACAGGAAGTTTTAGATTTCTAAAGGATATGAATCTTTAGTCAGCGTTGATGTACAGATATTCATCTGGTAGTTGGAAATTTGGTTCTGAAGCTCAAGAAAAATGTCTTCTGACATCTGGAGACATAGATTGCGAGTCATCAACATTTAAGTACAGTCCTGTGTTGCTTTATAATGGGGATAAGTTCTGAGAAATGTGTCATTAGGTGATTTTGTCATTGTACAAACATCAGAGTGTACTTACACAAACCTAGATGGTATAGCCTACTATACACTTGGGCCATATGATATAGCTTATTGCTCCCTAGGCTACAAACCTGTACAGCATATTCCTGTAGTGAATACTGTAGGTAATTATAACACAATGGCTAATATTTGTGTGTTGAAACATATCTAAACATAGAAAAGGCACAGTAAAAATATAATATTATGATCTTATGGAACCACAATCATATATGCTGCCCATCACTGATCAAAATACGGTTATGAAGTACATGACTGGATTAACTGAAGCCCTGAAAAACAGTGAGATTACCCAAGTAAAATGTAAAGTGAGAAGAGGTGCAAACCAAACTTTGAGGTGCAAATGGCAGACAGGAAAGACAAAGGAACCAGAAAAAGAGAATAAAAAAGTAGTCAGATTTAGTAAAGAAATGGCTGTTTTGTGTGCATGCTGGGGTGTGTGTGTGGAGGGGCGGGGGGAGTTGGAAAGGCTGGGAGGAGGTAGTAGTTTGGGGACCTAGCCTCAAAAAAAGATTAAGATTTTTTTAAAATCAGCCTCAAATTCTGGAAGTTCCTATTTTTGGAATATCTCTTCCAAAAATGTCAAAAATCAGGTAAATGTCAGGTAAAGAGAAACTCGTATTAAATTAATCAACAAAAGCTCATTTCAAAGTGAATCGTTACCAAAAAAAGAGGTGAATTACCATCAGTAGAAAATACTTTAAGACATAGGAAACTTAAAAATAACAGTTTAACATGACTTGGTGGGTGGCAATGCTCTTAAATAAGTTAGGGGAGGCAGAGGGAAGGAAAACATTAGAAGACAGGAAATTATTTCAGTTTTAGATGTATTAAATCTGAAGTGTCTTTGAGGCTCCCAGCAGAGATAACAGAAGTAGGAAATTAACAGGCTGTGCTTGGAGCTTTGGTATTCATCAAGATTAGCAATGTAGATTTAGTAGTTAACAATGTAGATTTAGAAGTTAACCGTAGTTAGTGGTGGTAGTAGCAGCAGCAGGAGCAGCAACAGCCAAGTATGAGAGAGAATAAGATTAGCCAGTAAATGGGGTGAGGAACCTTGTGGAAACCAGTGTTTAAGGGCTGGAAAGAGAAGGAAGAGTAAATGAAAGAGAGGATGAACAGAAGAGAAGGAAAACAATGAGGACAGGAAAAAAAATGCTTTTCATTACTTTTTCTTGCTCCCATTTAATCAAAAACCAAGGCAGGAGAGTGTCAAATCTGCAACTGGATAGAAATGCATGAGGACTGAGAAGACAGTAAGAGGTAGAGAATAGAGTCAGATTACAAAGCAGATGCAGCTAGTGTAATGTAGACCACAGTCTTAAAAAATTTGATATTAAAAATAAGAAGGAAAAATGTAGTGCTAACTTAAATGGAAAATCAGGGTTTGGAATTGCGGGGGATGGGGTGGAGAGTTCTTTTAGAATGGGGATAGGGGAGTATATCTGTAGGCAGAAGAAAATGAGCCATTGAACAGTAAGATTAAAGATTCAGGAGGATGGGGCATTTTTGATGGAGTTAGGCCCTGAGGAGATGAGAGGGGAATAGGGTTAACATCAAAGGAAGATAACTACTTGAAAAACAAGTTGGCATTACCTACTGTCTCAGTGGTCCCATGACCACCCACTAGTTTGGTGATTTACTAGAAGGAGTCATACGACTCAACATAAAGTTATACTCATGGCTAAAATTTATTACACTACAGGAACAGCAGGAAAACGATGGGTGTAGGTGAAGGCTAGAGAAGCCAAATACAGGTTTTCTTATCTTCCTTTTGTGGGGATCACACAGTCAAGTCTTTATCAAGCATATGTGTGAGGTCCTTGTCAAAGAAAAACAAAGAGAATAAGGGGGGAAATGGCAGAATTAAGCCCTAACATGTCAATAATTAAATGTAAATGGTCTAAGTATGCCTATTAAAAGACATCTATTGAGAGAGTGGATTAAAAAACATAACCCAATTATGTGTTCTCAACAAGAAATTCACTTTAAATATATTTACATAGGTCAAAAATAAAAGGATAAAAAAAAAAAACCAACCATGAAATACTTTGGCAGTTTCTTTAATAAACATACTTACCATATGACCCAGCAATTGCATTCCTGTGTATTTATCCCAGATAAATGAAAACCTATATCCACAGAAATATATAAATGTTAATAACACAAATTTTAATATTTAAATGTTAATAGCAGCTTTATTTGTAATAGCCTAAAACTGGAGACAAAGTCTTTCAGCAGGTGAATGGTTAAACAGATGGGTTTGGCATGGAATACTACTCAGTAATAAAAAGGAACTATAATGAGAAGTCTGACTCCATTTCTGGATGTTTGACTGCTGACAGCTTTTAAGCCTCACCCCTGCCTCTTCCCGTTGTGCCCCGCATCTGGACAAAATGATAAGAAAACCTACGTGCTCCCTTCTTTGGCACCATAGGGTGATTTAAACCACACAAGCCCCTGCCCATGCACAGGAACCTTCACCACGGCCCCACCTCCTAACCACAGTAAACACCAAGGCCAGTCTCCTTTCCTTGCTTTCTCAGGCCTTTTCAGATCTGCTTAATAGGGCCGTTCTACTCTCCCTAGGCTTCAAGTATGTAAGAAAACGTTTCATATCCTCTTGCTGTGTGTGTGTGGCGTCATCAGTTTCACCATCCAAACCAAACTTTGGTTGGGAGTCCCTGTTGCATTTGCAGGGTGACCAGAACAGGAGCAAGCTATTGGAACACACAGTAACTTGAATTAACAGGGAATAACAAGGACATTATACTGAAGGAAAAAAGCCAGTTTCATAGGGTCCCATACTGTTTGCTTTCATATATGTAACATTCTTGAAATGACAAAATTATTGAGATAGAGAACAAATTAGTGGTTGTTAGATGTTAGGGATGGTGAGCAGGGAGGGCTGTGCATGTGACTGTAAAAGGGTAACAAGGGAAATCTTTGTGGTGATATAATAGTTCTGCATCTTGGTCAGGCACGGTGGCTTATGCCTGTAATCCCAGTACTTTGGGAGGCCAAGGCAGGAGGATTGCTTAAGGCCAGGAGTTCAAGGCCAGCCAGGGCAACATAGTGAGACATCGTCTCTATAAAACATTTTTAAAAAGCAGCTGGGCAGGCCGGGCGTGGTGGCTGATGCCTGTAATCCCAGCACTTTGGGAGGCTGAGGCGGGCGGATCACAAGGTCAGGAGATCGAGACCATCCTGGTTAACACAGTGAAACCCCGTCTCTACTAAAAATACAAAAAATTAGCCAGGCGTGGTGGCGGGCGCCTGTAGTCCCAGCTACTCAGGAGGCTGAGGCAGGAGAATGGCGTGAACCCGGGAGGTGGAGCTTGCAGTGAGCCGAGATCGCGCCACTGCACTCCAGCCTGGGTAACAGGGCGAGACTCCATCTCAAAAAAAAAAAAAAAAGTAGCTGGGCATGGTGGCTACCTCAAGAGGCTGAGGCAGGAGAATCACTTGAGCCCAGAAGTTCAAGGTTGCAGTGAGCTGTGATTGCCTTATTGCATTCCAACCTGGATGACAAAGCAAGACCTTGTGTCCAAAAAAAAAGAGTAATTCGGTATCTTGATAGTTGTATGGCTGTGGTTACGTGAATCTACACATAGGATGAAATAACAGGACCATCATCAACATACACGGTACCAGTGTCAATTTCCTGATTTTTATATTGTGATATTTTACTATCCTTATTTAAGCTGTAACCTTTGGAGGAAACTAGGTGAAAGGTACACATGACCTCTGTCCTATCTTTGTCCATGGATCTATAATTATTAATACTTCAAAATAAAAAAATTTTTTAAATGAATCAACTAGAGCTATATACAGCAATATAGGTGAGTCTTATAATGTTGAATCATAGGTACAAGACATAATAGAATATTTACAGTATTCGTTCATATAAAGTTCTGAGAAGCAGAACTCAATTATATTGTTTAAAGATGTGTATACTTAAGAGAGAACATAAAAGTCAGAAGAGTAGTTACCTCTGGGTATGGAAAGAGAGAGTTATGGTCTGGAAGTGACACACAGAGAGCTTTTGTGTTGCTCTCAGTGTCTTGACCTGGGTAGTGTTTACAGTATTTTCACATTATAATTAGTAAGATGTACATGGATGTTTCATTTACCATCCTGTATGTGTGTTATTTCACAATAAAGACTTTTTTTAAAAAGAGTACATAAATAGAAGGACAAACCTTGAAAATAAAAAAAAATCTTCGCGTGAGATTAGGCAGAAAGGAGGAAAGGAAGAATGAAGGTGTAAATATAATTTGAACTGAAGAGAAGAAAGTTGTGTTTTCCCTATGAAGTACAGAATAAGGCTAAGCTAAGAAGGCTGTCTTAAGGAAATTGTCAAAGATTTAGAAAAACATCTGTCAGGAATAAAGAAGTAACTAAACCATAAAGAGAGTTGCCCAGCAATTTGAAGCCTTAAGTGAAATTGGTAACAGTATGTATTTATGATTGCCAAGTAAGAAAACTCATCTGGCCAGGCGCGGTGGCTCAAGCCTGTAATCCCTGCACTTTAGGAAACCAAAGTGGGAGGATCACTTGAGGCCAGGAGTTTGAGACCCACCTGGGCAACATAGTGAGAGCCTGTCTTGCAAAAAATTAAAAATTAGCTGGGCATGGTGGTGTACACCTGTAGTCCCAGCTGCTTGGAACACTAAGGCAGGAGGATCTCTTGAGCCCAGGAATTTGAGGTCACAGTGAGTCATGTTGGCACCACTGCACTCCAGCCTGGGCAATAGTGCAAGATCCTATCTCTAAAAAAAAAAAAAGAATAAAAATTTTTTTTAAATAAAAGAAAACTAATCTAAGCAAAATTTAATGGCATTCAACATGTTCTATGAGGCCAAGGAAATGTGTAGTACATTTGGGAAAAATGTCTGTCAAAATGCATTAAACATTTAAAAGATTTAGTGTTTAGAATAGTAGTCAGTATACATCTAAGCATTCTGAGAATTTAGGAACAAGACTAGGGAAAGACCATCCTGGAGTTGAACATGATCAAATTAGCATAAAATGAATGATAGTAGTCATCTGAAAAGAATGTACTGAAGAGACTTGAAAAATACTCAGTTCAAATCACAATCCTCAGTTTATCCTCAAGATTAGAAGACAATTAGAAGAAAAGGCAAAAGTGCTGATTGTGGCCGGGCGCGGTGGCTCACGCCTGTAATCCCAGCACTTTGGGAGGCTGAGACGGGTGGATCATGAGGTCAGGAGATCGAGACCATCCTGGCTAACAAGGTGAAACCCCGTCTCTACTAAAAATACAAAAAATTAGCCGGGCGCGGTGGCGGGCGCCTGTAGTCCCAGCTACTCGGGAGGCTGAGGCAGGAGAATGGCGTGAACCCGGGAAGCGGAGCTTGCAGTGAGCCGAGATTGCGCCACTGCAGTCCGCAGTCCGGCCTGGGCGACAGAGCGAGACTCCGTCTCAAAAAAAAAAAAAAAAAAAAAAAGTGCTGATTGTAGCATAATTTGACTCTATGTAGAAAAAATGTTATACTGTTGAAAACTGAGTGAACATAAGGTAGTTTAAACTGAACCCATGTACCCAAACTGTAATTTTCCTTCTTATTGTTTTAATTGGGAATTGAAGTTTTTCTAACTTGCTAACTGAAAATGTTGTCAGCACCCATGCACTTATTTCATACAGTCCCGTTTCATGTTATCTTTATGTTCAGGTTCTTTCTGTGCAATCTCTTTACTGCAAGTATTACCACATACGTTCTCTTATTCAGATGGGCCAGTTTTACTATTCTGCCAAAGCTTTTGATGTCCTTGAGAGGCTGGATCCTAACCCTGAATATTGGGAAGGCAAACGGGGTGCCTGTGTGGGCATTTTCCAGATGATCATAGCTGGGAGAGAACCCAAGTAAGTAAACAGGCAAGAAATACTACCTCTACTCATTTGCTTGTTTGTGAGGGAAAATACTTGTTCTCTTGGATGATATCTTCTGAAAACACATGATTATAATGATGTTTTAGAATGATGAAAAAAAGGTTGATATTAAATATTTCTGTCTGACCATTTTCCTCCAGAAATCTTTCATTTTGTAGAATCAGATAATTCTAAATCATATATAATAGGATCAGATCATTCTAAGTCATATATACATTAAGTACACTAACAGCCTCCAAATATAAGAGCAGGATGTATATTTGGTTCCAAATGAACAGCCATTTTTATAGGCAAAGTGTTTTTTTTTTTTACTCTTCTACTCTTTTGGGTTTTTTGTTTGTTTTTTGTTTTTTGCCTATTGGCTTTTTCTTGTGTGCTTTAGTTTAGGTCTCAAAAAATTAGGAATGGAGTAGATGTGGTTGATAACTCTTTTGTTTTCTTTCACCTTCTCATATTCTAGGAAATACTGAGACATTAGTTTACATAAAATTAATAAAATTCAGTGGTTTATACTTTTTCTTTTTTTTTTTCTTTCTTTCTTTTTTTTTTTTTTAGATAGAGTCTTGCTCTGTTGCCCAGGCTGGAGTGCAATGGTGTGATCTCAGCTCACTGCAACCTCTGCCTCCCGGGTTCAAGTGATTCTCCTGCCTCACTCTCCTGAGTAGCTGGGATTACAGGCACGTGCCACCATGCCTGGCTAATTTTTGTATTTTTAGTAGGGGCAGGGTTTCACCATGTTGGCCAGGCTGGTCTCAAACTCCTGACCTCAGGTGATCCTTCCACCTCAGCCTCCCAAAGTTCTGGGATTACAGGCATGAGCCACCATGCCCAGCCTATAGTTTCATTTGAAACAAACATTAAAACACAACTCGATTCCATTTTCTAAAAATAACTTCATGGAATGTATTTATTACTGATACATGAATAGGAAATGTGTTAATTTTGTAAGAAAATAATCTATCAAAAATTACTTCCTACCTTATAGTACTTCTAGTTCTAAGTAAAAGTTTAAAAACATTTGGTTAGGTGAAAGAGGTTGTTTGTGGGGAAAAAGAAGTAGAAAATATGAGAAGACTCTTAAGCAAATAGGTTCATAGGCAGTCGCCTACAGATTTGCTAGGGCAATAAGGAAATTTTAGCATTCATTACTTAAAATATGTTTTAATTTTAATTAAATTTAAATTACTTCAAATATAAATGCTAGGCTTAGTCCTTAATGTCCATCTCTTCCATTTTATTCATGTATTATTTTTCTTGAAAAAATCCCTTATTCCTTTGGCTTTGTAAAATTTTATGAATTTGACAATGATGCCTAGTTGAAGGTGGTTACCACCTTAAACAAGGGAGAAATCCATGAGTTAGACAAATTAAGTGACTTGCTGGTGTTAGAGCTAGAACTTGAACCCCAACTTCTGGATATACTCTTTCTAGTCATGCAGAATAAGAATAGAAATGGGAATAGTTAGGTCATCTCAGAAAGGACAAAAAGATTATCAGTATGTATATAGGTAGTATGGATAAACAAGGAACACTTGGATTGGCAAGAAAGATTTCACATAATTTCCATTTTACTATGCCACAATAAGAACATAAGGCTAGGCAGTTTGTAATTGCTTTGTGAATACACAGTGAAAGAGTCTATTACCAAAAATGCCCTACAAGACATACAGTATGAAGGACAGTTCAGAGTTTATTTTATTTTTTAATTTTCATTCTTCATTGAAACACTTTGTCTTTTCAAATCTTTTCCTCAGAGAGACCCTTCGAGAAGTGCTCCATTTACTGAGAAGCACAGGTAACACCCAAGTAGAATACATGATCCGGATCATGAAGAAATGGGCCAAAGAAAACAGAGTGTCCATCTAAAATAGCGCCAGCGTCCTAGGAACCAGCTTCTACTTTGACATAAAACTGGAAATCATTTTCACTCCAGTTTAATCTGTGATACAGGGCTCTGTTTTATTGACATTTTCCTTCCTTGCTCTTTAAGCCTCAAGGTCAGAGACTGACTTGCTGAGACTTAGTCTCCTGGCTGAACAGAGTGCCATAGTCTGTGACCCTGTATGATCCTAGTAGCAATAAGATTTTGGACTTATCTGGTGCCTTTCTTCCAAAAATGCTCAGAGTACTTTTATGCAATTTACTGACTTTAAGGAAAACAGTATAACTTTTTTTTGTTAGCATTTTATGGCATTGTCTCCTGGCTGCAATAACAAACATCTTTGATGTTCAAGAATCAGCATCATTGTATCATTTAACTTTAAGGCGTCTCTGTACGTTATCCCATTTTATTGGGGAATTCCATAAAGGGTTTTATAACGTCATCTCTGAATCTTGGGAGAATAACTAGCTATGTGTTTCTAAGAAAGGCAGTAAGCTACTTTATCAAACTGTCCAGTCATTAATAGGATAGATTTATGGGATTACTCTTTCAGTAATTAAATTGTTGATGATAATAACATGTTACAGCGCAGTAAGATGAGTATTGCAATGTTTTAAAAGGTGAGTACTATGAAAAAAATTGTAGTACCTCTAAAGGTATTCAAGAAACAATGTTTATGAATCTCACTAGTCCATTATAGTTTGGTACCATAATTATTTTAGGTAACAAAGCAGGTTAGGTTTTTGTTAATGTATCTTGCTTAACAAACATCAGTTTTTGTTGTTGTTGTTGTTGTTGTTGTTGTTGTTGTTTTTGAGACGGAGTCTCGCTCTGTCGCCCAGGCTGGAGTACAGTGGTGCGATCTCGGCTCACTGCAAGCTCCACCTCCTGGGTTCACGCCAGTCTCCTGCCTCAGCCTTCTGAGTAGCTGGGACTACAGGCACCCGCCACCGCGCCCGGCTAATTTTTTGTATTTTTAGTAGAGACGGGGTTTCACCGTGTTAGCCACAATGCTCTCCATCTCCTGACCTCGTGATCCGCCCGTCTCAGCCTCCCAAAGTGCTGGGATTACAGGCATGAGCCACCGCGCCTGGCCCAAACATCAGTTTTGAAAGTAGGGCTACAGTGATTTATATGTATTGTGGGCACTTATTAATGTAACGATAATAAAACATGAATCGTATAAAGTCCTTTGAGGGAATCTCCTAATGGCTAGGCTCTCTGTCGTAAGTCATATTCCAGCCCCAGGCTTCTGAGCTCTTATAACATACAACTGAGCATTCTTAAGCTCACAACCTATTTCCAGAAAAGAGACCCACATCTTTCTATGTTTTATACTACCTTTGTTTTTACACCATATAGTTTTTTTCTATTAGTTTAAGGTACCTAGTGTTACAGGTCTAGAAAGTGCAGAGCCATCCCTACCTAGAAGAGAATAGATGGGAAGAGAACTGAAAGAAAGAATTCCTCAAGCACTGAAGTCAGGAAAATCCCCGTAGGCACTGTATTAGTTGTTCCATTTATCCCAGCACTCCACTTGTGGATGAAGGAGTTGTATAGAAAGGAGATGAGAAAATGGCAGGAGTGGAAGCAGCCAAGAAGAGATCGATGACTGAAGATCTCCTTCACCTTCAGGACTGTCTCAAGGGGTTATTTCACCTCTACTCATGAGGATGGCCAGTTTTTCTGTCTTTTATCTTTAGACCCATATATAATCAGTTCAGAGCACAAATCAAAATAAACTGGCCTAAATAACTGAATTCTAGGAAGCAAAGCTACATCTTTTTTCATATGCCAAAGCTTCTGTTTCCTCATGTTGTTCCTACTTTTTAAATAATAAATGGCTCTCAGCATCTTAGGAACTAGATGGGTCCCATCTGGGTAGAACCTGCTATAATTTTTAGAATCACTCTTGTAATTCTTACCTCACTTAAAATATTAGGAAACACAGTAATAGAAAAGACAGGGAGAACTCGTCTGCAGGTTTTGGCAGTGAAATTTGTCTTCCAGTGAATTGCTATTATTTTCAAATTGCCTATAGTCAAAAAGCTTTTCCATTGATGGAGACTTACTTTCAAATGAGCTTGTGTTGAATTCAGCACTCTAGATTCTCTCTGACATTTTCCTGTCTTTTGGGAAAAAAAAGCAGATATTCCAAAAATGGCAGAAATCTAATTTTTGTAAACTTTTTCATCTATAGGATTGAGCCAAAAAACATACATACTATTTTAAAGAAAGGTACCATCTAATTCTTTTATTAAAGATAGCTACTTCTGAAATGTCTTAACAGAGTTTCAAGATTGCAAAGTAGTATTGCATAGCTGGTTTTCTTACATGTGATGATGGAGGAGAGAGGAAGACCCAGACTTAGGCATGTAGTGAAATATGTACAGTTTCTGGCATCAGTGTACTATTTATAGTCTATAGCATACATTACTTGCAAATGGGAAAAGTATTTTATAATTATTTTTGTACCTCAAAATAATTATTATATTCTACTGTATTATATTCAAATTAAAGTTTATTATTTGATTCTTAGTATGATATTCTGTTGAGTGTGATGAGGGTGGGACCTAAGTATGTCATGTGCCTTCTACCCTTTCTTTCCTAGCCCTAGAATGAAAGGAGAGAAAGTTTTGGGCCCCATAAGTTACTCTTTAGAAGAGAGAAAAGTACATATTCCCCAAGAAGCCCTTTCCACTAAGAGGCTGGTAGTTCCTGCTGAATCATACTAGGCTTGGCTCTTTGCTGAATTACAGCCCATTCAGAAGTTATATGACCAGTGCATAGTGTAGTACCTCACACATAGAAAGCTCTCACATACTTGTTGACTGAATAATTAAACATACAGTAACTGGTAGGGCAAGTGACTTGTGAAGTCTAACCTCATATATTCAGTTCCCATTGAATTATTATTTTATTGTGTGCTAAGCATATGCCAGGTACTTGGGCTGCAAAGATAAATAATGCACAGGCCTGACTCTCAAGGAACTCTAACAGAAGTATACACAACTAAACACAACAACGTGATTGATATCATCAGTGGGAATAAAGTATTGAGCAATAAAAGAAGGCAATGGAATGTTTGTATCCGTGTAAATGAGATGCCCCCTGCCTCATTTGGGAGAAGCAATCAGAATGGATCCCAAAGCTCAACAGCTAGCAAGATGCCCACAGCTCTGCCATGTGTGCCACACACATCACATGCATCCAAGTAGACGGAAGCCAAGGGACTGCTTTCCTCCTCTGTGGCTTAGTGCACTTTCAGAAAGGTGCTAGCAAACAGGCATGATATCACAATAGTTACATCTACTTTCTAATGGCAAAAATGAAGTAGTGATTTACTAGATCCTGTATTGAGAACATCTGTGTCTTAGATGAATAGTTGTCTTACGACTCTTTTCTTCATCCTATAAAATACTTCTAGGCTGGGCATAGTGGCTTATGCCTGTAATCCCAACACTTTGGGAGGCTGAGGTGGGAGGATCACTTGATGCCAGGAGTTCGAGACCAGCCTGAGCAACATACCAAAACCCTGTCTCTACAAAAAAAAAAAAAAATTTTAATTAGCCAGGTGTAGTGGCACATTCCTGTCATCCCAGTTACTTGGGAGGCTGAGAAGGGAGGATCACCTGAGACCAGGAGTTCAAGGTTATAGTAGGTACTTTATAATAATGTTCAAACAGTACTCCCGACTATTAAGATGGTCTCAGAGCAGCAGAGCTAGGGACTTAGTGACATGCCTGTAAACTACCTTAACACAGAGCTTCTGGAATATGAGAAGAATAAAAGACAGCACACAACAAAATGAATGTCATCAGTCAATGTGTGTGTGTTGAGTGTGGAGTGTGTAGAGAAGTTTGCACAATTTGTTGCCATCAAAACTTTTTCTTTAAATGAAATCTGAATACCAAAAACACCTAGGGGCTGATTTGGTGATTGTGGTGAAGGAGGAAGGAGATGGCCGGTCACGGTGGCTCACGCCTATAATCCCAGCACTTTGGGATGCTGAGGCAGGTGGATCATGAGGTCAGTAGTTCAAGACCAGCCTGGCCAACATGGTGAAACCCTGTCTCTATGAAAAAATACAAAAATTAGCCAGGCGTGGTGGCAGGCACCTGTAATCTCAGCTACTCAGGAAGCTGAGGCACAAGAATCACTTGAACCTGGGAGGCAGAGGTCGCAGTGAGCCGAGATTGCACCATTGCACCCTAGCCTGGGCAAAAGAACGAGACTCCGTCTCAAAAAAAAAAAAGAAAAAAGAAAAAAACTAAGGACATAAATAGACAATTCTCAAAAGAAGACATAGAAATGGCCAACAAACATGAAAAAATGCTCAATATCACTAATGATCAAGGAAATGCAAATCAAAACCACAATGTGATGCCACCTCACTCCTGCAAGAATGGTCATAATTAAAAAACCGAAAAATAATAGATGTTAGTGTGGATGCAGTAAAAAGAGAACACTTCTACACTGCTGATGGGAATGTAAACTAGTACAACCACTATGGAAAACCGGGAGATTCCTTAAAGAACTAAAAGTACAACTACCATTTGATCCAGCAATCCCACTACTGGGTATCTACCCAGAGGAAAAGAAGTCATTGTACGAAAAAGATACTTGCACGCGCATATTTATAGCAGCACAATTCATAATTGCAAAAATGTGGAACCAACCCACATGCCCATCAATCAACAGGTGGATAAAGAAACTGTGATATACATATATATATATATATATATATATATGTGTGTGTATATATATATATATATATGATGGAATACTACTCTGCCATGAAAAGGAATTAATTAGTGGCATTTGGAGCAACCTGGATGGGATTGGAGATGATTATTCTAAGCAAAGTAATTCAGGAATGGAAAACCAAATATTATATGTTCTCACTCATAAGTTGGGGCTAAGCTATGAGGATGCAAAAGGCATAAGAATGACACAATGGACTTTGGGGACTCAGGGGGAAAGGGTGGGAAGGGGGTGAGGGGTAAAAGACCACAAATTGAGTATACACTGCTCAGGAGATGGGTGCACCAAAATCTCACAAATCACCACTAAAGAATTTACTCATGTAACTAAATACCACATGTTCCTCAAAAACCTATGGAAATAAAAAGAAAAGGTGGCATGGGAGTAGTGTATCCTAAGATGAAATTTGAAGTATAAAATTTAACTACCTGTCAGAACTCTTCCCAGGAAAACCTAGAAACAACCCAAATATCCATTCACAGGAGAATGGATAAATAAACTGTAGTAAAGTCACAAAGGAATATTATACAGAATAAATGAACTACAGCCTCTTGCAACAATATATTGCTTAGAGCAATAACCTTTTATAAGTTAAAGACAACTCACATATACACTCAGAAGGAAAGCAGGGGAATGATGAACACCAAGTCAGCATGGTGGTTACCAAGTTGGGGAGGAGGGGCTAAGATGGAGAGGAGGCCACATAGATAATCATCAGGATTCATCATATCGTATTAGGTTATTATCAGGATTCTAGTTTTCATGTAGATGATGAGTCACAGGGGTTTATTCTTTAATAAACTATAAATATACTATTAAAAATAAACTATAAATAGTTAAATAAAAGAGGGCCAATGGTGAGAGAGTGTCATCTTGAGCCAAAGATTATGACCAACCCAATCCTGTGCAACTGAGGTAAAACAAAACAAAGTTGATAAATATATAACTAGAAGGAAATGCTCCTAAATATAAGAACAATGATTATCTTCAAATGATGGAACTGGGTACCGTATATTCTTCTTTCTGTATTCTGTATTTTCTGATTTTTCTAGAATGAGCACATGTTATTTGTATCATCAAAAACATTTTTTTGTTTTGTTTTGTTTTTGAGACAGGGTCTCGTTCTGTTGCCCAGGCTGGAGTGCAGTGCCACAATCTTGGGTCACTGAAATTTCTGTCTCCGGGGCCCAAACGATCCTCCCACCTTCGCCTCCCAAGTAGCTGGGACTATGGGCATGTGCCATCACACCTGGCTAATTTTTTGTTGTTGTTGTTTGTTTGTTTGTTTGAGACAGAGTCTCACTCTGTCGCCCACGCTGGAGTACAGTGACGCGATTTCGGCTCACCGAAAGCTCTGCCTCCCAGGTTCACGCCATTCTCCTGCCTCAGCCTCCCGAGTAGCGGGACTACAGGCGCTCACCACCACACCCGGCTAATTTTTTGTATTTTTAGTAGAGACGGGGTTTCACCGTGGTAGCCAGGATGGTCTCAATCTCCTGAGCTCGCGATCCACCTGCCTCGGCCTCCCGAAGTGCTGGGATTACAGGCGTGAGCCACCGGGCCCGGCCCACACCTGGCTAACTTTTGTAACTTTTTTTGGTAGAGCTATGTTGCCCAGTCTGCAAAACAAACAAACAAACAAACAAAAAAGTGTAAAATAAATCTTTACATCTAGCAAAATAATTTCTTCGTATCATCTAATGCCTAGTCTTTATTCACGTTTTTCCAATTGTCTCCAAAATGGTTTACTATAGGATCCAAACTAAGTACAACACTACATTTCGCTGCTGTATCCCTTACACTTTTTTTTTTTTTTTTTTAAAGTTAGAGATGAGGTCTCGCTATGTTGGCCAGGATGGTCTTAAACTCCTGGCCACAAGTGATCCTCCCCGCCTCAGCCTCCCAATGTGCTGGCATTACAGGTGTGAGCCACTGTACCCGGTCTACACTTTTTTTTTTTTTTTTTTTTTATCAAAACAGATTCTCACACTGTTGCCCAGGCCGGAGGTGCAATGGCGCGATCTTGGCTCACTGCAACCTCCACCTTCTGGGTTCAAGCAATTCTCCTGCCTCAGCCTCCCAAGTAGCTGGGATTACAGGCACCCACCACCACACCCAGCTCATTTTTTGTATTTTTAGTGGGGACGGGGTTTCACCATGTTGGCCAGGCTGGTCTCGAACTCCTGACCTCGTGATTCGCCTGCCTCAGCCTCCTAAAGTGCTGGGATTACAGATGTGAGCCACCAGGCCCAGCCCACTTATTTTTTTAATGGCTATCCTTTCCCCACTGTTTTCCCAAGCCATTGATTTGTTGGAGAAACTGAGTCATTTGTGTTGTGGAATGCCCCATGTTACAAATTTGGTTGGCTGATTCCATGTAGGATTGTTGAACATGTTCCTGTGTAACTCAGATTGCCTTTACACTGGTAATTGGATGTAAAGGCTGATGCCAAGGATCAGTCGGCTCCCTCTGATCCCTCCATTGCAAAGCTCGCCTTCGACCTTTCATTTAACTGTTGGAGCAGCCATGATGATCATGCTGAGAGGCGTTCTTTTATTTAGGGTTGCAAAATAGTGAGTTCCTAATTCTGTCATTCGTTATCTGCTTTTTGACTGAAATTCCGTAAAGAAGAACTTTCTCATTTAACTATTTGATTGCTCTCAAAATCAATTTATACAGGGAAGGTGAGAGGAAGGAAAATTCTTTTATCAGTTTTCAAAAAAATAAATAAGTGCCCTAGCAACCTTCTATAGTAACCAACAAGGTTCTCTTTCCTTTCCTTTTTTTTTTCTTTTCAAGTATCATGAAACCATGGAGATTTTTTACTTTAATTTATTTATTTATTTTTAATTTTTAAATTTTATTTAAAATTTTTTATTTATTTATTTTGAGACTGGGTTATGAAACTGGCTAATTTTTATATTTTTGGTAGAGACAGGGTTTTGCCATGTTGCCTAGGCTGGTCTGCAACTCCTAGGCTCAAACAATCTGCCTGCTTGCTGGGATTAGGAGCCTTGAAACCATGGAGTGTTACATATTATATATGTATCAATTAACTGCAAACATTATTTATTTTGATGTTTGAGCTTTCCAGCAAGAGCTCCTTTAAACTGGCTCCTGTGAACCGTAAAAAAAGTTTTAAATTGTGCTAAAATACACATAACATAAAAGTTACCATCTTAACCATTATTTGCAACCAATTATTGTAAATTGACAATTTATAATTGTATAAGTTTATGGGTCACAAAGTGATGTCATAATTTTTGGGTACAATGTGGTATAACAAAGTCAAGCTAGTTAATGTAACCATGACTTCAAATACTTAACATTTTTGTGATGAGAACATTTGAAATTTACTCTTAGCAATTGTGAAAGGTATAATACTCTATTATTAGCCTGGGCGCCGTGCTCACGCCTGTCATCCCAGCACTTTGGGAGGCCGAGGCGGGCAGATCACCTGAGGTCGGGAGTGCGAGACCAGCCTGACCAACATGGAGAAACCCCGTCTCTACTAAAAAAATACAAAATTAGCCGGGCATGGTGATGCATGCCTGTAATCCCAGCTAGTCGGGAGGCTGAGGCAGGAGAATCGCTTGAACCCGGGAGGCGGAGGTTGCGGTGAGCCAAGATCGCGCCATTGCACTCCAGCCTGGGCAACAAGAGTGAAACTCCTTCTCAAAAAAAAAAAAAAAACAAAAACTCTATTATTAACTATATTCACCATACTGTGCAACAGAACTCAGAGTATAAAAGGTCTTCTTCCTGAGATTTTGTACCTTGGCCATCATTTAAATTTTTTTTTTTTTTTTTTTTTTTTTTTGGAGACAGAGTTTCGCACTTGTTGCCCAGGCTGGAGTGCAATGGTACGATCTCGGCTCACTGCAACCTCTGCCCCCCGGGTTCAAGCGATTCTCCTGCCTCCGTCTCCAGAGTACCTGAGATTACAGGCACCCACCACCACCGCCGGCTAATTTTTTGTACTTTTAGTAGAGATGGGGTTTCACCATGTTGGCCAGGTTGGTCTCAAACTCCCAACCTCAGGTGATCCACCTGCCTTGGCCTCCCAAAGTGCTGGGATTACAGGCGTGAGCCACTGCACCCGGCCTTAAAATTTTTAAATGAGACAAAATATCAATTTCAAAACAGCATTAAAAAAAGTGAGCATAATTATTCATACTCAGCTCATAATAGAGCAAATGGGTGAATAGAATAATAATTCATGCTATTACATGTTTAATGAACTGGCAGCAAGAGAAAACTGGTCAAAGAAAGGCAGAGGAAACTGGCAACAAGAGGAAAATTGGTCAAAGAAAGGCAGGGAAACTTTGTCTTGTAAGAATTAGAACCCAAGGACTCCATAATCATCTGGCATTCATTCGATGTTATATCTATGGTTAGAAATGTACGTGATAGGAACTCCCAGAATCTTACAGATTCTTCTTTTAGGGTCCTGGTCAACCGTGGCCACAATGTACCATTTGTGCTGAGTTTCTCTCTGTACTAAGCAGTCATCTGCATAGGTTCCTTTGTGTGTGCATGGTAATCATTCAAACCTTGGATCCTTGGAGATTCTTAGAGCCACTCAATACTTCTGCCCCAATTTCTCAATTTCAGCCATTACACAATCAGTTATATAAGGGATACACGTGGCCTACAGACAGTCCGTCATTGACTGCACTAAGTCTGGTTTGGCTTTAATGGAAAAGTTGATAAAGTTGGAATCAACAAGAATGTGGTAAGGTGGCCCAGCTGTGTATTATATTGGAAAAATAAGCAGGAAGGGTGTTGAGGAACTTCTCTTTCCTTTAGTATGTTGGAATCTTTCTTTTCTTCCTTTTTAGGTTTTAATCTATCCCTTTCTTCAAGCCTCTGATCTCTGAGACTAAGCATTGGCTTCATGGTCGCATAATTCCTTGATTTCTTTTGCCTCTGCACACTCACATCACACTCTTGTTTCTTCCGGAATCCCATCTTAGCCTTTTTTTTTGTTTGAGACGGAATCTCACTCTGTCACCCAGGCTGGAGTGCAGTGGCATGATCTCATCTCGCTGCAACCTCTGCCTCCCGGGTTCAATTGATTCTTCTGCCGCAGCCTCCCGAGTACCTGGGGCTATAGGCATGCGACACCACGCCCGGCTAATTTTTGTATTTTTAGTAGAGACAGGGTTTCACCATATTGGCCAGGCTGGTCTTGAACTCCTGACCTCAGGTGATCCGCCCACCTCAGACTCCCAAAGTGCTGGGATTACAGGTGTGAGCCCGGCCCATCTTAGCCATTTTAAGTATACAGTTCAGTGGTGTAAAGTACATTCGCATTGGGTTTTTATATATAATATTTTTATCTGCCCTTCATTTGTGTTTAGCACATGTTATAAAACTGCATAAGGCTATCAAGTAACCTGAGGAGTTATAGGCCAGGTGCAGTGGCTCACAACTGTAATTCCCAGCACTTTGGGAAGCCCAGGTAGGAGGACTGCTTGAGCCCAGGAATTTGAGGCTACAGTGAGCTATGATGGCACCACTGCATCCTAGCCTGGGTAACAGAGCAAAACCTCATCTTAAAAAAATAAAGAAGTTAGGCTGGGAGTGGCAGCTCACGCCTGTAATCCCAGCACTTTGGAAGGCCAAGGCAGGTGGATCATCTGAGGTCAGGAGTTGGAGACCTGGTCAACGTGGCGAAACCCCGTCTCTACTAAAAATACAATAATTAGCTGGGGATGGTGGTGGGTGCCTGTAATCTCAGCTACTTGGGAGGCTGAGGCAGGAGAATGGCTTGAAACCAGGAGGCGAAGGTTGCAGTGAGCCGAGATCGCACCGCTGCACTGCAGCCTGGGCAACAAGAGTGAAACTCCATCTCAAAAAAAAAAAAAAAAGTTGTAATAAGAAATAGCTCAGGCCAGGCGCGTTGGCTCATGCCTGTAATCCCAGTACTTTGGGAGTCCGAGGTGGGCGGATCACGAGGTCAGGAGATCGAGACCATCCTGGCTAACACAGTGAAACCCCGTCTCTACTAAAAAAAATACAAAAAAAATTAGCCAGGCGTAGTGGTGGATGCCTGTAGTCCCAGCTACTAGGGAGGCTGAGGCAGGAGAATGGCGTGAACCCAGGAGGCGGAGTTTGCAGTGAGCCGAGATGGCGCCACTGCACTCCAGCCTGGGGGACAGAGCGAGACTCTGTCTCAAAAAAAAAAAAAAAAAAAAAAGAAATAGCTCTTAAAGAAGACTTTTTATAGTTATTAATCTTTCTTTCCCCATATTCTTTTTGTCCCTAGCTTTATGAGGTATAATTGACAAATATGATTGCATAAAACTAAGGTGTACAAAGTGATTATGTGATATATGTCTATATTGTGAAATAATTACCGCAATCAAGTTAGTTAACACATCTATTTCCTTACCTAGTTACCGTGTGTGTGTCTCTGTGATGAGAATACTTGAGATCTAGTATCTTAGCAAATTTCAAGTATACATTGTTATCAAATAATGTCACTATGCTACATTAGATCTCCAGAACTTACTCATCTTATGACAAAGTTTTATCCTTTGACCAACATCTCCCCATATCTCCTACCTCTTAGCCCCTGCAGCCACCATTTTACTCTTTCTGTGAGTTCATCTTTTTAAAATTTGACATGTAAGTAAGATGATATAGTATTTGTCTTTCTCCGTCTGATATATTTCACTTAGCATCATGCCTTAAAGGTTTATACTTGGCGATTATGAATAATGTTGTTGCAAATAGCAGGGTTTTCTTTTTGTGGCTGAGTAATAGTCTATCACGTCTCTGTATGTACATGTGTGCGTGTGTATATGTGTATGTGTATATATATAACAATGTATCCATTCGTCTACCAATGGACACTTAGGTTGTTTCCATGTCTTGGCTATTGTGAATAATGCTGCCAATGAACATGGGAGTGCAGATGCCTCTTTGACATACTGATTTCATTTCTTTCAGATATATACCCAGAAATGGGCTTGCTGGATTATATGGCAGTTCTATTATTAATTTGTGGAGGAATCTCCGTAATGTTTTCCATAATGGCTTCTACCAACAGCGTACAAAGGTTCCCTTTTGCCCATATCCTTGCCAACACGTATTATCTGCTGTCTTTTTGATAATAGCCATCTTAACAGGCATGAAGTTATATCTCCTTGTTGTTTTAATAAAATCACATTGTTGTACAACCAATTTCCAGAACTCTTTTCCTCTTGCCAAACAATATCTACACCCACTCCTGTCCTGCGAACTTTGTTTTTAGAGAATGGAGTCTTGCTGTGTTGCCCAGGCTGGACTCTAACTCCTGGACGCAAAGTTTCCTCCCACGCCAGCCTCCTAAGTAGCTGGGACTACAAGTGCACACCACCATGCCTGCTGGGATCACAGGTGCACACTGCCATGCCTGCTGGGACTACAAGTGCACACCACCATGCCTGCTGGGATCACAGGTGCACACCACCATGCCTGCTGGGACCACAGGTGCACACCACCATGCCTGGCTCCACATTGTTGTTGCTTGTTTGTTTGTATTTTGAGACGGAGTCTCGCTCTGTCACCCAGGCTGGCATGCAGTGGCATGATCTTGGCTCACTGCAACCTCTACCTCCCGGGTTCAAGTGATTTTTCTGCCTCAGCCTCCCTAGTGGCTGGGACTATAGGCATATGCCACCACACCTGGCTAATTTTTGTGTTTAGTAGAGATGGGGTTTCACCATGTTGGCCAGGCTGATCTTGAACTCCTGACCTCAGGTGATCTGCCCACCTTGGCCTCCCAAAGTGCTGGGATTACAGGCATGAGCCACTGTGTCCAGCCTACATTGTACTTTTTAATGTAACCTAAGAACAAAGGAATCTTTAATAATCCTTTACCAGCCAGGCACAGTGGCTCATGCCTCTAACCCAGGGCTTTGAAAGACTGAGGTGGGAGGATCACTTGAACCCAGAAATTCAAGACCATCCTGGGCAGCATATCTAAAAACACCATGTCTAAAAAAAAAAAGAAATTATTACCCTTACATGGTGGCAGATGTGTGTAGTCCTAGCTACTCGGGAGGCTGGGATGGGAGGATCACTTGAGCCCAGGAGTTCGAGGCTACTGCAAGCTATGATCATGCCACTGCACTCCAGCCTGGGTGATGGAGCAGGACTCTGTCTCAAGAAAAATAATAATAGTTCTTTACCCCTGATCATTTTATTTCAGTGAGAAAAAGATAAGGACATGTTTAGATAGAATCATTCAAATGCCTTCTAAAGCAGCCACCGTGCCTGGCTTCCTGTGACTTTTGACATGACTCCATCAGTCTTCGATAATTTCCTTGCTCTCTGACTCAAGGTGTCTCTGATTTATCTTGTTCTTTTTCTACCCTAGACTCAGAATCATTCATTCTTCTGAGGAAAGCTAAGGGTTCATATTGATTTTTAAAGTAATACCTTTCTTTCTTTCTTTCTTTTGTTATTTCTTTCTTTTTTTTTGAGACAAGATCTGGCTCTGTCACTCAGGCTGGAGTGCAGTGGCATGATCATAGCTCACTGCAACCTCTGCCTCCTGGGCTCAAACCATCCCCCCACCTCAGCCTCCTGAGTAGCTGGGACCGCAGGTGTGTGCTACCATGCCTGGCGAATTTTCGTATTTTTTGTAGAGACGGTATTTCACCATGTTGCCCAGGCTAGTCTTGAACTCCTCAAGCAATCCTCCTGCCTCAGCCTCCCAAAGTGCTAAGATTACAGGCGTGAGCCACCACGCCCGGCCTTAAAATGTTTCTTATAGGTGCCTCTTCCTTCCTATATCACTAAGGCGCTTGTACCTAGGAATCCAAGATCCAGATGAGAAATTTATTTAAAATTTTTGATAAACATTATGACAAAATATTCAATCTCCAGGATAATGATATTTTTAAAAGATATTCAGTCTCACTAGAAAGCAAAGATATGCAACTATAAATTTTGTCACTTCTGCGTTGGGTAAATGTTAAAAATTTGAGAATAACCAGCTGGGAAAAGAGTAGAAAAAAATCTCATGCACCAGTTATGAGAAAATAAAGATACTACCTTTGCTTGGCAAGCAGTATGACAAATGTATCAAAATGTAGACTATCCTTTGATCCATCGTTTCCAAATCTAGGAATTTATTCTAAGGAAATAGTTGGAGATATATGCATAAAGATATAGGCACAAACCTGATGATTAAAATATCGTTTATAGTAGTGTAAAAGGGAAACAACATAAATGATTGCTCCCAAATATATCCCTAGCACCTAACATGCAATATGGTAGGTATCCAATGAATATTTCTTAGGTGAACTAATAAGTGAATATCCAGCTACAAGATGTTGGTTACATAAATGCAGGTGCATCATAAAATATAATACTTTGCAATCATAGGCTGGGCACAGTGGCTCATGCCTGTAATCCCAACACTTTGAGAGGTCAAGGCAGGAGGATTGCCTGAGCTCAGGAATTCAAAACCAGCCTGGGCAACATAGTGAGACTCTATTGCTACAAAAACATTAAAAATTAGCTGGGCATGGTGGCCCAGGCCTGTAGTCCCAGTTACTCAGGGGGCTGAGGTTGGAGGACTGCTTGAGCCCAGGAAGTCAAGGCTGCAGTGAGATCTGTGATCACACCACTGCCCTCCAGGCTGGGTGACAGAGTGAGACCCTATTTCAAAAAATAATACTACTTTGCAATCATTGAAAAATGGTGAGGTAGATTTACATCTAATGACTGTGGTAGTCAGAACAATGGTCCCACAAATATGTCCATATGCAAATCCCTGGAACCTGAAAATACATGCAACTACATGGCAAGGGTGAATTAAGGTTTCAGACAGAACTAAAGTTGCTATTAAACTGGCCTTAAAATGGGGCAATTATCCTGGGTTATCCAGGCGGACGTGGTGTAATCACAGAGGTCCTTAAAAGTGGAAGAGGGAGAACCAAAAAGATGGCAGCATGAGAATGACTCAGCTGAAGCTGCTGGCTTTGAAGACGGAGGAAGAAAGGCATGAACCAAGTGATGTAGACTTCCTCTAGAAGCTGGAAAGGGAAAGGAAATGGATTCTCCCCTAGAGTTTCCAGAAAGGAATGCAGTCCTGCCAACAATCTGACTTTAGCCCAGTTAGACCCCTTTTCAGACTTCTGACCTATAGAACTGTAAGATAAATTTGTGTTGTTTTAAGCCACTAAATTTGTGATAACTTGTCACGGCAACAATAGGAAACTAATAACACTACAGAAACATTTATAAGACATACTGATAAATCTTAAAAGTAGGTTACAAAATAACTTTGTGTTGTTGTTATAGTTTGAATGTATCCTCCAAAACTCATATGTTAGAAACTTAATCCTCACTGCAACAGTGTTAAAAGGTAGGATCTTTTGGGAGGTGTGTAGGTCATGAGGGTTCAGCCCCCATGAATGGATTAATGCCACTATGAAAAGGGCTTTTGGGAGTAGGTTTGCTCTCTCTTGCTCTTCTGCCTTCCTTCATGGGAGAACTCAGCCAGAAAGCACTCAGATGCTGGTGCCTTGATTTTGGTCTTCCCAGCCTTCAGAACTATGAGATAATAACTTTCTGTTCATTATAAGTTACCCAGTCACAGGTATTCTGTTATAACAGAACAAAATGGACTAAGACACATGTGATTTTATTTGTGCATATATATTTGTCTGTATATGCATAGAGATGTCAAGAAGGTTATTCATGAAAAGTTAAATTTAGACTTTTATTAATAATCATTATACATCCATCTATGAGTAGCTGAAGAAAAAATATTTTCTTCTGGTATAACCAAAAGACTGGAAGAGGGTTTAGTGGCATAGGTTCAGTGGAAGGAGAAATGACTACCCAATGGTCTTAGGGACCCAGTGAACTCACAGTAAGATGGACTTTGGCCAGGACTGCACTTATTACCTCATCTGCCAACCCCAACAAAGGGGACCAGGATGACATTTTGGGTCTCTGTGTATAAATGCTAACTAAAACCCTGTGTCTCATAATCCTCAAAATAGCTGGGTATTCCCTAGTGTACTATCCCTGAGTAAATGGTGATAGGTCCTTTTGGGAAAGGACTGAGGATATCATTAATGCACATGTATATGGTAGTCATTACATGACTGTATACATTTGCCAACACTTATAGAAATGTACATTTTAAATAGGTGGGGTTTTTTGTATAATAAAGCTATTTTTGAGGGAGTGGAGTGAGGGTTGAGAAATTACTATTGGGTACAATATTCACTATTCAGATGATGGGTACATTAAAAGCTCAGACGTCACCACTATGCAATATATGCAGGTAAGAAACCTGGACTTGAAATTCAAAAGATCACAGAGGCTACTGTGGGCAATAATAAGCCAATAAATTGGAAAACCTAGAAGAAATTGATAAATTCCTAGACACATACAACCTACCAAAACTGAACCATGAAGAAATCCAAAACCTAAACAGACCAATAATAAGTAACAGAATCAAAGCCATAATAAAAAGTCTTCTAGCAAAGAAAAGCCCAGGACCCAATGGCTTCACTGCTGAATTTTACCAAACATTTAAAAAAGAACTAATACCAGTCCTATTCAAACTATTTCAAAAAAGAGAAGAGGAGGAAATATTTCCAAACTCATTCTATGAGGCCAGTATTACCTTGATACCAAAACTAGACAAAGACACATCAAAAAAAGAAAACTACAGGCCAGTATATCTGATGAACATGGATGCAAAAATCCTCAACCAAATACTAGTAAACAAAATTTAACAACACATTAAAAAAATCATTAATCATGACCAAGTGGGATTTATCCCAGGAATGCAAGGATGGTTTAATAGATGCCAATCAATCAGTGGGATACATCATAACAACAGAATGAAGAGCAAAAACCATGTGACTACTTCAACTGATGGTGAAAAGAATTTCATAAAATTCAATATCCCTTCATGATTTAAAAAAAACTCAAAAAACTGAGTATAGAAGGAACACACCTCAACACAATAAAAGCCATATATGACAGACTCACAGCTAGTATCATATTGAATGGGGAAAATGGAAAGCCTTTCCTCTAAGATCTAGAACAAGACAAGGATACCCACTTTCACCAATGTTTTTCGACATAGTACTGGAATTCCTAGCTAGAACAATCAGATAAGGGAAAGAAATAAAGGGTGTCCAAAGTAGAAAAGAATAAGTCAAATTATCCTTGTCTGCAGATGATATGATCTTATATTTGGAAAAACCTAAAGACTCCACCAAAAAAAACTATTAGAACTCATAAATTCAATAAAGGTGCACCAGTACCATTTCTACATGCCAACAGCAAACAATCTGAAAATGAAATCAAAAAAGTAATTCCATTTACAATAGCTACAAATAAAATGAAATACCTAGGAATTAACATAACTAAAGTAGTGAAATATCTCTGCAATAAAAACTATAAAACATTGATGCAAGAAATTGAAGAGGACACACACAAAAATGGAAAGATATGCCATGTTCATGGATTGGAAGAATCAATATTATTAAAATGTCCATACTACTCAAAGCAATCTACAAATTCAATGCAATCCCTATCAAAATACCAATGACATTCTGCACAGAAATAGAAAAAAAAATCCTAAAATTTTTGTGGAATACAAAAGACCTAGAATGGCCAAAGCTATCTCGAGAGAAAAGACCAAAACTGGAGGAATCACAGTACCTGACTTCTAAATATACTCCAGAGCTATAGTAACCAAAACAGCATGGTACTGGCATAAAAACAGACACATAGACCAATGGAGCACAATAGAGAACCCAGAAATAAATCCATACATCTACAGTGAACTCATTTTTGACAAAGGTACCAAGAACATATACTGAGGAAAGGACAGTCTCTTCAATGAATGGTACTGGGAAAACTGGATATCCACATGCAGAAGAATGAAACTAGACTCCCGTCTCTCACCCTATACAAAAATCAAATCAAAATGGATTAAAGACTTAAATCTAAGACCTCAGACAAGGAAACTACTACAAGAAAACATGGGGGAAACTCTCCAGGACATTGGTATGGGCAAAGATTTTTTGAGTAATACCCCACAAACACAGGCAATTAAAGCAAAAATGGAGAAATGGGATCACGTCAAGTGAAAAAAGCTTCTGCATAGCAAAGGAAACAATTAACAAAGTGAAGTGACAACCCACAGAATGGAGAAAATATTTGCCAACTATCCATCTGACAAAGGATTAATAACCAGAATATAGAAGGAGTTCAGGACCAGGCATGGTGGCTCATGCCTGTAATCCCAGCAATTTAGGAGGCCGAGGCGGGTGGATCATGAGGTCAGGAGTTCGAGACCAGCCTGGCCTACATGGTGAAACTCCGTATCTACTAAAAATACAAAAATTAGCCAGGGTTGGTGGCGCGCGCCTGTTGTCCCAGCTACTTGGGAGGCTGAGGCAGAAGAATCGCATGAACCCAGGAGGCAGAGGTTGCAGTGAGCCGAGATCATGCCACTGCACTCCAGCCTGGGTGACAGAGTGAGACTCTGTCTCAAAAAAATAAAAATAAAAATAAAAATAAAAAGAAGGAGCTCAAACAACTCAATAGGGGAAAAAATGTAATAATCCAATTTGAAAATGGGCAAAAGATCTGAATGGACATTTCTTGAAGACATACAAATGACAAATGGGTATAAGAAAAGGTACTCAACATCAGTGATCATCAGAGAAATGCAAATTAAAATTAGTGAGAGATCATCTCACCCCCTTAAAGTGGCTTTTATGCAAAAGACAGGCAACAACGAATGCTGGAGAGGATGTGGAGAAAAGGGACACTTGTACACTGTCAGTGGGAATGTAAATTACCACAACCACTATGGAGAATAGTTTGGAAGTTCCTCAAAAAACTAAAAACAGGATGACCATATGATCTAGCAATCTCACTGCTAGGTATATGCCCAAAAGAAAGGAAATCAGTTTATCAGAGAGACATCTGCACACTCCTGTTTATTGCAGCACTATTTACAATAGCCAAAATTTGAAAGCAGCCTAAGTGTCCATCAACAGACAAATGGATAAAGAAAATGTGATACATATGCACAATAGAGGACAATTTAGCCATGAAAAGAATGAGATCCCGTCACTCGCAACAGCATGGATGGAACTGGAGGTCATTATGTTAAGTGAAATAAGCCAGGCACAGGAGGACAAACTTCACATGTTCTTACTTATTTGTGGGAGCTAGAAGTTAAAGCACTTGAACTCATGGAGATAGAGAGTAGAATGATAGGTTACTAGAGGCTGGAAAGGATATGGGTGGGGCGCACTGTGGGATGGTTAATGGGTACAAAAAAATAGAGAGAATGAATAAGATCTAGTGTTTGATAGCACAACACGTGCTAAAAATAAAAATAGCCAGGCACAGTGTTGTAGGGCTCTAGTTCCAGCTACTCAGGAGACAGACAAGAGGATCCCTTGAGCCCAGGAGTTCAAGGCTGCAGTGAGCTGTGATCGTACCACTGCACTCCAGCCTGGGCAATACAGCAAGACCCTGTCTCAAAAAATAAAATAATAATAATAATAATTTAGTTGTACATTTTAAAATAACAAAAAGAATATAATTGGATTGTTTTTAACACGAAGGATAAATGCTCAAGGTGATGAATACCCCCATTTACCCTGATATGATTATTATACATTGTATCCCTGTGTATGAGATATCAAAGTATCTCATGTGCCCCATAAATATATACACCTACTATGAACCCACAAAAATTAAAAATTATAAAAAAGAAACCTGTATTTATACTCCCTAAATATATAAAAATTAAAAAAACTATAAAGCTATTTTTTAAATCCCAGGTTTAATTTAATTTTTCCAATCTTAGTAGTGTTCACTCTCCATGATCACAACTACTGACCAGAGACTAGAATTAGACCTGGGCATCATTCCAGGGTGTCAGTGAAATTGAAAAAGAAAATTATAGGAACACCAGAGACAAAGAGAATTCAATCATGGGGGGAGGTGGGCACAAGTTGCAAACAATCAAAAATCACATCGACAAATGACATCGGACTTCTTTTTTTTGAGACGAAGTTTTGCTCTTGTTGCCCAGGCTGGAGTGCAATGGCAGGATCTCGGCTCACCGCAACCTCCGCCTCCCAGATTCAAGCGATTCTCCTGCCTCAGCCTCCCGAGTAGCAGGGATTACAGGAACCTGCCACCATGCCTGGCTAATTTTTTGTATTTTTAGTAGAGACAGGGTTTCACCATGTTGGACGGCCTGGTCTTGAACTTCTGACCTCAGGTGATCCACCTGCCTCGGCCTCCCAAAGTTCTGGGATTATAGTAGGTGTGAGCCACCATGCCTGGCCGACATCAGACTTCTCAGTAGCAACTCTGGACACTAAAATAATGATGCGATGCCTTAAGAATTCCGAGGAAAATATATTTCCAACTAAAAACTGTCATTCAAATATGTAGTAGAACAAATATCTTTTCAGACACGTATATAGCATAAAATTATTTCCTGAATAATGTACTCCATCAAAAATAGGGGAACAAATTCAGGGAAAAAGACATGGCGTATAAGAAACAAGGGCTCCAACTTGAGTACAAGAGAGATGAAGGGAATACCCTGACTAATGGTGGGGACATATTTCAAGACAGGTCAGAAGCAGGTCAGAAGGCTCTAAGATAGGCTCAAGCAAGATTAAATACACAAATACCTCATTTATCAACACTTCAATAACACGTTAATTAACATTGTGAGAGTTCAGAGATGAGTTACATAGAAAACTAAGCAAATGAGAAGACAATTAGAAGGTGTACAAGAAACGAAAAGTATTCATAAAACACTTCATGGGTCAGCCATAAAAAGTATTTATTTGGTCCTAAAACTGTAAGCACTGAACACTGATTCAACCAAAAATTGACCCAACTGTATTAGGAGGATGGGGAGATAGGAACTATCCATGTGTGGGGATATGTGTGTGTGAGGGAGAGTGTGTGGACACCAAATCCTCATATTTCATTGCAATATGATAGATGCAATGCATTTAGACTGAAACTCTCATATTTACTTCTGAGAAGCAGAGGAAGCTGAGCAAAGTAAAGAATCACAGAGACAAGCCATATTTGTAGGAAGCACTTTGCCCTGCAGAAGAGAAGACATCATTGTGAAGAGTTCCACAGCTGCTTATCAAAGAAGATGGAGAAGAGTAAATGCAAAATTCAGAGTCAGGTAAATGCCTGCTAAATAGGTGGGCACATGGCTCTGGGGTCCCCCTGCAAGTATATTCATCAAAATAGCTGGTCCAGGAAAACTCTTCCTCAAAGATGAGCAACCACACAGACAACACAGGTGAGAGTCTATAGAAAATTAACAGAAGAGGAAAAAAAAAAAACAGAAGGGAAAGGAACAAAAAAATCAAATGGTGGACAGAGATTATCAATAGAAAATAGATAACTAGAATATTCTTGTATAGGAAAGCTATCACCAAACATTTTACTCTGACAGTGTATTAGTTTGTTCTCACATTGCTATAAAGAAATACCCAAGAATGGGTAATTTATAAAGAAAAGAGGTTTAATTGGCTCATAGTTCTGGAGGCTGTAGACGAAGGGTGGCAGCATCTGCTGGACTTGTGAAGAATCCTCAGGAAACTTACAATTATGGTGGAAGGTGAAGGAGGAAGGGGGAAGCAGGCTCATCTTATATGGCCACAGCAGGAGGAAGAGAAGCAGGGGAGGTGGCACACACATTTAAACAACCAGATCTCGTGAGAACTCACTCGCCACACAGTGCCAAGCAGGGGATTATGCTAAACCATTCATGAGAACTCTGCCCCCATGCACCAGTCACCTCCCTTACCCCCAGCAGTAGGGATGACATTTCAACATGAGATTTGGGTGGGGACACAGATCCAAACCATATTGGACAGAAAGGTAGAAAGTAGTGTTAGTACATTGATATTAGGTCGGTGCGAAAGTAATCGCGGTTTTTGCCATTACTTTCAATGACAAAAAATGCAATTACTTTTGCATCAACTTAATATATTTAAGATATCATTTAAAGGTGATAAATCAAATAGTAGGAGTGAGTGTATTTTGCAATACCAAGTTCAACACAAAATGTAGAAAAAAACCCACTAATTTCATCATTGAATTATAGTATGAAATGATAGATGTGTTTCCAAAAATTAAAGGTTAAAGGCATAGAGTAAGACCCTGTCTCAAAAAAATAAATAATAGTAATTTAATTGTACATTTTAAAATAACAAAAAGAATATAATTGGATTTTTGTAACATGAAAGATAAATGCTAGAACAAAAATATAAGCCTTCCAAATTATTGGAAGTAACATACACAAAATAAAGCAAATGGAGAAGCTCATGGAGGATTTTTTTTTAAGGTTTAAAGGAGAGAGAATGACATGAAATAATGTGATAGGTCTATGCTCAAACATACCTCTGGTGTCAAAAATGCAAATAGGCTGAACTCACCTATTAAAAGAAAAAGACTGGCAGATTGGACCACAAAGCAAAATCTAACTCTGTGCTGTTACTTCTACTTAGAACAAAGTGATGCATAAATGTTGATAATAAAAAGATGGGCACTAGTACAATTAGGCAAATGCAAATAAAAAGAGAGCAGGTGTCACAATCAAACAAGGTTGAATCCGGGTCAAAATCATTAAGCAAGTCAAAGAAACACACATTGAATGATAAAGGATCCATTTCTCAATGAAGATATAACAGTTATGAATATGCAGCAAAGAAAATGGCATCAATATTCAAAAACAAAAACGGTAAGAGTCACAAGGACAGTAGTAACAGAAGATTACAGGTCATGAGAGTTGACATGAAAAAAGGAGTAAAGCTTATAGGCAATCTAAATATCACAAATAATACAGACTAGATTGTAAATATAGCTTATGCCTTGAAAACAAAGGGTAGGATCCATAGCATGTTCAATAAAACTGGCTGTACCTTAGGTCACAAAGAAAATAACACTAAACACTTACACAGGTGCTTACTATGCCCCAGCCATCCTTCTAAGCAATTCATGTATGTTAACTCACTTAATTCCAACAACTTATAAAAGTACATATATTATGATTCCCATTTTGCAGATGGGGAGACTAAGGCACAGAATGGTTATATCTATCACTTTTGCCAAGATTGCAGAGAGCATGCTAGTGAGCAGCAGAGCTGGAGTTTAACCCAGGCGGCCTCACTCCCAATCTGTGCTCTGAACCACTAGGCCAGAGACTTTTTTCCATAAAGTCTCAAAAGTAGAACCGCTGCAGATAGTTTCTAATCACAATGCCCTAAAAGCAGAAGTTAATAGTAAAAACAAAAAAGCTTAAGAACTCTGCCACCTAAAATTTAAAAAGAAAAAAATAAATGAACGAACCAACAAATCAACCAAAGAAACAAACAGTTAACAAACAAAAACTACCCATTAAGTTTTGGGTAAAAGACAATCCAAACTGGACTAGCGTTAAAGCTCAGAAGACAAGGTCTTTAATTTTTATATTAATAAACAAAAAAATAAAAATGAGTGACTTAAGGATCTTATCAAGAGGTTATAAAAACATAATTGAAATAAAAATAAGGAATCCACAAAGAAAAATAAAATGAAATTAATGAATTTACAAACAAAAAATGGTACTACCAATAAATAAGTGAAGGAGCTGGTTCTTTGAAAAAAAGGTAAACCAATAAAACAGAAGAGCCTTTAAACAATCAAAAGAAACGAAAACATACAAAATATTACAGATCTTAGAAAAATTCATGGAAGTGGAAAATCCTGGTTAGAGAGTATGAACATTTATAATTTTGACAGATATTGCTGATTTGCCATATACAGAAGATTTTTCCAGTTTCCATCTCCACCAGCAATGAATGGAACTGATTGTTTCCTCACATGTTCAACAACACAGTATTAGCCATTTTTACAATGTGTCAACCTGAAAGATGAAAAGTAGTGCCTCTGTATAGTATTATAGACAAATGTCTATTTTTTTTGTTTTGTTTTGTGGTTATAGCCTTTGCCAGAATTGGAATCTGTTTTGCTTGAGTCATGATAAGAAGTTGGAAGTTTTTCTTCCATGCTGTATTACTTTAAATAATATTAAACCTATTTTTCTTTATTATTATTATTATTATTATTATTATTATACTTCAAGTTTTAGGGTACATGTGCACAATATGCAGGTTAGTTACATATGTATACATGTGCCATGCTGGTTTGCTGCACCCATTAACTCGTCATTTAGCATTAGGTATATCTCCTAATGCTATCCCTCCCCTCTCCCCCGACCCCACAACAGTCCCCAGAGTGTGATGTTCCCCTTCCTGTGTCCATGTGTTCTCATGGTTCAATTCTCATCTATGAGTGAGAACATGTGGTGTTTAGTTTTTTGTCCTTGTGATAGTTTACTGAGAATGATGATTTCCAATTTCGTCCATGTCCCTACAAAGGACATGAACTCATCATTTTTTATGGCTGCATAGTATTCCATGGTGTATATGTGCCACATTTTCTTAATCCAGTCTATCATTGACGGACATTTGGGTTGGTTCCAAGTCTTTGCTATTGTGAATAGTGCCGCAATAAACATACGCGTGCATGTGTCTTTATAGCAGCATGATTTATAGTCCTTTGGGTATATACCCAGTAATGGGATGGCTGGGTCAAATGGTATTTCTAGTTCTAGATCCCTGAGGAATCGCCACACTGACTTCCACAATGGTTGAACTAGTTTACAGTCCCACCAACAGTGTAAAAGTGTTCCTATTTCTCCACATCCTCTCCAGCACCTGTTGTTTCCTGACTTTTTAATGATTGCCATTCTAACTGGTGTGAGATGGTATCTCATTGTGGTTTTGATTTGCATTTCTCTGATAGCCAGTGACAATGAGCATTTTTTCATGTGTCTTTTGGCTGCATAAATGTCTTCTTTTGAGAAGTGTCTGTTCATATCCTTTGCCCACTTTTTGATGGGGTTGTTTGTTTTTTTCTTGTAAATTTGTTTGAGTTCATTGCAGATTCTGGATATTAGCCCTTTGTCAGATGAGTAGGTTGCGAAAATTTTCTCCCATTTTTTAGGTAGCCTGTTCACTCTGATGGTAGTTTCTTTTGCTGTGTAGAAGCTCTTTAGTTTAATTAGATCCCATTTGTCAATTTTGGCTTTTGTTGCCATTGCTTTTGGTGTTTTAGACATGAAGTCCTTGCCCATGCCTATGTCCTGAATGGTAATGCCTAGGTTTTCTTCTAGGGTTTTTATGGTTTTAGGTCTAACGTTGAAGTCTTCAATCCATCTTGAATTAATTTTTGTATCAGGTGTAAGGAAGGGATCCAGTTTCAGCTTTCTACATATGGCTAGCCAGTTTTCCCAGCACCATTCATTAAATAGGGAATCCTTTCCCCATTGCTTGTTTTTCTCAGGTTTGTCAAAGATCAGATAGTTGTAGATATGCAGCATTATTTCTGAGGGCTCTGTTCTGTTCCATTGATCTATATCTCTGTTTTGGTACCAGTACCATGCTGTTTTGGTTACTGTAGCCTTGTAGTATAGTTTGAAGTCAGGTAGCGTGATGCCTCCAGCTTTGTTCTTTCGGCTTAGGATTGACTTGGCGATGCGGGCTCTTTTTTAGTTCCATATGAACTTTAAAGTAGTTTTTTCCAATTCTGTGAAGAAAGTCATTGGTAGCTTGATGGGGATGGCATTGAATCTATAAATTACCTTGGGCAGTATGGCCATTTTCACGATATTGATTCTTCCTACCCATGAGCATGGAATGTTCTTCCATTTGTTTGTATCCTCTTTTATTTCATTGAGCAGTGGTTTGTAGTTCTCCTTGAAGAGGTCCTTCACGTCCCTTGTAAGCTGGATTCCTAAGTATTTTATTCTCTTTGAAGCAATTGTGAATGGGAATTCACTCATGATTTGGCTCTCTGTTTGTCTGTTATTGGTGTATAAGAATGCTTGTGATTTTTGTACATTGATTTTGTATCCTGAGACTTTGCTGAAGTTGCTTATCAGCTTAAGGAGATTTTGGGCTGAGACAATGGGGTTTTCTAGTTATACAATCATGTCATCTGCAAACAGGGACAATTTGACTTCCTCTTTTCCTAATTGAATACCCTTTATTTCCTTCTCCTGCCTAATTGCCCTGGCCAGAACTTCCAACGCTATGTTGAATAGGAGTGGTGACAGAGGGCATCCCTGTCTTGTGCCAGTTTTCAAAGGGAATGCTTCCAGTTTTTGCCCATTCAGTATGATATTGGCTGTGGGTTTGTCATAGATAGCTCTTATTATTTTGAGATACGTCCCATCAATACCTAATTTATTGAGAGTTTTTAGCACGAAGAGTTGTTGAATTTTGTCAAAGGCCTTTTCTGCATCTATTGAGATAATCATGTGGTTTTTGTCTTTGGTTCTGTTTATATGCTGGATTACATTTATTGATTTGCGTATGTTGAACCAGCCTTGCATCCCAGGGATGAAGCCCACTTGATCGTGGTGGATAAGCTTTTTGATGTGCTGCTGGATTCGGTTGGCCAGTATTTTATTGAGGATTTTTGCATCAATGTTCATCAAGGATATTGGTCTAAAATTCTCTTTTTTGGTTGTGTCTCTGCCCGGCTTTGGTATCAGGATGATGCTGGCCTCATAAAATGAGTTAGGGAGGATTCCTTCTTTTTCTATTGATTGGAATAGTTTCAGAAGGAATGGTACCAGTTCCTCCTTGTACCTCTGGTAGAATTCAGCTGTGAATCCATCTGGTCCTGGACTCTTTTTAGTTGGTAAGCTATTGATTATTGCCACAATTTCAGATCCTGTAATTGGTCTATTCAGAGATTCAACTTCTTCCTGGTTTAGTCTTGGGAGAGTGTATGTGTTGAGGAATTTATCCATTTCTTCTAGATTTTCTAGTTTATTTGCGTAGAGGTGTTTGTAGTATTCTCTGATGATAGTTTGTATTTCTGTGGGATCGGTGGTGATATCCCCTCTATCATTTTTTATTGCGTCTATTTGATTCTTCTCTCTTTTTTTCTTTATTAGTCTTGCTAGTGGTCTATCAATTTTGTTGATCCTTTCAAAAAACCAGCTCCTGGATTCATTAATTTTTTGAAGCGTTTTTTTTTTTAATCTCTATTTCCTTCAGTTCTGCTCTGATTTTAGTTATTTCTTGCCTTCTGCTAGCTTTTGAATGTGTTTGCTCTTGCTTTTCTAGTTCTTTTAATTGTGATGTTAGGGTGTCAATTTTGGATCTTTCCTGCTTTCTCTTGTGGGCATTTAGTGCTATAAATTTCCCTCTACACACTGCTTTGAATGTGTCCCAGAGATTCTGGTATGTTGTGTCTTTGTTCTCGTTGGTTTCAAAGAACATCTTTATTTCTGCCTTCATTTCGTTATGTACCCAGTAGTCATTCAGGAGCAGGTTGTTCAGTTTCCATGTAGTTGGGCGGTTTTGAGTGAGTTTCTTAATCCTGAGTTCTAGTTTGATTGCACTGTGGTCTGAGAGACAGTTTATTATAATTTCTGTTCTTTTACATTTGCTGAGGAGTGCTTTACTTCCAACTATGTGGTCAATTTTGGAATAGGTGTGGTGTGGTGCTGAAAAAAATGTATATTCTGTTGACTTGGGGTGGAGAGTTCTGTAGATGTCTATTAGGTCCGCTTGGTGCAGAGCTGAGTTCAATTCCTGGGTATCCTTGTTAACTTTCTGTCTCGTTGATCTGTCTAATGTTGACAGTGGGCATTAAACCTATTTTTCTATAAATGCTTGGTTGGATTCCCCTGTGAAACTGTCTGGTCCTAGTTTTTTTGTTTTGTTTTGTTTTGTTTTTGAGACAGGGTCTCGCTCTGTCACCCAGGCTGGAGTGCTGAGGCATGATCATGGTTCACTGCAGCCTTGAATTCCTGGGCTCAGGTGATCCTCCCACCTCAGCTTCCCAGGTAGTTAGGACTACAGGCATGCACCACCATGCCTGGACAGTTTTTTAAAAATTTATGTAGAGAGAGGGTCTTGCTATGTTGCACAGATTGCTCTTGAACTCCTGGCCTCAAGCAATCTTCCCAAGCAATCTTCCCGCCTTGGCCTCCCAAAGTGCTGGGAATACAGGGCAACATTCTTGATTTCTTTTATAGTAACTGGTCTGGATTTTCTGTCTTTTCTGAAACCAGTTTTGTTATCCTTTTTTATGGATAAGCCATCACTGTAATTCATATTTTTACACAAAGCATCCTGCATCTTTTTTTTTTTTTTTTGAGACAGAGTCTCGCTCTGTCACCCAGGCTGGAGTGCAGTGGCGCAATCTTGGCTCACTGCAACCTCTGCCTCCTGGGTTCAAGCGATTCTCCTGCCTCAGCCTCCTGAGTAGCTGGGATAATAGGTGTTTGCCACCATGCCTGGCTAATTTTTATATTTTTAGTAGAGAAGGGATTTCAGGCGTTTGCCACCATGCCTGGCTAATTTTTGTATTTTTAGTAGAGACGGGATTTCACCATGTCAGCCAGGCTGGTCTCACACTCCTGACCTCGTGATCCACCCGCCTTGGCCTCCCGAAGTATTGGGATTACAAGCGTGAGCCACCGCACCTGGCTCTTTTTTTTTCTTTTTGAGGCAGAGTTTCGTTCTGTCCCCCAGGCTGGAGTGCAGTGGAATCCTGGCTCACTGCAACCTCCACTTCCGGGGTTCAAGCGATTCTCCTGCCTCAGCCTCCCGAGTAGCTGGGATTACAGGTGCCTGCCACCAGGCCCGGCTAAATTTTTTTTGTATTTTTAGTAGAGATGGGGTTTTGCCATGTTGGCCAGGCTGGTCTAGAACTCCTGACCTCTAAGTGATCTGCCCTCCTCGGCCTCCCAAAGTGCTGGGATTACAGGCGTGAGCCACTGTGCCCAGCCCATCCTGCATTGTTTTTTTCTGCTATCTCATGTTGTAAACATCAGATGAATTGCCTGACAGGCCCCTTACCCTTTCTTGGAATAGCATCCTGCCCCCTAAGCCCCTGCCACCTAATCAGAAGCTCCTGGTAGCCATACCTTTCCTCACAGTTGTTTGACCTAGGGGTGAGTCTTGGCCTCCCAAAGTACTGGGATTACAGGCATGAGCCACCGTGCTGGCCTAAAAATTTTAAAAGATGCAAATGTTCTGCTATCAGAGTTTGCCCCAAGGCTAAACAAGCACAGCTGGGCTCTCTCCATAGTTAAATCTATGGGTCTCTCTTCTGTTTCTAAGACTGTCCCAAAATAGGTCAATCACAGATCCTTCCCTAGAATTTTGGAGGTAGGTGTAAGGGTTTCCAGTCTTAGTCTGGACTGGTCTCTTCAACAAAGGCATTTTAAAAAATTGCTAATTATAACAAGGCCATATTTTTAACCATGTAACTTGGGGAGTAGAGAAAACTAATCCACAGAGAGGGGAACAGAATGAAGTAGATCTTAGATGCATAAATGAGACAGAGATAAAATTGCCTGGAATCCATGTGACTTTTTAAACTCCCAATCCTGGTTCCATCTTCTTGGGACCTGACTGCAATCCTTCCTTTGGATTCTGGGAGATATTCCTACCTCTGCTGTACAAACTCTTCTGTTTAAACTAGCTTAAGTTGATTTATAGTGCATGCAACCAAAAATTCTAACATATTCTTCAGTTCTAATTCCCACTGCCCCTCTTCTGGCTCTGTTCTGTCGAGGCAGCTCACTCCACCTTCCCAGGCTGTTGAGTTCATCTCTAAACTGTAGTCATGCCTGCCTCTTTTCTTTCCTTCCTTTCCTTCCCTTCCTTCCCTTCCTTCCTTCCCTTCCTTCCCTTTTCTTTTCTTTTCTCCTTTCTTTTCTTTTCTTTTCTTTCCTTCCTTCTCAGAGTCTCACTCTGTCACCCAGGCTGGAGTGCAGTGGCATGATCTCAGCTTGCTGCAACGTCCGCCTCCTGGGTTCAAGCAATTCTCCTGCCTCAGCCTCCTGAGTAGCCAGGACTACAGGCATGCGCCACCATGCCCAGCTAATTTTTGTATTTTTAGTAGAGGTGGGGTTTCACCATGTTGGCCAGGCTGGTCTCAAACTCCTGACCTCTGGTGATCCGTCCGCCTCGGCCTCCCAAAGTGCTGGGATTACAGGTGTGAGCCACCGTGCCTGGCCACGCCTGCTCTTTTCTATTTATCCATATTCTCATCAAGTCCCCATATCCTCCATCAAGTTTTCCCTGAGTATTCTAAATTTCATTGATTTCTCCCTCCTCTGAATTTCCATGTTGCATTTATATATTGGAAGAGCTGAAAAATGTTACCCCAGCTATGCCAAATAACACTCAAAGCTTTTTAATTCTCAAGCTTCTGAGTGAATTTCACATGGAATCTTTTAGTCCTCCTGCTTCTGCAGTGAAATTCCCACAGTCTTGACCCATGGTTACAATCTCATCAACCTATTCAAGACTAAATTGGCTGGGCGTGGTGGCCCACGCCTGTAATCCCAGCACTTTGGGAGGCCAAGGCAGGTGGATCACCTGAGGTCAAGAGTTCAAGACCAGCCTGGCCAACATGGCGAAACTCTGTCTCTACTAAAAATACAAAAAAAAAAGATAGATGGGCGTGGTGGCAGCCACTTGTAATCTCAGCTACTGGGGAGGCTGAGGCAGGAGAATCACTTGAGCCTGGGAGGCGGAGGTTGCAGTGAGCCAAGATCGCGCCATTGCACTCCAGCCTGGGCGACAAGAGTGAAACTCCATCTCAAAAAAAAAACAAAACAAACAAAAAAAACAGGACTAAATCTACTATTAATTTATTATTTCACTACTTCCAGCACAATTTGCAACAAAACAAATTTTGCTCAAGGGAACTGTTCAATGTTAATTAAAAAACAAAATTATTATACTTTATAAGCATAAAAACTGACTAGTACATAAAATATCCATTATAAGTTCACAGTGTAAACAAATGGTGGTATATTCATAAATGGAATACCATACAGCAGGAAAAAGGATAAACTACTGATGATATGCAGTAACATGAATTTCAAAACCATTGTGTTGAGAGAAAGAAGCCAGACATAATATATAAATACATATTGCAATGATTCCATGCACATAAGGTTCAAGAACAGGCAAAACTTATCTGTGGTGATGGATGTCAGAATGGTTACCTCTGGGAGCATATGGACTGGAAAGGGGAAAGATGGACCTTTAGAGGTGATGGAAATCTTATACATCTTGAATGGATAGTGGTTAAAGGAATGTGTGCAAAGGGTAAAATTCATCAAGTTGTATGCATCTTTCTGTGTGTCTAGAATCCCTTAATTTAAAAAAATTTTTTTTTTTTTTAGACAGAGTCTCACTTTGTCACCCAGGCCTGGAGGGCAGTGGCACAATCTCCGCCCAACCGATTCTCCTTCCTCAGCCTCCCAAGTAGCTGGGACTACAGGTGCAAGCCACCATGCCAGGCTAATTTTTTTTTTTTTTTGAGAGGGAGTCTCGTTCTGTCACCCAGGCTGGAGTGCACCCAGGTGCAATCTCAGCTCACTGCCAGCTCTGCCTCCCAAGTTCACGCCATTCTCCTGCCTCAGCCTCCCGAGTAGCTGGGACTACAGGCGCCCACCACCACGCCTGGCTAATTTTTTGTATTTTTAGTAGAGACGGGGTTTCACCGTGTTAGCCAGGATGGTCTCGATCTCCTGACCTCGTGATCCGCCTGCCTTGGCCTCCCAAAGTGCTGAGATTACAGGTGTGAGCCACCGCATCAAGTTTTTTTTTTTTTTTTAAACTAGAAATGGGGTATCACCATGTTGGCCAGGCTGGTCTCGAACTCCTGACCTCAGGTGATCCTCCTGCCTTGGCCTCCCAAAGTACTGGGATTACAGGCATGAGCCACCGTGCCGGCCTAAAAATTTTAAAAGATACAAATGTTCTGCTATCAGAGTTTGCCCCAAGGCTAAACAAGCACAGCTGGGCTGTCTCCGTAGTTAAATCTACAGGTCTCTCTTCTGTTTCTAAACCTGGGCCACATAATATCCCTTTTGAGATCAGTTCTCAGTGTTGTGAATATACACCAAGAGTTTTTTTTTTTTAATTCTTATATACATACACATACATAGATACATGCATATACAAATAATACATTAGTTCTCCCTTTTAACAAAATGTTCCTCTTTTTATTCTAATGGTAGTATATTAAATAATAGTCTGCATATTCCTTTTTTCACTTAAGAATAGATTACGCCAATTGATTTTTTAAAAGATTGCATAGAATTCGACTGCATGGATTTACTCAAAATAAGAGACATGTACACCAAAATCATTTTTTGAAATATATCAGCTTTTGGCAAAGATTAAAACATTTGATAACATAAGTTGCCAAGGGGATTGGGAAATAGAGACCCTCATGTATTGCCAGTGGAATATAAATCAGTACTTTCTATGGAAGGCAATTTATCAAAGTTAGAAATACACATATTATTTGGTTCAGCAATTGAGTTAGGTTGAACATATTTCATTCGTATAAGAGCCTTATATTTCCTTTCCTGTGAACTATTTGTTCATATCTTTCTCCATTTTTCTAAGAGGTTATTGTTGTTTCTTTGATCTGCAGGAGTTCTTTATAGATTAGGGAAATTTACTCTTTGTGAAATGTATTGTAAATTTTTTTTCCAGTTTTGTCATTAGTCTTTTGATTAATGCTGTTAAAGCAGTTGCAATTATCAGTCATACTTGGAAAGGCCTTTCTTAGTCTGTTGTTTTTTTAATCTCAGCCAATTTCTTCTAGAAATATTATAACTTCTTTTTTCTATTTAAAACATTCATTCACTAGAAATTTATCCTTTTGTAGGGTGTGAGATACAATTTTATTCTAGTCTAGATAATTACCTATTTGTCTTAAGCTATTTATTGAATAATCTAAGCTTTCCTCACTGATTTGAAATGCTTGCATATTCAACCAGAAAAGACAGGAACCATAATAGAAATATGAATAATGATTATAAACAGGCAATTTACACAAGAAGAAACTTAAAAGACTAGCAGATATATGAAGAGATGCTCAAATTCCTTAGTCATCAGAGCAGTGCAAATTAAAATAATAATGAATGGCAGAAATTAAACTGTATTTATTGGTGGCAATGCGATGGGAGAAGAGGAGGTAATACAGCAACCCTCACACCACTGGTGTGACCATTTTGGAGAATAGTCTCTTAATGTGTACGCAGGCCTAAAGATCCAACGGTTCTTGCCTGGGTCTGTGTCCGAAATAAATTCTCATATAGACTCAAAGAGCACATGACTGAGGATGTCCATAGTTGCACTGTGGTGGTGGTGGGGTGGGGGGTGGGTAGTTGGAGGCAAGCCGAGCATCCATCACTGAGGAAGTAAACAGGCAAAATATGCGATTGCAGATTACCACTCAAAAGTTGTTAAAAAAAAAAAAAGTTGTAAACTGAATATATTATACACAGCAGCATGAATGGTTCTTAAAAATATGGTGTTGAGCAAAAAAAGAAACAGAATGAGATATATAATATAATAACAAATTTACAAATTTAAAATATATGCATGTAAAATAATAATATATATAAGGTCACATACAAAAAGTTAAAATTGGCCAGGCGCGGTGGCTCATGTCTGTAATCCTAGCACTTTGGGAGGCTGAGGTGGGTGGATCATCTGAGATTAGGAGTTCGAGACCAGCCTGACCAACATGGTAAAACCTCGTCTCTACTAAAAATACAAAAATTAGCCAGACATGGTGGCAAATGCCTATAATCCCAGCTACTCGGGAGGCTGAGGCAGGAGAAGCACTTGAACCCGGGAGGCAGAGGTTGCAGTGAGCTGAGATTGTGCCACTGCACTCCAGCCTGGGCGACAGAGCGAGACTCTGTCTCAAAAAAAAAAAAAGTTAAAATTTTAGAATTTTTGCCATTGGATGTAATGAATGGAAATAAAGAGGAATTTCAAAGAGAGAGAAAAAGACTGATGATGATAATGTGCCACAAACTGTGAAATATGGTTAATTCAACCTTCTTTGCCCGAAGTGAAAATTAAAAATAAAAAGGTCGTCAAGGTTACCAGTATCTCTGCTCTCATCTTACTAGAATTCTTGGTAGCATTCAACAGTTAGTTGGCTACTCCTACTGTCTTGAAATGTGTTTGTTATAAGATCATGTCACTTTTCTACTTAAAATTTCCCGAATAGCTTCTGGTTTCATTTACAGTAAGATCCAAACTCTTTTTTTTGTTTTTGTTTTTGAGACAGGGTCTTGCTCTGTTGCCCAGACTGGAGTGCAATGTTACGATCACAGCTCATTGTAGCCTCAACCTCCCCGGCTCAAGCAATCCTCCCACTTCAGCCTCTTGAGTAGCTAGGACTACAGGTGTGTGCCACCATGCCTGGTTAATTTTTTATTTTTAGTTTTTTTAGAGATAGGTCTCACTATGTTGCTCAGTCTGGTTTCAAACTTTAGGACTCAAGTGATCCTCCTGCCTCGGCCTTCCAAAGCGCTGGGATTATAGGCGTGAGCCACTGCACCTGGCCAGATCCAATCTCTTTATGCCATTCCATGACCTGGCCCTTCGCTCCCTCTCAGATTCCATCTTTGCCCACCCTGCTCACTGCAGTTTGGCCACCCTCACCTTTCTTCCAACTCACCAAATCACCCCCTCCATAGGCTTCGTACTTGCTTTTCTTTCTCTCTGATACTCTTCCTTTGGATCTTCACAAGGCATTTTGGTCTTTAAACTTAAATGTTGTCAAGAAGGCATGAGTAACTTGATCTCACAGGGTATTTTATTATGTATTCATTTATTTGCTAAATAAAACAAGAGTGCCTGCTCTGATCTTACAGCATTACAGTTAAATAATATTAAAGGTATTTTGACTTTGCATTCTACAGGAATTGACTTTGACCTCTTCTCAGCCTCCTTGAAGAGCCCCCACTACCCAACAAAAGCATTTTGGATTTTCCAAATTTACATGGAAATGCATAAGTAGGTGTGCTCTACCCCTAGTCCCTAGTGACAAAATTACTTTCTCATCACCTGCTCAGTCTCTGCTGGAAGAGACTGAACTAACTTTCAAATTGGTGATCGCAGCCAATTAGAAGTTTGTGAAACAGTTTTGAGGATCACAAGCAGCATTTTAAAAACATGCAATATATTACAACAGAATCTTATGGAAAATATCAGAGTGTACCACACTGATCCTTATCCAGGAATACAGACACTGTAACTGCTGATGAAGAGAAGGACAGGGAGGGAGGGGTGACTGCAGTCACTGGGATCTCACTGGAACTCCTAGGTTCCTTTGTTGGACAGATAACATTGTACAGCCTAATTTTATGTTATCACAACTGCCCGTAACTTATGAAATGAAATAAAGGAGAATTTCATTCAGTGATTAAAAAACTCATAATTTTCAACTGGGTTACAGTGAAGAACTTTAAGTATGTTTTTGGGAAAGCACCATCAGTATGACATGTGTGTGTGAACTATGATATATTAAACTAGTATAAATTGCTCTCAAAGAGATTGTTTTATTATTAGAAGAAAAAGGAATAAGATAGTGAAAAATACAGAAACATATTCCAATTTAGCTGCTGGGTCTGGAATTATAATGGAAATACTAAGAAAATGTTAACTCTATCATCAAACATTGACTTTACATCTCATTCTAAAAAGAAAAAGCTCCCCCTCTCCCTCTCCCTCTCCCTTCTTCGGTCTCCCTCTGTTGCTGGACTGTACTGCCGTGATCTCAGCTCGCTGCAACCTCCCTGCCTCGGGCTCCCGTGATTCTCCTGCCTCGGCCTGCCGAGTGCCTGGGATTGCAGGCACGCGCCGCCACGCTTGACTGCTTTTTGTATTTTTGGTGGAGACGGGGTTTTACTGTGTTGACCGGGCTGGTCTCCAGCTCTTGACCTTGAGTGATCTGCCTGCCTCGGCCTCCTGAGGTGCTGGGATTGCAGACGGAGTCTCGCTCACTCAATGCTCAATGTTACCCAGGCTGGAGTGCAGTGGCATGATCTCGGCTCGCTACAACCTCCACCTCCCAGCTGCCTGCCTTGGCCTCTGAAATTGCCAAGATTACAGCCTCTGCCTGGCCACCACCCCGTCTAGGAAGTGAGGAGCCTCTCTGCCTGGCCGCCACCCCGTCTGGGAAGTGAGGAGCGTCTCTGCCCAGCCGCCCCGTCTGGGAGATGAGGAGCGCCTCTGCCCGGCCGCCCCGTCTGGGATGTGAGGAGCGCCTCTGCCTGGCCGCCCTGTCTGGGATGTGAGGAGCGCCTCTGCCCGGCCGCCCATCGTCTGGGAAGTGAGGAGCACCTCTGCCCGGCCGCCACCCCGTCTGGGAAGTGAGGAGCGTCTCTGCCCAGCCGCCCCATCTGGGAGGTGAGGAGTGCCTCTGCCCGGCCACCACCCCGTCTGGGAAGTGAGGAGCGTCTCTGCCTGGCCGCCCCGTCTAGGAAGTGAGGACCCCCTCTGCCTGGCTGCCCCGTCTGGGAAGTGAGGAGCGCCTCTGCCTGACTGCCCCATCTGGCAGGTGAGGAGCATCTCTGCCCAGCTGCCCGTCTAGGAAGCGAGCACCTCTGCCCGGCCGCCCCGTCTGGGATGTGAGGAGCGCCTCTACCTGACCACCCCATCTGGCAGGTGAGGAGCATCTCTGCCCGGCCGCCCGTCTAGGAAGCGAGCGCCTCTGCCTGGCTGCCCCGTCTGGGAAGTGAGGAGCGCCTCTGCCCAGCCGCCCCGTCTGGGAAGTGAGGAGCGCCTCTGCCCCGCCACCCATCGTCTGGGAAGTGAGGAGCGCCTCTGCCTGACCGCCCCATCTGGCAGGTGAGGAGCATCTCTGCCCAGCCGCCCGTCTAGGAAGCGAGCACCTCTGCCCGGCCGCCCCGTCTGGGAGGTGAGGAGCGCCTCTGGCCGGCCGCCCCATCTGGGAGGTGAGGAGCGCCTCTGCCCGGCCACCCCGTCTGGGAGGTGAGGAGCGCCTCTGCCCGGCCACCCATCGTCTGGGAAGTGAGGAGCGCCTCTGCCTGACCGCCCCATCTGGCAGGTGAGGAGCATCTCTGCCCAGCTGCCCGTCTAGGAAGCGAGCACCTCTGCCTGGCCACCCCGTCTGGGAGGTGAGGAGCGCCTCTGCCTGGCCGCCCCATCTGGGAGGTGCAGAGCGCCTCTGCCCGGCTGCCCCGCCTGGGAGGTGAGGAGTGCCTCTGCCCGGCCGACCCGCCTGGGAGTTGAGGAGCGCCTCTGCCCTGCCACCCCATCTGGGAGGTGTACCCAACAGCTCCGAAGAGACAGCGACCATCGAGAACGGGCCATGATGACGATGGCAGTTTTGTCGAAAAGAAAAGGGGGAAATGTGGGGAAAAGAAAGAGAGATCAGATTGTTCCTGTGTCTGTGTAGAAAGAAGTAGACATAGGAGACTCCATTTTGTTCTGTACTAAGAAAAATTCTTCTGCCTTAGGATGCTGTTAATCTATAACCTTACCCCCAACCCCGTGCTCTCTGAAACATGTGCTGTGTCAACTCAGGGTTAAATGGATTAAGGGCGGTGCAAGATGTGCTTTGTTAAACAGATGCTTGAAGGCAGCATGCTCCTTAAGAGTCATCACCACTCCCTAATCTCAAGTACCCAGGGACACAAACACTGCGGAAGGCCGCAGGGACCTCTGCCTAGGAAAACCAGAGACCTTTGTTCACGTGTTTATCTGCTGACCTTCTCTCCACTATTATCCTATGACCCTGCCACATCCCCCTCTCCGAGAAACACCCAAGAATGATCAATAAATACAAAAAAAAAAAAAAAGCACTTTTCCTGCAAATGAAAGTTTAATGCCTTCAAAATTAAAAGGACATCTGAGGCTGGGTGCGGTAGCTCACACCTGTAATCCTAGCACTTTGGGAGGTTGAAGTGGGCAGATCATGAGGTCAGAAGTTCGAGACCAGTCTGGCCAACATGGTGAAACCCCACCTCTAAAAATACAAAAATATAAAATTTCTAAAAATACAAAAATTAGCTGGGCATGGTGGCATGCGCCTGTAATCCCAGCTACTCAGGAGGCGGAGGAAAGAGAATTGCTTGAACTTAGGAGGCGGAGGTTGCAGTGAGCCAAGATCGCGCCACTCACTCCAGACTGGGCAACAGAGCAAGACTCCATCTCGGGAAAAAAATAAAAGGACATCTGAAAATTTAACATGATGAACTTGTCAATAAGCCCCTCAAATATGTTCCTAAAAAAGTGGGGGGAGTAGAGTTATTGGCACAATTTCTCAGTTTTTCCACAAACCTTTTTAATTTTTTTGGTTACATAAATTAACCCATTTATTATAGGCTAGTGATGTCTCAAAGAGTAGAGGAGCGTCTACTGGTCTTTCAATTGCTTCAGTCTTCTGATGGTGGACTTTACCGTGACAGCTGAAGTGGTATTGTAGGTCCAGACAATGTGGTTCCTGGATGAAGACACCGTTACTGTCTTCATGCAGAACCACAGCACCAGATCCCCACAGCTCGTCTCTTCATCTTGGTTTTGCCACAGAAAAGAGCAAATGTACTTGGCGTACTGGCTGATTTCAATTTTCTTCACCATTTTCTGGAGGGAGACCCCATAGCGGGTCCTGTATTTACCAACGATTCCAACTTCTTGGTTTAGCCACGTTGCTGTGAACTACGTCCGAGCTCAGAGAGCTGTTCCGCAAATCTTAAGGAGAAAGACAATCAGTGTGCAAAAGAAATATGGGTCATAGTAAGGGCTGAAAAACTTCATCCAGTATTTATGGGTATGGTGCACATGCTTTCAGTGACAAATCAGCTGATAAATGAAAAACTATACTTCTTGGCAAAAACACAGTATCAGTGTATTACCTACCACAGAATATTTACAGCAACAATAACTATGATGTAGTAACAGTCCAACTTGCTGAGAGTACTAATACTGAAAGTTGCATAATATTTTCATGCCAGATATGTGTAGCAAGATAATTTTATAGAGGAATTATTGACTGTATAGAGAAAAATATATTCAGAATTTTAAAATAGTTCCCTTGGCCTCCATCACGGCAAGTAGTAGCGGCATTGGGGCAGCAGCAGTGATCAAAATGCGGTGAGGGAGATTGTGGACATTCTGCTTGTAGTCTCAGCTACTTGGGAGGCTGAGGCAGGAGAACGGTGTGAACCCGGAAGGCGGAGCTTGCAGTGAGCCGAGATCGCGCCACTGCACTCCAGCCTGGGCGACAGAGCAAGACTCCATCTCAAAAACAAAAAGAGATTTCAAGAATTCTGAATACTGGTTTACTGGAAACTCTGGTTATTTGTGTACAGCTTTGTGAGCAAGGACTTAACCCAGAATTAATAAATAACCAAGGAAATATCACTGGTTATTAAGGAGCTTCGAAAGACTACCAAAGCACAAAAGGCTGCTGAAAACATGACAATCTAACTTTCTGGAGAAATCCTGATATGTTGAGCTCTTCAAGAGGATTTGAAGACTGCGTCGTAATCAAGAACGTACGGTGAAATTACTGCATGCAGCAGTGTAGAAAAATAGTCCTTTTTAAAAGAATTACAGAACCATAGCTTTATAAATCAGTGGGAAAGTGGCTTACAGAGGGAACTATCAGGTGTGTTTACACTGCATCTTATTCACTTTTTAAAACGGCACTAATGTATTGGCATTGCTATGTTTATATTTAGGCATTCCTTATTTATAGCTCTAATAGCTTTAATTTTCTGAGCAGTCTGTCAGATGTTTATATCTGCTGTGCCTGGGTGAAGTGTGGTGGAACCCATTAGTAATAAGGTGTGGTGGTTATAGGACTTGTTGACGTTCCCTTTATAAACTAATTTTGAATTGTTTATGCACAATAACTATGGATTTATGTTGTACTCTCACAGGATTTCAGCCACCATTTGTGAATTTTGATTTAGGTTCATTATATCAGAATCTTGTTTTTTAAATTAAGAACATGGAAAACATTTCTTGTAATCTACCCTTTAACAAAGAATATATAGTTTTCAAACAGTTTGTTGGGCAGTTAATAGGGTGAACCAGATCATTTTTATTGATTTAAATAATTAACTTGATTAAACTTGGTATTTTATGAAGAGAATAAATTATTACAGCTTAGTACTTCATTTACACAGAGAAATGATTGTCGGGTATGCAATTTATCATGATGTCAGACTAAGATTAAAGAAGAATTTATTACTATGCAGAACATGCATACGCATTATTACTATTCATGACTGCCTATATATCTGAACTAGGGTTTTCAATTTTGATCAGTTTAGAAGAAGAAAAAGATCAGGCACCACAGTGGATCAGATGTTCATGTACCACTGTCCTAATGAATTCTGGAGTGCAATAAACCTATGATCAGGCAAGAACTTCCATGGCATTAAATAAAATCTTTCCTAATTTGCTTCTATATGATGTTAACATTTTTTTCTACACTGTATTATAAAATATTTTATATTAAATTAACTCTGTTGCGTCTGTTGCTTTTACTTTATCCTAAGCAGTAGGTAAGTATTGTGAAACTTATATTTCACATATGCACATATGTGTTATGTATATATGGGTGTATATTCTAGGTTACAGTGTAAAATGTCTTACTGTGGGTTATGGATCAAAAAGTTGGAAAACTCAGTGGGTGAGAAGTTAGAAGATAATGTTGGATAAGTAACACACCTGTAGAAGGATTTGGCCCACAGACCACCAGTTTGCAGTCTCTGAGCTAAATTGTGGAGGATATTGAATATGAGTATACATACATAGAACTCAGTTTGTAGGTAAGTTGCAGCCAGAACAGAGAACGATATAATAAAAACTCTTTTAGAGACATTAATATGACCCCGTCTCAAGACTGGTGGGAACAGAGACTGAAGGCAGAAAGGTCATTTAAGTATCACTAAGGCAATCTAAAAATGAGACCCGAATTCAGAATCAGAAAAGGAGCAATAGGGAAGGAGATAATGTAGGTAAAACATGGCGCCGAGTAGAAAAGATAGGGTTTTAGAGCTGGGAGAGACCTTTGGAATCATAGATTTCATCACCATCTTCGTCCAAGTAGGGAAAGTAATAACAGGAGAGGAAAAAACGGAACCCTCTCAGAATTTGTCAATGACGTCACACTGACTTAATAAAAGAGCTTTCAATAGTTAATGCAATTAACAGAAGGCTTGGATTCCCTTCAGGATGTGAAGGGCGAGCCCTCAAATTTACTTTTTATTCAATGGATTAAAATGGCCAGTAATTCTTATCCTTTTAAACCCGACTTCCAATTAATTAATTACAAGTGAGCCTATGGGGCGTGCCCAATCAATTCCTTCCCCATCCTGAAATGGGTCCTTTAGCATTCTCATAAACAGTACGTTTCCTGAAATACCACTAAACCCTCTTAAGAAGTTTTCTATGATTTCAGCAGTTTAGGCCTTCTGAATGAGCCCAGAACTCCTCATCTGCTTGTTAATTTTCCAACTGCAAAGCGTTATTGAACATTTAATGACCCTGCCCCACGCAACGCCCACTGCGGCCGGGCGAGGGAAACCGGAGTAGGTCGAGGAAGGGGAGGCCTGCGCTTTCGGGAGGGAAGCCGCTGGGGCTAGTCTGGCTGAAGCTGGGCACTTCCTTTTTTCCCTCGATACTTAAGGCTACGGGGACACAGGGCGGGCAGGCACAACGGCTGGCGCGTCTCTCTACCCTTGCCCAGAGTCCGCCTTGAATAATCAGCTAACAACCCCAATTCCCTTGAACCCAGCACGGGAGACCCGGCGCCAATGGCTAGGTCGGTCTCAGTCCCATCCCGATGCTAGCCCCGGGAAGCTCCTGGAGCGCCTCTGGTTTCCGGGTGCGAATAGTAAACTGCTCGGGAAACCCCAGAACCCTCCCTTTGAGGAAGGGTGCAGACGGCGTCTCCGTTTCCACGGAAACAGGCCGAGCCATGTCGTCACTTCCGCCGACCTGTCTGGACTCCAGACTGTTGGGAGGAAAAGAGGAAAACTGAGCAACAGCCACGACAGTGGACGCGAGCGTCTCCTCTGTGCGCATGCGCCCGCTCAGCGGCCTGCTTCTATTTATGTGGGGGATCCAACATGGCGGCCGCGGCGACCCTGGCGATGGCGGTGAAGCCCATCAGAACGTAGTAGCGGGGAAGGGGACACGGTCCGCACTCACCGTGGCGCCGGCGGAGACGGCTGAGGGTGGTGGAGGGAAGAAAAGCGACAGAGAGCAAGAGGAAGGGCGGGCAGGCACGCAGCGCGCCGTAGAAGCGAGCGCCGGCTCGAGCAAAAGCGGAGGGCCAGAACAGTGGGGATGGCGGAGCCGCGCAGAGTAGCGTTCATTAGCTTGTCACCGGTGCGGCGGCGCGAGGCCGAGTACCCGGGGCCCGAGCGTGAGCCCGAGTACCCCCGCGAGCCCCCCCGGCTGGAGCCGCAGCCGTACCGCGAGCCGGCCCGGGCGGAGCCGCCGGCCCCGCGGGAGCCTGCCCCCCGCTCGGACGCGCAGCCCCCGTCGCGGGAGAAGCCGCTCCCCCAGCGCGAGGTCAGCCGCGCCGAGCCGCCCATGTCGCTGCAGCGGGAGCCCCCGCGGCCCGAGCCGCCGCCGCCGTTCCCGCCGCTGCCCTTGCAGCCGCCCCCGCCGCGGGAGTCGGCTTCCCGGGCTGAGCAGCCGCCGCGGCCGCCGAGGGAGACGGTGCGCCTGGAGCTGGTGCTTAAGGACCCCACCGACGAGAGCTGCGTGGAGTTCAGTTACCCGGAGCTGCTGCTGTGCGGAGAACAACGGGTACAGAAGATTCTTCCCTCCTGCCCCAGACCCCGGGAGCCTCAGGACCCGCCGCCTTCCCCAGCTGGTTTGCACCTTGGGACGCCCACCGAGCGCGTCCGGGTCGCCCCGAGGGTGGGGTGCGGGGGGCCGGGGCCGAGCGGGTGGACGGGGCGGTGAGCGCTGCTTTCTCCACTCCCCAGGGTGGCCGAGGCTCTCACCCGGCTGCGCCGAATCCCCAAACCCCCGGCACTCGCTCCCAACGCCGCGCCGAGCTCGTTTTCTTGTGCACCTTTCGGAACCTCAGATTTTCCTTCTTTCCTTTCTGCTCCCCACACAAAATCCTGGGGCCCTGCAGGCCGTGTGGCTGGGTTCTCCCTGTGGCGCTACAGCTGTCGTTCCAGTAGAAAGGAAGAGAAAACCTTGGGGGACACGCCCCCCAGTCTGAAGCAGAGATTGTGTAACCCCTCTCGTATCATCCTCATCCTCATCACTGTTTGTTTTGCTGGGCGCCGTGGCTGCTGAGGTGTGCTTGCGTGCCTGTGATATTTTTCTTAATCGAAGGGAATTTAAGAATAATTAAAGGTTTTCAGAGACTAAGGATCCCACTTTAGGAATGGAGAAGTGGGTTAGTTAATCTGGTTACTAATTTTTCTCTCGTGTTGGTATTGGAAAACCTTTTTAGCTTTCCTTTTTTGTGGAGTTCGTTCATATTGTAATTGAATGGGAAGGTGTCTCCTGTTTTATTTGACACCTACCCGTCATATTATTTAAGTGTACTATCATTAGTTTATAGAAGGATATTGTATTCAGCCTTTGTAATTTTCGGAGGATGATGAAAAAAATGTCAGCTTTGAATTTTTTAAAATAATTGAAAATATATAGGTATGCTTTTGATGTAAGAGGTGAACAATGGAGAAAGGATAGGGGTTATGTTCGTAATTGTAATTTTTATTGTTGTGGGTTGGTGGATCTTCAGAAGTAAGTTAGAAAAGGAAATGATAGATTAACAGTAAGGAAAGAGAACAGTTTTCTCTGTTGCTTAGCAATTATACCCGTTATTAGGTTTTGCTTTAGCTTGAGTCTAATGGACTCCAGAAGTCCCTTGTTTTGTTTTCATCTTCAACTACCTTTATGGTCAAAATGACTGACTGCTTAGTCACAAAGTATCATGTTGAACAATTTCACTAGGTTTTGTTTACTTCATGGCCAGCTAATGTTTTGATCATTATTTAGAAATGTTATGTGGTCAAATCATTACAAAATGTTTTCAACCAAAATGAATTGTTTAAAGGTAGAGATCATTTTGGTCACTTCCACCTAACATTTTGCTCGTCAGACTCACTTGAATGCCCCTTCTTTATAAATCTGAGGTCACTTTTTTCCCAAAAGAATATTAAAAATATTGGATTGGAGCATTTTTCAAACATTGTATTTGAGCTGCTAATCTAAGTTGGTTTGCAGTTTTTGTAATTTTCATAAATTACAGGAGAAAAGCATTATCTTTGGATAAAAATACATAGCAATAACGACATTTACTGGTTCTTACTGTGTGCTAGACACAGTTCTAAGCACTGCACATGGTTTTTCTAGTAGTCCAACAGAACTCCACGAGGTAAAAACTATTATCCTCACTTTACAAATGTATGTAATTTTATTAGTACTTCTTTCCATAGTGATACAATTTGTTAGTAAAACAAAATTTCTTAAAATTAACTCATATAGTTTAGAGGATTCTGCCAAAATGACGTAAAATGTAAGTCGCAGTAGAAATACAAAGACCTTTATTATGTCTCTGTTTATGCTGTAATATTCACACGATGGCAAATTAATAATGTGTATCATTTAATTATAAAAAGAAAAAGGTTTGACACCCTAGCTTTGTTAACTTGATAACACCAGAACTACTACTTTCATGCAATAGGAGAAAGAGGAAAAATTCCATTTAATTTTTCTGTATACTTATTAACAGTATAGGTGTCTATTGGCCCAATTATCTCGTATATCAACCTTCTATTTTTTTCATATACCTCTGAACAAAACAAAATCCATTGTATATAATCACCTTTGCAACAAAGATTTGCCACATTTTCCTGTGATTGCTGCCAGTGTATATCCTTATTATGCAAGAAAGCATAGAAAACATATGTTTAAGTAAAATTGTCATGGTTTCATGAAAGGAAATCCTAGAAGAGAGACCATCAAAAAGCAAAATGCGAACATTAGAATTGGTCTGGAAAGTTGGTGGTTCCCAAAATTAGAAGAATTAGAAAAGGAAGGGCTCCACATTTTTGAAATAGCCATCTATCACTAAATAAGATTTTAGCTCCAGATGCTGAAATTGGTAGATGTGGGGCTATTAAAAAAAAACAAACAACAAAAGGTGTGTTACATATGGATACCATTCATGTGGGTGCATTTAAATCAGTTCCCTTCTTAAATACTAAATGAACAGTAAAACCCTGATTTACTGGAACATAATCAGAAATTTTTCTATGCTCTATTTGTATTAATGAGGAAAGCACAATTAAATAATTTATGTTGGGAAAATAGGAAAAACAAAACCACAGGTTAGCTAAACCTTTAACCTTATTGTCTCTAGGCAGTACAGTGCTGTGATTGAGATGGTTTAGGATGATGACTGGCATTGGAATCATCTCTATCCTGAAAGATTAATTTGGTCACCATTTCTGGCTAAAGGGTAATAGTGCATTTTAGAAATAAATTTTGGCAATGATTGATACACAAGAAAAGGTTTAACTCTTAGTAAACCAGAAAAATCAGTTAACCAGAACACCCATTTGTGAACATGCTTAATTGAACATTTACTGTAAAAAGAAAAATAAGTGATTAAGTGTGTTAATGTAACTATACTATTTGAGAATTCCATGGTATTTCATTGTTTGCGTATTTTTGATGAAATTTGTGAAAGACCTCCTGAAAATGGTGTTGATGAGTTAAGATCAAAGGACAAAATTATTGCATCAGTTTTGCATGTGGGTAGTTGATAATTTTCAGATTTTTTTTCACCTGAAAAAACAAAAAAGCTTAATCTTGATTGGGGGAGGGTGTTTATTCTTAACTGTGAAAGAAAAGTGAGTCCATTTTCTTAAATTTGTTTTTGTAGGCTGTCAAGAGAAAATAAGAGCTGTACTTTTGATACCTACATAAAATACATAAAATATTTTAGAATGGCATATAAGGTGATTCTTATTAAAAATATAGATCCATGTGTTTATATTTATACATATAAAATGAGTCATACCATAGTAAGTATTTGGGCTTCACAGTGCAAGAGGGAGCAGTTTGTAATAGGCATGGCGATTGCTTACTGTCCTTAACCTGAGCCTCTGGTTAAGGCTACACCCTGGACATGCCTAGGATTCCTTATTAGTTTATTCTCACTAGTTTATTCCCTTTTGGATCATGTTTATGTTTTTCATTGGTAAATTTTTATTTTTATTTTATTTATTTATTTTTTTGAGATGAAGTCTCACTCTGTCTCAACCAGGTTGGAGTGCAGTGGCGCAATCTCAGCATCTCAGCTCACTTGCAACTTCCACCTCCCAGGTTCAAGCGATTCTCCTGTCTCAGCCTCCCGAGTAGCTGGGACTACAGGCGTGTGCCACCACACCCAGCTAGTTTTTGTATTTTTGGTAGAGACGGGGTTTCACCATGTTGGCTAGCCTGGTCTTGAACTCTTGACCTCAGGTGATCCACCCACCTTGGCCTCCCAAAGTGCTGGGATTACAGGTGTGAGCCACTGCGCCTGGCCTTTCATTGGTAGCTTCTGTTGGGGTGAACTATTCTATAAATTTATTACTTATTACAATAATTTTAAAAATTGATTTTAAAGTTAACTCCTTTAAAGAAGTATCCCTTTATTCTAATGTCCCAAGTGTGAGGAATTGTCTCGTATTCATTCTGTCCACATTTTTCTATCATGTTTTTTAGACCGATCATGTCTCAGTCTTTATATCCAGGATGAAGTGTCTCAGTTTCAAAGTGTGCACATCTTCCTTCTGCATTTTTTCTTGCTCTTCAGGGTCCATTGAATCTGTATCAATATTTCAGTTGTAGTATACCTTCCTTTTTAAATTACCTGAGTCAGTTGTCTGAAATTGGATAAAAGTAGTATTTTTATCCTTGTTTTGGTTTTTTTGTGCATTGAAAACCATATATATGTTTGTATACTAAAATAGAAGACTTAAGGATGTGATCGCTATTTTTGTTTGTTTTGTTAAATAGATGGTTAATGTGAGCTTCTAGCTCTGTGTGTGTGTGTGTGTTAAACCATGTATTATAATAAACTTTCACTCTCCCCTACTAGAAGAAAGGCATGGTAATGTAATCTTTTTGCAGCTATTTCTCTTTTCTAGCTTTGTTTAAAAGTAATGTGTATTCCCTGAATGGATATCCATTGACAGAATATTGGTGATACAATGGTTGTTGATATTGGACCTCAACAGAAAGCCTTAGCCGCTACACACACTCAGTGTTAACTCACAGGCAGATGGTTGAAGTGTTGCTTTTAATTAATAATCTAGAGCTCCTTTTAGAAGCATTTCCTGATCAAAGCAGTTAATCTTTGTTAGTGAAGATATCAATCTAGAATTATAAGTGAGATTTTCATATTTAGCTAGTGTTCCTGGGGATTTTTTTTCTTTGTTATTTTGGATGAGGTGACCATGTGATCATTTTGCAGGTGAAGACAATTTGGATTGTTGAGTTCTTACTCATCAAAACACTGTGAAATGTATATGAGTCCATTATAACTGTAAATTTTTTTTGCTATGAACCAACTTTTTTTTTTTTAGTTTTAATACTTCTGACTTACTTGTTAGTATTAGGAAAAGTTGTCTCGTATTGGTTAAATTTAAGATATAGTCTCTGAGTAATAATATAATTAATTATATAACATGTTATATATTCTCACTAGTTTATTTCCTTTCAGATCACATTTATTGAAATAGAATTGAAGTGGTTGTTACATAATGATAAATAAACAAACAATAATAATATTTGTAATACTAATGGATACTTCTCTTTCTTTTCCCATTCACCTTGAATCAGAAGAAGCTCATTCACACAGAAGACCCATTTAATGATGAACATCAGGAGAGGCAAGAGGTGGAAATGTTGGCTAAGAAGTTTGAAATGAAATATGTGAGTATAATAAACTGATCACTTAGGTAATTTTATCCTATTGACCTGTTTGCTTTCTGTGGCTGGTTGGGAGGGCCTATAAATATCCGTTGCCTGCCTTACTTTGTTCTCACCAATGGAAACCAAATGAATGGTTAGACAGTCAAATAAAGATTCCAACAGGCTTGTGATAGTTAAAGTAGCCATCATTCATTTTTATTTTTATTTATTTATTTTGGAAACAGGGTCTCGCTCTGGTGCCCAGGTTGGAGTGCCGTGGTGCAGTGTTGGCTCACTGCAACCTCCGCCTCCCAGGTTCAAGCCTTTCTCATGCCTCAGCCTCCCAAGTAGCTGTGACTACAGGGGCAACACCACACCCAGCTAATTTTTTGTATTTTTGGTAGAGACGGGGTTTCACCATGTTGGCCAGGCTGGTCGTGAACTCCTGACCTCAAGTGATCCATCCTGCCAAGTAGCCATCATTTATTATAGTCTTTCTAGAGTCTGGGCGGTTTGCTTTACATATATTATCTCCAATCTTTGTAACAAAACCACAAGCTAAGTAATATTGACCATATTTTACAGATGAGGAAACTGAGGCTCTGAGTTCAAGATTAAGTAGCTGATACAGTGTCACACAGTGGCAAGAGTAGGCTACAGGTCCAGGTCTGTGTAGCTCTAACTCTGTTCCCTTTCCGCCACCATCGAGAATGCTATTTTAATTCCTTTGGTATAGTAGTTCTGAAACCTTCCTGCCTCCTAAGAGTTTGAGAGTGAATGTGTGTACTTCTAAGCTCATTGCGTCAGACTCAGAACCAGCATGAGACTTCTTTGAAAGTGTCCGGTTTATGCTAAATATTCATGTACATTTTATATTCAGTGCCACAATATAGTGGTGTTTGTTTGAATACAAAAACAATTTTTAATTACCTGATTAAGTTGCTTAACATTTTTCTCAAATTTTCTAGTATTACTAAATTTGTAGAAAGCCCCACTCCTCACCCCACATTTACACTATGGCTTTGAGTACTCTTGGCACTTTACTAAAACATAACCCAGTTGAGAAGCAACACCTTACCCCTCTGATTCCTCTGTGAGCATTGAAAAGTATCCCACAGGAGAAAGGATATCAGCTCACATTGGCCTTGTCATTGAGGGCCTTGTACCCTCAAGATACAACAGGGATCTTGACCCATATGTGCTGGCTCCTTGTGGTAATTAAGAAACCATTTGAAGGTAGAAGAAGTAGATGAGAATAGATTGGAATTGGAATCAGGTCCTAGGCCATACTTTGCCATCTGCTAATTGTGTCCTTTTGGTGAGGTTTTTTAGCTTTGGGCCACAGTTTTCTTTTTCTCTCTTTTTTTCTAAGACAGAGTCTCTGTCACTCAGGCTGGAGTGCAGTGGTGTGATCTTGGCTCACTGTAACCTCCACCTCCTGGGTTCAAGCAATTCTTCTGCCTCAGCCACCTGAGTAGCTGGGATTACAGGCATGCACCACCATGCCTGGCTAATTTTTGTATTTTTAGTAGAGATGGTTTCACCATGTTGGCCCGGCTGGTCTCGAACTCCTGACCTCAACTGATCTGTCCACCTTGGCCTCCCAAAGAGCTGGGATTACAGGCGTGAGCCATTGGGCCTGGCCAAGGGTACAGTTTTCCTATCTATAAATTGAGAGGTTCAGATTTTTCCGAGACCCTATTGTTCTCTATTCTGTGACTATATAATAATAAATTTAGGGATAGACTGGTGGGTGTTTAAATAGAAGGAATAGCATTGTAGTATTTAATTACAGTGTAATCTTTTGAGACTATATTGTATCATGATGTATAAATTGTAAAATCCTATAGGATGTATAAATCCTAAAATCCTAGCATGTATAAATCCTAAAATACTGTGTTTTTTATACAAGTTATACATTGGTTACACTTAATGTTTTAACCAACTAGTACACTTATGTGGCTCAAAATTCAAAAATTAAAAATCTTCCTTTTATTGTATTGCCCACCCATGGAATCCCACTTCCTAGGCAAGTAACACTCCTGTGGTACTAGAGATACATCTCTATACATACACATCTATTCCTTTCCCACCCCCTTTTTATACATATTATAGAATTGTACACACTTAAGCTCTTTGCTTTTTATTTACTGTATCTTAGTATATTTGGGGGGGTCATATCAGGACAAAGTGCTTTCTCTCCCTTTTTTTTAAGGCTGCATGCTGTTTCATTGCATGGAACTATCACACTGTAACCAGTCCCCAAATGATTTAGGTTGCTTTCAAAAATTTGCCCTTATTAATAGTGCTGCAGTAAATTAGTCTGTAAAATGGCATTTTACACAATTTCAAGTTTATCTCTAGGAGAGATTCCTAGAATCAGACGATTCAGGTCGGAAGATTTATGCATTTATAATTTTAGTATATATTACTAAATTACCAGTTCTACTCCCTCCATCACTATATTAGAGTGTCTTTTTTTTTTTTTTTTTTTTTTTGAGGCAGAGTTTCACTCTTGTTGCCCAGGCTGGAGTGCAATGGCGCTATCTCGGCTCACTGCAACCTCCACTTCCCAGGTTCCAGCAGTTCTCCTGCCTCAACCTCCCAAGTAGCTGGGACTGCAGGCATGCACCACCATGCCCAGCTAATTTTTTGTATTTAGTAGAGATAGGGTTTCACCATGTTGGTCAGGCTGGTCTCGAACTCCTGATCTTAGGTAATCCACCGCCTTGGCCTCCCAAAATGTTGGGATTACAGGCGTGAGCCACTGCGCCCAGCCTAGAGTGTCTATTTTGCTGTGGGTTACAAAATCAAGGATTTTAGAATTGCCCTTTGCAAATGGAAAAATTCCTATATATAATCCTATAAGTAAAGTGATTCAGTATATGACGCACTACCTTAAAGTTAGCATTAAGTCTTCTTAGTCAACCCTAGGATAGTATCTGGCATAGAAAGATCAGCGTTCTGAAGAAGTTGTTTGATGCGTGAAATTGAGTTTCAATTGACTTAGATATATTTAAGCCTTGTTATTTTGTTTACAGTGATAAAATATTACTCTTGTTATAGTCTAAATTAATGGGCTATATTTCTTCTCTGGATTTTTATTTTGCTGACTTACTGTCTTATTTCCATTCTAATTAGAGATTGTATGTATATTAACCAAAAAGCATGCCCAAGTGTTATATCTATGAGTATTGTGTGTGTGTGTATATGTATATATATATTTATTTGGTAGAGACAGGGTCTTGTTGTGTTGCCTAGGCTGGTCTTAAACTCATGAGCCTAAGCAATCCACCTGCCTCAGCCTCCCAAAGTGCTGAGTTTACAGATATGAGCCACTGTACCCAGCCTAAATATATATATATATATATATATATATTTTTTTTTTTAAATAATTATTTGGAATCTTTTAAGAAAATCATCAGGCCAAAAGTGACCTGAGAGAAGATACATTGTCCTGCTGGGCGTTATATGCCTAGAGCTCTAGGCTATCACAAAATCTCTCTCTTAAACTACAATGATCTTTATTGGTGTTTGGGGCAGGTGTTGCAGCAGTTGAAGATCAGTGATATCAGAAATTACAGGGAGTATAAAATTGTAAAAAGAGCACCCTGCATTGAATTTATGGGGTTCCCCCCTCCATTGTGTCCTATTTTTATGGCCATGTTCTGTTTCCTGTTATGTTGTTCTTATGCTCAGGTAATGTGACAGTTCATATTCAGCATCAATTACTAAATGGTTTTTTGGGAAAAGGTCAATATGACTATTAAGTACCTATTTTTACCTAGATTATACTAAATTGGTTGTTGTACATAAATCTTTTTAAATAGCTAAGTCCAAGTTTTGACATTTCTACAACCGTATAGGCTCCAGATTCGTCTTGATGGTTAGAAAGGAGGCAGGATACAGGTAAAAGAGGCTCCCATGCCTCTCTTTATTCCCAGTTAAGGCTCCAAAATGTTTAGGCAAAACATCTTGGTTTCCAATTCAGTTTTTAGATAGTCTGTAGGTAATATATGCCTTTTATGAGGCCACCTATACTCTATACTCAGGAGTAGGATGCTTCAATTTGATGGGTATAGACTTGTTATCTTAGCCTTCTAGGACATAGGATAACCTATAATTGTTGGAAGATTTCTCTTAGTGATTTTTTTCTCACTCCATTACCCCAGCCGTTCTGAAAGATCATACTGTCCTAGAATTGGATATAAATTCACTAATCTAAATGAAAGCACCTAACACAATACCTTGTGCCTAGCAGGGGCTCAGTTAAGACTCTTTGAATCTGAATGACTCTCTGAATAGGAAGACATATATTCTGCCAGGCATTTATTAATAATCATGAAATCACATTATAACTTTAAAATCTGCTTACTGTGCTATATAGACCTTGAATACTATCTTTCACACTTAGTTCTATGTGGTTTTGGGCTCTCAGAGCCCTAGTAGTTTCATACTTCTTTTAAAAAGAAGGGTAAGGGTAGATTTGATAGTAGAAAAGTAATTCTGAGCAGTCTTATAAATAAAACAGTTGACCAAATGGAATAACACTGTTTTCACTCAAAGACAAATTATTCTTCTAAATACTCTTGATTTTCTTGAGACCCTGTCTCTAATAAGAATAAGAATAATAAAATCAGCTAGGTGAAGCGGCCCGTGCCTGTAATCCCAGCACTTTGGGAGGCTGAGGTGGGCAGATCACCTGAGGTCAGGAGTGCAGCCAGCCTGGCCAACATGGTGAAACCTTTCTATCTCTACTAAAAATACAAAAATTAGCTGGGCATGGTGGTGGGTACCTATAATTCCAGATATTCGGGAGACTGAGGCAGGAGAATCCCTTGAACCCAGGAGGCAGAGATTGCAGTGAGCCGAAATCACGCCGTTGTACTCCAGCCTGGCGACAAGAGCGAGAATCCAGCTCCCCCCCCCAAAAAAAGTCTTGATTTTCTTTTGTATAACTTGTAAAAGTGAGTCTTTCCAGATAATGTTTTAAAGAATGGCAGTATCTTGGAATAACTAATTTCTGATGAGTAACATCTTCACAGTAAATACTACTCGGCTAAGTGGAAAGAAATATAATTTTGTCTTAAAATAATTATAGATTATTGTTTTAAACTGTCTTCAAATGTGAAACTGATACCAAGTAGTTAGTTTTGAAAGCATTTGTGTACTGTTTCTGGGAGTTGTAAGAATCATATCAATTACTCATATTATTTTAGTTGATCATCCACACTTGCTGAGGGGTTAGAGCTTCCTTGGGAACTTCATAGGCTGGTTAACCTGTTTGTTTTGGCCTTATGTGAGGTCTGGTCCCTAAGGATCATCTCGATGTAGAGCTTTGGGCAAACTTGTTGACACCACCACAAAGTAAATTCTACTTGCAAAACACAAATACCAGTGGATTTAGGGTTTTGTAGACCAATAATAGTATGATATTACATGTACAATAAAAACATAAAATAATCTTTTAAAGCAAACTGGGGGAGGGGAGAGGGCCTTAAAGGGCAAGGAGGAATTCCTAGCTCAAATAATAATTTCTTTATTGCAGTTACCCATTCTGATCACTTGCTGTGACATGCCCTTTTAATTCCTTGGCCTCTTTGAATTGAATAAATTCTCTTCAGCCTTCTTTAATGCCTTAGGAACAATTGAGAATCAGCAGTTTTAGGGTATTTAGGAGGAAGGACTGGTATCCATATGTGGTGATTATAGAAGTTGTGTATACTATTTTTGTGCTGTGTAGTCAGCTCTTGGCTGTATTTCCACTGCCTTGAAACTCAGCTCCTTTCTATTGGTAGGTTGAAGAAATGGGCACAGATGTAAAGAGATAAGGTGGCAGGGCTGGGACAAGTAGGGAGTCTTGTGACGACAGGATGTTTTCTTCTCACTTATAGGACTGGTGTGTTTTTTAGTAATCAGGGTCATTCTTGCTCTGTCTACTAGAGGTTATCAATGAATGTTGGTTTTTAGTTTGGTTTACTATTAGCTGGAGGCAATTTGGGGTCAGGGGGTCTAGTACTAAGAACATCTTGTTTGTTTGTTTTCCAGTTGAGTGTTACACTGTAATGAGGCTGCATTGGCCTAAAACACTGATTGTCAGGTTAAGCAAGTACTAATGACTCAGTAAGGAATATTCTTCTGAGTCACAGGGAGCTAGTACCTAGAACAGTAGATAAGAAGAAAGTTCTTCACTTTAGATATAGCAAAATTCAAGGGTTTTTTTTTGTTCTTGTTGTTTGGAAAATAAGTTTTGATTTTTATAAGATCTACTTAATTTATAAACTGTGTAATATCAACTGCAGAGGTTCAGAGAATTTATCAAGTAAGACTTTGATTCTGTTGCAGTAAGGGTACTGAAAAAGAGAGTAATTCAACAGAAGTCTTTCTAGTAGGGAAGATAGTATAATCCTTTGCCAATGTAACTTGAGTTTCTTTAGGTTAAATTTTAATATTTGTGAATTAATTTATATGTACCTTTCTGGCAACTGCCAAAAGTTTGGTTCCAGCTTATACAATTTACACATTATTGAATTTTAGCACAGTTAGGGAACTGGAGGGTGGAGAATAGATATGGGGTGGTAAGGCAGGAGGCAGGTCAGGGTTAGAAGTTTTCCAGGAAGGCCACAAGTGAGGAAAAGCAAACTGTACCTAGAAAACTACTCTAATGGCCTCTGTGATGAAGGAGGGAACTGGAGATTGTGCCTTATAGTTGGCAAAAATCTATTTATAAGTGGAGCAATGCCTTTGGAACTCTGGTTGTTGGAGAGTGAGTTAAGAAAGAGCTACTCAGGTTTGGGTGTGTCAAATACACGTTTTCCAAAACTCTTTCCCCACAGTGGGACTGGAAAGTAGAGCCAAATGAGGAGGAGTTCAAAACTTTGGTAGTGAACATTTGGTGGGCCAAACCTAATAAAATAACATTTATTGAGTGGGTAGTACATGTCCTTAATAAAACTCGGAAGATACAAAAGCTAATGATAGAAAGTAAATCTCCTTCCTACCCCTGACTCCCAGCTAACCAGGTCACTCCTTAGAGACACTGTGAGTTTCTTGCCCCAGAGAGCTATGTGTATGTGGGCAGTCACATATTTCAAAGATTTTTTTTTGTTACTGTTCACTGTAAGAGGATATATAAATACAGATAAATGAAAAGATCAAAATAAAAATCAGCAAATCACCTGTAAGTCCACTGCCAGGCAGAACCACTGTGAATAGTTTGATAGTTGAAAGTGTATCCTTTCAGGAGTTTTAAAAATCCATGTGCAATTACGTTTGTACTTTCTTACACTATAAAAAAATTTTTTTAAGAGCCTAGTGTGGTGGCTCACACCTGTGATCCCAGCTACTTGGGAGGCTGAGGCAGAGAAGATAAATGTCTTGAGCCTAGGAGTTCAAGACCAGCCTGGGCAACATAGCAAGACCCCATCTCTTAAAAAAAAAGTTAGATCACCTGAGCAATACATGAATATGTTCCTTTTATTAAAAACAAATTCAAATAATACATATTACATCAAAGTCTTCCTGCACCACTGCTTCCAGTTCTATCCCTTCTCTGTCGTAATGACCATGGTTATCTGCTTGTTGTGTATTCTTTGAGCATTTTATACATATCTATAGATATATATTGCTATGTTTTGTTTTTCATAGATGAGAATATCCTGTTCATATGATAGTGTAAGAAACAATATCTTGTTATTTAGCTATTGTCTCCATAATAACCAGTTAAGTTGAGGACCTTTTCAAATGCTTAGTGAACATTGATAGCACCTTTTCGTGAATAGCCTGAGCTGTACATAACATTTAGGAAACTCTTCTTGTTACCTTCTATATTAATAAATACTCTCTATCACAATTTTTTAAAATTTATTTATTTATTTTGGAGACAAGGTCTTCATCACCCAGACTGGAGTGCCGTGATGTGATCATAGCTCACTGCAGCCTTGACCTTCTGGGCTCAAGCGATCCTCCCACCTCAGCCTCCCAAGTAGCTGGGACTACAGGCACGCATCACCATGCCCAGCTTTTTTTTTTTTTTTTTTTTTTTTGAAAAACAGGATTTCACCATGTTTCCCAGGCTGGTCTTGAACTCCTGGGCTCAAGCGATCAACCTGCTTCAGCCTCCCAAAGTGCTGGGATTATAGGCATGAGCCACCTCGCCCAGCCTACCACATTATTCTTCAATGGCTATTAACATTGAATGGATATGTGATAGTTTGTATAATTTACACTTTTATAATTGATATGCTTTGTGAAGACCTTATACCTGTAAGATCATTTTGAGGGGAAGCATTTTGGTCAGATTAATACTATTATGATCAAATAAAGCTTTAAGTCTTTTATTTGCTCCCCTTGATAAGATTTATACTTATTTAACAATACTAATCATTTTACTACTTAGATTAGATTATGGACTCAGAACTATTATGGTTTCTGGTGGCAACAAACTAGTCACTTTGGCTAGACATAGATGTTCCTAAATCTCTAATTACCCATAAATTGTTTGCACTTCTACATATATCTGATTGTGCCCATTACAACAGAACCTGTTTGTTTAGTTTTCCCAGGTAAATCTCATAGGCAGCTATTTATGCCTAGACAAAAAATATGTTAGGAGATCAAAAAAGATCGTCATTGTGATTTTAATGAGAAAGCATCCTGGAGAAAAGATTGAAAATGTAGGCTGATATGAGAAAGCTGGGAGGATTAAGTGAGTAGCAGGAGACTATCCCAGATGGGGAGAAAGCACAAGGAACAGTAAGAAGGTGTGTTTGGGGGAGAGTTGGTAGACAGTTTGAATGGATGAAGTGTTCATGTTGGAAAATTGTAAGAAAAAAGTTGGAAAGGTGGTTTGAGTCAACATGTACAAGGCATTTAACTGGTGCCATGTTAAGGGTTTTCAATTCTTATAGGTGGAGTGCTTTTGAAGCATTTTGAGCAGGGGAAATAATAGGGTATTTTCCAAATATTAATTAGGTGGTAATTATGCAGGATAAATTTGAGGAAAGAGGCCAGGCGCGGTGGCTCACATCTGTAATCCCAGCACTTTAGGAGGCCAAGGCGAGCAGATCACCTGAGGTCAGGGGTTCGAGACCAGCCTGGCCAACATGGTGAAACCCTGCCTCTACTAAAAATACAAAAATTAGCTGGGTGTGGTAGTGCGCACCTGCAGTCCCAGCTACTCGGGAGGCTGAGGCAGGAGAATCACTTGAACCTGGGAGGCAGAGGTTGCAGTAACCTGAGATCATACCACTGCACTCCAGCCTGAGCGGCAACAGAGTGAGACTCCGTCTCAAAAAAAATTTGAGGGAAGAGAGGCTAATTAAGACATTCATTATGTTTAGGTGAAAAACAAAGGCCAGCATTCTAGTATTGACAGTTAGAATGGAAAGGAAGCTGTAGATATGGTTAATCATGGCAACAAAGATTTATGGGGAGAGACACTTGGAAGCAGAAATTATGAGAGACTTTTGAAATAGCATTATTGAGGTATAATTTAAATAAATATAATTCATCCGTTTTAAGCGTACAGTTTGATGGATTTTAACAGATGCGTGCAATCCTGTAACCACTACTACAATCATGATACGGAACAATTGCATCACCCCAGAAAATTCCCTTTACAGACAGATCTGTCCCTCCAAACTTAGCCTCTGGCATCCTCTGATCTGGTTCCTGTGACTCTAGGCTTTTCTGATGTTTGTTTGTTGGCCTTTTCTAGGGTTTCCTGTAAATGGAATCTCATGTCTTCTGCGTCTGGGTACTTTGACTTAGCATAGTACTTTTGAAATTCCTCCATGTATTGCCTGTGTCCCTTCTTATTGCCGAGCAGTAATCCACTGTATTCCTACTGTGGATTATGTTCCACCGTTGTTTATCCGTCCACCAGATGATGACCGTTGGGTTGTTTCCAGTTTTTGGCTGCCATGAGTCAAGTTGCTATAAACGTGAGAGTGCAAGTCTGTGTGTGAATACACATTTTCATTTCTCTTGGGTGCATGTAACAGTGGGGTTGTTAGGTCCAATGGTAACTGTATGCTTAATAAGAAACTACCTGATTCGCTGAGAGAGAGCTTTAAAGGAAAAAAAAAAAACAAAAAACTACCAAACCATTTTCCAAAGTAGCCACATCATTTTGCATTCCTGCTAGTGATGAATCAGAGAACAATTGCTCCATGTCCATGTTAGCATTTGATGTCATCACTCTTAATTTTAGCCAATAATGGTTTTAAGGCAGAAAAAATAGTAAGGATGAACAAAATTGGAATGTCAAGTGGGAGAAGCTAATTTAGAGACAAATGACAGTGGAAACACTAATTTCAGTTTTGCTTTATTAGAGTTTAAGGTGTTTTCAACTAAAAAAATGACCCTATAGGTTCTATAACTTCTCATATAGAATTTTTAAAAGAATGGCCTGTTGGAGTTAGGCAGTCATGAGTTTGAAGATTGGCTCACCTATTTTCTGTGTGACCTTAGATAAGTTACTTGTCCTTTCCTAGCCTTCGTTTTCCCCATTTGTCAAATGTGAAATAATAGATGATTGTACTTAGTATAGGATCTGATGCAAAGTTAGCATTCAGTGAATGGTAGCTTGGTATTTAAATATATATTTTATGCCCCAGTAACTTGTGAATTTCTTGCAAATCTGAGCATTTTTTTTCTTTCTAGCTGTTTTATTCCCCAACTGTGTTAATTCCCCATACTAGTAGTCAGAGTGATTTTGTTAAACACTGATCTTGTCAGTTACTTCCTTGTGCTGATGCCTTCCACTTGTCCTTGTCTGGGTATGAATATCTTAGGAAGAAACCTTGATGAGGTCCTCTGTTGAAAAGGTCTCCTTTCAACCTTTTTCCTTTCTACCATTTATAATTACTGTAGTCATTTGTTTAATCTTTCTCTTCCCCTCTCTGTACTTAACTGCTTGTGTATAACTATAAAATCCATGAAGGCTGGCACATGGTAAGTGCTCAGTAAGTTTGTTTAATAGATCATCTTGTTTTAAGTTACTTGAAGACAAGGACATTTCATACTTAAATTCTGATATCTTAACATATTGCTTTCTATGGCATAAGTTCTTAACAGATATTTTTGACTCTAAGTAATGGTTCGAAATAAGCTATGTAGAATTATTGGGTCAAATAAGATGAAGAGTTTTAAAAATTATTTTAGCATATTTCTATTATAACAGTAATACTTCATAGGAAATTTGGAAATCATGGAAGAGGCAGAAGAAGAAAATGTAAGAGTATTGCAAAGTCTCATGGCAGATGCTTTCAGATTGCTTTCCAAAAGGGTTTTATTGGTACATTCTTTATCAGCAGTGTTTGAGCAGTCCTATTCTCCATCTTTTCAGAATTTAAAATCTTTTCAAAATTTGAATTTTCAAATTCAAATTAAATTCCTCTATAATTTGATAGAGGAAATTGATATCTTACTTTAATCTCATTTATTGATCATTTTCCATTGAGTTGTAATGCTGCCTTTTTCATCTTTAATTCTTATATACTAGGTTAGGTTTCTGAACAATGCTGTTCATTAATCTTTTTATTCTTATATTCCTACCTCATCTATTTTAACTCCCATAACTTTAAAAATATTTCGTATGTGGCAGGACTAGTCCTCTTCATTAGTTTTGTCTGTGGATTTTTATATATTTATTAGATCTCTTCCTCTCTCTCTCAGTTTAGGGTGAAATCATCCCTCATGTCCTTAACTGCTTGTGTGTAACTTCTTCTCAATAGACTACCTCCTACCAACCTCTCTCTTTCCTTTTCCTGAATGCTGATTCTCACCATAATTCTATAACATAATATAAAGGTCTCAGTCTGCAGACCTGCCAAAATGGGAAAAATAAAGGACAATCTATTATGTATTTTGCATCTAAGCACATGGGTATGTTGTATGTATATATGTGTATATGTATATATTTATTACATCTGTGTGTGTGTGTGTGTGTGTGTGTATGCATGTATGCATGTTGTTTAAGGTTGCCAACTGGCATTTCTTGAGAAGGATTGTCATTGTTCTGGGATTATACCCTCAGTAGCCCTATTTAGCAAGATGTTGGTTCCTAGAATTGTACTTGAAACTTTTACCTAACTTGTAAAATCTAAAAATATGGGAACCATTACTTACATTTCGCACCACAGTACCTTTCTTGGTGATGATGGTATAGTAATCATGTTGTTTTGTCCACTGAAAAGTGTACAATGGAGTCACAGCTTATGTAGGAGTTAGGTTTTTTTAGCATCACTATGTAATATAGACATAGCAGCTAGTCAGAATTGCCTTTGCAAGTTACTTGTAAAGTGATGACACCATGTTGGAGATGTCTTTCGTAAGTCTGGCATAACTTTTTTCCCTCAAGCACTGGAACAGATCACTGTATCTTTGCATTGAAACAAAGCAAAGCAATTTGCTTTTATTTAAGGGCCATGTTACATACAACTTACTCATCTTTAACCATTAGAATCACACTTTTCATTGAGAGGTATGCGGTTTGAGAGCTGAAACCAAATGAGATGACTAGAGATTTACATCTTGCATCTCATGCTCTCTACAAGGCTCACTGTGGCTTAGTGGTGGCATGTTGGTTTGCAGAATCTTTTGCACTAATTGTTTTCTTGGTTTTGTTTTTGCTTTTGTTTTTTGAGATAGGGTCTCGCTCTGTCACCCAGGTTGGAGTGCAGTGGCATGAACTTGGCTCACTGTAGCCTCAACCTCCTGGGTTCCTCCTGCCTCAGCCTCTCAAGTAGCAAGGACCACAGGCAACATGCCACCATGCCTGGCTAATTAAAAAAAAAAAATTTGTTGAGACAGGTCTCACTGTGTTGCCCAGGCTAGTCTCAAACTCCTGGGCTCTCGCAATCCTCCTGCCTTGGCCTCCCAAAGTGCTGAAATTACAGGTATGAGTTACTGCACCTGGCCTTCTCTTCTCTTTCTAAGCATCTGCTTCCCCCATCCCCTACCAAAAAAAATATCATGGGACAGGGAAGTCTTAGAAGATGCTTAGAAAATTTAAGATGGGTACCATAGCTTGTGTCTGTAGTCCTGGCTACTTGGGAGTGTGAGGTGGGAGGATCGCTTGAGCCTAGGTGTTCCAAGGTGAGCTATAACCATACCATGGCACTCTAGTCTGGGCTACAGAGCCAGACCTTGTGTCATTTTTTTTCTTTTGGAGACAGAGTCTCGCTTTGTTGTCCAGGCTGAAGTGCAGTGGTACCATCTCGGCTCACTGCAACGTCCGCCTCCCCAGTTCAAGTGATTCTTGAGCCTCAGCCACCCAAGTAGCTGAGACTACAGACGCATGCCACCACACCCAACTAATTTTTGTATTTTTAGTATAGATGGGCCTCCCGTCATTTTGGCCAGGCTGGTCTCGAACTCCTGGCCTCAGGTGATCCGCCTGCCTCGACCTCCCAAAGTGCTGGGATTACTGGCATGAGGCACTGCGTCCGGCCCAGACCCTGTATCAAAAAAAAAAAAAGAAGAACTACTGTAGACTCACAAAAAGTTGCAAATATACTACAGAGAAATCCCATGTGCCTGTTGAACCCAGCTTCCCCCAGTAGTAATATCTTACATATCTGAAGTTATCTAAACTAGGAAATTGACATTGGCATAATACAGTCAACTAGATAATAGATCTTAACTCAGATTTCACGTACTCATTTCAGTTTTTACATGCACTCATTTTTCATTTTCTTGTATGTCTGTGTGTATAATTCTAATTATTAAAACAAATACTTTTAGGCTGGACCCAGTGGCTCACACCTATAATCCCAGCACTTTGGGAGGCTGAGGCAGCAGGATTGCTTGAGCCCAGAAGTTCAAGAACAGCCTGGGCAACATAGGGAGGCCCTGTCTCTACAAAAATATTTAAAAATTAGCCGGGCTTTGAGGCATGCACCTGTAGTCCCACTTACGAGGCTGAGGCAGGAGGTTCACTTGAGCCCGGGAGGTTGAGGCTGCAGTGAAGCCATGATCATGCCACTGCACTCCAGCCTGGGTGACAGAGTGAGACCCTATCTCAAAAAACAAACATGCAGTGAGCCATGATCATGCCACTGCACTGCAGCCTGGGCAATAGAGCAAGACCCTATCTTTAAAAAAATAATAATAATAATTTAAAACATAATTTTAAGTTTACAGGAAAGTTGCAAAGACAATACAGAGAGTTCCCATACAGCCTTCACCCACTGTCCCCTGTTGTTGACATCTTGCAATGTTGTTGACATCTTGCAATTTGTATGTTTGTTACAGCTAAGGAGCCAGCATTGGCACACTACCATTCAACTCCACATTTTATTTGGATTTTACTAGTTTTCTCCTAGTGTCTTTTTTCAGTTTCTGAATCAGCCAGGTTACCATATTAAACTTAGTCATTATTTCTCCTTAGGTTCATCTATACTGTGGCAGTTTTTCACATTTTCCTTGTTTTTGATAATTTTTGACAACTTTGAAGAAGGTGGTCACTCATTTCATAGAATGTCCATGAATTTGGTTTTGTCTGATGGTTTTCTCAGGGTTAGGCTGGGGTTATAGGCTACTGAGAAGATCACAGAGGTGACGAAGTGCAGTTTTTATCACAGATCATGGATACATGCAGTCAGTATGATGTATCCCTGTTGACGTTGACTGTAGTCACCTAGAGAGGTAGTGTTGGCCAGGTTTTCTACTATGAAGTTACTCTGTCCCTCCCCTTTTTATACTCTTTGGAACAAGTCACTAAGTGCAATTTGCATTCAAGGTGTGGGAGGACTTAAACCTCCTGGAGAGGGGGACTATCTGCAAAAATTATTTGAATTCTTCTAACAGGTCTTTTTAAACTTTATGGAAACAGCATGAGTACCAAATCAGTCTAATGTATCTGTTCTTTGCAGGGTGGGAAACCCCGTAAACACCGGAAGGATCGGCTACAAGATTTAATTGATATAGGCTTTGGCTATGATGAGACAGATCCATTTATTGATAACTCAGAGGCTGTGAGTAATGTATCTTTAATATAGCAGCAAATTCATTGTTTGTATGGGATAGTAGAAGTCAAGGGTAAAGTAACTTAAATAGTGCAGTGAATGTTTTTATTTGTGCTTTTTAAAGCCATGTTCACTACTTAAAGATTTCTTTACCCTTTTTTTTTTTTTTAAAGAATACTGCAGACTGAGAATTTTGTAATTTTGGGTTTGTCTGTGGTGAATTGTTATTACATTGTTAAAATAGACCAAGTTTTATCAAACTTTTTTCTGTAAAAGGCCACATAGTATTTTAGACTTTGTGAACCCTGTGGTTTCTGTCACAACTACACAAGTTTGCCATTGTAGCATGAGAGCAGCCATAGATAATACCTAAAGAATTAGCATGGCTGCGTTACAATGAAACTTTATCTATGGTCTGTGAAATTTAAATTTCATATAATTTTTCGTGTGTTGTGAAATATTAATTTCTTTTGATTTTTTTTCCAATAATTTTTAAAATGTAAAATCCATTTCTAGCTTGCAAGCTGTTTGAAAACAAGCCGGTGGGCTGGATTTGGCCAGTGCATCTCATGGTTTGCTGACTCTGTACAATGTCTTTATTTTCATATGCTCTGCTCCTTTCCAGTTCCTGAAAGAATCTCTTGGGATTCTCTAGTAGTTGCTCATTTTCAGAAGTCTAATTATAGCGTTGACTCCATCCTCACCCCTTGCTCAAACAGAACAAAAATAAGTTTCTTAAAAAAAAAGAGAAAAAGGAAAATCAAATGCTGAAAAACATTAAGTTAAGCTAGTGGTTCTCAATCAAGGGTGAGAATATTAGTACACTTGTCTTAACTCAGACTTAAGGAATTAGGATTTCTGGAGGTGAGGCCTACAGAGATTTTAGTGTTCTTTTTTTTTAATTATAAGATTAACATATGCTTATGGTAAAACAACAATAAAGTACAAGGTGGTTATGTAGAAGGTAAAGTACCCAAAGGCCCCAGTCCTGAGAGGTAAATACTAAAAATCTTCTTGTGTAGTTGTCCAGAAATTTCAGTGATACTTATATATTAGTACATGGATATAATCCTTTTAATGGCTGCTAGTGAATATACCTAAATTACATAATGTATTTATCTACACCCATTTGATGTACATCTAAACTGTTTCTGGTTTTATGTGCATACAAATAACGGAGCATCTGGGTGCATTTATCTACTGAAGTAACTGTGTATGAAATCTGGGTGCATTTATCTACTGAAGTAACTGTGTATGAAGGGTATTTAGAGGGTGCATTTATATGGGTAGGTTAAATTTCTAGCAGTGGAATTTATTGGTCAAAGGGCATTTATTTGCATCGTGATTTTTATTGATATTCCCAAACTTGGGCAGGTGTGTTTCAAAATGACTTCCAAGATAAGAACCATGCAATCTTAAAGATTGGTGCTACTGGGTTGAAATTAATCTGGCAGACATCTCTAATATCTGTTCAATTCTTTATTGCTGCCATGCCTTATTACCAGGATGGTACATTGAGTGCCAGTCTTTATCACCAGTCTGTTTTGATTGAGCCCTACAGCTTTTCCCCTGGAATCCCCTTTTTCTTACAAAAGGAAAAGGAATTTAGGAGAGCATTTAAGGACTGTAGCAGCCCCTTGATCACATAACAAATGAAAGACAAGTCATGTTTTGCAGTAGAGAAGGTGTATGTTCTTCCATTCTTGTCCATGTACTAGAGTAATCTAATCCCTGGGATTATGATATCCTCTGCAATGTGCAGTAATTAAGCATATACAGAAGGTGACACTAGGTGACTATTACACTACCCACAAATTATATATTATGTCTTTTTTCCTGTTGCTACAGTGCTTGCTTATAAAGTTGATGACAGAACATATAAAGGTAGGAGAGTGACAGTAAGGACTTCAACATGAGGCACATTGGATATTCTGTCAAACTCCTAAGTTAATTCTGCTGTCACGGCCGGGTGCGGTGGCTCACGCCTGTAATCCCAGCACTTTGGGAGGCAGAGGCCGGCAGATCACGAGGTCAGGAGATCGAGACCATCCTGGCTAACACAGTGAAATCCCATCTCTACTAAAAATACAAAAAATTAGCCGGGCGTGGTGGCGGGCGCCTGTAGTCCCAGCTACTCGGGAGGCTGAGGCAGGAGAATGGCTTGAACCCGGGAGGCGGAGCTTGCAGTGAGCCGAGATCGCGCCACTGTACTCCAGCCTGGGCAACAGAGTGAGACTCCGTCTCAAAAAAAACAAAAAAAAAATTCTGCTGTCCCGACATAAACTTATTTACCATACTAGGCAGTCTGGTCTGTAGAAGTAACATATTGCCAGTGCCCTTTGGAGTAAAATGGCCTTCGTCTTACAAAAAAGGTTGTCAACCAATAAATCAGGGCATGGAATGTTTTCCGGAGTCTTGACCTCGATTTGTAACTTGGTGCAGAAGTCTAGATTGTAATCTTAATTCAGTTTCTAATTTGCTGTGTAGCCAGGAGCAAGTCTTTTAGCACCACCCGGTTTTCTCTGCTATGACTTGCTTACCCCACAGAATTACTGAGCCTTAAATAAGGTAATGAATGTAAACTAGCTGAAGAAACATGAAGCAAGTGCAAAGCATCAGTAGAAGTGTTATGTGTACATTTTGAATTCTAAATAACCCAAGAAGTAACTTAGCCATATATAAATGGGCATCACATGTACTCACACTTACATAAATAGCTTTTTTAAATTAATAAACTTTCTTTTCTTAGAGCAGTTTTAGAGTCACAGCAAAACTGAGCAGAAAGTACAGAGTTTCCATGAACACCTTGCCCGCATGCACACACTGCCTTCCCCCGCTCAGCATGCTGTACCACAGTAGGACATTTGTTAGAGTTGATGAGCCCAGACATTGTGACACATCATTGTCACCGAAGTCCATAGTTCACATTAGGGTTCATTCTTGGGGTTGTACACTTTGTGGGTTTGGACAAATGAATAATGACACGTATCTACCATGGTAGTATCACACAGAAGTGTAGTTTTGCTTCCCTTAAAATCTTCTGTGCTCTGCCTATTCATTCCTCCTTCCCTCCTAATCACTGGCACCTACTGGTCTTAACTGTCTTCAGAGTTCTACCTTTTCCAGAATGTCTTATAGAGAAAATCATATAGTATGTAACTTTTATAAATAGCATTTTTAATATCTCCTTTTATAGCATTTAGGATATTTTCATGCTGACTTTTGTAACCCATAATTGGCTTATATATCAACTTAAAGGGCATGACTGGTATTTTTAAAGAAAATGAAATCAAATAGAATAGGAACTAGTACGTCATTGGTAGACTATACAGTTTTTATTGTGTGTGTATGTGTGTGCTAGATTTTGATGGGTAATGTATTTTCCACTTGGGCTGTGGTGAAGAAAAGTGGAAAACTTCTGTTTTAATAAGTCAGGATAAATTTTGTAGATACGAATTGCTTAGTCATACAACTAGTTTCTGAACAAGGTAGGTTCCTGTTTTATAAGAAGAAATTGAACTGAAATGCAGGTTGCGTGACTTAACAAAATAACTTAGTGTCTTTGCCCTTGACATATTATTTGTTTTTTTTTAATGAGATAATTCAGACATAAAACAACTATGGTCGAACCAAATGATTCTTGTTCTTTTCATTTATTGTATTGCCAGTAAGCTTTCAGTGTTGGCATATTGTTTAATATATTCTGAATCATGCACGAATTACTAAAAATAAATACCTGAAAATAAATGCTTTTGAAGATTATTTTTAGTCTCATATTTATGCTACCAAACTGTAAAAGAGCTGAAAGAAAATGTTTTGTTTATTATTAATAAATAATGATACCAGGCATGATTCACACACTTTTATTTAGATAGTCTCTTTTAAATTTCACTAGAACTTTGTGAAGTAATATTGTCCCTGTTTTATAACCCTCCAAATTTGATGTTAAGTGATTTTCCCTGGGTCACAGTAGCTAGTCATAGGCAAAGAATCTAAATCCAGGCCTTTTGATTCTTAAGTTCAGTGTGTTACCTCTTAACACATTCTACTGAAATGACTGAACTAAATATTCACAAAGAGTGTATTCCTCTGAAGAGTGTTCGGATAGGAAAAGCTCAGCAGAATACTGCATAAGAAAACAGACTTTGAGCACATCAGAATTGCCCTGTATACCTGGAGATGAACATGTTTCACTCCCACGTGAAGCTGCTTGGAAGAAAAAGGAATAGTAGCAGTGATCCTTAAATTTTTCTTAGCAGGTGATATATTTAGAATTTACTTTATTATTTCAGAAGTTTTTTTCTTACACCAAATTATCAGAACTAATTTTTATTTCAGATAGTAACCTTTTCTAAATTTATTTTACAATAAATTAGATGGGTTGGAGGCAGCCACTGACTTTGCCATAAACATATGTATAGAATTGCTTTGGTAAGGTGCTTACCTGGCTTTCATCTTTAAAGTGGGAGTAATATTTGCCTTTCTTACCTCACAAGGGTATCATGAGGACCAAATGAAATAATTTATATGAAGAAGTATTGAAAATTATAAAGCATTGTACAAAACAATGTAGGCAAAGAGTACAGGTGTTTTTATCTTATCACAGTTAGTTTTCGAAATTATTACTGTCTTTTCACATTTAATCCCTCACCCCTCATATCACTTATTTGCAGATGGTACTGCCCCTTTTCTGTAAGATCTTTATAATAGTGTAGATGTTTGTAGTAGATCTTTCTAGTAGTGTATCAAGTAGAACGATAAGAAAGTAGTTTTTTTCTTTTACCTTTCTTCAATCATTTTATTTCTTTTTAATTCAGTGTGATTAAACTGGAACCTCTTCATTTTTCCATTCTCCATATAATTGAAAAAGATACAGGTTAAAATTACAACTTTTGTACTTAGCCTTATATTCTTACAGTAACTAATAGGATATGTATATTCCTTGCCCATGGCAATGAAGTTTCCCTAAAAATCTGACTTTCTTAAAGACTAGTTAGATGATGTGAAGAACCTCGGAAGTAGAGGTCTAGAGATCCCAGGTAACAGATATCTTTCTACAATCAGATAAGTTCCTTTTTTCTTTCCTACTTTGAACACCTTCATTTGGTTAAGTTGTCCTTCACTTAGTGTTTGCTTTTTAGCCATCTTTATCAGGTGAGGTAATGATAAACCTTGAGATCTAGCCTTTGGGAACATAAGTGTGATTTAAACAAATTGAGTTCCTTGCTCCAAGCAAAGTACCTCCTCATTCTAGGTCCTCAAGTATGTGCTTTCTGAACTGGGCAGTTGTTTTTCTATGCTATTCAATTCTTTTAAAATATGTGCTATTCTTTTTCTAAAATATATTTGCTATTTTTCTTTCTTTTTCTCTTTCTTTTGAGACAGAGTCTCGCTGTGTCACCCAGTCTGGAGTGCAGTGGTATGATCTTGGCTCACTGCACCCTCCACCTCCCAGGTTCAAGCGATTCTCCTGCCTCAGCCTCCCAAGTAGCTGGGACTATAGGCACCCACCCCACCACGCCCGGCTAATTTTTTGTGTGTGTATTTTTAGTAGAGATGGGGTTTCACTATGTTGGCCAGGCTGGTCTTGAACTCCTGACCTCATGATCCACCTGCCTTGGCCTCCCAAAGTGCTGAGATTATAGGCGTGAGCCACCATGCCCGGCCTAAATTAAATGTTTTTAAAGTTTTCTCCACTTAAAAGCATACGGCTAAGACAGAAAAAATAGTTTCTGTTAAACAGAATGTTGTTGCTGTTTTTTGTTTTTTTAGACCGAGTTTCACTCTTGTGCAATGACGCAATCTTGGCTCACTGCAACCTCCACCACCTGGGTTCAAGGGATTCTCCTGTCTCAGCCTCCTGAGTCGCTGGGCTTACTACGCCCAGCTAATTTTTGGTATTTTCAGTCGAGACAGGATTTCACCATGTTGGCCAGGCTGGTCTCGAACTCCTGACCCCAGGTGATCCACCCGCCTCAGCCTCCCAACTGGGATTATAGGCGTGAGCCACCGCACCCAGCCAGTTTTGTTATTCTTTATAAAATCTCCTTATGGTAGGAAATGAAATTTACTCCTTATCTGGACACTTGGTCATCTTTTTAAACTTGATTTCTCATCAGAACCATTTGTCATTAAGAATAGTAGCAGTGGGAAGGAAGAAAAAGGAATAGTAGCAGTGATCCTTAAATTTTTCTTAGCAGGTGATATATTTAGAATATACTTTATTATTTCAGAAGTTTTTTTCTTACACCAAATTATCAGAACTAATTTTTATTTCAGATAGTAACCTTTTCTAAATTTATTTTACAAACATCCTTATTGCAGTCTGTGTTGCAGTTAGGATTTAAGGGAGATGCTGCCATGGTGGATGAATTTCTTTGACATTTATAGAGTTAAAGACAACAGGATATAGCGGAAACTTTTTTGTTTTTTAATCTAGTATGATGAATTAGTTCCCGCTTCTCTAACAACAAAATATGGAGGCTTTTATATCAACACTGGCACTCTACAGTTTCGCCAAGCTTCAGATACTGAAGAAGATGATATTACAGACAACCAAAAGCACAAGCCACCCAAGGTGAGTTTATCAAACATTGCAACAGTACTGAGAATGTTCAATTAATAGGATTTTTTTTAATGTTACTTGTGTCACACGTGTGAATGTAAGGAAAAGTAAAATACAAACCATTGTGTCATGAATATATAATTACATGCTTTAAAATTAAATTATGTAGATATTGGAAAATTGGTATTTACATCATAGAATTATATTTTCTTATAAAAACTTCTCTCTACAAATGTGGGCTAATAATTTACTGTTTCTGGGAGAAGGTTATATTTCTCGGATAGGTTAATATTAATAGCTGTTACCTTTCCTAAGATGTCATTTTTAACAAAATCTATAGAATTTGTATACATTGTCTTTGGGAAAGATATAGTGTCCTTGGATAAGTGTTTCTTGAAGTGTGGCCCAAAGACTTACTTACACCAGAATCACCAGAATGCTTGTTTAAAATGCAAATTATAAGGTTCTAACTCAGATAACTGAATCGAAACCGGAGGTGAGAGTGCTCTTGAACCCCAAGGATCTGCAGTTATAACAAACGATTGTAATGCACACTGACATTTGAGAAAAACCACTGCTGATGCTGGATTGCTAACATCAAAGAGTAAAGCATTGTTACTTACATAAATGATCATTCTTTTATCATTTTGCAGGTCCCCAAAATAAAAGAAGATGATATTGAGATGAAGAAGCGGAAGCGGAAAGAGGAAGGGGAAAAGGAGAAGAAGCCAAGGAAAAAAGTTCCCAAACAACTGGGGTACGTTAAATTAAACCTAAGAAGGGAACTGGCGTCACAGTCTGACTGTCTCTCCCTTTAGAAAGATATACTTACCATTAACTAATTCAACCTAGCTGAGTCTAATTTAGTACGTTATTGACATATTAGTGACTTATGTTTAATAGTATTGTAGTATTTGTTCTTAAGTAGAAGGCTTTGTCATCTTAGAGACTCCTAGTGTTTTAGGTGAAATGCTCATTACTACTTTTACCAACAAGAACCAGTTTGAAAAGATATTATAAACATTGAAAAAACTGTTCTAATCTTTTGGTACTAAAACTAAGTTTAGATGCCTGGGGAATGAGGATTGGCAGTAGCCTATATGTAAACAATTTATGGTTGTTTTAATATTAAAAATTTTGATTTGATTGATTTGAGACAGAGTCTCACTGTATCACCCAGGCTGAAGTGCAGTCCCACAATCTAGGCTCACTGCAACTCCCATCTCCTGGGTTCAAGTGATTGTTATGCCTCAGCCTCCCAAGTAGCTGGGATTACAGGTGTATGTCATCACACCCGGCTAATTTTTGTATTTTTAGTAGAGAATATTTTAGTAGTGAAACATGAGGGTTTCACCATGTTGGCCAGGCTGGTCTCAAACTCCTGACCTCAGGTATTCTGCCTCCCTCAGCCTCCCAAAGTGCTCGGATTACAGATGTGAGCCACTGCACCCAGCCAAAATTTTCATTGATTTTACATAGCTATTCTTTTTTTTTTTTCTCTTTTAGATAGGGTCTTGCTATGTCACCCAGGCTGGAGTGCACTGGCACAATCATGGCTCACTGCAGCCTCAACCTCCTGGGATCAAGGGATCCTCCTGCCTCAGCTACCTGAGTAGCTGGGACTATAGGCATGTACCACTATGCCTGGCTAATTTTTATATTTTTGTACAGATGGTGTTTCGCCATGTTATCTAGGCTGGTCTCGAACTCCTGGGCTCAAGTGATTCACCAGCCTCAGCCTCCGAAAGTGCTGAGATTACAGGCATGAGCCACTGCACACAGCCAGTATATAGCTATTATTAATGATATTGCTGCTAAAAAACAAATAGAATTTCTCAGAAGCCTTACATCAGAAGAATAAAATATTTGTATAATGCAGTCAAACATTACCAATTGCCTTGACTTCTCTGTGGCTTTTTTCACAGAGCTAAGGGAAAGACGCTTGTGAGAGGCTGAATTTTCTTACTCTACTTAGCAGTGGAGGTGCATCTGAATTTTGGGTTATCAATATCCATAAGATTGATGTCGGGCGTATTTCTCCCCTCCTAAAACTTGGGATTACAGTCATTAAGAAATTAGGAGGAAAAATGTGTATATTACTAATGGTTGTCTTAAATCTTCATTATTTACAAGTAGACTTCTTTGGGAATGTAGGCTATAAGTAATCCCTTTTATTGAGTGTATTGTTTTTCAACTTTATAACTTATTCATTTATTCAGCTAATATTTATTAAGTACCCTGCTGTATACCAGGCACTGATACAGGGTTTGGGTTGTATAACAGTGACTGAAACACGGGGCTGCCTTTAAGATGCTAATAACCTTTTAGGTTCTGTAGTGCACATAGAAGCATTTAAGCCATAGGATTTAGAAAAGATTTCTAGGAGGAAGTAATAGCTAAACTGAGCTGTTTCCCCATTTTCTTCACTGTAATGGCCATTTACCTATTTGCCTTTCGTGGGTGACATTCCAGATTATACTGAAGAAGGTGCTATTGTAATAGTATAAGTTAATAAGAAATTAAGAAAACTGCTCTGTCACCTGTCAAATTATTATTTTAATTCTGTGCCTGCTTATTTATGTGACACTTTAACGTTTAAAATCACACATAGCCTAACTGATCATTTTTGTCTTCACAGAGTTGTGGCTCTAAATTCACACAAGTCTGAAAAAAAGAAGAAACGTTATAAAGATTCTCTTTCTCTAGCTGCCATGATTAGAAAATTCCAGAAAGAGAAGGATGCATTAAAGAAGGAGTCTAACCCCAAAGTCCCAGTGACCTTGTCAACCCCTTCTCTGAATAAACCCCCATGTGCTGCTGCAGCACTGGGGAATGACGTCCCGGACTTAAATCTGAGCAGCGGTGATCCAGACCTTCCCATTTTTGTTAGCACAAATGAACATGAGCTGTTTCAGGAAGCTGAAAATGCCCTAGAGATGCTAGATGATTTTGACTTCGACAGATTACTGGATGCTGCTTCTGATGGTAGCCCCCTATCTGAGTCGGGGGGTGAAAATGGAACCACCACCCAGCCAACCTACACTTCTCAGGTTATGCCCAAAGTGGTACCTACACTCCCAGAGGGTCTACCTGTACTTCTTGAAAAACGTATCGAAGACCTTCGTGTAGTAAGTGTAATAATTCTCTTGCTTTTTATTTGCTGCACAAACATAAGAATTAATGCTTTTGTTCGTTTGTTTTTATTTTCCACATAACACTGGTATAATTGCTTTTGTTTTTTAAAGATAAAAATAATAAACTACAATCTGAACATTTTTATAACTTTTTATTTGCCATGTTTCCTTTTAGACCTTTCTTTTTTCTTTCTTTCTTTCTTTTTTTTTTTTTTTTAGTAGAGACGGGGTTTCACCGTGTTAGCCAGGATGGTCTCAATCTCCTGACCTTGTGATCCGCCTGCCTTGGCCTCCCAAAGTGCTGGGATTACAGGCGTGAGCCACCGCACCTGGTGTTTTATTTTATTTATTTATTTATTTATTTATTTTGAGACAAAGCCTTGCTCCGTCGTCACACAGGCTGGAGTGCAGTGGCGTGCTCTGCTCACTGCAACTTCTGCCTATTAGGTTCAAGAGATTCTCTTGCCTCAGCCTCCCAAATATCTGGGATTACAGGTGCGCACCATCTCCCCCGGCTAATTTTTGTATGCTTAGTAGAGATGGGGTTTCCCTATGTTGGCCAGGCTGGTCTTGAATTCCTGACCTCAAGTGATCTGCCTGCTTTGACCTCCCAAAGTGCTGGGATTACAGGTGTGACCCACTGCGCCCAGCCTAGACCTTTTCTCTTAAATAGAAATAACTGACTGGGCATGGTGGCACATGCATGTAATCCCAGCACTTTGGGAAGCCAAGGTGGGTGAACCACTTGAGGTCAGGAGTTTGAGACTAGCCTGGTCAATATGGTGAAACCCTGTCTCTACTAAAAATACAAAAAAAAATTAGGTGGGTGTGGTGGCGCGTGCCTGTAATCCCAGCTACTCAGAGGCTGAGGCAGGAGAATTGCTTGAACCTGGGAGGCAGAGGTTACAGTGAGCCGAGATTGCGCCACTGCACTCCATCCTGGGTGACAGAGCAAGACTCCATCTCAAAAAAAAAAAAAAAACCCAAATAAATAAATAGAAATAACTATAGTGATAACATCAATAGAGTTGGTTCTTTTATTATTAAACAGCGGGATTCACCTGACTCCAGAGTAGGTGGCATAGGTTTTTTTGTTATTCCATGTGGCCCCATCTCTACAATCTTAGTTTCTTTTAGGTTTTAAAAAGTGCTAATGATGTAATTCAGGTTTTTCAAGGTGTAATTATTCATAATAGCTATCGTTTATTTAGCAGGAACCAATCCTGTGTGTTAGTTCCTTATTTATAAGATAGGGACTGTAACACCAACTTTTTTGGCTGTTACGAAGGTTAAACATGGTGATGAGCATGAAGTCAGACACATGGTAGGCAGTAACGTGTATAGAAAATGAGACATCTCTTTCTGTCTCCTTTCTGTTACCTTGCAAATCACAGCAAGAATTAATAAACCTATGGATAATCAAAATACACAAGACATCCGAAGTATTTGCCTCATTTTGTGAATTTAGGAAGACAAATTATATGTATATATATCAAATATGAAAGAAGGGTGTGTATGCTAAATTTCAACACTCTTTAATTGCCTACTTTATGCCAGGTACTAAATTGCATACCAAGGATACAAAGTTAAGTGAATTATAGCCCTACCCTCAAGGAGCTTATTTTTTAGTAAATAAATATGGGAACAGTATCTTGTTTTTTAAACTGTGGATTGAGACTTATCAGTTGGTTGGAAATCACAATAGTAGGTAAAGGCCAGCATTTTTAAAAAATGAAATAAAAATGGTCAGGCACAGTGGCTCACACCTGTAATCCCAGCACTTTGGGAGGCCGAGGTGGGCGGATCACCTGAGGTCGGGAGTTTGAGACCAGCCTAGCCAACATGGTGAAACCCCATCTCTACTAAAAATACAAAAATTAGCCCCGCGTGGTGGCAGGCGCCTGTAATCCCAGCTAATTGGGAGGCTGAGGTGGGAGAATTGCTTGAACCCGGGAGGTGGAGGTTGCAGTGAGCATGCCACTGCACTCCAGCCTGAGCAACCAAGCAAGACTCCATCTCAAAAAAAAAAAAAAAAAATAGGAATACGTGCTAATACATCAAAAGTAGGTTCCAAAAGTATTGTATGACATTTTTGTTTATATACATGTGTGACTACTGGATAACTAAATCTAATTTTCTATAACTAGGTCATATAAAAAGTCTTAAGGTTATAAAGTTTAAAATTCCATCAGAAATTCTTCTAGGTGTTTTTACTCAAAGGAAATCTATTTTTTATTCACATTAGGCTTTGGTAAGTACTATATGCATCATGAAGAGATTATAACTTAATTTGCAGTTTGATACTTTTTATGACCTGTGATGATTATTGAATCTAAAAATAGTACTAATTTATTATTCACATTACTTTTTAAAAAATACTGTTTTTGCCTTCACCAAATCATCAGTTAAGTGACCTTTTAAAAAAATCGTTTATTTCAACAGTTGTACTATCAATTCCGTATTACTTTACTTATTCACTACATGTTTGGCTTTTTAACTTCCTCTTAGAGATTACCAACTCTACTGATTTTTTGTTGTTGTTGACTATATCTATGGTTATTTTTTTCCCCCAAAATATACTGCCTCCAGCCACACATTTCAGCTGGATCATTGACTGTATTCTGGTCAGCGATCCTCATGGAATGTAGCTAACTCTATTAATAATTATGATGTCAGTGACTCCTTAAAGGACAGAGTCATAGAGTCTGTCTTCTTGGATTCAAGTTAGATATGACACCAGATTCTTTTGTCTGCTCGTAGAAGTCTGCAACTTCAATGTGGGGGTTGATCACACGATTTGGACCTCTTTTTTTTGACCTACACTATTTTTGTTTGTTTGTTTTGAAATGGAGTCTTGCTCTGTCCCCAGGTTGGAGTGCAGTGGTACAATCTCAGCTCACTGCAACCTCCACCTCCCTGCAACCTCCGCCTCCCGGGTTCAAGCAATTCTCCTGCCTCAGCCTCCCAGGTAGCTGGGACTAGAAGGTGCATGCCACCACACCCAGCTAATTTTTGTATTTTTAGTAGAGACGGGGTTTCACCATGTTCGTTAGGATGTCTTGGTCTCTTGACCTCATGATCCACCCGCTTGGCCTGCCAAAGTGCTGGGATTACAAGTGTGAGCCACCATGCCTGGCCTACACTATTTTTTAATTAATACATATAAGATGTAGATATTTTTGGGGTACATGTCATAATTTGATACATTCATATGATCAAATCATGGTAATTGGGTTAGCCATCACCTTAAATATTTATCTTTATACCAGGAACATTTGAATTATTGTCTTCTAGCTATTTTGAAATGTGCCATCAATTATTTTTAACTGTAGCTACCCTACTGTGACCTATACTATTTCTAAATATCTTTGTATTTGATTCTAAAGACTCTTAATCTTGATGGGAATTGATTTTTTTGTTTTTTCATGTTCTTAGGATCACAACTTTTACAGATTTTTAAAATATTGGCCGGGCGCAGTGGCCCACACCTGTAATCCCAGCACTTTGGGAGGCTGAGGCAGGAGATCAAGACCATCCTGGCTAACACGATGAAATCCCGTCTCTACTGAAAATACACAAAATTAGCCAGGCGTGGTGACACACACCTGTAGTCCCAGCTACTTGGGAGGCTGAGGCAGGAGGATCACCTAAACCCGGGAGGTGGAGATTGCAGTAAGCCGAGATCGCGCCACTGCACTCCAGCCTGGGCGACAGAGTAAGACTCCGTCTCAAAAAAAAAGAAATTTCTGTATTAAGCCTTACAAAAGATATCCATATTCTAATCCTTGGAATCTGCGAATGTTATTTTATATGGCAAAAGAAGGGTGGAATCTGTGTGTGTGTGATTAAGTTAAGGATCTTGAGATGGGGTTGTTATCCTAGATTAGCCTATGGCCCATAAATGCAATCACTTGTATGCTTAGAAGAGGGAGGCAGAAGGAGGTGTTTTACACACACAGGAGAAGGTAATGTGAAGGGAGAGCCTAGAGGGATTTGAGGTTGGAATGCTGCGGCTGTGTCCAAAGAATGCTGGCAGCCACCAGAAGCTGGAAGAGGCAAGGAACAAGGTCTTCCCTAGAGCCTCTGGAGGGACCATGGGCCTGCTGACACCTTCATTTCAGCCCGGTGATATTGACTTTGGACTTTGGACTGAGGAAGGATAAATTTCTCTTTTTTCAAGCCAAAAAGTTTGTGGTAGTTTGCTATAATAGCTGCAGGAAACTTACACAATACCCAGCTGAATTTGAATCTCTCAAATGGCTTTGCCTCTCTGTTCATCACAACTCATTTGGTGTTCTACTGTTAGGAGATTCTTTTTTTTTTTTTCATTAGATGTTCATCTCAAAGTAATTGTTTATTGCAGCAGGGCACAGTGGTACATACCTGTAATCCCAGCTACTTGGGAAGCTGTAAGGTGGGAGGATTGCTTGAGCCCAGAAGTTTGATACCAACCTGGGCAACATAGAGAGGCCCTATCTCAAAAAAAAAAAAAAAAAAAGAAAAAAACCTTTGAACACGTGTCCTAAGAATGCAAAATAGAGTAATGGCCTATTTTGATTTATTATCATCTTTCTTGTTTCTTTAGGCTGCCAAACTTTTTGATGAAGAAGGAAGGAAAAAATTCTTTACACAGGATATGAATAATATTCTTCTGGAGTAAGTAATTTTCTTTAAAAAAAAAAACCTTAAGAATGATACATTAAAAAATGTAATAGGCCTTTGAGATACTGAGTGGTTGGCAAGTCTTGGGCATGAGTTCTTCCCCTTAAGCCTTACAGCATGTATGATTCACATTTGTTTCTCAGCAAAATTATCTTTCTGTATATATTGGTTTTCCTGGACCACTTAGGATAATCAAAGCTTCCAATAGTTACAACTGCCAGAGCAAGTGACGACTATGCAGGTTGGATATTAAGCTAGACTTAACGTACTTCATACCACCTTATATGAAAGTATCTTTCTGGGAAATGTTAGAGCGTTTATATACAGATTTGGCATGATTTTCCATCTACTTTTATTACTTACACTGGGGAATAGTAATTCCGTTGATATCTAGTGAGGTTGATTATAATTTGTACAAACTTTTATAGTCAAATGGAAAGTACAGTTTTATAAAGAAATTGTGGTTGTGAGGTAGGATAGAGATAATGTAGAGGAGATAGCAGTTAGATTGAGAATAAGAAGGTGAAGGTAGATATATAATATAGATTGTATTTAAATTAGCAAATTTTATATTTAACTTAGCAATAATTTTGCACTCAGAGTTTGATACTAATGAAGCTGTAGGTTCTAAGGTTGTGGTCAAATAAACTGAACTTATAAACCTTGTCCTTGACTTAGATTTTAACCATTGTTTACAAGAATCAGGTATATAATTGGATGCAGAACTGGGCAAAAAAGTAATCATGAGGAAAATAGCAAATTTTAGCCCTCTCTGGTGAAAATAATGTTTGCTTATTCTTAGTGGCTTAGTAGCATCATGTATTATAGAAAGACACGGGAAAGGTCAGGCATGGTGGCTCATGCCTGTAATCCCAACACTTTGGGAGGCCAAGGTGGGAGGATCACTTGAGCTGAGGAATTTGAGATCAGCTTGGGGAACATAGTGAAACTCCATTTCTATAAAATATACAGAAAAATTAGCCAGGTGTGGTAGTGCACACCTATCATGTCGGCTACTCAGGAGGCTGAGTTGGGAGGATTCATTAAGCCTGGGAGATTGAGCCTGCAGTGAACTGTGTTCATGCCACTGTACCCCAACCTGGGTGATAGGGTGAGACTCTGTCTCCAAAAAAAAAAAAAGAGAGAAAGAGAGAAGGAAAAGGGAAATAAAAGGAAAAGGAAAGTAATATTTATAATACTATGATTTCCATCTTTTAAATACATAATGGAGACAGTTTCTCATGAGATGTGAAGAAGGGCTGATTGATCATTGCTTCTGATAATGTTTGTAATTTATTACTGTCTATTATTTTGGAGTGCTTAAAAATAGACTCAGAAAATGTATAACTTAGTCTGCCGCTAGTATGGTGGCAGAGGAGTTTCTCATTTCTGTTCCTAGTTACTTTAACCAGGAATTTTCAGATGGAGTCTTTTCTGCGTGGCAGCCAGGCAACTGCTTTCTATCTACACCACCTCCTTTTACCTAGCTCCCTTTAAAACCCCGGACTCAGTGAACAGTGCAGCCATTACTTGTCAGAGCTGTCCCAGATTCCATAGTCAGGGATCTGACCAACTCTTCTTTTTCTTTCCACCTGGGAACCCGAAGTGTGATCAGGTCCTTCTCTTGTGACTGAGGCTGTTCTTTTTTATTTTGCTCTTCTGTAAAAGGGAACAACTGTTTCTCTCCGGGGAGAGTCAAAAGACCATCCTTGGGACATAGCATCTCAGATAAGCAGAGTATCAGCATTCCATTAACAGGCTTTCCTGTTTATTCCTCTCATGTCTATCTTAAAACGAATCTTCCCATTTTTTGGAGCCCATCTGCTTTTTATTTCACAGAGGGTATGCCTCCAGTTTCACAAGTACTAGTGTTCTGAGTTGAATTTTTTTTTTCCCTTTTAGTCACTTTCTTATTCCCTCAGCCTCTTTTTCCGCTTTCCTAAACAAACATGTCTTATTTTCTGTATTGAGTTGCCCTTCTAAGAGAATATGGAACATGATTATTTAGAGTAGGAACTCCCATGAAGCTATCCAGTTGTATTGGTGATGCCTTGCCATTGCTTCCTTATACTAGGGAAAAAAGAGATCAATTTGTTGGAATAGGGAACCCCCCCTTTTTTTCCTGATTGAATTTGACCCGGATCAATAAATATACAACATGCTGATGATTTCCTTGCCTACTACCTAGAGCAGACGTTGCTCATAAATGTTTTTTTCTTTTTTCTCTTTTGAGACAGGGTGTCACTCTGTTGCCCAGCCTGGAGCAGTGATGTGCTCATGGCTCACTGGCCTTGACCTGCCGGGCAATTGCCAGTGGGCCGAGGGGTAGTATAATATCTCTTTGAGGAAAGGAGCTTTTGGTTAATTACAAATTTATTGTGCTTTACCCAAAACCATAGAGTTTGCCCCTGTAACCCAAAAAATATTTCCAGCTTGTTCATGGTTATTGAAGTTCTACTCTTAAACTAGATTGATAGAATACTTTTATAGCATTACTATTTATTGGTATGGGGCTGGGCGCAGTGGCTCACACCTGTAATCCCACACTTTGGGATCAAAGGCCAAGGCGGGTGGATCATCTGAGGTCAGGAGTTCGAGACCAGCCTGACCAACATGGTGAAACCCCATCTCTACTAAAAATACAAAAAACTTAGCTGGGCATGGTGGCGGGTGCCTGTAATCCTGGCTACCTGGGAGGCTGAGGTAGGAGAATCACTTGAACCCAGGAGGTGGAGGTTCCAGTAAGCCGAGACTGCACCATTGCACTCCAACCTGGGCTACAAGAACAAAACTCTGTCTCTAAATAAATAAATAAATAAACTGTTTATTGCTATGGGTTTTTTTTTATTTTTTCCATGAAGAATACTGTTTAGGAAATCATGAAAAGATAAAATGAGAACAAGAACTGGCTTTGCTTTCTTGTCTGTGCAATGCCACCTAAAATAAATTCTATACTGTTCATTGTTGTTAACTTTTTTGGCCAGCATTGAGTTACAGCTACAAGAACTAGGCCCTGTCATTCGCAGTGGTGTCTACTCCCACCTTGAAGCTTTTGTGCCATGCAATAAAGAAACACTAGTAAAACGTCTGAAGAAGTTACATCTCAATGTCCAGGTAAGAGGAAGAACAATAATATCTACATCTTGGGTTTCATAACCTGTAAAGATACTTGTTTCTGTTTGGGGCCTTTGCACATTAATTGATTTATAGTCATATTGTATGTATTTAATAACCATAGGAGGTTATTAAAAGTATGTTGGATCCCCTGAAAAATAATTGCGTCTTCAACAATTGTTAAGTTTAGATGAGAAATGTTTTCTACGGCATAGATTGTTGGATGTAAGTTAATATAGTAGGTATGCTCTGACAAACAGTATTTTTTAATATAAGTACTCACCTTTTTTTTTTTCCTTTTGATACGGGGTCTTGCCCCGTTGCCCAGGCTGGAGTGCCGTGGCGTGAACATGGCTCTCACTGCAGCCTTAACCTCCTGGGCTCGAGCAGTCCTCCCACCTCAGCCTCCCAAGTAGCTAGGACTGCAGGCTGGCATCATTACCCTGGCCATTTTTTAATTTTTTTCTGTAGGGACAGGGTCTCACTGTGTTGCCGAGGCTGGTCTTGAATCCCTGGCATGTTTGAAGTTATTTAATATCCCTTTGGCTATGGAAGAAAGATATCTTATCCTTACTTTTCTTTATATGGTTTTATCACATATATTTGTATCCCTAAACATTATATTTAGTTTTGCATATTTTTGAGCTTCATATATATAAAGAAATACTGTCTGCTTTCTTCTGCAGCTTGTAATGCTCAATATTGTGCACCTGAGATTCATCTTATGTCTACATATAGCAGAAATACTTTTTTTTTTTTTTTTTTTGTGACAGAGTCTCGCTCAGCCCAGGCTGGAGTGCAGTGGCGCGATCTCAGCTCACTGCAACCACCATCTCCCAGGTTCAAGCAATTCTCCTGTCTCAGCCTCCCGAGTAGCTGTGATTACAGGCACCCGCCATCATGCCCAGCTAGTTTCCTATTTTAGTAAAGATGGGGTTTCTCCATGTTGGCCAGGCTGGGGTCTTGATCTCCTGACCTCAGGTGATCCGCCCAGCTTGGCCTCCCAAAGTGCTAGGATTACAGGCGTGAGCCACCGTGCCTGGCCAGAAACACATTCATTTTTTACTGCTGGGTACACAGTGTTCCATTGTGTGAATATATCCCAATTAATTTGTCCATTTTACTACTTATGGATATTTGGGTTGTTTCCAGGCAGGTAGCCTAAGCTAAATAATTCTTCAAAAGTAATCATCTAGGAACCATGATACCAGATGTTCACTTTTTAATTTTTTTTTTTTGAGACAGAGTTTCACTCCTGTTGCCCAGGCTGGAGTGCAGTGGCACGATCTCGGCTCACCACAACCTCCACCTCCTGGGTTCAAGTGACTATCCTGCCTCAGCCTCCTGAGTAGCTGGGATTACAGGCATGTGCCACCACGCCCAGATAATTTTGTATTTTTAGTAGAGACGGGATTTCTCCATGTTTAGTAGAGACAGGGTTGGTAGAGACAGGGTTCTCCATTCTCCAGGCTGGTCTCGAACTCCCGACCTCAGGTGATCTGCCTGCCTTGGCCTCCTAAAGTACTGGGATTACAGGCGTGAGCCACTGCGCCTGGCCAGATGTTCACATTTTTAAACATAGGATTTTGTCATATGTGCTATAATATTTATTTACTGGTGTTCGTGGAATAGGTTAATATACACATTTTTAAACATGGGATTTTATGTTATATGTGCTGTAATATTTACTGGTGTTCATGGAATAGGTTAATATGCTTATTTGTAATATTTGTGTTTTAAAAATCTTTTTCTTTACCAAAAATCACATTTTAAAAACAGTTGTTTTGGCTGAGTGGCTCACGCCTGTAATCCGAGCACTTTGGGAGGCCGAGGCAGGCAGATCACTTGAGGCCAGGAGTTCGAGACCAGCCTGGCCAACATGGCAAAACCCTGTCCTACTAAAAATAGAAATATTTGTTGGGTGTGGTGGCACACACCTGTAGTCCCAGCTACTCGGGTGGCTGAGGCACGATAATCACTTGAACCCAGAAGGCGGAGGTTGCAGTGAGCCAAGATGGTGCCACTGCACTCCAGCCTGTGTGACAGCGAGACTCTGTCTCCAAAAAAAAAAAAAAAATTGTTTCAGTAAAGAAAAGTCTTATAATATTTCTGCACCTATGATGGTGATAAAAGTATGTTTTAAGTAGTTACATATATACTTGTAAGATGCTTGTAAGATGAAAGTAATAAATTGGTTGATTAAAACTGTCAGATGCAAACCTACTTTCTTTTTTGCCCTGAAAACGCACATGAATAAGAGTTTTTGGGTTCCTTTCACTTTGGCCTTGACCTTGCATTTTTACTTGCAGCCTAAGTCAAAATTACTAACCATAACTGAGAGAACAGGATACCAACGTCCGGTTGGTAGTCACCCAAACCAAACACGTGTCTTCGTGTTCCAGAGCAGTGTCTATTCTTAGGGTACTGGTTTCCCATCACAATGGAAATTAACCAGTAGTAGTCTATACAAGTAGAATACAATGATTTTGTTTTCCGTTTTCTGTATGAAAGTGTTCACGGGGCATTTTGAAGAGTGTAATGGAACACTATTAATAATTATGCTGGGCGACAGGGAAAAACTGGAACTCTTCTTGGCTAACTGGAATATGTCATTCTAATTTTGTATCCAGTGTGTCTTAGGAAAAGTCAGTGCTGTAGAAGAAATGTCCATATTTAGATATGCTAATATTTCAAATCTATAATTGGTATCTAAAACATAAATTTTATCTTTTGAGGACCTGCTTACAAGATTTCGTAAATATGTCTGATAAAAACTTCTAGTATGTTTTTCTTTTTAGGATGATCGTTTAAGAGAACCTCTGCAAAAACTGAAACTGGCTGTTAGCAATGTCATGCCTGAACAGCTATTTAAATACCAGGAGGACTGCCAGGCTCGTAGTCAAGCTAAGTGTGCCAAGTATGTATCTCTTCTATTTGGACTGGCTTTTGCATTTGAGAAGTGTATGTACGTTATGTATGTATGTATGTATGTATGTATGTATGTATGTATGTATGTATTTTGAGACGGAATCTCAGTCTGTTGCCCAGGCTGGAGTGGAATGGTACGATTTCGGCTCAGTACAACCTCCGCCTCCCGGGTTCAAGCCATTCTCCTGCCTCAGCCTCACAAGTAGCTGGGATTACAGACACGTGCCACCACACCAGGCTAATTTTTGTATTTTTAGTAGAGACAGGGTTTCACCATGTTGACCAGGCTGGTCTCAAACTCCTGACCTCAGGTGATCCAGCTGCCTCAGCCTCCCAAAGTGCTGGGATTACAGGCGTGGGCCACTGCACCTGGACGTGCATTTGAGAAGTACTTTTAGCTGTTCTGATGTTAAGTGGACCTCATTCTCAAGTAGAAATCCACATATACTGCTGACTTGATATAATTGAGTATTTTGTAAATGGCACTCAGTTGCTTTGCAGTCAGAGACAAAAGGTGTCTGTTGATTGATTGTATGGAGGTGATCAAGCAAGAGCTGACACTGGTGAGAGATTTCACAACCCCAGCTTGACTGACTGTGGTTGAACACAAGTGTTTTCTGACCTAAAAGGTGAATGTTGGTGCCTTTACATTATAATCTGAAGTCCTTATTTACCAAACTACTTTATAACTCCTTTCAAATTTGAAGTATTATGTGGAAAGGTAGATTCCGTCTTTACCCTCTCTTTTAACATTCCATTAAGCAATTCAGCAAGTATTTATGGAGCATATTATATAGGCAGTGTTGGGTTAAAAGTTTGTTTTGTAAAGTGTTTTTCATTTTTAGATTGCAGACAGATGAAGAACGAGAAAAAAATGGATCTGAAGAGGATGATGATGAGAAACCAGGAAAACGTGTCATAGGACCAAGAAAGAAATTCCACTGGGATGACACTATCAGGTAAGATTTAATTAGTTTTCACTTTTAATATATAATGCAGAAGTAAGATTCCTCATTAAAAAAAAATCTATAATAAATATAAAACTAGATTGGAAGCAACCAAAGATTAGTGTGTAGGAAAAAATTATTCAAGAGAAGATTAATTGGGCTCTAATATCCTCAGAGTATTATTGCTTTTATTTTCATATACACTGTAATACTTTTTACAAACTAATCTAATAATGGTGTAAGTCATACTGGTTTCAGAAGGTGAAGTACTTTCAACATATTTCTTCTTTAGCCATCTTTCTCAATAGTATTTCTATACCCCAAGTAGAGAACCATCCCTTTCAATCTTTGGTGCTTTGATTAAAGATATCAAAGGAAATTGTTTCATATTGCAGGTTTGACTGTGGTGCAATGAATGATATATGTTAGAAATTGTTTGTTATTTTCTGAATTTTTCACATAATCTGTATTATTGCTGCCAAATGTATGTTCTTCTAAAAAAAGTTTCAAATTTAATTTTCAATCTGTTTAGAACTTTGTTATGTAACCTTGTTGAGATCAAATTGGGATGCTATGAGTTAGAACCAAATAAAAGCCAGTCTGCTGAAGATTATCTTAAGTCTTTTATGGAGACAGAAGTGAAGCCCCTGTGGCCTAAGGGCTGGATGCAGGCAAGGTAAGAAATGTGACTTACTGGATTTTATTTTATTTTATTATTATTGCTGTTATTAAAGATATACATACACATACACATATGTGACATTGATTTTGCTAAGAACCTAATATATTCAGCATGCTGTCTAGTCATCTCAGATGATCCTTGCTTTGAAAACCTTAAGCACTTAAATGACAAAACAGTCGCGCACACAGAGATAGATGTAAAGGTGATATTTTACTTAACATTTTTTTTAACACCCAAATTTGCTAGTAGAGAAAAAGAGAAGAGGGAAGACTCCCAAATGGTTATGAAGTTTGGGAGAGGAGCTTTATAGGGGTAACATGAAGATGAGGAACCTAATATGGGATTAGAGCATAGGAAAAGAGACACAGCCTTAGATTCTATTCAAAATAGTCAGTGTAGAGGCCAGGCACAGTGGCTTATGCCTGTAATCCCAGCACTTTGGGAGGCCAAGGCAGGTGGATCACCTGAGGTCGGGAGTTCAAGACCAGCCTGACCAACATGAAGAAACCTTGTCTCTACTAAAAATACAAAATTAGCCAGGCGTGGTGGCGCATGCCTGTTATCCCAGCTACTAGGGAGGCTGAGACAGGAGAATCGCTTGAACCCCAGAGGTGGAGGTTGTGGTGAGCCGAGATTGCACCATTGCACTCCAGCCTGGGCAACAAGAGCGAAACTCCGTCTCAAAAAAAAAAAAAAGAAAAAGAAAAAAGAAAATAGTCAGTGTAGGCCAGGTGCAGTGGTTCACACCTGTAATCTCAGCACTTTGGAAGGCCAAGGTGGGAGGATCACTTTGAGCCCCAGGAATCTGAGACCAGTCTCAAAAAATAAGTAAATAAATAAGAAAATATTCAGTGTAGAGAGATATCTCAAGAAACAAAGAGTCGCTCTGTTTAAAGTCTCAAGGGTTAAGAATGTGGCCCGTTGCGGTGGCTCACACCTGTAATAGCAGCACTTTGGGAGGCCGAGGCTGGTGGATCACCTGAGGTCCGGAGTTCAAGACCAGCCTGGCCAGCATGGTGAAACCCTGTATCTACTAAAAATACAAAAATTAGCTGGGCATGGTGGTGGGCACCTGTAATCCCAGCTACCCAGGAGGCTGAGGCAGGAAAATCACTTGAACCCGGGAGGCAGAGGTTACAGTGAGCCGAGATTGCACCATTGCACTCCACCTGGGCAACAAGAGCAAAACTCTGTCTCAAAAAAAAAAAAAAAAAAAAAAGTCGCTGGGCACGGTGGCTCACGCCTGTAATCCCAGCACTTTGGGAGGCCAAGGAGGGTGGATCACGAGGTCAGGAGATTGAGACCATCCTGGCTAACACGGTGAAACCCCGTCTCTACTAAAAATAGAAAAAATTAGCCGGGCATGGTGGCGGGCACCTGTAGTCCCAGCTACTCGGGAGGCTGAGGCAGGAGAATGGCGTGAACCTGGGAGGCGGAGGTTGCAGTGAGCTGAGATCGTGCCACTGCACTCCAGCCTGGGTGACAGAGCGAGACTCTGTCTCAAAAAAAAAAAACGAGTTAAGTAAAAATTAATAAACTTGGCTAGTTCAACCCATGATTTTAATTAAATTGCTCCATCTTCTATCAACAGAAAAGATCTGTTGGCCAGGTGTGGTAGCTCACCCCTATAATCTCAGCACTTTAGGAGGCCAAGGGCCACAGTGAGAGGATTGCTTGAGGCCAGGGATTCAAGACCAGCCTGGGCAGCATAGTGAGACCCCTGACTCTGCAAAAAGTTTTAAAAATTAGCTGGGCATGGTGGCACACACCTGTAATTCCAGCTTCTTTGAAAGCTGAGTTGGGAGGACCATTTGAGCCCAGGAGGCCTAGGTTATAGTGAGCTATGAATAAAACTCTCCATAAAATAGATTATTGAGTATACTGTACCATTATAACTTTTACTTGGTAAATAAGCAGTAATAGTCTACTGAAAATTAAATTACTTTAAAAAATAAAACAATTATGTTACTATCTGCTATAAAGAAAATAATAATTGTGTTCTTTAAATTTTTCCAGAATGCTTTTTAAGGAAAGCCGGAGTGTTCATAATCATCTTACTTCTGCTCCGTGAGTAAATGCAGACTCCAGATTGCTTCATTTATTCACATTATGTGCTTTAGTGAACAAAAGTATCATTTATTAAATGCTAGTTGGAATAGGACTTAAAAAGATCATTTTGACCATTGACTATTTAGACTTCAGAACACATTTATCTATTGAAATAATTGTCAGGGTACTCTCTAAACACCTACTAAATCCACACTGTGACACATAATGGCCTGGGATTCTGGTAGTAGGGAAGCATGAAGGCTCAGGGATTTTCCTTTGTTCCTGGGCCTTCTACCTGCCAGTCTTTTTCTCCACCTCTTAATGTCCATCTGCATTTGTAATCTACAGCCCTCTGTGTCCTGAGTTTACCAGGACAGATCCATATGCACACCCACCCTCGCTGCACTGCAGAGTGTTTTATTCCACAAAATTAACCTATTCTTGAGGTCTTCTGTTCAAAACCGTGTATTTCCTTAGTGATGTGATTACTAGAGAAAGATCTTTTATCCCCTCCACATACAACAAAAAGGCAAGTTTTTTCTGTGGTCACCTTTTTGGTTGAATATTGGTCAATTCCAGAACAGTTTCATTTTTCCCTACAACGTAGGGCTACTTCTCTGTAGCCTGCAAGGGTGGCATTAACGGTTATTAAAGCCAGGCACAGTGGCTCGCGCCTGTAATCCCAGCACTTTGGGAGGCTGAGGCGGGTGGATCGCTTGAGCCCAGGAGTTTGAGACTGGCCCGGGCAACATGGCGAAACTCCATCTCTACAAAAACTATAAAAATTAGCCAGGCATGGTGTGTGTGCCTGTAGTCCCAGCTACTCAGGAGGCTGAGGTGGGAGGATGGCTTATGCCAGAGAGGCGGAGGTTGTAGTAAGTGGAGATCATGCCACCGCCCTCCAGCCTGGGGGACAGAACAGACCTTGTTTCCAGAAAAAAAAAAGGGGGGGGTTATTAAAATATAAAATTAGCAAGTTACTGAGAATTTACTGAACACTCTAATTCAATATTCTGCTGAGAGGTCTGTTTAATATCTTTTGGGCAACATTATAAAATTCCTACTCTCCTTGTATGCAGTTATATAGGAATTTTTTAGTTTTTAGGAAGGACAGTTCATTATTACGGTTGACCCTTGGAACAACACGGGAGTTAGGGATTTCACCCCCTCATCCCACACAGTCAGAAATCCATGTGTAACTTTCAGCTCTCCCAGAACTTCACTGCTAGTAGTCTACTGTTGACCTGAAGCCTTACTGATAACATAAATAGTTCATGAACACATTTTATATGTTTTATGTACAGTATACTGTATTCTTACAATAAAGTAAGCTAAAGAAAAGAAAATGTTAAGAAAATCATAAGGAAGAGAAATTATATTTACTATTCATTAGGTTGAAGTGAATCATCATAAAGGTCTTCATCCTCAGGGGTCAACTGTATATCAGAGATGCATTGAGTTGGTTGTGGTTTTTGGTTCTGTTTTTTTTAGTATAAATTCTAAGTTGTTTGGTTTCATATATTACAGGTTTACTTTGTTGCAAGAGTTTTTGTTGTCTTTGAAATAAATTTTATGTACATACGTATATGTTTGTGTCAGTGGTATTTTCGGCTTTAATTTCCCTATACAGTAGTCCCCCTTATCCTCAGACAATATACTCCAAGATGCCTGCAGTGGATGCCAAAACTGCAGACAGTACTGAACCCTACATAGACTATTTTTTCCTATACATACATTCCTATAATAGATTTTAGTTTACAAATTAGGCACAGTAAGAGATTAACAACAATAATAAAAGAGAACCGTTTAACAGTATACTATAATAAAAGTTATGTGAATGTGGTTTATCTCTATTTCTGGAATTTTCCATTTAATATTTTCAGACCTCAGTTGACCACAGGCAACTGAAACCGTGGAAATTGAAAACTGTGGATAAGGGGGGCTACTGTAGTTCTAAAGCCATATATACATTACAATTCAGGTACAAATAATGCATTCCTTTAATTCTAAAGGTGTTTACAAAAGATGTCTCCCTCTCTGTCTCTCTCTGGCTTTTTTTTTTTTTTTTTTGAGATGGAGTCTTGCTCTGTCGCCCAGGCTGGAGTTCAGTGGCACGATCTCAACTCGCTGCAACGTCCATCTCCCAGGTTCAGGCAATTCTCCTGCCTCAGCCTCCTGAGTAGCTGGGACTACAGGCGTGCGCCACCACGCCTGGCTAATGTTTGTATTTTTAGTAGAGACAGGGTTTCACCATGTTGGCCAGGCTGGTCTCAAACTCCTGGCCTCACGTGATCCGCCTGCCTCAGCCCAAAGTGCTAGCATTACAGGCATGAGCCACTGCACCCAGCCTCCTTCTCCCTTTTTTTAAATAGCTTCATTATTATCATTAACTTTGTGTTTTGTTTAACTTTGTGTTTTGTTTTGTACCAGAAAGTAGGAATCTATGGGATAAGTGGGCCTAGAGGTCGTTTCCCTAAATGGCCTTCATAAAAAAAAAAAACATAGAAAATTACTGTTGCCTAAATGAAGTTGTAAATTGACAGTTTTAATCAAGATTCTTGTTAATCTAATTGATGACATTTTAGCCAAGTGAAATAGGCAAGGTGAAGTATTTTAGCTTGTCAACAATTTAATTATTCAACAAACATTTGAATACTTTGACTTACTATGGAACTTGTTCTTTTTTTTCATCTTCAAACTTTTTCTTAGTTTTCCAAAAGTTTCAAGATTCCATAGTAATTTTTCTTGCCCTTTTTCTCCCTGTCATTTTGACATTTTTTATTTGAATTTTTACATTACAAAAATTTTTCTTTAAAAGCTCAGGGTTTTTTTTGTTTTGGTTAAGTTAAATCTCATTCACACCTTCTTGGCATGGTTTAATTTGAGCCTGCGGTTCCTTGAAGCTCTTTTTTTGGGGGGGCTATTTTATGGTTTATTTACATTTAATTTTTTAAAAATTGTATTATCTACATTTCATGTTTTACTAGTTGTTTGGCCTTTCAATTAATCTGAATTGGGGAAAATGTTGCTACATACTTCGTATAAACTGAGCACTTAAATACGGTTCCTTCAAAGAGCTTTCCAAATAGCAGAAGGAATTATTTACCACATAATTACAAAGCTATATAACTTTCTAATGAGCAATATAACTGCTACTGAAATAGCCTTTTAAAATCTTTTTATCTTAGGGCAAAGAAAAAGGTGATTCCTGCACCTAAACCCAAAGTAAAGGTAAGTACTGAAACAAAATATTTAATTAGTTATAGTTGGTGAATGTTGAAATACATTCCTAAGATGAAAAAGATGTATGGTATTTAGCAGAGGTCAGTAGGCACTATAAGATAGATGTTTTCAACTTCATAATAATCTTAGTACTTTTGTATTTGGGAGAATAGATTCCTGTGTAGCAGTGGGGAATATGCATACACCAATTGTGAAGCTTAACTTTATTAATACTTGGAAATGCTAGGTAAAATACAACAAATATTCTTTCATAGCATAGGTGAGATTGAAAAATATGTAAGAAAAATTCATAAGACCAGAAACAAAAAAGGAGCTGACAGTGTTAATCTGTCGCTTACACTTTGGTTGCCCTTGGAGGCATTTGGCACTTTCTACCCATCACTTTATGGTTTCTTTTTACGTTTCTTCTCAGAGCATAGCAGTTAGGGTTTTCTTGGGCTTGTACAGGTTAAAACTTGGGATGAAATCTGTGTAAAGCTGGACCTTCAAACAATAACATCTTTAGTAAAAGAAAGGACTAGAAAGAAATCCAGCAACCAGCAGAGACATTAAGTGGCTGTCTTGGACTGGGTTCTGGTTTGGGGGAAGAATGTCCTTGCTGAAAAATTTTCTTGGCTTAGGAGTTTCAGTTACACTACCTCTACAATCTGAGAAAACGCCAAGCTGAAAAAGTAGCTTGGTTACTGGATTAGTAGTGACCCGGGGCCACTGGCAAAAGCAAATTCTCTTTGGTATAACGTGCCCTCTTCAGAGGCCTCAAAGGCATTCCTCCTATAAACCATGGCAGACCTGAGCTTGCAGTCTGAAATACAGAATACATGAGAGAATAAGTTACTATGAGTGAGATTCAGTAGGAACAATAAACAGCAGTTAGATCCCTAAGACGGACAAGTAGTGCACTTATGGAATTTAGTACATAAAATAATTTGACTGAAAAATTTTTAATATTTAGAGAAATAGAAAAGGGAATAAAAAATATCCTATCAAAATAGACAAAGTAGATTTGAAAGAGAATCAAAATATAACCTCTAGAAGTAAAAACTATAATCATTTGAAATTAAAATTTTAATGAAAGCTCATACTCTTTAGGTTTTACACTTTGCTCCATAGCCTTTGTCTCTTTGGTTTTTGTTGTTGTTGTTGTTTTTAATAGATGAGGTTCTTTGCTTATAAGATTGTGGCCAGATGGTCATTATATATTATTCTGTGGCCTTCCTGACTTTTTTGGTGTTAGAGCCTCTTTAAATGCAGGGTAAATAGTCTTCTTTTTCTTTTTCTTGTTTTTCTTTTGGAGACAGAGTCTCACTCTATCACCCAGGCTGGAGTGCAGTGGTGCGATCTCGGCTCACTGCAACCTCTGCCTCACAGGTTCAAGCGATTCTCCTGCCTCAGCCTCCTGAGTAGCTGGGACTACAGGCGCACACCACCATGCCTGGCTAATTTTTATATTTTTAGCAGAGACGGGGTTTCACCATGTTGGTCAGGCTGCTCTCTAACTCCTGACCTCGTGATCCACCCGCCTTGGCCTCCCAAAGTGTTGGGATTACAGGCATGCGCCACTATGCCCAGCCAGTAGTCCTCTTTTTCTTAATAGCCTACTTTGTCTTCTGATCCAAATAATATTGAGCCAATCTTTCATTAAATCTGTTGAATTTAGATGTTGTTTTGACACTTGACTTTATTTTTATTAGAATACTAAAGTCTTAGTACCCTCCATAAAGGATTGGTTACATTTTGATACATCTATTCAAACATATGATTAATAGAATAATAGGATAGGAAATTTATTAAATTCTGATACTGGTTGTGTTAGGATGATATGGGGGAGTCATCAGTTTTTTTGTATGTTTCCTTCTCTATGATTAAATTACTTTTTCATTTTCCCAAAATGGAAAAGCTATACTGTTAATGTGGTTTTTTTCTACTGTAACTCCCCATAGTGTTTCTAGTTATAAAGATAAGATAAGGAAATGCCTACAAAAGAAAATGCAAATAACCCGGAAAAGTAAGGAGGAAAGTAAAAGTATCTATAAATTTCTCCTCAGTCAGAGAATAAAAGCTCTTAGCTTTCTAGGACACATCTTCCTTCCCTTCTTCTGAAACTCTGTTCCTCCCTCCCTCCCTTCCATTCGTCCGTCCATCCATACATCCATCCATCTATCCAATCAGCTATCTATTTATTTAGTCTTTTATATAAATGGGATAACCTGCTTTTTTGACTCAGTTATATATCCTGAACAATTTTCTCTGCCAGTATAAATCTGCACAGTATTCTATTAGAGTGGATTTAATGGTTTTATAAATAAAAATTAATCAAAAAGTTATTTTAAAACAGCAGTTTTATACTAGTAATACTTCCAATATTGGGATACATTTCCTACCCTTTATTGTGTACTTTTTATAATGGAATTTTCACTAATCATGTAAGTGGATGGCATATCAAAACAAATGTGTTTCATCTGCATTACTCATTCTTCTTAGCAGACATTTGTGACCTTAATGCAGTTACACTTGTACTTCCAATTGGTAGTGAGGTTTTTAATCAGGGGTTTTAGAGTAAAAGCTTAGAAAAAATACTAAGGAAGTTAGAGTGTAACAGTATTCTTAACAGCTTGCTTATGTAATACCTTAGGAGGTGATGGTAAAGACCCTTCCTCTCCATTCTTTCCCCACTATGCTTAAGGTAAGTGCTATGGTTGTATCAATCAGTATGTAATATAACACTCTAGGTTTGTTTGGGTTTGTTTAAGAAACTAATTGAAGAGACTTTGATACGACTTTTATGTAATAGGCTTTTGCTTCTCAGTCTTAAAAATAAAATGAGTCAAATACTTTTATCTTTAAAAATAAATAGTTGCTTTTAAATTATTTTGCTCTTTGAATATTATAAACTGTGCTCTAGTTCTTTTTCTTAAATATTAAGAAGGTTGATTATTTGAGAAACAGACTCTAACAACTCTTAGGTATTCAGAGTTGTAATTCTTAATACCCTTGTTTTCTTAGCATAGAGCCCTGCTCACAGCGGACACTTAGTGGATATATATTGAATAAATGACAAATGAGTAATTTACAAATAAATTACAGATTCACCATAATAAATAGCATAATTTATTTATGCTTGGATTGAATCGTCTGCCACTTTGACGTACCAGTTTTTCTATGTACTGGCTGTAGGGTAGCTGCAGGACAGGGCATACAAAGAGGCAGAAATGCATGGAAGCAGAAAGTGAAGGTCAGCCTCCTAGCAAACCATCCCAGACGAGAAGGGGAGAGTCTTAATATAAAGGCAGAATTTATTCTGAGTGCAGGGGAATAAAAAGAGAATAATCTGAACAGATGGATTTGGAGCAGGATTTGAAGATCTAATGCAGGTGGGGGAGGCTCATCAGTAATGTAACTAGTATATGAATGTTCCTTCCACTTGGTGTTAAGTATGACAGCTATGTGCAATATATCAGATACTTTGTCTTGTGAGGACAGCTCAGTCAGGAGCTCTGTCATCTCAAAAATTATTTTTGTTTTGATAGTCTCTGAAGATTTCCAGTAGAAAAACAATTGTAATTGTCATGAGAATCTTTTAGTTATTTAAAATTAACTTTGTAATTTTTTATTCACCATTTCTATTTTTTTCCATATGATGCTTTACATTAGGAGTGTAGTCCAAAAAAGGACCAGAAAACTCCAACATCCCTGGTGGCTTCGGTTAGCGGTCCTCCAACGAGCTCCAGCACAGCTGCCATTGCTGCAGCTAGCTCTAGCTCTGCACCAGCCCAAGAAACCATCTGCCTCGACGACTCACTAGATGAAGACCTTTCTTTCCATTCACCTTCACTGGATCTTGTTTCTGAAGCTTTAGCGGTTATCAACAATGGGAACAAGGGCCCTCCAGTTGGCTCAAGGATAAGCATGCCAACCACAAAGCCTCGTCCAGGACTGAGAGAAGAAAAATTAGCAAGTATCATGAGTAAGCTGCCACTAGCTACTCCCAAAAAACTAGATTCTACTCAGACTACACATTCTTCAAGTCTTATTGCTGGTCACACAGGGCCAGTACCAAAGAAACCCCAGGATTTAGCTCATACTGGCATCTCTTCAGGCCTTATTGCTGGTTCTTCCATTCAGAACCCTAAAGTTTCTTTAGAACCTTTGCCAGCCAGGCTACTTCAACAAGGACTTCAGAGGTCAAGCCAGATTCACACTTCTTCCTCTTCACAGACCCATGTCTCCTCTTCTTCCCAAGCCCAAATTGCTGCCTCTTCTCATGCTCTGGGAACATCCGAGGCCCAAGATGCTTCTTCGTTAACACAAGTAACAAAGGTGCACCAGCATTCAGCTGTCCAGCAGAACTATGTGTCTCCATTACAGGCCACCATCAGTAAATCCCAGACCAACCCCGTCGTGAAGTTAAGTAATAATCCCCAACTCTCCTGTTCCTCCTCACTTATTAAGACTTCAGATAAGCCACTTATGTACCGCCTTCCCTTATCTACCCCCTCACCTGGAAATGGTTCTCAAGGGTCCCACCCCCTGGTTTCTAGGACAGTACCTAGCACCACTACCTCCAGTAACTATTTAGCCAAGGCTATGGTGTCACAGATCTCCACGCAGGGTTTCAAATCTCCCTTCTCGATGGCTGCCTCCCCAAAACTTGCCGCATCTCCCAAGCCTGCCACATCTCCTAAACCCCTGCCCTCGCCTAAGCCTTCTGCCTCACCCAAGCCCTCTCTGTCAGCTAAGCCTTCAGTATCAACTAAACTTATTTCTAAATCCAACCCAACTCCCAAGCCTACTGTATCCCCAAGTAGTTCCAGTCCAAATGCACTAGTTGCCCAGGGTAGCCACTCCAGCACTAACAGCCCAGTCCATAAACAGCCCAGTGGAATGAACATCAGCAGACAGTCTCCCACCTTGAATTTATTGCCCTCTAGTCGCACTTCAGGCCTTCCACCTACAAAAAATCTTCAGGCCCCCTCAAAGCTAACAAACTCATCATCCACTGGAACTGTTGGGAAGAACAGCTTGAGTGGAATTGCAATGAATGTACCTGCCAGCAGAGGTAGCAACCTTAACTCAAGCGGAGCTAATAGGACTAGTCTGTCTGGGGGAACAGGAAGTGGAACACAGGGTGCTACCAAACCATTGTCTACTCCACATAGACCATCCACTGCCTCAGGGTCTTCAGTGGTAACAGCCAGTGTGCAGGTATGTATGTTCTGTACGTCCATGTGATAAACTATAAGATTGTATAATGTCGTCTTTCTTGTGGGTAACTTTAATAAGCTTTTTATGATATGTGGATTGTTCTCAATTGGCTTATTACAGCCTGCAGCCATGGAATGTTCCTGATGCTGACATCACAGTGACAGGCACACTTGTAGTTGAGGTGTTTGTTGGGATATGGATTTTTTTTTTTTAAGTAACAAAGGTGCACCAGCATTCAGCTGTCTGACAGAACGATGTCTTCATTACAAGCAACCATCACTAAATCAACTTTAAAATTATTTGACAAAACAAAACTAAAATGGCTTATTTCAAACTTTCTCTCTTATCAAAGTCCAGAACAAAGTAGTAACTTAGGAATTTAACGAACATTCGCTTAGCTCTTCCCTTCCCTTTTTCTCCTGCCAATTTTCTTATTTTTCAATCAAATTTATACATTCATGTTATTTTTTAAATCATTTATCTTCTCGAAATTTTTATTTTGCTTAATTTTGTAGTTATATATAATTTTCTATGTCAAATTAGTGTCAGTCGCCCTTTTATACCACAGTTTTCCCGTTCGTGAATTTTTAGTTTAAACTTACCTCTCAATTAGCTGAGTGCCTCACTCAAGCAATCTTTTCAAGAAGGGTAGCCGGGCATGGTGGCTCGTGTCTGTAATACCAGCACTTTGGGAGGCCAAGGCAGGAGGATCACTTGAGGTCAGGAGTTGCACTCCAGCCTGGGTGACAGAGCGAAACTTCATCTCAAAAAAAAAGGGTAGCATAAATGCTATTTTACCTTAGCTCATGTACACCTGATAATTTCTTTCTGTGCTGTCACACTTGAGTAGGCGTAGCCTTCTTGGGGCACTAACTGTTCCACTCCCAATTTTGTAAATACTACTCCACTGACTCTTGCTTAGTATTTAGGATTATGGAGAAGTCTGAGGCCATTCTCAGACTCTTTCTCATTCTCTTTTTGTTCCGTTATCATTAATGTGTTTTCTCTGCCTAGTTGTCATTAATTGTATACCTAGAACATAGTAATAGCTTTCCATCTCAGAACTGGTTATTTATTTTAGATCAAGAATATTTTATTGTATTATGTGTCTGATTACTGTTTCTGATCCATTTATCGTAAGTTTTTTGAGAACTCTTTATTATATATATATTTTTTATTTTTCCCTAAGACAGAGTCTCGCTCTGTCGTCCACGCTGGAGGGCAGTGGCGCAATCTTGGCTCACTGCAACCTCCGCTTCTCGGGTTCAGGAGATTCTCCTGCCTTAGGCTCCCGAGTAGCTGGAATTACAGGCACCCGCCACCATGCCTGGCTAATTTTTGTATATTTATTTATTATTATTATTATTTTTTTGAGACGGAGTCTTCTCTGTTGCCAGGCTGGAGTGCAATGACATGATCTCGGCTCACTGCAACCTCCACCTCCCAGGTTCAAGCAGTTCTCCCTGCCTCAGCTTCCTGAATAGCTGGGATTACAGGCATGGGCCACAATGCCCAGCTAATTTTTGTGTTTTTAGTAGAGACAGTGTATTGCCATGTTGGCCAGGCTGATCTTGAACTCCTGACCCCAGTTGATCTGCCCACCTCGGCCTCCCAAAGTGCTGGGCTTACAGGCGTGAGCTACCACACCTGGCCTAATTTTTATATTTTTAGTAGAGATGGGGTTTTACCATGTTGACTGGGCTGGTCTCAAACTCCTAACCTCAAGTGATCTGCCCGCTTCCGCCTCCCAAAGTCCTGGGATTACAGGCATGAGTCACTGCGCCGGGCCTATATTTTATCTCTCTGTCTTCCATATCATCTTCTGTTATTGTTTTCATCTCTATGCCACTTCTTTGTATTCTGACACTTTCTCAGATTTGTCCTTTATGTTAATGATTTAGTTTCTTTAACTTTTTTCCCCTGAAAGTAATGTATGTTCATTGAAGGCAAATTTAGAAAAAAGAAAATAAAAATCACCTATTAATCCAATACTGTTTATGCTTTGTAGGTACTTTTTAAGACTTTTTTCAACAAAATGTGTTTTGTATAATATTTCGTTTTATAACCGGCAAAAAAAAAATACCATTTTATGATATGCAAGTTCTTAGGTTCTTAAATATTCTTTGAAAACATAACTTTTATTTATTTATGGAATTGTGTTGTCTAAGGAAGTGCTCTTTGTACTGTCTCCTATTTATGTGGAACAGGAACATGTAATGAGAAGAGTTTCCCCTTGCTGTATGTCAAGGTTTCCTGCTGTTCAATATAGTCTAAGGGTTGATATTCAATATACATTGTATATTCAAATCATCATTCTGCTACTAATGTAGGCATAGGAATGACTGGATGCCAGAATTCTAATGAAGAACAAATTCAGCTAACTGGTAATTCATTAATTGAAATCTAGGATTAACTGATGTTTTATGTATATACATTTACTTTCATCAGAAATAAAATAATAAAAACATTGATACTAGGGATTATATGTTAAAATGTATATGGAGATGGATGAATAAAGGCCTTCCCTTATGAAAAAAAAGGTATATGGAAGATTGGAGTTAGTCTGCATTACTGTTTATTAAATAGTTTACTCTTCTTAAAATTAATTCTTAATTTGATCAAAGGAATAAGTGAAAAGATAGCATAAATGGTAGTTCCCTGCCCCGTATCCTCCTCCTAGGGTTAACTACTTTTAACTCTCTCAGCATTTTCTTCTTTTTGTTTTTAAATAATAATAAATGGAAAAGTCTTGATTTTATCAATTTTATAAAAAATTGGGGAGTTATTTCTGGAATTAAAAATTCATTTTTATTTTCATTTGCTTCATTTTCTTTGAACTTAAGATTAAATCTTTCTTCATCCTTTGTCATCTCTACAGTCTGTCAGTTCTATTTTGTTCCCAGAGATCTTCCTGTATTTCATTATTGATTGCAAAAGAACCCCTATACTGTCTAACAAATAATTGGTTTGTCAGCATGAAGGCTACTTGGCAAAGTATGAGTTTCTGAAGACTAACTACTCCCTCCTGGTTTTCTTCCTCTCCCAAATGGCTTTATGATTTGGAGACTGAAGTGTTCCTGCCTTCATATCTGATCTTTTTTTTTTTTTTTTCTGTCTTACTGGTTTGACTGAAGAAAAGATTAATAATTGAATAAGGTCATTTCTACCCTTTGGCGAAAGTAAGGTTCTTTTTGTTTTAACATAGCGTCTCAATAAAGTCTTACCAGCTATCTTGTGGCCTCTAGAACCTGTCTATAGCTCTCCAACACTGAAAACAGAGTTCCTATCTATGCCTGTAAAGCATTCACCTTCTGTCTGAAAGGCATCTGTGGGTGTCTGCTCATTTGCAGAGTGAAAATGACAGGTCCTTTAACAAATGGCAAAAGTTAAACTCCTTCTGGGTTCAGGTTGTTAGCTCTGCTTGCTTTCTGTTTAATAACTTTCCACACAGGGGTTTCCTCCTCTTTCTTACCCTTCAACTTACTGATTTTCTGTGAATCCTGTCTTTGCCACTTTATAATTCCAAACATCATTCATTCATTAAGCAAATGTTTATTGAGTGTTTACTATGTGCCAGGCACTCTTCTAGGTGCTGGGGATATAGGGATGAACAGCATACTCACACATATAGTCTAGGTAGGAAGACAAGGAAAAATACAAGTTTTTTCAAAATGTGGTAAATGCTGTGAAAAAATTGTAGGATAATATGATAAAAGTGATTGCTGCTAACGTAAAAAAGGTTAAGAAGGTTTGAGGAGGTAATGTTTGATTTGAGAATTGAATGAGCAGAAGCCAGCCATGTGTAGAGAAGAGGGGGAAAATAGTTCAGGCCAGAGGGAACAGTTGTATGAAGACACTGAGATGGAAAAGAGCCTGAAGTGAAGGCCTGCATGGCTGGACCATGGGGAGAGAGTGGTAGGTGATGAGATCAGAGAGAGACCAGAACCATGTCATGGAGGACCTTGTGGACCACAGTAAGGACTTTGGATTTTATTCTCTGTGCAGTGGGAAGCTATTGGAGGTTCTTAAACAGGGGACTGATATGGTCTGATTTGCATTTCAAAAGTTTACTCTGGGCGTTGTGGGGAATAGGGGACCAGTGCACTCACCAAAGTAGAGTATGTGGTTTAAAAAAAAATTTAATTGCGGCCGGTCGTGGTGGCTCATGCCTGTAAACCCAGGACTTTGGGAGGCCGAGGTGAGCGGATCACGAGGTCAGGAGATTGAGGTCATCCTGGCCAACATGGTGAAACCCCATCTCTACTAAAAATACAAAAATTAGCTGGGTATGGTGGCACGTGCCTGTAATCTCAGCTACTTGAGAGGCTGAGGCAGGAGGATCACTTGAATCCTGGAGTTGGAGGTTGCAGTGAGCCGAGATTGCACCACTGCAGTCCAGCCTGGCAACAGAGGGAGACGCCATCTCAAAAAAAAAAAAAAAAAAAATTAATGCCCACTACGGGAAGAGCAAGGATTCCCTTCAATGTTTTTTCCCCTGGGAATAAAATGTAGAGGTCACGGAAAGTATTTTTGATTATGGGGCATAATCTGGAACTATTTACCTGCTTCATGCTGACTTCTTGTGCATGATCCCAGATGATACCAACATTGGAGTACCCCACTGCTGAAAGGTCTCCATCTTTTAGGATAGAGAGATTTGCAAATACCCATGTCACATTTAGATTATCTGATGCTTCCATTTATATTTATAAACAAATTAAAGTGGATATAGAAGTTACTTGAAAGTGTAAAATGTTAGACAGTTATGGCATAGTATCACTTTTTTGCTATACTTGAGTTATTTAATTTTGGAAATTGCCCTCCCTAATTTACATTTTGCTTTTTTTTTTTTTTTTGAGACAGGGTCTCACTCTGTTGCCCAGGCTGGAGTGCAGTGGTGCAATCTTGGCTCACTGCAGCTTCCGCCTCTAGGGTTCAAGCAGCTCTCCTGCCTCAGCCTCCAAGTACCTGGGATTACAGGCAGACGCCACCATGCCCAGCTAATTTTTGTATTTTTAGTAGAGACGGTGTTTCACCATGTTGGCCAGGCTGGTCTTGAACCCCTGGCCTCAGGTGATTCACCCAACTCAGCCTCCCAAAGTGCTGGGATAATAGGAGTGAACCATCGCACCTGGCCCTCATTTTGCATCTATTTTAATGCTTCAATTACACTCCTTCAGAAAAGCTTTAAAAGATTCCTTTTATTAACAGTATTTAATGTTCCTCACTAGGGAACTCCAACTGGGGCACACAGCCTTGGAGACTCTTTATCATCCCAAGACTGCAGTAGAATTATGATTAGAAGAAGCAACTCTGGTTAAATTTTTTTTTTTTTCCGAGACAGAGTCTTGCTCTGTTGCCCAGGCTAGAGTGCAGTGGCACAATCTCGGCTCACTGCAACCTCTGCCTCCCAGGTTCAAGCGGTTCTCCTGCCTCAGCCTCCTGAGTAGCTGGGATTACAGGCATGCGCCACCACACCTGGCTAATTTTTGTATTGTATTAATGGATTAATTATTGTAATTTTGTATTTTTAGTAGAGACCGGGGTTAGTAGAGACCACCATGTTGGTCAGGCTGGTTTCGAATTCCTGATCTCATGATCCGCCCACCTTGGCCTCCCAAAGTGCTGGGATTACAGGCATGAGCCACCGTGCCTTGCCAACTCTGGTTAATTTTTAAGTTGATGCAGGATCTTTTCTTTCCCAGTTGCATTAAGATACTATTATTTCTAACTTGGTAATTTTTTCCTAAATGTACCCATTTTATATATTGTGGTTGGCACAGTACAGGAAAAGACAGGCAAATAAGAAAAACTGTCAGGTTCAAACATGGAGTGGTGAAGATTTGTACTTAAGTGTAAGAGCAAATTTTGGTAAAAAAGAAAGAATGGGTTTGTTGACTATAATGTTATCATTTTATAATGCCTGAAAACTAAGGTTTCAGGCCTAAGGGACTGGAAAGAATGGAATTCCCTGATGAAAGCAGTTGACAGAAGATGGGGGAACCCATTGGAGAAGATGATTTCAGCTTTGGATATGTCAAGTTGGTGCTAGATATTCAAGTGGAATTATTCTCTTAACTCTCAGATATGCAGGATGGAAATTGAGATGAGAGGCCAGAACTATGGATATAAATTTCAGTTGTAAAATTTGTTATTTTTATTAACAAATAAAGGAGAACAGGGGAGGGAGGCAGTTAAAGAACCAGGAAGAAGGCTGCTTGCGGATATTCTTCATTTGTTTGTTGAGCAGTGGTGTAGCCTCTTAAGTGTATAAATATATGTAATGTTATGTGGCATGTGTGTGTGGAAAGATTGTCTGCATTTTTCTTATACATTAACTTAAGAAGTACCCCACCAGAAGCAAAAGGACAAAGATTTTTAAAATAATCAGTCCTTAATTAATAATGCTCATTGATACATGTAATAAAACTGGAAAGAGCTAACATTCATTAGTTATTTTTAAAATAGTCAACAAATTCCATTTTCCTGATCAAATTTAGATTTAGATGGACACGGTGGCTCACGCATGTAATCCCAGCACTTTGGGAGGCTGAGGCAGGCGGATCACTTGAGCACAGGAGTTTGAGACCATCCTGGCCAACATGGTGAAACCCCGTCTCTACTAAAAATACAAAAATTAGCTGGGCGTGGTGGTGCACACCTGTAGTCCCAGCTACTCAGGAGGCTGAGGCAGGAGAATTGCTTGAACCCAGGAGGTGGAGGTTGCAGTGAGCCAAGATCGCAGCACTACACTGCAGCCTGGGCAACAGAGTGAGACTCTGTCTCAAAAAAAAAAAAAAAAAAAAAACATGGAAAACAAAAAAAATACAAATTTAGAACTGTTAAAGTTTTGACCAGGAAAATTTGGATTTGGTAAAATAAGGCTACAAAAGAAATCTCAGAATGACAGAAACTATAATAGATAATATATGATAATGAGAAAATTTGTATCAACTCTGTTGATAAGTAAGTGCACATGGAAAAGAAAAATGTTGGCCAGGCATGGTGGCTTATGCCTATAATCTCAGTGCTTTGGAAGGCCTAGGTGTGAGGATCGCTGGAGCCCAGAAGTTGGAGGCTAGCCTGAGCAACACAGACCCCATCTCTACAAAAACATATTGAAAAGTTAGCTGGGTCTGGTGGCACACGCCTGTCTGTAGTCCCAGCTACTTGGGAGGCTGAGGTGGGAGGATCACTTGAGCCCAGGAGTTTGAGTCTGCCATGAGCTACAATTGTTCCACTGCTCTCTAGCCTGGGTAACAGAGTGAAACCCCGTCTCTAAAAAAAATAATAATAAATTTTTTTTAAATAAAAAAGTCAAAATGGAAAAAAATGATTTAATTGCCATGTAGAAAATTGTTCAAAGAATTAAACTAGCTATAGGAATGTATTTGCCAGGCATTCTGGCTCACACTATAATTCTAGCACTTTGGGAGGCCAACGCAGTGAGGAGATGGTTTGAGCCCAGAAGTTCGAGCCTAGCCTGGGCAACATGGTGAAACCCTATCTCTATAATAAATACAAAAAATGTTAGCCGGGTATAGTGGCATGTGCCTGTAGTCTTAGCTACTCGGGAGGCTGAGGTGAGAGGATCACTTGAGCCTCCAGGAGGTTGAGATGGCAGTTAGCTGTGATTGCACCACTGCACTCCAGCGTGGGCAACAGGAGACCCTGTCTCAAAAAAAAGGGGGCGGAGTTTGGGCAGGGGGAATATATTTAAGTAAGTTCTCTGTGAAAGCCCATCCATGTTGGCATATTTCTTATTTATTTTTTTAAAGTCCTCCCTGCAGTCCAAATATGTTAGCGTATCTCTGATTTCAGTGTTTTTATTCGTAAACATGGCATCAAAGCCCAGGTAGGGGAGTGTGAAAACACTGTCCAATTTGTCTTTTACCTCAAGGAGTGTAATTTCAGAAAAGTAATAAGGTGAAAACCCGCTTTCAGGAGTTAGAGACTAGAACTAAGGAAACTGAAGTCTGTCATTCTGTTTGATAATAAAAGGAAGACAAATTAGATAGTTGCTAGGAGTTGGGGAAGAGCTAGAATAACAGTGTGGTTATAAAAAAATAATAAGTTTCTGTATATGAGAAGGCAGAGGAAACATGGAAAAGGTGCAGTACTAGATATTTATACAGGAAAGTTCTACACGGTGAGAATTCATGGTGTAAGTCAAGTGGTTAGCTTTGGAGAAGGGCAGGTGAGGCTCATGGCGAGGAAGAACACCTTGGCCTCGTCTCTCTAAGCTGATGTGATGACAGTAAAGGATACCAAGAAGGACCCTGAAAGCAGCAGTCTGCAGCAGCCGCTGCAGGAAAGATGATGAGACAAATAGTAAAGTGAGTATTTTCAGAGACCGAGCTGAAATTGCATGGAATTACTTACTCATGGTTCAGGTGTTTGGGCTAGGAGGCAAAAGTGGAGGAGTGCGAGTGGAAGGTTGGGAATTAGTAGATTGAGAGAGTGCGTGGGTGTTCATGTAAGTGCCACTAAAATAACAGCGTCTAAGGAACCTACCGTGGTAATGAAGAGCCTGTCTCACAACGTTTCTGTCAGAGCAGATGTAAGGCACAGTCTTGCATCTGTGAGGATATTATAGAAAATAAATCAATTTGGGTTGCTTTATTTCTTATGTATTTTGACCCCTGGTTTCTGCACAGTCCACAGCAGGAGCATCATTATTGGCTAATGCCTCACCTCTGACTCTCATGACATCACCTTTGTCTGTAACAAATCAAAATGTGACTCCTTTTGGGATGCTGGGTGGCCTTGTTCCAGTGACCATGCCCTTCCAGTTTCCCTTGGAGATATTTGGCTTTGGAACGGACACAGCTGGAGTGACAACCACCTCGGGATCTACCTCAGCCGCTTTCCACCATAGCCTAACTCAGAGTAAGTGGGGCTCTTCTATTTGGTTGGGCTGTCTAGCTTGACAGAACAGGAAACCTCACAAATTTATTCTAATTAAGAGTAGTCCAGTTGGAGTTAATGAAGATTATAGTTTTTTTTTTTTTTTTTAAGAAATGCAGTTTATATATAGTAAGTCAAATTATTGGACACTGGGGTTTTATATACAGTTTTTAAGCTATCTATACCACATTTCCATCTTAATGAAATTTTTAAGAGGAAGTCAGTTGTGTTGGGTTATGTGCATACACATACATTAACATAAGTAAATTTTCAAAAACGTGCTCTAGTTTTAGAAGGCCTTCGAAGTCAGGTGCTGTGCCTGCATTACATAAATCAGTTTTCATTTTTGAACTAAAAGGGCTCAAATCTGGATTTAAAGATGACTGACAAGTCTGTTTTCCTCTCAGATTTACTAAAGGGTTTACAGCCAGGAGGAGCTCAGCATGCAGCAACGCTTTCCCACTCACCTCTGCCTGCACACTTACAGCAAGCATTTCACGGTGAGAACGCCACCTCCTTCATCTCTTTCTTATTTGTATAGGCTTATAGATATGGATTATACTTTTCTGAAAACAATGTGAATGGAATGACAAAGGTTGGAAAATGCAAATTTTCATAGACTGAATCCTCATTCCTCATTAGCAACAGATTCCTTTTAAGAGGAAGGAAATAGGTAGATGAGATCTGTAACATATAAAAAGAGCCTTTTTGAAGGTGTTTATTATGTGGAAATGACGACTAATCAGAGGATTCATAAGATAGTTAAAAGTTATGTACAGTAATGATAGTAGTTTACATTTATTGAAAGCTTACTAAATGCCCCAGTCTTGTGACAGCTTACGTGGATTAGCTAACTTAATCCTTACAGCAAGCCCCTGAATGATAGATGACGATCTCCATTTTACCAATCACGAAACTGAATCAGAGAGCTAAGCAACTTGCCCAAGATAATACACAACTTGCCCAGATAACAAATGCTTGATCTGAGATACAAACCCAGGAAGTCTGACTCCATGGCCTGTATTCTTAGTGATTAAATGTCTTGGCATTTTAGCGGAGATGAAATTAATATGATCCTGCCAGGCACAGTGGCTCACTCCTGTAATCCCAGCACTTTGGGAGGCCAGGGTGGGCAGGTCACCTGAGGTTGGGAGTTTGAGACCAGCCTGGCCAATATGGTGAAACCCCGTCTCTATTAAAAATACAAAAGTTAGCCAGGCCTGATGGCGCATGCCTGTAGTCCCAGCTACTTGGGAGGCTGGGGCAGAAGATTTGCTTGAACCCAGGAGGTGGAGGTTGCGGTGAGCCGAGATCACGCCACTGCACTCCAGCCTGTGCAACAGAGTAAGACTCCGTCTCAAAAAAAAAATTAATATGATCCAAGCTGTATGCATTATGTCCTTGTAGGCAGCCAGATCGCTCTGAAATCTGACATTAGGCAGTCAGATTAGGCAATGTGCATAACACACTGGGCTCCAGCTTCTCGTTTTCCCCAGCAGTCTACCTCCATAGACACTGATATTATTCTGAAGCCCATTTTCAGGATCTTTTGAGCAGAAATAACTGCTTAGCTGCCCTCTTAACTTTGGAAGTTGACTAGGCCTCACTTTTTTTTTTTTTTTTGGCCACTGCATTAAAAATGACCTTTGAACCAGTTTACCATTAACCACAGTGCAGAGATGGGAACTGAGGGGCAATCTTGAGGCAACAGATTGCCATTAATCCTCTGAAAGACCTAAGTGGTGAGCTGTCTCAGTCTTAACCTTGAGAATGAGTATAAAACCACAGTTGTGTAAAATGGGTAACACAGAGTCGTGGCACAAATGTCAGCAATCCCGATCTTCCTGAACTCTGACTAGTTTAAATATCTAAAGAGAATTTCCCTGTGACTAAAGCATGTCCCCCCCTGGGTGTAGACAGCTGCTTGGTATAATGAATCCAGCTGAGGGTAGTGTACTCATGGGCAGATTGGCATGAATGTGGCCACCTGCAAGGAATTAAACAAGCAGGATTCTTGTGGCTCAAAAAGACCCCAGTGTTCGCTCTTACACGAACTATCAAATTTATCTGTGCAGCACTGCTATTCCGAGGGGAGAAAGGAAATATGACTGTCAGTATTTTCCAAATAACTAAAGTTAAAAAGTTTAAAATTTTTCAACCAGGCATGGTAGCTCATGCCTGTAATCCCAGCATTTTGGGAGGCCAAGGCAGGCGGATGGCTTGAGTCCAGGAGTTCGAGACCAACCTGGTCAACATGGTGAAACACTATCTCTACAAAAAATACAGAAAATTTTCTGGACATGGTGCTGTGCACCTGTAGTCCCAGCTACCCAGGAGGCTGAGGTGGGAGGATCACCTACACCTGGGAGGTTGAGGCTGCAGTGAGCTCTGATTGTGCCACCGCACTCCAGTCTGGGTGACAGAGTGAGAGTCTGTCCCCCCCAAAAAAAAAAGTTTAAAATTTTTCCTTTAAGAAACATTTTAAAGTGTAAGTCACTGAACTTGAGGATCAGACTTGGATTTTTGAATTCCAGAACTGCCAGTTTGAGTAGGCTTGTTTGACCATCACTTTCTCTTGCTTGTAAACTGGAGACAACAAATGTTTTTTAATGACTTCATATGAGAATCTAATAAAAAATAATTGATTTAAAGCTTCTAGCTTGGCACCTGGTGCATAGTAAGAGCTCAGTTAATGTTGATTAATTTTATTTAGTCTAAAACAAAGGTCAGTAAAATTTTTCTATAAAGGGCCAAATAGTAAATATGTTAGGCTTTGCAGGTCATATGGTCTCTGTCACCACTACTCAACTGACCATTGTAGTGAAAAACAGCCATAAGGAGTATTTAAACACATGAGTATGACTGTAAATAAAACTTCATGTGCAAAAGCAGGCAGGGAATCAGATTTGGCCTATGGGCTGTAGTTTGCCAAACCCTGGTCAAATTTGTTCCTTTTCACCTGTGTATTTCTGCTATTCATGCCTCTTCCCTCAGAGTAAAAGGTTTCCTTCTCCTGTCCTTTGCTGTCAGGCATGGGTTGTCTTTGAGGCCTCATTTTTCTTGCTAAGGCCATGACCTGTTGGAGACTTTCTCCATATTCTGTTGGCTTTCCAAGTCATTGGGCCTTACCCTTGCCCTGGTATCCCCCTTTCCTCTCCTCCTGTCCAGTTTTTGTAGGTAATTTAGTTGAGGCTTAAATGAAGTAATCAACATTTTTTCTGCAAGCATTTAAACAGCAGTATGTAAAAATAGAAATTATTTTGAGCTGGTGTGGTGGCACACACCTGTAGTCCCACTACTTAGAAGGCTAAGGCAGGAGGGTCTCTTGAGCCCAGGAATTTGAGGCTATAGTGTGCTATGATCGCACCTGTGCATAGCCAGTGTACTCCAGCCTGGAAAACATAGCAAGACTCTCTCTTAAAAAAAGAAAGAGCCAGGCGTGGTGGCTCATGCCTGTAATCCCAGCACTTTGGGAGGTTGAGGCAGGGTGGATCATGAGGTCAGGAGTTTGAGACCACCCTGACCAACATGGTGAAACCCTGTCTCTACTAAAAATACAAAAATTAGCCGGGCATGGTGGTGTGCGCCTGTAATCCCAGCTACTCGGGAGGCTGAGACAGGAGAATTGCTTGAACCTGGGAGGCAGAGGTTGCAGTGAGCTGAGATCGCGCCATTGCACTCCAGCCTGGGCGACAGAGCGAGACTCCGTCTCAAAAAAAAAAAAAAAAAAGGAAAGAGCCTTGTCCCAGTAGCAGACTTTCCTGTCACTTAAAGCTAGGTTAGAATGAGCACACACTCAGCTGGATGTTTTTCACTACAGATGAAAAGTTTGCTACGTTTGTTTACACAAATAATCAGGAATTATGAAATGCTGTGTCCTGGCAAGAAATTTTATTTCACTTACAAAAAAAAAAAAATGAAATTGACCTGTCTTCCAAAGGAGTTGAAAGATGTAGTGGGTCCCTCGGAGGTAGGAATTGTGTCTTCTGGTTCCTTTATAACCCTCTCACAGCATTTGACACAATTGGCTGGGACGTAAATGATAAATACTTGTTGAAATCATATTTAAAAAACACTGAAAACCACAGTCATTTGAGAGAAGAGGATCATTGTTGTTGAGTTTTTATCTCCATGATGTTTTATCAACCTCTATAATGCTATATGGCATGCAAGATATTAAAAGTGATATCTTTTCAGAGATGTCATCCACAAAAGATAAAAGTTAATTGTTGTTTTTGCTTTGTTTTTGTTAGCTGGTTTTTGTAACATATGGACCCATACCAATTTAACGTCTCTTTTTCTCAGATGGAGGCCAAAGTAAAGGGGACACTAAATTACCACGGAAATCTCAGTGACTGCCCAGCAAGCAAAGGAGACGAAATGTTTAGTTGACTGATGGAATCTACCTGATGGGAAAGTACTTATGTGGTCATAGGGCTGCTGTTTCTGTCGATGTTTACATTCTCTCGTCCCAAGCACTGTGGTGAGGAGGAAAAAGAAAAGAAAACATTACTTGAGCAAAGCCAGGTGCAGGAGGAAGAAATGCTTTTGTGCAAAGTTAGTGACCTTTGGTCTCTTCTAAAGAATGACAGAGTTACCGTATTAACAGACTTGAAAGAGACTCAGTTGTCAAACCCACAGAAATACAAATTTGATTTTTCCCGGGGGAGGAAGAAGGAAGTGAAGAGAATTTGGGTAAACTCCATCCATCCTGGGGGTTGGATCTGAACACTTACAGACATAATTGGTAATAAAAGGCATTAAAAACTGGAATTAGGCCAGTTTGTCAGGAATAATGATCATGTCTATTTGAATGGACTGTGTAGCAGATTTGCCACAAAAAGAAATAATAATGATTCTATCTCCGATAGACAGTAGCTGCATAGCACACCCTCGAAAATCCTGAACAAACTTGAATCTCCTCCAGTGTGTAGCAACTTCCCTCAATCAGTGGACTAAAGATCCTTCAGGAAAGTTATTTTAGCACAGTGATATATATTATTAAATCATCTAGATTTTTAAAAATCAGGAAGTTGAGCCTGTTGCTCTTAAGAGATGAAACCTAGATGTCCCCTTTTTGTAAAAGGGTCAATTTCATCTTCCGTTCAGAAGCAGGTACTTAACTCTTTTCTTCAGGTGATTTGTGCATCTAGTATTGACTGGTTAATTCTTATTTCCATTCTTGATGTTAAAATGTGACTGTGTTCACATTTTTCTCCTGAGAAATGGGGATCTTTACAGGGTTATTGCTTTGCTGCTTTTAGCCCTTGCAGCAACATAAACTCTAAGTTTCCCCAGTTCATCTAACTTCACAACTTCTCCTTCTGTTCTTTTAGCTAGTGGTCCTTCAGGTGATTATTAGCTATTGGTATAAACAGGTAGAAGTGTACACTATGTTTCTTCATTGGTCATTCAAATGGCATGAATATAGTTTTTGAATTTTTAAGATGGTATTTTAAAGGGAGGAATCACATTAGGATCACAATCACGACATATTTTTACTCCCTGTATCCAGTGTAGTGAAATTGTTTGGAGCATTTGAGATCCTAAAGCTTCACTATTTACTCAGTGTATTGGTATGTGAGTAAATCTGCAGAAAATAAGACTCCTTAGTTATTATAGCTTCCTTATGCAAATAGCATATTCAACAAAGGATGTTAAGGGAAAAATTTATGGTTCTCCTTGGATACATTTGATTTGATGGGTTTTTTTGCCGCATTATTCTAGTTTTTTAAGCTTCTGAATATTTTCATACTATATCAGAGAATGGTGTAAACTCTAAATGGTATAAGCTTCATCCATTTATAATGACACTAACCTAAAAAAAATAGACTGGTAGTGACAAGATTTATTGCATATGTGTTTATTATACATTACCCTATACCATTAGATTTACTCAATTAAGAGTATTAACCAGGCCCTTTTTTCTTTTATACACAAAAGTCCCAGATACCCTACAGGACTGTGAATAAATAACCACAGATCGGTTCAGATCTGTATGCCTATATTTTGACTTCAAAGTCACATTGGCTTGCTTCATAGCGAAAAAGTTAATAAATAACTGAAAACTTTAGTTCCAAGAACTTGTTACAGTAAAGGGAAAGGATTATTTCAAAGGAATCACTGATATAATTTCTTGACTCTAAGAATTTAGTTTATCAATAAAACAAATATGGATGTAGTATGAACCCCAGTAGATATTTTGGAAGGATACTGGGAGGATGTTGCAGAGAGGTTTGACTTGAATTCAGTATGTTTGATGAAGATTTGCTTGGTTTCAATTAAGGAAGCTTGCCCAATTTTTTTAATTTTTTCAAATGTAGTGGACCTCTTGCTTTTACGAAATATGAATAAAAAGGTCTTTGCTTCATACTAGGGGAAGTGATGGGATTTTCCTTTGGGAAGGTAGCCTTTGTTTTACTTCTCATACCACAAGAGAAGTCGAAGTGCGTATTAATTTCTCTTCCTGAATACTTGTATATATGTTTGTCTGTATGTATATATACATACACACATACATTCATATAAATGACTAGTTTGAGTCAAAAAATCATTTGAATTTCTTAAAACCATCAATTCTGAATCATGCCATATGAAGATCCCTGGTGACTGTCATCATTAGAAAAGAACAAGATAATCAGTTCTTTTCCCTGTAACATTTTATACTAACCAGTAAAAATATCTGAAGGCCCTTGGCTCCAAGAATACAATGTGGAGATTCTTCTGTGTTCTCTTTAGTCTTGATTCCTTGAGGACTACTGTCAGATCCCTACCTTAAACCCCCACCTGCACTGACGACTTACATTCATTTCAGTCAGGACCCCCCTTTTATGTTGTATGAATCAGTCAAACATCGTTGTATTTCTGTATAGATAAAGTATGATCAGAGAGTTTCTACATGTAAATAGTAATCTATTTCTTTCCTAGATCATAACATTGAAAAAGGTGCCCATACTTTATGGTCACCTGTCTTTACCGTTTTTATTACTAAAAACAAACATATAAATTGGTTATTTTTTAGCACAGAGACTTGTGACTCATACTGTATTTTTGCACTTAAAAATCAAATTATGTTATTTTTTAAAATGGTGAGTCATTGGAAAGGATATCTATAGAGCAACGTGTATTTCTGAAGAGCATTAGCAACATCCAAATGCAAAAATAATCAGCACACATGATTATATCCCACTCCTTGGGATTCTTGATTCAGGAAGATTAAGCTGTTTGTTTTCAACTGTTTTATATTTTAAATTGCCTTCACTGATATATAAGCTGTTACTGTACATACAAGTTAATCCTCAGTATTCACAAGCAATAACAGTCAGCAGGGTTGTCCTCGGAGATAGCTGTGCTGAGCCTCAGTTGGAGACTGGGAGCAAAGTGTCAAGCTCATTCAGAGCATCCAGAATAAATGCAAGCAATAATTTCCATTATAATTCAATTATAATTCTTGTATGCTTTTGAGGTCAGAGGGTAAATGAAATCGTGATTTTAAAACAGCCTGAAGAAAAAGGTTTTGGGAAAGGAAATGAGGCTAATCTGTAGTCATAAAATTCTGATACTTTGCGGAAATTAGAAGATGGTGATAGTGCATTCTTTTGTGCCCACCCCCCCTCTGATGGATGTTGTTAGCCCAAATTACATTTTTCATATCATGGACATTGAATAGGGTTTATTGAATCAGGAAGGTAAGGGGAAGAACCGGGCACATATGTGTTGGAATACTGTGGGTTTGACACCTGGTTGAAAACAACTTATTGGACATGATTTTTAACCCAGGATATTTTTTTCCCAAAGCAGATCTAAATTGTTTACTACCCAGGGTTGGAAAGGGCAGGCACCTCTAATCTAGTCTTTGTCCTCTGGTTGCCCTCTCCCACACCCCTTTCCACCTATACTTGGTTCAAGACATTTTCTGAAACGAAAATTCTGCTGTTGTTCAAACTGCCATTGGTTATGAGAACTCTGCGTCCTTTGGGATCATCTCTTAGAACTCCAGTGATCTATCATATTTGCTGCTACATTTGTAAAATGAACTTTGCCTGTATTGGTTGACTTTAATTTACAGTTCTTTATTTCTAGGATGTTTTGTCCTCTAGTTTGACTCATGTATAGAATTAGGATACTTTATTTTAGGAGTGTACCGTAAAAGCACACTGGTCCCTTTGTTGTTTTTATTATTTAGGTTTGGAATTTGTTTGCTTTTTTTTTGTTTGTTTTTTGTTTTGTTTCTGTTTTTGTTTTTTTTTAAAGTTGGAAATAGAAGAATGAGAAAAATCTATAATCAGGCCAAACTTGAGAACTTTCCTGTGCTTCAGCACTGTAATTCTGCTGACCTAATGTTCTCAAAAGAGGCACTTTTACTTTCTATTGTGCATGTATGATTGTTGTTTTTTGCTTTTGAGGGGGCTTTTGTGTTTGTAATAATGAAGCAGAAGAAAAGTGCAGTAGTAGATAAATGATCACAACATGTTATGCAATTTTATTTTATAAAATTTTAAGGGGAAAAGTTTAACTCTTTGTAAATCATTTCTTAGCTCTGGTAAAATGCTTATATTACTCCTCTAAAACATGCTCAATTCAGGCCTTTGTCTTTGTTAAGTGCCTTTTTTCTTTCTTTTTTCCTCTCTTTTGAAACTGTTGTCACATTATCTTAAAGTACAGACTGATAAGTCAGGGGATTCAGGAGGAAGAATCTCACACTTGTCAACATCATGTCATGCTGTGTAACCCTCTTCCTTTGCTTTCTATGTATATGGATATATGTGTAAGATACATACATTACATATATATAAAACTAGGAGCTGCTGTACCATTGCATCCTTTCCAAACACTCCCCTTTCCATGTTTGCAAAACTTCTGCCTTGTTTATTCCATTGCTTTTAGTTGATTAAAGTGGGTGGATTAGAAAAGTATCTTTTCGGCCGGGTGCGGTGGCTCACGCCTGTAATCCCAGCTCTTTGGGAGGCTGAGGCAGGTGGATCACGAGGTCAGGAGATCGAGACCATCCTGGCTAATATGGTGAAACCCCGTCTCTACTAAAAATACAAAAAATTAGCCAGGCGTGGTGGCAGGCGCCTGTAGTCCCAGCTACTTGGGAGGCTGAGGCAGGAGAATGACATAAACCCGGGAGGCGGAAGTTGCAGTGAGCTGAGATCGCGCCACTGCACTCCAGCCTGGGCGACAGAGCAAGACTCCGTCTCAAAAAAAGAAAATAAAAGTATAGAAAAGTATCTTTTCACAAGAGGCCACCTTCGCCCTTTGAATATCTGCTTGTAGAAGTTAACAATAACAACACACACACACACACACACACACACGTCAGTTACTACAAGTAAAATAAACTTAGTGAATCATTGACTATTCTTGGATATAACCCACTTTTCTGTGCTCTTTAAACTTGGCATAAGTAATATAGGAGACAGCATTGGAATAACAAGAGTACCTTGCAAGTCACATTGGTAAGGTGCGCTAGACTAAACATGTGACAAGGCTAGCGTTAGAACCGCAGTTTGGTGTCTAAGTTTAGAAGCAGGTTAGCAACTGTCAACATGAAAAATGTATCATATTTTCTTCTGGAAAATGATTTTTGAAGAAATCATATAGCTGCATATCTATCTGTTAAAAGGTTAATAAACTCAGAAGTAGAAAGACTTCAGATGCTGAGGAAAACATATAATCTATAGCATTCTTGAGAGATTTTCCATTTGCTTTTTATTTGCTAGATAATTACATTTGGCTTAATCTGATTTTATGGTTATTTAGATTTCTCCCTTGAGCAAAATAACATAATTTTCAGTATCTAAGATTCATCGATTTTTTGTTGAAAACAAATAGATGTGACATGTTAAGGGAGACCAAGTTGAACCATCCCTCAGACCCAGTACAAATATACCTAGTAAGTGCCCCCCTTTCAATACATTCTAATTGGGAAGAAGAAGAGACTAGTGGCTTAAAAGGAGAAAGCAGAAGCTCCTGGTAGTGTTACCTGATAGCAGAACTTACCAGGCAGTTGGAATTCACGAGTGTTATTCTTGAATGACTATGTCTAGGGGGAATATTGTTTAACCTTCGTGCCTCAGATTACCCATTAGACAATTGGGTATAATCATATTCACCTACCTCCCAGGGATATCAGAGACTTTACTATTTCAAAAATATTTTGAGTTTTTGTAAAATGTCCTATATAATTAAAAATAGTATTATCATCTTCCTGCAGAGGCTAAAAAATGTTTTCCTTATAATGAGTATAAAAAGCACCCTATGGTTTTTAAATTTAAAAAAATCACTGGAATTTTAATTTAGATACATATTTGTTATTTAAACATTATCTTTGAGGTGGGATAAAATGTTTAGTTTCAGGTTAACAAGGGAGAGAAATAACACTAAGTTTAAGTAGTTTTTTTTAGCCTTTTACGGTGTTACTGTGATTTTTCGTCAAGGTTGTGGAGCTAAAGTTAGATAAAGTTATGATGCTTGGTTATTGGAGTTGATAAATGATCCTGGAAGTTTTAACTGTCTCACTTTTCCATCTTCTCAGTCTAATTTCCTTTTATTGCTTGTTTGAGGACGGATAGCTAAGCTTTTTAACTTTCTAAGAATGAGTATGATGTCTCATTCTTGCAAATCAGAGATTGTGTACTAATTCCATTAACTGTAGGTGTATCCAGCTCTGCACTGAAGGGGTGAGCACTACACACAGTCAGCTGGATACTCTTGTAGCCATTGCACCTTTGTAATTCATGCTTCTTCAACCCATGAAAGAGGTGGAGCCATCAGCTGCTCAGGTTGTAAGAAAATGGGAGACGGAAGGCAGGATTCACTTTCTAACTGGGTCGGGGTGGGGAAGGTCAGGGTAGAAGGAAACATGTTTTCCCCAGCTCCCAGGAGGAGACGAAGATCATTTTATCCCACCTTCCATCCCTGTATATTAAGTAGTACTACTACATAGAATTTTCCCGTTATCGTTTAAAATAATAGCAACAGGAAAAGAAAAATGGATGCTGCAGTTTTAGTTGGGGCTAAATGCTGAGCAACGATTGTTGGAGTGTGTGTGTAAATTTAAATTGTAGCACATATTCAGGGTCAGGAAAGCAAAATGTTGGGGATGAGGAACCAGTGTTACCAGGTTCAAGTGAGTTAGTAGAAAGCACCAGGTCCAAGCAGACAAAGCATCTGGTTAATTTCCAGAATTGGCTAAGGTCCACTGAATCTCTAATGATAGGGTGTGTGTGTGTGTGTGTGTGTGTGTGTGTGTGTCTGTAAGTCACTTTTTGGATTTTTGTTGCTTTTTCCAGATAAGGCCTTAGTAGCCTCTAAATATCAACTATGCAGATAAACATACTCCTTTTTTTTTTCACATGTCCCTGTCTTTTCCATTCTCAGATAACAAATGTTAAGACCCAAAGAAATAAGGCATAAGGGTTTTTGTTGAATGTGTGTTTGTTCTTCTAGGGAAAATTAACAGAAGCATAAAATAGAGATACTTTGTGTGTTCATCTATCGTAAAATGTGAACTCTGTATTCAAAAACTATCTACAGATGCTTTCACTGGTGCAAAGCTGTAGTTAGTATCATGGAATGTCTTTGGGTTGTTAATGATAAAATCATCCCAGTGTTCAATTCTGAGAGTTTTAGATTATATGACACAATGTTCAGGTTTATAGAGCTGAATGGGTGATCAAACTCTAATTAAAAATAGCTTTGAATATTAATGTTGAATTCTTCTTTCTTGGTTTCCTTTAGTCTTCATTCTTTATTCAGAGCTCTTAATCATATTGCTACACTAGAATATGAATTGTATATTAGGAGTCTGGGGAGGAAAGGTTAAATTGTCTTTTACATCCTCTTCTCACTCACTCTGGCAACCTATCCTGTGTCCCCATAGAACTGAGAAGTAAAGCCCTGTGCAGGCCTGCTTTAGAAGACTTTACATCCCAGCAGAGGATTCAGGCAGGGACTCTCAGGATTTTAATCAGACTGCCTTTGAATAATGTGATATTAAATTTTATTTTTCTCATAGACTCTCAAAGTACCACTTGCTTGAAAGTAGCTACTTGTGATCTTTAATTTCCTTATATTGTGATAGTTCTACTTTTCAGTCTTTCCTGTGTATCTCCATTTCATAGTGCGTTAGTACTTAAACTTCGGACACTTTTCCAAACTGTTAAACAAGTCAGGAATGCTTTTCAGAATCGCAGTAGTATTATTAGGGTCTCTGTGTCTAGGACTTACAGTCATCAGTGGTCATCACTGGGACTAGAGGTGTTCTTTTTTTTCCTCTTCTCCTTTGTATTAAAAAATAGATTTTGCTACTGTATAATGCGGCATTTCATGACTTCCTCTTGTTACTTTTCAAGGTTATTCTAAAGAGATGGAGATCTTCATTAGAGGCTATTTCTCATAATAGTCTGCCTTGCTTATTTTCATACTCCCCCTGAAATAAGCCTACTTTTGCAAACAGGCCATATGAATCAAATTTTATGTTTGTTCCTCACAAAATTTTCTACACATTATTTGTTCCCACTTTGCTAATAATAATATAATGATTTTATTGTAAATCTGTGTTTTAAATATTTTATAACAGAGCACTAATGGAAACCTAATAAATACAAACAAGATAACTATTACCCAAGATAACATGGAAATACTTCTGTTTTTGAAGTTAACAACACCGTCTGCCCTCAAAGCACATTTAGGAGTATCAACCAAGACCAGCCAGTTGACATGTTTTTCTGTGTGGCAACCTGCCCTTAAATTGTCAGATCTTAACTATCTTGTGTTTGCTGTGCTTGCAGCCATAAGCTTTCCTCCTTTTTTGCTTATCCCTGCTGTTTGTAGGGTTAGTGTGCCCTCTGTCAGAAAATTGGGTTTTCTTTACTATACCTGCAAAATTACCAAGGGTTACCCCAATATTGTCTAGAGGAATTAAAAAGAACTTATTCTCAGTTGACAAAAGTATTACTGTTATACATAGTTAATTGGAAAGTTGGCCAACTTTGGTCACCTATTTTTGAGTCTTGGCTATGCCTTTGTAATTAGTTACATATACCTTCTGAGACCTTCAGATAATCAATGGGCCTTTCCCCATTAGAGGTAGGTTCCCAGCCTACAAGTATTTCCTGTGATCCATGGCAAGCCTCCAGAGAAAAGATTCAAGCTTTGCACTGCCCTTTTGTTGATTGTCATTGAAAACTTACTTTATTTCAGAAAGTATCAAAAATACCAAATTGGTCTTTCAGAGAGTATGTAAATCTGGGGCTTGCCCTTGGATTTCACTTGTTAAACACCCTCAAACTTAAAAGAAGAAAATAGATCTCCAGCTGGTGAAAATTTTGTGCCCCAAATAATATATTAATCCAAGTCTACCAAGGTAACTAAGTAATGGATGTTTTCTCTCTTTTATTACAAGCAAGAAAGTTCATTTGCAGTTGTAAAAATGATTACCGAACTCCAGACCTATTTGCTATAACTGATTGGAAATAATGATTCTGATTTTTAGTCTGGGTAAACACATACTTCGGTGTGAATTTTGATAAGGGAAAGACTTGTTTGGTAGCCCAAGGAAAAACAGGATGTATTTATACAGTGAATGTTCACTCTGCAGAGGAACTTCCCTCCAGTTACATCTTCCTCATACATTAGCCACCTCCACACTTGACATAGATGCCAACATGTTTCAAAACCAATCTTGAAGGAGCCTAAAGAGTTGATGGTCCTCTAGGTGAAAGACAAGAATTACTGTATTGCATTTGCTTATAGGGAGGTGTGTTTTTGCTAACTTGAAGGGATATACTGTATTTCAAATAAGTGTGTGACTTAATATTTTGGGATTTTTTTTTCCTCCTTTAAAAACTGGACCTGAACACAAGCTTTGAGTTGATGTTTGTAATAATCTCAGGACCTGAAAGATTGTAGCATTTAGTGTGTCTTAAAAATTATGTACTGTACCAGCCATGGATTTTTGTAAATATACCTGTCTCCCTTTTTTGTATTTTAGTAAAAAAAAAAAAAAATAAATTTAAATAAAAGGGGGTGGTGATGACATGTGAATGGGTGCGGGTATGTGTGCGTGTGTGTTTGTATAAGGCTCTTTTGAGATGAACTGGTGCTTGTTTAATTTCCAGCTCAAATCGGAGCAGGAATATGGACAAACTGCTGCTACTGAACCCTGCACTGAGCCGAGGTATTTCCATTTGGTTAACTAAACGCTAGCTACCAGGAAATGACGCAGAAGTCACGTTCTTCTTCCCACTGCCATCTTGCCTTTGCATTCTCAGTTCTACGTGCCCTTTGAACTTTAATGGTAAAACATTTCACACTTTGGATGGTTTGCTTGTCTCTAGTTTTTAGAAAGCTCTTATCACTCCTTCCTAAGAAAAAAGAAGGGCAGGTAAATTTTTTTAACCAAAAAAAAATCACACATTTCATAAAACCCTGATGAATTTTGGATATGTGAGAGGGCATAAACATTCCTAAATATGGACCTGTGAATTTAGTAAATTACCCCCATGAATATACTCCTTCAGTGCAGGGATTTTTGTGTTTTTTTTTTTTTTTTAATTTTTTTGCAACAGCCTTGCTCATATTCCAGGTGTAGCTAGCAAACCCCTGTTTTTGAAGCAAGAGCCTTATTTGATTCAGTGTAGATGTTTCCTGTCTATCCTTTGTGACAGGGCCTTTTAATGAGTGTTTTTTCTTTTTGTATATGTTACGTGTTTGTTGTTGTATTAAATAAAGAGGAATGTACATACTATCCTCGTGTCTGTTGTGTTATTGAGTTACCTTGGGTTCTAACATCACACTCTCAGCTGTTGGGGAGTATCTGCTGTCCATATCACACTGTGCTAGGTTTATAGGGTACAAGAAGTAAAGGACCCAGTCTCCTGCCTCCCAGTATACTCACAATTTGCAGTCACATGATAAGTTAAAAGATAATGGTTCAAAATCTGTCACAAAGCTACATTTTGGTCCATTTGTGTTCCATTGCTACCTGACATTTGAGTTCACAGTGGGGAAGAAACGGGACTGGAGTAATGTGGGAAGACTCAGTGCAGTGGATGGCACTTGAGGTGGGCCTCCAAGAACTGGTGGAATTTGGCCAAATCAGGAAGGTGGAGCATTTGCTGTGAGGGGCATGTTTGGACAAGTAGAGGAAGGCAGAGCGTGGGAGTCCTTGATTGTGACTCACTCTAGGTTTTTTGGGTAATAGGGTATGTGTGTATTTGATGGTGCTACTACGGTCAGGACTTGAAATGTAGATGTGGGAATCATACAAAAATAATTCAACCTTAGAAATTCAGGTAAGAGGCCGGGCGTGGTGGCTCACGCCTGTAATCCCAGCACTTTGGGAGGCAGAGGCGGGCGGATCACGAGGTCAGGAGATTGAGACCATCCTGGCCAACATGGTGCAACCCCGTCTCTGCTGAAAATACAAAAATTAGCTGGGCATGGTGGCATGTGCCTGTAATCCCAGCTACTCGGGAAGCTGAGACAGGAGAATCGCTTAAACCAGGGAGTCAGAACCAGTGAGCCGAGATTGCACCACTGCACTCCAGCCTGGTGACAGAGCGAGACTCCGTCTCAACAACAAAAAAAAGAAATTCAGGTAAGGGGTGGGAGAACGATGAAGAGAGAGAAAGCAACTTGTCAGAGAAAGTGAATATAAGTGTACGTGTGATCTGCATAGAAAATATCAAAAAGGTTCTTGCTGAAATGGGGTTGTAGGAAAAAATATCAAAAAGGACATAACACCCCAAAATAGAGTGATGGTATGAGTGCTTTTTATTTTTTCCTTTTAAGTGTATTTTCAGTGTGTTGTCATGAAGATGAAAAGAACTAAGAAGTTAAAAAAGACATGGACCTCATACATTAGGGGATGAGGGGGACTGTAAGTGCCTTTAGCTAACATTTAAGGACAGTTTTGCAAAAGTGTGTTGTTGTCAGCAGTACTCCTCAAGATGATTTTTGCCAAAACGAGAAAACCCTGTGGTTATGTAATTTAACTATACTTAACTGTGTTTTCACCATCTTGTATGTTAACATATAAAGGTGTCATTGTTAAATTTTTTTTTAAAACATATTTTACCTAGAGTATTTGGCATGGGTCACTTTTTTCATGTAATTCCAATTAACATTAAATTTTAAAAGGTGGCCAAGGCCGGTGGATCACCTGAGGTCGGGAATTTGAGATCAGCCTGACCAACATGGAGAAACCCCGTCTTCTACTAAAAATACAAAATTAGCTGGGCATGGTGGCAAACACCTGTAATCCCAGCTATTCGGGAGGCTGAGACACAAGAATCACTTGAGCCCAGGAGGCGGAGGTTGCAGTGAGCCAAGATCGCGCCACTGCACTCCATCCTGGGTGATTGTAAGTGTAAATACATATGTGTGTACATACATGCATTAGAAAATATACAAAAGAACATAACACCCCAAAATGTAGAGTGGTGGTATCAGTACTTTTTCTTATTTTTCCTTTTACTTAAATATATTTTCAATGAACCTGGATAACATGAGTAAGTAAGTTGTTTTGTGTAACAAATAGGTGACTTTTTGGTTGAAAAGAGGGAGAAAGAAATGGGAAGGGGCCTCTCCCTGTCTCATCACTGGAAGAAGGGGAAAGAAAGGAATGTATTTCTTCCACTCAGACCTTAGTAGATCCTAACATTGGATTTGGCTTGGAGGGAAAACACAATAAACTGCTTGATTTAAAAATAAAGATTTGTTTTGCTTTGGGAGGCTGAAGTGGGAGGATCACTTGAGCCCAGGAGGTTGAGGTTGCAGTAATCTATCCTGGGCAACAGAGCAAGACCCTGTGTCTTTAAAAAAAAAAAAAAGTTATATTTGGTAGGGGAAAAAAGTACAAAGTACATGGGGATCTAATGCGTGCAAAGCAAATCTTACCCACAATCCCATCTTCCTTCCCCAGAGCAACCACCTATCAATTTCTCCAGTTATAAGCAGTGATACGTATCTGAGTTTGTAATATAAACTTAGCATACCTGGCTAGGCACAGTGGTCATGCCTGTAATCCCAGTACTTTGGGAGGCCAAGGGAGGCGGATCACTTGAGGTCAGGAGTTAGAAACTAACCTGGCCAACATGGTGAAACCCCGTCTCTACCAAAAATACAAAAAAATCAGCTGGGCATGGTGACTCATGTCTGTAATCCCAGCTACTCAGGAGGCTAAGGCAGGAGAATCGCTTGCACCTAGGAGGCAGAGGTTGCAGTGAGCCGAGATCGTGCTACTGCACTCCAGCCTGGGCGACAGAGTGAGACGCCGTCTCAAAAATAAATAAATAAATAAACTTAGCATACGTATACACTGTATCTAGCATTTTTCAGTTATCTTGGAGGTTATTTCACATCAGCACATAGAGGTCTGTCTGGTTCTTTGAACAGCTTCATAGTATTCTATAGTTGTGATATCACTTATTGATGGGTGCTTAGGTTACTATCAGAGGTAAACCACAATATCGTTTATATATTTGCCATCTGTATATATTGCAAACAGTCAAAAGTTTGCTTTGCCATGGACAATAAATGATCTAACTAGATTTGAGTCTGTCTGAAATGTGTACCACTGCTTCCTATACATACAAAGCTTTGAGAAATACTTGAGAAAATCAGTCTTTTATTTAAGGTTTTGATAATTGGGAACGGGCAGAAGAGATGCCTTTGAATTTGGTAAGGGTTGGGTTAATCATGAGATCGTACACCTTTTAAAGGACAATGACAGTCTCTTCTCAGGCAGGCATACTCTGACGTGTCATGGGTGTCCGTTCTTCAGAAAACATCGGGCCTCCATATGTGCCTAGGCGTAGTTTGTTTTTTCTCCCTCTGTGTATTTGCCTCTTCTGTGTCTCTGTTGTCTCTGTGTTTGTCCCTTCTTCATTTCCCCATCATCTTTTCTAGTAGGGTGGCGTGGTGTGAAGAACAGGTTGACAGCAGACAGACGGGTTCACAAGACCCCACTGTGAAGCTGTGTCACTCTAGACAAGACGCTTTCCCTTTCAAGCCCATTTCCTCATCTGCACAGGGGTGAGACCCCAGGCGGGTGTATTGGTCGGATTAGAGACAAGGTATGGAAAGCACCTAGCACAGTGCCTAGCACATAATAAGAGCTTATAAATGGTGGCTACTATTATTCTGTCTCTCCTCTGTCTTTTTACTTCTTAAATGTATGCTTCGTCTTGCTCCCCTAATTTCCCAAAAGTATAGAAGTGAAGCCATAGTGTTGTTTAAAAATCTGGTGTAGTTATTGCTTAAAGTACAGGCATAGATAGATAGCAGTTAAAATTCTTTCATCACAGGTATCAGAAACCCCTGGCTGAAAAAGTCAAGGGAATCTGGTTCATCTGAGTGGTCTTACAGATATTTGGTTTAGATGTAGCGTCATGGAGTGATTCCACGTCACCAAGATCCAGCTCTGTCTCCACTCTGCCATTCCAAGGGCCTGGCTCCGCAGGGAGTCCGTGACAGCCTCAGTCTCTCTTTCTATAGTCAAATGCCTGCTGTAGTTTCAAACTACATGCGAGTATGTGCTGTGGATAATTTCTTACTTTGTACTCAAATGCAAAGTAATGCGTCAATCATATGCCTTGATTCATAGCACATTGTCATCAGTCAGCTGGAGAACTCATTCCCTCACTTCATTATCCATGAAGTTTCTCCTCTTCCTTAGTCCCCACTCTGCTCTGTCCCACAGGCACCACTCTAACTTTTTTGATATGTGCCCCTTGTTTCGCAGGCATTCTTCGAAGTAAGTAGTGTTGTGTCGTGTGTATACAATTTTAATTCATACCAATAGTACTGTGGTAGCCATGTTTACTGTTTTCTACTTACTTAGATACATCCACGTTGCTATGCGTACATTTAGGGTGTTGCTTCTTACTGCTACACGGATTCCCTAGTGTGCACGCACCACATTATACATACCTGTTCCCCTCACAGTGGGTAACTAGGTTATCTTCAATTCCTTATTACCAAAAACAAGGTGATAGTTAGTCTTCCCTTCTGTCAACTGCGTGTTGATCTTTGCTCATCGTGCAATTGCATTTTGGTTTCTTGTTGTGGACATTAATCTCTTACCAGTTTTAGATGTGTCAGTTACTTTTGTCTGTTACCTGTCTTTTAACTTTGTCTGTGACATCCTTTATTGAACGAAATCCTTTTTAATTAATCTACTTTTTGTCTTATGTTTGTGTTTTGGGCAGTTTACTTATGAAATATTTCCCTAGCCCTACACCACAAAGATATCCTCCAGCATTTTCTCCTATGAGCTTTATAGTTTTGCCTTCACCTTTTCATTTACAATCCATCTGGCATCCACCTTTGTATACTGTGTAATGTAGGGATCCAGCTTTATTTTTCTGTATTTAGTGAAGCAGTTTTCCCAATACCACCTAACAGATCAATATTTCTCCCATTAATTTGTGGTACCATTTTTATCATATATCCAGTTCTCATATATGGAAAGATCTATTTTTGGGCTCTGTTCCATTGTTCTTTTTATTTCCACACCAGTATCTTACTGTTTTCTATTACCATAGACTTAAAAATATGCCTTAGTATCTAGTAAAGAGAGTCCCCGTCTTTGTTACTCTATGTTGGCCCAGCTAATTATGGATTTTTATTCTTCCATAGAAATTTTAGAATAAAATTTTCCACTTCCATTTAAAATCCAGTTGAAATATTGATTAGGATTGAATTTGCATTAAATTCACATTCTTTGGGGCCTATATAGTGGTTTAAGAAGAATAATAGAATCTTTAAGTTACAGATTTTTTTTGTGTCTTCCAATAAAGCTTTTAAAACTTCTCTATGAAGGTCTTGTTTATATATTAATTTCGAGGTATTTTATAGCTGTTGCTTCCATGAATTGTATCTTATTCTTTGTTTTCTGATTTATTGTTGGTACTAAGGAATGCTATTGATCCTTTAAAGTTGATTTTATATCGAGCAATTTTGCTAAACTGTTATTCTAATAATTCATCTGATTATTTTACTAGCTTTTCAATGGAAGTGATCATATAATGTACAAATAATGACAGTTTTATCTCCTCTTTCAATTTCACATTTTACGTCTTAGAGCATTAGACTGGTCCTTTAATACTATGCTAAACAGTAATGGGGAACGTGGCATCTTTGTTCCATATTTTAATGGGAACATTAAAATCTTTGTTCCTTATTGATCTAAGTCTTCTCCATTAAGGATGGTGTTATTCTAGATTTTTGGTATATAGTTTTTATGAACTTAAGAAAGTTCTATTCCTAATTTTCTGGGAAGGTTGATTATATGCATGCGCTGAATTAGATCAAGTGCTTTTCCCATAATACCTATATATGATCAACAATGACAGAATTTTTTTTTTTTTTTTGAGACAGAGTTTTGCTCTTGTTGCCCAGGCTGGAGTGCAGTGGCGCAATCTCAGCTCATTGCAACCTCCGCCTCCTGGGTTCAAGTGATTCTCTTGCCTCAGCCTCCCAAGTAGCTGGGATTACAGGCGTGTGCCACCATGCCTGGCTAATTTTGTATTTTTAGTAGAGATGGGGTTTCACCATGTTGGTCAGGCTGGCCTTGAACTCCTGACTTCAGGTGATCCGCCTGCCTCAGCCTCCCAAAGTGCTGGGATTACAGGCGTGAGTCACCGCACCTGGCCCAGAAACTCTTTTAGAAGTTTATTTGTGGCTGGGTGCAGTGGTTCACGCCTGTAATCCCAGCACTTTGGGAGGCCAAGGCAGGCGGATCACAAGGTCAGGAGTTCAAGACTAGCCTGGCCAATATGGTGAAACCCCATCTCTACTAAAAATACAAAAATTAGCTGGGTGTGGATATGGGCTCCTGTAGTCCCAGCCACTGGGGAGTCTGAGGCAGGAGAATCGCTTGAACCCGGGAGGCAGAGAGAGGTTGCAGTGAGCTGCTATCGTGCCACTGTACTCCAGCCTGGGCGACAAAGAGAAACTCCATCTCAAAAAAAGAAGTGTATTTGTAGGATTACTTATTTATTTATTTTTTTAGACGGAGTCTTGCTGTGTCGCCCAGGCTGGACTGCTATGGTCTGATCTCGGCTCACTGCAACCTCTGTCTCCCCGGTTCAAGCTAGTGTCCTGCCTCAGCCTCCCAAGTAGCTGGAATTATAGGAATGCACCACCACACCCAGCTAATTTTTGTATTTTTAGTAGAGACAGGGTCTCACCATGTTGGCCAGGATGGTCATGAACTCCTGACTTCAGGGGATCTGCCCACCTGACCTCCCAAAGTGCTGGGATTACAGGCGTGAGCCACGGTGCCCGGCCAATTTTTAATTGATTGTAACCTCCAGTGTGTTTGCTTCTGTTTTCATGCTGTGCCTTGTTTCGATGCATCATCTGACTCTTAATCAGTCTTGCCATTCTTCCTTCTCAATAACTTTTCAAAGAACCGTGAATGTTTTTGGATGCATATATGTTCATTATGGTTATATCTTTTTGATATAATAATAATAATAATATTATTATTATTATTTGAGATGGAATCTCGCTCTGTCGCCCATGCTGGAGTGCAGTGGCACAATCTCGGCTCACTGCAAGCTCCGCCTCCCGGGTTCACGCCAATCTCCTGCCTCAGCCTCCTGAGTACCTGGGAGTACAGTTGCCCACCACCACGCCCGGCTAATTTTTTGTATTTTTAGTAGAGACGGGGTTTCACTGTGTTAGCCAGGATGGTCTCGATCTCCTGACCTCGTGATCCACCCGCCTCTGCCTCCCAAAGTGCTGGGATTACAGGCGTGAGCCACCGCGCCCGGGAGATATAATATTTTTTAAAAAATATAGAACGCTGCACAATTTTGTGTATCATCTTTGCGCAGGGGTGGTGCTAATCTCTGTATCATTCCAGTTTTAGTATATGTGCCGCTGAAGCAAGCACTGATATAATGTTCTTTTACCAATATGATGTCCCTCATTTTTCTTTGTGACATTTTCCCTGTCTAGTATTAAATTTAATATCCAGATATCTATACCCCAAATAATATCTCATTGTATGGATATGTCACAGTTTACCCATTCATCGGGTGATAGACACTTGGACTGTTTCCACTTTTTAGCAATTATGAATAATGCTCCTATTAACACTTGTGCACAAGTTTTTGTGTGGATGTATGTTTTCAGTCCTCTTAGGTACAGACCTGGGAGTGGAATTGCTGGATTTTATGCTAACTACATTTCATTTGAGGAACTACCAAACTCTTTTCCATAGTAGCTGAACCATTTTACATACCCACCAGCAATGCATAAGAGTTCCAGTTCCGGCCAGGCATGGAGGCTCAGGCTGGGCATGGTGGCTCACACCTGTAATCTCAGCACTTTGGGGGGCAGAGGCAGGCGGATCACCTGAGGTCAGGAGTTCGAGACCAGCCTGGCCAACATGGTGAAACCCCATCTCTACTAAAAACACAAAAATTAGCCGGGCGTGGTGGCAGGCGCCTGTAATCCCAGCTACTGGGGAGGCTGAGGCAGGAGAATCGCTTGAACCTGGGAGGCAGAGGTTGCAGTGAGCTGAGATCGCGCTGTTGCACTCCAGCCTGGGCAACAAGAGCGAGACTTCGTCTCAAAAAAAAAAAAAAAAAAAAAAAAAAAAAAGGGGTTCCAGTTCTTCTACATTCTCATCAGCATTTGTCATTTTTCATTTTTTAAATTATGGCTGTCATCTCCTAGTAGGTATAAGTGGTATCTTGTTATTCTTTTGATTTGAATTTTTGTAATAACTAATAGTATTGAACATCTTTTCATGTGCTTAGTAAGTTCTTAGTATTTTAAGTATAATATACTTATATTAAGTATAAAAGTACTTATTCCAGGAGAGTTTTCAAAGAGGCTTTTGTGCTGGTTTTAAACTTGTTAGAACTTTGTATGTCTGAAAGTATCGTATCATCTTTGCTTCTTCACATTTAAATAATAGTTTAGTGGGATGTAATTTTCTAGGTTCTTTTCCTTCATCACTTAGAAATATAATTTCATGGCCGTGCACGGTGGCTCACGCCTGTAATCCCAGCACTTTGGGAGGCCAAGGCGGGCAGATCAGCTTGGCCAACACGGTGAAAACCTGTCTCTACTACAAATACAAAACTTAGCTGGGCATGGTGGCAGGGGCCTGTAATCTCAGTTACTCGGGAGACTGAGGCTAGAGAATCACTTGAACCCAGGAGGCAGAGGTTGCAGTGAGCAGAGAATCACGCCACTGCACTCCAGCCTGGACGACAAGAGTGAAACTCTGTCTCAAAAAATAAAAAATTATGTATGTGTGTGTGTGTGTATATATATATAATTTCATTGCTTTTTTGTCTCCAATTTTTCTGTTAGGAAGATTAATGCCAATCCAATTTTTATTCTTTTGTGAACTATATTCCTTCTTTCTATAAGATTTTTGAATTTTTTTTTCTTTTTTTTGGTCTTCGATGTTCCTAAATTTCTTTTTTTTTTCTTGAAATGGAGTCTTACTCTGTCACCCAGGCTGGAGTGCAATGGTGTGGTCTCAGCTCACTGCAACCTCCGCCTCCTGGGTTCAAGCAATTCTCCCACCTCAGCCTCTAGAGTAGCTAGGACTACAGGCCAATGTTCCTAAATTTCATTACAATATTTCAAAGTTTAGGTTTTTCCTTCTCTATTCTGTTTGATGTTCCACAAGACCTTTGCATTGCGGTCTTTTTATCATTAATCTGTATTATTATTATTTGAGATAGAGTCTTGCTCTGCCACCCAAGCTGGAGTGCACGGCTCACTGCAGCCTCAACCTCCCAGGCTCAACCAGTCCTCCCACCTCAGCCTCCCAAGTAGTTGGAACTATATGGTGCATACCACCACGCCCAGCTAGTTTTTAATTTTTTTTAGAGACAGGGTCTCACAACATTGCCCAGGCTGGTCTCAAGATTAATCTTTAAAACTTCACGTTTTTTCTTTTTTTTTGGCTCCCAACAAGAAACACACACACTTACAATTTTTTAATACGTTCTCTTACTTACATCCATTTTCTCTTTTTCTGAAACTCGTATTAGGCAGATATTGACACTAATATTTTCCATATCTCTTAAACGTTCTTTGGTATTTTCCATCTCCTTATTACTTTTCGGTACCTTCTAGGAAAATTTCTTCAGCTGATTTAGATCATTATTCATTTTTCAGCTATTCTTGTTGTTTTGGTTTTTTTTTCTTTTTTGAGACAGAGTGTCACTCTGTTGTCCAGGCTGGAGTGCAGTGGCACAGTCTTGGCTCACTGCAACCTCCACCTCCCGGGTTCAAGCGATTCTCCTGCCTCAGCCTCCCAAGTAGCCGGGATCATAAGTGCCCGCCACCATGCCCAGGTAATTTTTGCATTTTTAGTAGAGATGGGGTCTCAACATGTTGGCCAGGCTAGTCTCAAACTCCTGACCTCAGGTGACCCACCCGCCTTGGCCTCCCAAAGTGCTGGGATTACAGGCATGAGCCACCGCACGCAGCCCAACTATTATTGTTTTTATCCACTTTCCTGAGTTTGTCACCAACTTCATATCAGTGTTTCCACTGGATTCTGTGCCACTGCTTGTTCCTCATTATCATCCTCTTATCTCTCTGAGGATCTTTGTTGTGCTTATTTTAGAGTCCTGATCTGTCTTGTTCCATTCCGGTTTGTGTAGGACAGTTTGTCTCTTTTGATGTGATTGTACTCTTAAAATACCTGGTGACATTAACCTCCGAGCTTGTTTTTCCCTGAGCTTATCAGCTTCCTTAGCTGGTGACATATAGTCAGGGGCATGGGCAAGTTCCAGCCCCTAACCTGTGCTTTTGCAAGTGGGCTGGGAGCACCAGCAGCCTTTCCCAGAGCAAACTTCCAGGCACCTGAGTCAGACCTGAACTTAAAACTGTGGGTCTGATTCTGCAGTTTACGGTTTTTTACTAACTTGCTCATGGTGGCTTATTTCTCTGTGTGTTTAGTGATTTTTGTATGATATATCCCTGCACTTCAGAACTTTATGGACATTCTTTGAGGCCTGGCTATTTTATTTGTTTGTTTGTTTTTTAAGACAGGGTTTCACTGTATGCCCAGGCCAGAATGCAGTGTTGTGATCATTCCTTACCTGACCTCCTTGTCTCAAGTGATCCTCCCACCTCAGTCTCCCAAATAGTTGGGACTACAGGTGCGTGCCACCATACCCAGCTAATTTTTTTTTAAATTTGAGGCCTGGATTTAAAGAAGAAGGATTTAAAGAAATCCTTCTTCTAGAGAGGACTTGATTTGCTTCTGCCAGGTTCCTAGGGACATTACCAACCCAAGACTGACCGCTTCAAATTAATTCTCAGCTTAGGATTTCTGGGCCTCGAAGTTAGGATGGATTTCAGCCACAAATTCATGCGCGTGGTAAGGGCTAGTGGTTAAGGACTCCTGTGGGTGGTTCTCCGGCTGGTGGCTAAGGACTCTTGCGGGGGTGGTTCTCCACCCTGCCTCCCACCCAACACTGCAGTCGAGACAGAAAAGCCTTTTCTCAGCAAGGTCAGGGTTGCGTTTTTCATTCTCAGCAATTCCCTGTCTTTGGGGCCCCAGCATTATGCAAGAGTCTTTTGTTGTTGTTGTTTTGTTTTGTTTTGTTTTTTGTTTTTTGAGATGGAGTGTTGCTCTGTTGCCCAGGCTGCAGTGCAGAGGTGCGATCTTGGCTCACTGAAACCTCTTGCCTCCCGGGTTCAAGCGATTTTCCTGCCTCAGCTTCCCGAGTAGCTGGGATTACAGGTGGGCACCACCATGCCTGGCTAATTTTTGTATTTTTAGTAGAGACAGGGTTTCGCCATGTTGGCCAGGCTGATCTCGAACTCCTGACCTCCAGCAATCTACCATCCTGGGCTTCCCGAAGTGCTGGGATTACAGGCATGAGCCACCGCACCCGGTCCACAAGAGTCTTGATCTGCCACCCCACCGTGCCTGTCTGGGGCCTTCTTTCCTTTTGGCTGCCTGAGGCAAATTAAAAATCCAGACTCTAAAGCCAGTTGTGCAGATGCTCACCTGTGGTCCCAGCTACTTGAGAGGCTGATGCAAGAGGATTGCTTGAGCCCAGGAGTTCAAGTCCAGCCTGGGCAACATAGCAGACACTCCATCTCTAAAAAATCAAAAATGATAAAAATTCCAGCCTCTAGGCCACCAGGGATTAGCATAGGCCCTCAGGGCAAACAACACGTTCCTGCTCTCTTTCTGGGTCCTCCTCCTTCTGACCTCCAGTTATTCTGGTCTCCTTTACTTCCCTGTTAGCTCAGTCATGCTTTAAAGTATTTTTTGTGTATTTATTAAAATTTCACCCAACACTCAGGCGGGTGTGGTGGTCCATGCCTGTAATCACAGCACTTTGGGAGGCCGAGGTGGGCGTATCACAAGGTCAGGAGATGGCGACCATCCTGGCTAACATGGTGAAACCCCGTCTCTACTAAAAATACAAAAAATTAGCTGAGTGTGGTGGCGGGTGCCTGTAGTCCCAGCTACTCCGGAGGCCAAGGCAGGAGAATGGCGTGAACCCAGGAGGCAGAGCTTGCAGTGAGCCGAGATCGTGCCACTGCACTCCAGCCTGGGTGACAGAGCGAGACTCCGTCTCAAAAAAAAAAAAGAGAGAAATTTCACCCAACACTCAAAGTAGTCTCTATTGACAGAGATTTCTCTGCACATCTAATTATCCATAATTTCAAAAACAAAAATTCTGACCAGACGTGATGGCTCATGCCTGTAATCCCAGCACTTTGTGAGACCAAGGCGGGCGGATCACCTGAGGTCAGGAGTTTGAGACCAGCCTGGCCAACATGGTGAAACCCCGTCTCTACTAAGAATACAAAAATTAGCCCGGCGTGGTGGCAGGCACCTGTAATCCCAGCTACTCAGGAGGCTGAGGCAGGAGAATCGCTTGAACTGGGAGGCAGAGTTTGCAGTGAGCTGAGATCACGATACTGCACTCCAGCCTGGGTGACAGAGAGAGACTCTGTCTCAAAAACAAAACAAAATTTCACCCAACACTTTAAGGTAGCCTATATTGACAGAGATTTATCTGCACATCTAATTATCCATAACGTCAAAAACAAAAATTCTGGCAAAGTGCTGGGATTGTAGTTGCAGTGGCTCATGCCTGTAATCCCAACACTTTGGGAGGCCAAGGCAGGCAGATCACTTGCGGTCAGACGTTCAAGACCAGCCTTGCCAACATGGTGAAACCCGTCTCTACTAAAAATACAAAAATTAGCCAGACATGGTAGCGGGTGCCTGTAATCCCAGCTACTCAGGAGGCTGAGGCAGGAGAATCGCTTGAACCGGGAGGCGGAGGTTGCAGTGAGCCAAGATCATGCCACTGCACTCCAGCTTGGGCGACAGAGTGAGACTCCGTCTCAAAAAAAAAAAAAACAAACCATTCTCTATATATTTTGTATAAAAAGTCATATTAATATAAGGACGAAATATATAAATATGTAAAAATTCTATATTAGCTATACCTTCACACAGCCCGCTTCCTAAGTCAGGCTGTCATGAGACACCTGCAGTGCATCAGGTATCCTGGCGTGAGGAAGGGGTTACTTTTTATAATGATAACTTCTTTTACTAAAATGGGACTCTTTCTGTGTCAGTTTCACCAGAGGCCCCAAAGGCTGAGAACAAAACATTAGGTGCCAAGTACTTCCACATTCTAAAGGCAGGAGGAGCTAGATCACCTTCACAGCTCATGCTGAGATTGTAAAACTGTTAGCTCCACATTGGGAAGGATTAGCTTGGCATCCACGTCCTGGCCGTGGCGGAATGTGAGAGGATTGCTTTGGAGCAACTGTCTGTGTGCTGGACGTTGCCCTTCTTCCCAGGCAGGAGGGGGTGGGTGCCCCATCTTCAGCTCATGCCAAATAAGGGAGCACTTCAAGAGGACCATTTCGGAAAGTGTGACATGTCTTCTGGAGTTTGAGGGACACGTGGACTGGGATTTGACTCCATGTTGGTGGCTAGCCCCTGGAGATGGCTGCCTTTGGCATGGTTTGCACTCTCAGAGTTCCTGTAGGCCTGCCGTGGTTCTCTAGAAAGGGAGACAGCCTTGTTCCAGCCAAAGGGAACACCGGAGGGATGGGATAACCTCAATAGAGGGGAGGACTTCTGGAGCCTAAGCGGCTGGGCAGGTACCCTAGTGTCCAGCTGGAGAAGGTGTAGCCTCTGGGGGACAGCAGGTGGCCTGGGGGTGGAGACTCTCCAGAACGCACGAGAAAACACCTAGGAGAAAAGAAGCACCATTTGGAATCTGTCACTCCCAGACTCAACTCATGGAGTGAAACCTGACCTTCCTTCCCCTGCTTCCCCAGGACAGCAGCAGGCCAGGGACAGCAGCCAGCAAGGCCGGAGGAGGCAGTATGAGAAAGAGAAATGACACTGACCGTGACCCCACGGACTCCAGGCTGGAGGAGGAGAGAGGGTTTCAAGTCAATGACATTTGAAGTTTTGAGATGACACTGGATAAGACTAATAACTAGAAAAAGAGACTTTTTTTTTTTTGAGACAGAATCTTGTGTCACCCAGGCTGGAGTGCAGTGGCACAATCTCAGCTCACTGCAACCTCTGCCTCCCAGGTTCAAGTGATACTCTTGCCTCAGCCTTCGGAGTAGCTGGGACTATAGACACGTGCCACTACACCTGGCTAATTTGTGTATTTTTAGTAGAGATGGGGTTTCACCCTGTTGGCCAGGCTGGTCTCGAACTCCTGACCTCAGGTGATCCGCCCACCTCGGCCTCCCAAAGTGCTGGGATTACAGGCATGAGCCACCATGCACAGCGGAGACTATTTTTTAAGTAAAATAAACAAACAAACAAAAAAACTCTTTAACCTGTTTGTTACCCAAAAGAGCCTGGAAAAGCTATAAATGTCATCCAGGCCTAGGAAAGAACGTATCATTACAACTGATTTGTAGGGACACTCCTGAGAAAGCAAAGTTGCTTTTTGTTCATACCTTAGCTCCTTCAGCAAAAGGCTGCATGGGAGTGTAGAAGGTCAGGTCAGGGAAACAGGTGGGCCATGTCCCCTGGCCCTCTTGGCCCACTTCCAGGCCGGGGCAATCTAAGCCAGCAATGGGGAGACGTTTCATTGGAACTTTGGAGTTTTCATGTTATACCATCTGGACTTTTTTTTTTTTTTTTTTTTTGAGACAGAGCCTCACTCTGTCACCAGGCTGGAGTGCAGTGGCATCCCACCACACCCAGCAAATTTTTGTATTTTTATTAGAGACGGGGTGTCACCATGTTGACCAGGATGGTCTCAGTCTCGATCTCCTGACCTCATGATCTGCCCGCCTTGGCTTCCCAAAGTGCTGGGATTACAGGCTTGGGCCACCACGCCAGGCTGGACTTTTTTAAAAAACCAAAGAGGAAAATTGTCCTTCTGTGTCCTGGAAAGGCTGCGTAAACCACCCCCAGTTTCACACAGGACAGAAAGAAGTCACCCAGGAAGCTGACGAGTGGCAGTGACGAGAAGGAATCACTCACTCTCTCCTTGCATCCAGCAGGTCCAGCTTGTCTGTTTTGAGTTTCATGATATACTGAGTATTATCATGCACTGCAGTTTCCATGCTGCAGGATGTCATCAGTGGGTTAACTTGATGAAAAGCAAGACCTTCAAATAACAGAAACTACTATGTAATGGAAAGAAGCCATGAAACTCTCATATACAAGAATTGTTGGCCGGGTGCAGTGGTTCATACCTGTAATCCCAGCACTTTAGGAGGCCAAGGTGGGCAGATCACTTGAGGTCAGGAGTTCGAGATCAGCCTGGCCAACATGGTGAAACCTCGTCTCTACCAAAAAATACAAAAATCAGCTGAGTATCAAATGTCAAAATTAAACACCTAGTTTTCTTTTACAAAAGACTCAAGCATTTCTCATATGCTGACCTCTCCTTTGATGACAAGAGGCTGTCAGGAGTGTGCTGCCCTGAGGTTCACAGCATATTTTTGGCAATCAGGCTTCGTTCCCAAATTTTTGTATGCTGCTCTCCGTATTACAGGGACTAGAATTATGGAAAATGCATTTCTCAATTTCTCTTGCCTGCAAGCTTCTGGACCTGATTATTATTATTATTATTATTATTATTATTATTATTATTATTATTATTTTTGAGACGGAGTCTCACTCTTACCACACAGACTGGAGTTCAGTGGCGCGATCTTGGCTCACTGCAACCTCCACCTCCCGGGTTCAAGCAATTCCCTTGCCTCAGCCTCCTGAGTAGCTGGGATTACAGGCGCCCGCCACCAAGCCCGGCTAATTTTGGTATTTTTGGTAGAGTTGGGGTTTCACCATGTTGGCCAGGCTGGTCTCGAATGGATGTGATTTTTTTTGTACTCATGCAAGTTTTCGTAGATGCAAGGAAAAAGCGGTATTATTATTTTGGAGGCCATGGTAGACCTAAAATCCCACAGTAGCCTCCAAGTGATCCATTAGCCCCATCTCAGTGCTTTGGGGCCTCTGCCATCAACAGGGGTTTCCTGCATTTTTCTGACCTGGGTGACAGCAGCAACCAACCTCCTGTACTCTGAAGTACTGTGTGGTAGCAGACTTCCCCTAGCTCCTAATTCCCGCTGCCATTCTTATGATGTCATAAGCATTTAAATACCCTGCACTCAATTCCTGTCCGCTTGAAAGGCCTACAGTGGTTCTCTTTTTCTTGCTGAACCCTGACTAATATGGATGCCTAGCTGATATTTTGAAAAAAATGGAGATCCTTAATGGGTCTCTTTAAGTTAAAATTGTTTTTAAGCTTTAATGAGACATTAACTGCCAATTTTAAAAGAAACTTGGCTGGGCGTGGTGGCTCACGCCTGTAATCCCAGCACTTTGGGAGGCCGAGGCGGGAGGATCATGAGTTCAGGAGATCGAGACCACGGTGAAACCCCGTCTCTACTAAAAATACAAAAAATAGCTGGGCGCAGTGGCAGGCCCCTGTAGTCCCAGCTACTCGGGAGGCTGAGGCAGGAGAATGGCGTGAAGCCAGAAGGCGGAGCTTGCAGTGAGCCGAGATCGCGCCACAGCACTCCAGCCTGGGAGACAGAGGGAGACTCCATCTCAAAAAAAAAAAAAAAAAAAAGAAAAAGAAACTTATGCTATGAAGAGAGAAATTTGAAAAATGAATGTTTAGAAATGTTTATCACTGTGCAATTTTGTTGCCTGAAATAACGTGCTAAAGATTTTTCAGAATATGGCCGGGCGCGGTGGCTCACGCCTATAATCCCAGCACTTCGGGAGGCTGAGGCGGGCAGATCTCCTCAGGTCAGAAGTTCGAAACCAGCCTGGCCAATATGGCGAAACCCCGTCTCTACTAAACATACAAAAATTAGCCCGGTGCAGTGGTGGACGCCTGTAATGCCAGCTACTTGGGAGGCTGAGGCAGGAGAATGGCTTGAACCTGGAGGCAGAGGTTGCAGTGAGCCGAGATTGCGCCACTGGACTCTAGCCTGGGCAACAGAGCAAGACTCCATCTCAAAAAAAAAAATAAGATTTTTCAGAACAACGAAACATACTGAATTACGTGTTGTCAATAAAATACACAATCATAATCTTTCTTTACTGAGAGAAATTAGGACTTTTTAAAATGTTGATAAAAGTATTTTCAAAATATGTGTTTCATTTTTAAAACATTTCTATTTTTTCATGTTTTATAATGCTTCCATAGTAAATGTATATAATTTAAAAATAAATACAAAGGATTACAGGGGAGGAACAAGACTTTTACTGATATGAGTACATAATATAAAAAAGTTTAGAAATCACTGCTTTTTTTTTTTTTTTTTTTTTTTTGAGACAGAGTCTTGCTCTGTCACTCAGGCTGGAGTGCAATGGTGCGATCTTGGCTTACTGCAACCTCCGCCTCCCGGGTTCAAGTGATTCTCCTGCCTCAGCCTCCTGAGTAGCTGGGATTACAGGTGCCCACTACCACGCTCAGCTAATGTTTTGTATTTTTAATAGAGAAAGGGTTTCACCATGTTGGCCAGGCTAGTCTCGAACCCTTGACCTCAAGTGATCCACCTGCCTCGGCCTCCCAAAGTGCTGGGATTTGAGGCATGAGCCACCATGCCCGGCCGAAATCACTGCTTTCAGACACAACATCTATAGCATCACACTCGACAGAAGTGCATGCACACGCATGTATACTCTGATGTATACTCATTTTCATCAGTCTTGGCACTTGCCCACCAAAATCTCCCCCCAGTTATGGTAGCACATCCAGGTTGCCAGTCCTTGCTGTAGTTGAAGAGTAAAGATTGGGCCCTCGGAGTCTGTCCCCACAGTTTCGCTGGGCATAGTAAACTGTTGTCCCAGAGCTCCTTTACCTTCACATAAAGATTGAAGGACAGGATGGAGGTGACCTGACAATGGCTGGGGAGTGGAGGTAGGGTTTCTTTAGTTAAAAACATGGGCATTGCACCGGGCGGTGGCTCACGCCTGTAATCCCAGCACTTTGGGAGGCCAAGGGGGATGGATCACTTGAGGCCAGGGGTTTGAGACCAGCCTGGTCAACATGGAGAAACCCCATCTCTACTAAAAGTACAAAAATTAGCCAGTTCGATGACCAGCCTGGTCAACATGGAGAAACCCCATCTCTACTAAAATTACAAAAATTAACCAGGCGTGGTGGTGTGTACCTGTAGTCCCAGTTACTTGGGAGGCTGAGGCAGGAGAATCGCTTGAACCCAGGAGGCAGAGGTTGCAGTGAGCCAAGATTGTGCCCCTGCACTCCAGCGTGGGCAACAGAGCAAGACTCTGTCTCAAAACAAACAAACAAACAAACAAACAAACAAACAAAAAATGGGCATTGCCCCATTCAGCATATGTACACACACACACGTTGAAAATGGCAGAACCCTCCTATCATTTGCCTCTCAGCTCAAATATCACCTTCTGAGGAAGGACCTCCAGAACACATTACAAAGCAGCAGGTCCAGTCCCCAGCCCTGGCTTTATTTTTCCCCATAGAACACATCACCCTTTGACAAACTTTGTTTTGCTTGTTATTTATCATTATCTGCCCACCTCTCGAACAGAAGCTTTGTGAGTATAGGAACTTTTACCTATTTTGCTTGCTCTGATTTCCTTAGCACCTAGAAGAGTGCCTAACTCATAGCAGGTGTGCATTAAAATTCATTGAATGATAAAATATTTGCTTTCCCAGGCTTCCTTGAAGCCAAGACATGGGCACATCACCCAGGCCATGCCAATTAGAACCACTCACTTGAGAACATGACCCAGATAATGACTTAGACTCATCCTGGCACATATGGGAGCAGAGAAGCCAGCCACTGCCAGTGTGCTGTAGCAGCAGCTTTGGTGCAGGTGTCTGGGTCCAGCCCAGGGCCACTGTGTCACCACTGCAAACTGTGGTGACTGTGCCTGGGATTGTTTTCACTGAACCAGATCTGTGGCAGGATTTGGGTGAGGTTGTTGGCTGTGTCACTCCCAAGCCTGGTCTCTAGCCTTACCAGAAAATTGTGAGAGGCACCCCGCATCCTTTTAATGAAAGTATTTTCTTCTTCTTTTCTTTTTATTTTATTTGTTTATTTTTTTTGAGACAGAGTTTCACTCTTGTTGCCCAGGCTGGAATGCAATGGCGCGATCTCAGCTCACCGCAACCTCCGCCTCCCGGGTTCAAGCGATTATCCTGCCTCAGCCTCCTGAGTAGCTAGGATTACAGGCATGTGCCACCACACCCAGCTAATTTTGTATTTTCAGTAGAGACAGGGTTTCTCCATGTTGGTCAGGCTGGTCTCGAGCTCCCGACATCAGGTGATCTGCCAGCCTCAGCCTCCCAAAGTGCTGGGACTACAGGCGTGAGCCACTGCACCCAGCCCAGAGCCAACATTTTATTATTTACTCTGTGTATTAGTCTATTTTGTGTTACTATCACAGAATACCGCAGACTAGGTAATTTATAAAGAAAAGAAATTTATTTCTCATAATTCTGGAGGCTCGGAAGTCCAATATCAAGGTGCTGGCATCTGGTGAGGGCCTTTGTGTTGTGTCAGAAGGCAGAAGGGCAAGAAAGCAAAAGGGGCCCAAACTCACTTTTATAACAAGCCCACTCTAGTGACCACGAGCACTCTGCAATAACAATATTAATGCACTCTGCCCTCGTGACCTAATCACCTATTAGGCCTCACCTCCCAACACTTGCACTGGGAACCTAGTTTCCAACATATGAACTTTGGGGAATACATTCAAACCATAGCACTCTGCCTTAATGAACTAATAGCATAGAATGGAAGATAAGAGTCTTGTGGCAGTTCAGTAAGTCCAGAATTCGTATCACCCCTTACCACAACAGTTATTGAAGACCTATTTCCAGAAGATTATCCCGCTTCTTCAGGGCTGGCTAAAATCTGCTGCATCTCAGAAAACTGCTTAAATTTCTATCACAAGGAGAATAACTGATAGAATTCTCCCTAATCCCTCCTGTGTATTTGCCCTTTAAAACCATATACTTGTGAACTAGAGGTTGATAAAATAAACATGAATGTGAGTGGGACAGATTAATTCATTCTCCTTAAGTTATATAGTTTCCTCTTCTGTTGACTCTGAAAGTGTCAGGATTCCAGCTAGGGTTTGAAAGATTATATCAAAAAGGGCTGTATTAGTCTATTTTCACACTGCTATAAAGAACTACCTGAGACTGGGTAATTTATAAAGAATAGAGCTTTAATTGATTCACAGTTCCACATGGCTGGGGAGGCCTCAGGAAACTTACAATCATGATGGAAGGTGAAGAAGAAGCAAGGCATATCTTACATGGTGGCAGGGGAGAGAGTGGAGGGGAAAGTGCCACACTTTTAAACCATCAGCTCTTGTGAGAACTCACTCACTGTCGTGCGAATAGCAAGGGGGAGATCCACCCCCATGATCCAATCACCTTCCACGAGGCCCCTCCCTTGACATGTGGGGATTACCATTTGACATGAGATTTTGGTGGGGACACAGAGCCAAACCATATCAGGGGCCACAGCTAGAGCCAAACCCTGACAGGGACCTCGGACAGAAGAGCTGCTAGAGTGAGAAGTCCTTACTCTGAGCAGTTGCATCCTGGCTCACATGGAAGATGATGGAGCTGAGACATAGGTCATCTAGCTTGTACTGGGAAAGAGTCCAGGGAAAATTAGGATGAATCATGACTCACACCAGAGATGAACCAGCATCAGCATTATGAAACTCACAAAAACATGTTAAATCAGAAATCAGATAGTCAGGTATGGTGGCACATGCCTGTAGTCCCAGCTATTCAGGAGGCTGAGGCAGGAGGATTGCTTGAGCTGGGGAGGTTGAGGCTGCAGTGAGCTATGATCATACCACTGCACTCCACAACAGACTGAGACCCTGTCTCAAGAAAAAAAAAAAAAAGGAAAAGAAATTAGAAACCCATCAGTAGAAACTAAAGATTAAACTCAAATGCAGAGGTTTTTAGCAGCAATTTAAAAATCATGAACTTCAGGCAGGCTGAGATGGCTCACACCTGTAATCCCAGCATTTTGGGAGGCTGAGATGGGAGGATCACTTGAGCCCAGGCATTTGAGACCAACCTGGGAAACATAGCAAGATCCAATCTCTATTTTTTTTTTAATTATAAACTTCAAGGCCAAGGACAGAAATTCGTGTGAAATAAAGCCAGGGAATGATTTAGAGGTCAGTATGGCCAGTTGCTGTGAGCAAAAGATTTTTTTTTTTTTTTTTTCAAAAATAAGACTTGTTTCTTCTTTTCTTACAGGGGCCTTGCCTTAGAGATGTCTCTGAACAATTTGGACCCTGACAAGAAGGGTCAAGGAGAAATCGGATACTCTTGTGATTCCCCCAGTCAACCACTGTTCCAGTTGCTTATCTGCTGAGACAGCAGTTCTTGACCCCAGCTACACATTAAGCTTAAAAAAAAAATTACTGTTGCTTGGACCCTAGCCCAACTTGTGAATCAGAATTTCTGGGGGTGGGTCCCAGCCACTGGTGTTTTTGAAAGTCTCCCTGGGTAATTCTAATGTATATTCAGTATTGAGCCCCACTGGCCTGACACTTTCATTCCCACTGAAACAGAAGTAATCCACTACAGAGGAGAGAAGGTTGTTCCATTCTAAGCCATAGGAGTTTTTAGTTATCATAGCTCCAAACCCATAGGAACTGGCGTGAGAGCATTCTTACGTGGGTGATGGATGTAGGAGCTCCAGGATGCCTTGGAACGTCTTGTCCCAGTATGTTTCTGCTTGTACAGGTATTCAAAATGAGGGCCAAACCCTTCTTTGGAATCCAACTCTGCTCTAGGCTAGTTGGCTGCCCCCAGACCAGGATTTAGCACCAACAAACTGAGAATGTGATCAGAGGACTGGGGCCACTAACATAACTGGAAAAGAAAAGCAGAAAAGCATTCTCCCAACTCCTGTTCAATTAATTCAACAAATAGCTGTGGCCATGGCTGCAAAGGTACCAAGGTGCAATGACTAAGAACTCTAGCTTTGGGGTCAGATAGTCCTGCGTTCTCATGCTGGCTCCACAAGGCCCACAAGCTGTGCACTCTGGGCAAGGTACCATATGAGCCTGAAGTTCCCATCTCCCCCTAAGAAAATCCCCAGAAAAGAGTTTTCTTGTAGTGAAGCCCTTACAACACCTGTCATATTATAGGGTGCCCCCTCAATTACTTTACTTGGAAAAAGAACTATTTGCTTCAAATGTACATCACCTTAGATGACCTCAATTAATGCAAGTTTGGGGTATCTATAGAGGCCAAAAACCAAACAAAATCAGTTTTTTTAAGTGACAGAGAAATTTTTCAATTTTTAAGTGTATGAGAAATTCATAACATTTATCATAACTGTTTTAAGTGTTAAGTATGTTTTCATTGTTGTGAACTAGATCTCCAGATCTTGTAGAACTGAAACTGTGTACTCATTAAATAACTCCTTTTTGCCTCTTACTTCCAGCTCCTGGTAACCACCATTCAACTTTCTTTATCTATGACTCTGACAACTGTAGATACTTCATATAAGTGAAATCATGTAGTATTTGTCCTTCTGTGACTGGCTTATGTCACTTAGTGTAATGTCTTCAAGGTTAGTCCATGTTGTTTGTCATGTGACAGGATTTCCTTCCTCTGTAAGGCTGAATAATATTGCATGATATGAATAGACCACATTTTATTTATCCATTCATCCACTGATGGACACGTGGGTTGTTTCCACCTCTTGGCTCTTGTGAATAATGCCGCCATGAATGTGGGTGTACAAATATCTGTTTGAGTTTCTACTTTGAATTCTTTTGGATATATACCCAGAGGTGGGGCTGTTGAATCTTATGGTAGTTCTATTTTTAATTTTTTGAAGAACTGCCATACAGTTTTCCATAGTGGTTGCACCCTTTTACAATACCACTGTTGGGTTTTTTCTCACACCTCTTCAACACCAAATGAGGGTAGTTGTTTTTTTCCCTTCCTGACACCAACCTATTCTCCAACTCTCCAGACACCAACCGAGAATCCTACCATTCAATTCCATTTTGACAGTAACTACCCAGAGTTACTATAAGACTCACAGCTTTAAGCATTCAGTCCCACAAGACTGCCTTCACTTACACGACCTGGGCCAGTCTCCAGTATTGGGTCCCCAGGTTACCCACACTTCTGTCTGACATAACTATAAATTCAGGGGTTCCCACAATCCTCCCAGATTTGATAATTTGCTAGAATGACTCACAGGACCCAGGAAAGTGCATTACTTACTATCGTCAGGTTATTATAAAGGATACAACTTAGGAACAGCTGAATGGAAGAAATAAATAGAGCAAAGTATGGGAACGGGAAAAGTGGAGCTTCCATGCCCTCTCTGGGTATACCATCCTCCTAGCACCTCAATGCATTACCAACCCAGAAGCTCCCAAAACCCTGTTGTGGAGAAATTTTAGTGGCAGTTTCATACACCGTCATATGTAGCCCTGACTGATTCGATCATTGGCCATTGCAGATTGACTCAATCATAACCTCTCTCCTCTCCCAACAGAGGCATGGCTTTCAGGAAGAGAAAGTATTTCCCCTCTACTGAAACCAGGGCAGGCAATTAGGAGGGTTGTGGAGAGAGGATGAGAGGATTTTTTGTCAGTGAGCTACTGTGTTGAAAAGTGGATCTGGGCCGGGCACGGTGGCTCACGCCTGTAAACCCAGCACTTTGGGAGGCCGAGGCGGGAAGATCATGAGGTCAGGAGATCGAGACCATCCTGGCTAACACGGTGAAACCCCATCTCTACTAAAAATACAGAAATTGGCCGGGCACGGTGGCTCACGCCTGTAAACCCAGCACTTTGGGAGGCCGAGGCGGGAGGATCATGAGTTCAGGAGATCGAGACCATCCTGGCTAACACGGTGAAACCCCATCTCTACTAAAAATACAGAAATTGGCCGGGCACGGTGGCTCACGCCTGTAATCCCAGCACTTTTTGGGAGACCCAGGCGGGCAGATCACGAGGTCAGGAGATCGAGACCATCCTGGCTAACACGGTGAAACCCCGTCTCTACAAAAAATACAAAAAAATTAGCCGGGTGTGGTGGCGGGCACCTGTAGTCCCAGCTACTCGGGAGGCTGAGGCAGGAGAACGGCGTGAACCCGGGAGGCAGAGCTTGCAGTGAGCCGAGATCGCACCACTGCAGTCTAGCCTGGGCAACAGAGTGAGACTCCGTCTCAAAATAAATAAATAAATAAATAAATAAATAAATAAATAAATAAATAAATAAATAAAAAGTGGATCTGCCGGACACGGTGGCTCATGACTGTAAACCCAGCACTTTGGGAGGCCAAGGTGGGTGAATCACTTGAGGTTAGGAGTTTGAGACCTCACTGGCCAACATGGCGAAATACCTTCTCTACCAAAAAATATAAAATTTAGCTGGGTGCAGTGGCATGCGCCTGTAATCCCAGCTACTCAGGAGACTGAGGCAGGAGAATTGCTTGTTGAACCCGGGAGGCAGAGGTTGCAGTGAGCCAAGATGGTACCACAGCACTCCCGCCTGGGTGACAGACTGAGACTCTGTCTCAAAAAAAAAGAAAAAAGAAAAGTGAATCGAATGGAATACAGTATATCCTTCACTGAGGTTTCACCTTCCATTTTGTTACCTGCTATCAACTGATGTCTGAAAATAGGTGAGTACAGTAGTTAGATGTTTTGAGAGACCACATTCACATAAGCTTTATTATAGTATACTGTTATAATTATTCTATTTTATTAGTCATTAGTCTCTTACTGTACCTAATTTATAAATTAAACCTTGCCATAGGTATGCGTGTATAGGAAAAAACAGTCTATATAGGATTCAGTACTATCTGCAGTTTCAGGCATCCACTGACGGTCTTGGAACGTACAGCCCTCAGATAAGGGGGAACTACTGAATAGGCACAGAGTGAAAGTACAATTGTTTGAAAAAGCTGATAATGTGCTGGGGAATGCTGCATAGAAGCTAATATTATGCCAGTGGCTTTTGAGGGGAAAAAAAGCTTTATTATCACAAGTCAACTGGCAAGGAGATAGGAGGGAGGCAGCGGTCAAACTTGTCTCCCCAGTCTGTGGGTGGGTCCAGCCTTTATGGCCTGGCCATCTAGTCCCAGGTGATGCCAATGTAGCTGGTCTGCCAGGCTGGTGGTAGTAACAATTAGGAGGTTACAGCCCTTTCTGTTTCACATGCCTGGACAATTTTGGCTCTGTGTCACCTCTCACAACTTAAGTAATGGTTAATCAGCTTGAGCTTGTCCCACGGCTACAAAAGGAAGCTCAGTCCCTAGATGACTTTTTAGAGCAGAGCTGCCCTACTAACCTGGAATGACCACTTCTAGACTATTATGCAAGAGAAATATTTTTTATTTAATTTTTAATTTAAGCTACTGTGTTTGAGGTCTCTTTCTTACAGCAGTTTAGCCTTTAATTAATACATATAAGAAATCAGTTCAGAAGCCGGGCGCGGTGGCTCACGCCTGTAAGGCTCAAGCCTGTAATCCCAGCACTCTGGGAGGCTGAGGTGGGCGGATCACGAGGTCAGGAGTTCGAGACCAGCCTGACCAACATGATGAAGCCCCATCTCTACTAAAAATACAGAAATTAGCTGGGCCTGGTGGCGCATGCCTGTAATCCCAGCTACTTGGGAGGCTGAGACAGGAGAATCGCTTGAACCCAGGAGGCGGAGGTTGCAGGAGCCGAGATCGCGCCATTGCACTCCAGCCTGGGCAACAGAGTGAGACTCTCTCAAAAAAAAAAAAAAAAAAAAAAAGAAATCAGTTCAGAAAGAGAAGACAACTGATATATACACAGAGCTTTCTGACCTGACTTCATCTGCTTAAATATACAATTTTTTTTTTTTTTTTTGAGATGGAGTTTCACTCTTGTCACCCAGGCTAGAATGCAATGGTGTGATCTTGGCTCGCTGTAACCTCTGTCTCCCAGTTCAAGCGATTCTCCTGCCTCAGCCTCCTGAGTAGCTGGGATTACAGGTGTCCACCACCACACCTGGCAAAGTTTTGTATTTTTAGTAGAGATGGGGTTTCACAATGTTGGCCAGCCTGGTCTCAAACTCCAGATCCACCTGCCTTGGCCTCCCAAAGTGCTGGGATTACAGGCGTGAGCCACCGCTTCCAGTCTTTTTTTGTTTGTTTGTTTTGTTTTTGAGACAGAGTCTTGCTCTGTCACCCAGGCTGGAGTGCAATCTTGGCTCACTGCAACCTCTGCCTCCTGGGTTCAAGCGATTTTTGTGTCTCAGCCTCCCAAGTAGCTGGGATCATAGGTATGCACCAGCAAGCCCGGCTAATTTTTGTATTTTTAGTAGAGACGGGGTTTCACCATGTTGGCCAGGCTGGTTTTGAACTCCTGACCTCAAGTGATCCTCCTGCCTCGGCCTCCCAAAGTGCTGGGATTACAGAAGTGAGCCACCATGTCTCACTAAAGTGTACAATTTAATGGTTTTTGATATAACTGAAACCACTACCCCAAATGAGATTTTTGTCACTATAGATTGAGTTGGATTTTATATAAATGGATCATATAGTATGTAGGCTTTGTGTCTGGTTTTGCTCAGGATAATGACTTTAGATTCACCCATGTTATCACATGCACCAGTAGTTTGTCCCTTTTTATTGCTGAGTAGTATTCCACTGTACTGATAAGCTGCATTTTATTTATTCGTCCCTGTTGATGGACATTTTAATGAGTCTATTATTCACACATCGAGGGTGACTCCAAATGTGGTGTCATTTCTTTTATATTCAACCTCATTTTCAAGTGGTCAAGCAGTCCCTAAGCAACAGCTCAGTGCCTAACACTGCAGTAGTTTCTAGGCTGACTTGCCAAACTTCCACAGAACCAGTCAAGAAGGAGACAATGAGTCCAATGGGTTCAGATAGTTTATTATTTACACAGACAGCAAAAGCAAGATGGTGTCTGCTCCCATGTCCCCAGCCCAGCAGGATGATGATGAATCATAGCTCATGATGATGAAGATAGCGCAAGTGGTGGACTGCTCTGCCATGGAGCCAAATCCAAACTACAGCCAAGGTGTTTTACAGACTTACACAGAAGTCTGCAGCTGTACCATAAGTTAGAATAAAGTGGAAAGTTCCGTGCTCAACTGAAATTAGACAAGTTGATGAGAAATGGCCTTGTAGCAGTCTCCCAAAAAATAGGGATCAGAAACTGCCTTACAGTAGCTCCTTACCGGGCATATTGCCTTTTGCATCAGGAGCAATCACAGGGCATTCTACTGAAAAGTGGGGAAATAGATTTTGGGGGTGCCTGACTGCAATATACATGACCTACATGGAGACGTGCATGGTTGCCAAGATGCCGTGGCAGACCATTCCTACACTCATCATATGCCATAATGACATTTTTTCTTTTCTTTTCTTTTTTTTTTTTTTTAGATGGAGTTTTGCTCTTATTACTCAGGCTGGGGTGCAGTGGCACTATCTCAGCTCACTGCAACCTCCGCCTCCCGGGTTCAAGTGATTCTCCTGCCTCAGCCTCCTGAGTAGCTGGGATTACAGGTGCCTGCCACCATGCCCGGCTAATTTTTTGTATTTTTAGTAGAGATGGGGTTTCATCATGCTGGCCGGACTGGTCTCGAACTCTTGACCTCAGGTGATCCACCCGCCTCAGCCTTCCAAAGAGCAGGGATTACAGGCGTGAGCCACTGCACCTGGCTTCCATAATATCTTAAGTCACATGCCATAACAACAAAAATGCACTAAAAAATCACTAGCAGAATGAATTTGTGTAATTCACTGAGCTTGAAATTTCTCACATAAAATAAAAGTAGCATCTAAATGAATTCCAAGGTCACTTCTATGTCATCTGAATCAATTCAGAATTGTGACTGTACCAAATGATTGTCATTAAAGTCATCATGCTAGGTGCATACAACCTGATAGTCAGGTTTCACCTCAGTAAATTATATACTTTTCCTCAAGTCTTTTTATTACAAACAGCATAGCAAATAAGAACTAAATAAATAAACTGTTTAGGTTTCCTTTTTTTTTTTTTTTTTTTTTTTTGAGACAGAGTTTCTCTCTTGTTGCCCAGGCTGGAGTGCAACGGCACCATCTCGGCTCACCGCAACCTCCACCCCCTGGGTTCAAGCGATTCTCCTACCTCAGCCTCCCAAGTAGCTGGGATTACAGTCATGCACCACCACACCCAGCTAATTTTGTATTTTTTTAGTAGAGACAGGGTTTCTCCATGTCAGTCTCGCTAGTCCCGAACTCCTGACCTCAGGTGATCCGCCTGCCTCGGCCTCCCAAGTGTTGGGATTACAGGCGTAAGCCACTGCGCCTGGCCAATTGTTTAGGTTTCTAAGAGTCTCAGGAAAACTGTCCTCCTTGGAGGTTCTATGTGATCTATCTCTATTTGACAATTACTGGAAAAATGATGGCAACTGAGACAGCTGCCTCAAGATATCATCACTCAGGTACGACATATTCCATAATGGTGGGCCATCTCCAAACAAAGCTAACAGCACTTTGCAGGTTCTGTCGTGGAGATCAGCTATTCCAGGGCCAGCCCCAAAGACCAAAGACCATAGCTCCACACGGGAGCTATATTACATCATCATAATGACCCAGATAGGTACCAAACTCTCTGGGTGATAGTTTTAATTTAATTTAATTAATTCATTAGTTTGAATAATTATTTTATTGTGTTTTAATGTTTTTACTCTTTTAAAACCTTCTGGCTGGGCGCAGGGGCTCATGCCTGTAATCCCAGCACTTTGGGAAGCCAAGGCAGGCAGATCACTTAAGGTCAAGAGTTTGAGACCAGCCGGGCCAAAATGGTGAAACCCCATCTTTACTGAAAATACAAAAAATTAGTCTGATGTGGTGGTGCACGCCTGTAATCCCAGCTACTCCGGAGGCTGAGGCAGGGGAATCGCTTGAACCTGGGAGGTGGAGATTGCAGTGAGCTGAGATCGCGCCACTGCACTCCAACCTGGGTGACAGAGCAAGACTCTGTCTCAAAAATAAATTAATTAATTAAATAAACCACTTCAAAAAGAAAAAAAATGTCTGGTGTGATGGCTCACGCCTGTAATCCTAGCACTTTGGGAGGCCAAGGCGGGTGTATCACTTGAGGTCAGGAGTTCGAGACCAGCGTGGCCAACATAGTGAAACCCCATCTCTATTAAAAATACAAAATTACCATCCTGGCTAACATGGTGAAACCCCGTCTCTACTAAAAATACAAAAAATTAGCTGGGCTTAGTGGCGGGTGCCTATAGTCCCAGCTACTCAGGAGGCTGAGGCAGGAGAATGACGTGAACCCGGGAGGCGGAGCTTGCAGTGAGCCAACATTGCGCCACTGCACTCCAGCCTGGGTGACAGAGCAAGACTCCGTCTCAAAACAAACAAACAAAATTAGCTGGGCATGATGGCATGCGCCTATAGTCCCAGCTACTCGGGAGGCTAAGGCAGGAGAATCACTTGAACCCGGGAGGCAGAGGTTGCAGTGAGCTGAGATCTTGCCACTGCACTCCAGCCTGAGCAACAGAGTGAGACTCCATCTCAAAAACAAAACAAAACAAAACAGAAACACCTTCACAAAAAGAAAAAAAATTTTTTTTGAGACAGGGTCTCACTCTGATACCCACGCTGGAGTGTAGTAGCGTGATCAAGGCTCACCACAGGCTCAAGCGATCCTCCCACCTCAGCCTCCCAAGTAGCTGGGAATACAGGCACACACCACCATACCTAGCTAAGTTTAAAATTTTTTTTGTAGAAGTGGGTTTTCGCTGTTGCCCAGGCTGGTCTCAAACTTCTGAGCTCAAGCAATCCATCTGCCTCAGCCTCTCAAAGTGCTGGGATTACAGGCGTGGGCCACTGCTCCCAACAATTATTATTATTTTAGAGACAGTGTCTTGGTGTCACCTAGGGTGCCATGCAGTGGAGAGATAATAGCTCAATGCAGCCTTGAACTTCTGGGCTAAGTGATCCTCAAACTACTGCATAGCTAGAACTACGGTCACGCACCACCATATATACATCGATTTTTTTTATAGAGACAGAGTCTTGCTTTGTTGCCAGGCTCCTGGGAGATTTAATTCTATCACTGTACACTCGGTTAAATAATTAGTTGGTGTGTCTAGCCAAAAAGTAGTATCCGAAAACCCTCAGTATCTGGAAATACGTACGAGTGGGGAACTTTTTTTTTTAGACAGGCTCGCACTCGCTGTGTCACCTAGGCTGGAGTGCAACCTCTGCCTCCTGGGTTCAAGCAATTCTCCTGCCTCAGCTTCCAGAGTAGCTGGGACTACAAGCACGCACCGCCACACCCAGCTAATTTTTGTATTTTTAGTGGAGAATGTGTTTTTGCCACGTTGGCCAGGCTGGTCTTGAACTCCTGGCCTCAAGTGATCCGCCCCCCCTTGAGCCTCCCAAAGTGCTGGGATTACAGGCGTGAGCCACAGCACCCGGCCAAGAGTGGGGAACATTTAAAATGGTAATCTTGAGAAGGCTGTTTAAGATGTGTAAGTTCCTTAATTTAGCCAGTGTGGTAATCAGCTGAGGGTGCTGAAGAGTGACCTATAATGAGGCTGGGTTTTGAACAGAATCTCACATGTTAATACAAATGAGTTTATTATATTTTGTATTTATTATCAGGAGCATTTTTTTCCTAAAGATAAGGCAGGGTATCAGGCTAAGGAGATGATAGGAAAGAAAAAAATCATTTAAAAACTTAAAAAGACAATATAGTTGTAAAAATTTTTCTAAAAAGAAAAAATAAAAAGGCAGGATCATCAAACCAGCTTTTTTTCCCACGAACTAGGCACGCCACATGTTTTTTACCTTTTCTTAACTTCAAATCCTATCGCCCTTTTTTTCTTCTTTCTTTACAGACTAGAAGTCTGTGGGCTGTTTGGCATGCAGTACTTTTAAAGTATTCATTAGTGGCCAATATTTAGAAGGAAATCTATAGCATTAAAACAGATTTCCAGAGTTTCCTGAAAAAAAAAAAGGTTTTTAAAGGATTTGCTTTCCTAAAATGGCAACAATCAGTGGAGGTGAGTAATGGCTGCCCCCTGGACAGGTGGGCTAGTTGCTGTCCAGTTCACCAGGTTTCCAACCAAGCCAGCTTTACTCATTAATGAACAATTGATGTTCCATTTGTTTGTCATTCCTGCTCAGTAGCTTATGTCTCCTAGCCACTGGGGCCAGACAGTGCCAATCCCTTTAGGAGCTTCAGACTAAGCTGTTATGACTATGCTACCAAGGAATAAGCCTGGTGAAGAAACAGGCTTTTCTGTTAGGCACAGGGCTTTCGGAGCTGAACAATTTCCCAGTCTGATGGAAGAGACTGACAACTACAGTATGGAGTAGTGGCCATGTACCTACATTAAGAGTTATTTACGATGAGTAAATAAAGGGAGCAACAGGGGACCAGAGGAGGTGAAATGAATAATTTTCACCTTGCCGTATTGACTTCAAGGGCCTGGAGAAGCGTCTAACCTAGACTTCTGGAGTAAGCTGAAGCCCAAAGGGTAAAGAGGCATATTAATACAAATGGTTAAGTTTCAGGCAGAGGGAATATCAGGTAAGGTGTGTGGTGGGGAAGAGACAATGAAAGTGGAGATACCTGGAGCAGAGGGTGATAAGCGAAAAGTGAGAGATGAAGATTAAGGTACAAGCGAGGATCAATTTATGTCGTCTGAGCTTTATCTTAGGGACAATGGGAAGCCCCTGTGATACTATAAGGGTAAGTTTACTGGGACTCCGAAGTGATTTGTTCGTTATACAATTAGGAACAGAACCAAAAAATGAACTGCTAATTTTTAAAATTAATTCCTAATCAATGTACTATTACTTCCCCGCTGTCCCATGTTTATCGCTGACGCACCAATTCAAAGGACACGGCACATGTTTCTTTTTTTTTTTGAGATGGAGTTTCGCTCCTGTTGCCCAGGCTAGAGAGCAATGGCGCGATCTCGGCTCACTACAACCTCCGACTCCAGGGTTCAAGCAATTCTCCTGCCTCAGCCTCCGGAGTAGCTGGGATTACAGGCATGCGCCACCACGCCCGGCTAATTCTGTATTTTTAGTAGAGACAGGGTTTCTCTGTGTTGGTCAGGCTGGTTTCAAACCCCCGACCTAAGATGATCCGCCCGCCTCGGCCTCCCAAAGTACTGGTATTACAGGCGTGCGCCACCACGCCCGGCCTGCGGAAATGGCCTCAACGCTTCAACCGGAAGCAGAAATTGACCGCGGCAGGCGCCATCTAACGGCCGCTGGAGCAAAGCTCCTCCTGGAAATTCGCAACACCGGAAAAGGTCCGGCTGCTTCCGGTAAAAACCCACCAGAGCTGACGTTCAGAGGGCGAGTCTCGAAGATCCGGCCAATTTGCCCAGCGCGCTGTGCTCCGCGACGGCGCATGCCCGCTTTTGCGCAGGCGCGGGGACTACGGCGCAGGCGCGGAGACTATTGCGCAGGCAAGCGCGTACGCAGAAGCGTGCGCGCGCCCGTTCAACGTCCGGAGCATCGGTGCAGTTTCGAGGGTAAAGCCTTTGGCGCGGTGATGTGGACTTTTGTTCTCTAACTACAACTCCCAGCATACGTCACCCCTCACGTGGGCGCTAGGTGTGGTTTCGTGGGATAGGGTAAGGCGAAAATGAAGTGACGATGACGTACCAAAGAGGAAAATAGTTGAATATGTTGTGTGAGCGCGTCGTTTGCAGAAGCCCCAGTGGCCTAATGGATAAGGCATTGGCCTCCTAAGCCAGGGATTGTGGGTTCGAGTCCCATCTGGGGTGGCCTGTGACTTTTGTCCTTTTTTCCCCTTTCTAAACAAAGCGAAATATGCCAACTTTACTTTTTTTTTTTTTAAATGGGAAGTGTGTGTGTGTTTTTACTAGCTGGTGGGCTGCAATTTTCGAGAATCTGCACACACCCATGTCCTTTGTCTGAGCCGCAGGTCCCCTGGGATTTGGGGAGACGTCAATACGTTGAATTTTGATATCCCTTTTATAAATCATTTAAAAATGTCTTCTCAGCGTGTTCCATATCAAATCCACACCCACACCCCCCGCCGGGCCCGCTTCTCCTGAGACTCAGCGGTTGGTCGGCTAACGGGCATCTTCAATGACGCAGTGAAGAAAAGCCCCTGTTTCCCCAAACCCTTGTTCTGGGTTAGAGGTCCTGGTACCTTCAGTTAACAGTCGGGTTTCGTTTGATTTTGTTACGGCGCCCCTGGGCCTTCGATTAATAAGGTTCGGTCAACGGACAAGTGAGCGGTTCCACTGCTCGTCAGTCGATAGGGGGAGTCGGTAGTCTGTCCGACCGTACCATTAGGCGCCTGGGCCGGAGGAGGGGTTTTCAGGGTCGTAGGACGCCGTTGGGCACCACGCTCGGAGAAGGACAGGACAATGGCGGCCTTAGGGTCCCCGTCGCACACTTTTCGAGGACTTCTGCGGGAGTTGCGCTACCTGAGCGCGGCCACCGGCCGACCCTATCGCGACACCGCGGCCTATCGGTACCTTGTGAAGGCTTTCCGTGCACATCGGGTACGGGAGCCATGTCCCGGGTGCTCTACGTGCTGGGGAGGGAGGAAGAGCCGGGTCTGGGCTAGGGTGGGGAGCACGGTGTTTAATTCCTGCATTTCTGAGGCCAACCCTCCCACGGAGCCCTGGTTCTGACCAAACCAACCCAGGCCCTAGGCTCCATGCTCTGGCATAAACTCGGGGACCAAAGGACCAGCGGGGGGGGGCGCAGAGTCGCTCTGGGGACGTCAGCCTGTCCTGCAGAGGGGCGGACCCGTCCCGAAGGATTTCATTGGCTGGTCTGTTGCCTCTGCGGAGGGCAGTCAGGAAAGTGGAATGGAGGATTCAATGCTGGGGATAAAACAATGAAGATGGAGTTGAAGGGTGTACTGTTGCTAGACTTAAAGCCACAGCATCTGGCCAACAATTTCCTCACCCGTCCCCTAGAAAAGTTATTCTAAGAAGCATTTCTTTTTGAGGCGGAAAAGAACAACTGGGCTTTAGGGAAGGAAACTTGCTGCCCTTGAGCAATGTGGGGAAAGGGAGAACGATCAACTGTCGAATTTCTGAGCCACGGACGTCAGAATGTAAAATCTTAGAACTCAAATTCACCTAGTTTTTAAAAGGTGGCAACGTTAGGGTCTGTGCTAGGAACCTGGTCTAAACAGGAAGAATCAGATGCACATGTGTCCTGTCCTTAAGACACTTGCTGCCCACCTAAGGAGCCATACAGTAAAGTACTGAGGATAAATAAGTGCTCAAGGTGTAGACAACAGGGGCTGGGGTATAAAGAAGGGGTAGTTAGGGAAGGTTTTCCGGAGGAAATTAATCAGGGACCTGAAGGCTAATTTGGAGTTAGCAAGTAAATTGGGGTTAGGGTCCAGGTTTAAAAGCTACACAATTGAAAGCCCAAGGGGAGAAAAATTGCCAGTTGAGAGTGGTTTAGCCCTAAGGTGTGGTGGGTGAAGTGGAGGTAGATGAAGTGGTAGGCCGAACAGGAACTTAAACTTTATTGTAAGTGTAATGGGAAGCCATTCTAAGATTGTGATCACCTCCCAGGTTCAAGCGATTCTCCTGCCTCAGCCTCCCGAGTAGTACAGGCAGGCGACATGCGACACCACGCCCGGCTAATTTTGTATTTTTAGTGGAGACGGGGTTTCTCCATGTTGGTCAGGCTGGTCTTGAACTCCTGACCTCAGGTGATCCGCCTGCCTCGGCCTCCCAAAGTGTTGTAATTACAGGCGTGAACTATCAAACCTGGCCCCATTCTAAGATTTTTAAGGAGGTGACATGATTATAGTTGTACCTTATGGGGATAACATTATTACCCTTGAGAGAGACTTGGTAATGGTTCTGAAATTCATGGTACATTCTGGAAATACCACTCTGGAATGCACTTGAGCATAGGGGAAATGGTTTCTGTTTCCTTCAGGCTCACAGCTAACTGAATAACCATCCCATTTTCTCTATCCTTTCCCTCCGGAGAAGGGATTCTATTAGGGAGAAACCTACCCTTTCTCCACAGGGAAAATACAGTGTTCTATTTCATTTGATCTCTTTTGGGTTCTTGTGATCTATTTACTGTTTCCTGTCTATTGCTGACCCTTTTGTCCTCATGATTCAGGCTCAACCGAATCAAGAGCAGTATTCTATCCTACATTAACCTAGAATTCCCATGTCAAATTCCACAAATTTGGGCTTATATATTAATAGAAGTGGATGCTATGATTTGTTAATGCTTGACATTGGTGTTGATTTCTCATAAAATTTAAATTACTAAAAAGTTAAATTTGTATTAAAGCAGATTAATTCTGTTTTTAAGCAGCTAATGAATGTTGCTTTCAACATGATCTGCAGATCCTAAAACCCACATTCTAACAGCATGGGCAACATAGTGTAGTGAGACTTCCTCTCCAAAAAATTTGAAAATTATCCAGGCGTGATGGCCCATCCTCTAGTTCCAGCTAATTGGGAAGCTGAGGTGAGAGGATCACTTGAGCCCAAGAAGTCGATCAAGGCTGCAGTGAGCCATGTTCATACCACTGCTCTCCAGCATAGGCCACGGAGCGAGACCCTGTCTCAAAAACCAAGAAGCCACACACATTCTAGTTTTCAGATTCTAACACTAGATATTCAAATAGAGAAAGGGGATTAGGCCAGGAGCGGTGGCTCACACCTGTAATCCCAGCACTCTGGGAGGAGGCGGCAGGTGGATCGCTTGTGCCCAGGAGTTCACGACCAGCCTGGGCAACATGGTGAAACCCTGTTTGTATAAAAAATACAAAAATTAGCCGGATATGGTGGTGTGCGTCTGTAGTCCCAGCTACTTGCGGGGCTGAGGCAGGAGGATCACTTGAGCTGGGGAGATCAGCAGCCATGTTCACGCTATTGCACTCCAGCCTGGGCAACAAAGTGAGACCCTGTCCCCAAAAAAAAAAAAAAAAAAAAGAGTTGGTGGGGGGCGTATTATGTAGGCAGTGGTGCCCAGATTTATCCACATTTGGACATGGCTCCTTTAGTCCCTCAGAGCTATGCACACATCCCCATCTCACCTTTCCTGCCCCTTTCTCACAGCCTTGAATACAGAACTAGTTAAAGAGGGTGCAGTGAATCTCAAAAGTTAAGTATGATGAAGAAAAAAGGTTTGGAATCATTTGGGGACTTTGGAATGGATATGGAATTTCTAGCTTCTTAAAGTCATGAGTCCAGAGTTTTCAAGATGGATAAGCAAATTGTAAGAGCGAGAATAGCCATTCCTCAGTAACTGTGGGGACTGGTTCCAGGACACCCCCCACCCCCACTCAGGAATACCAAAATCCATGGATGCTCAAGTCCCTGACATAAAATGCTGTAGTATTTGCAATATAACCTATGCACATCCTCCTGTATACTTTGTCATCTCTAGATTATAATACCTTATGCGGTGTAAATGCTATGTAAATCGTTGTTATACTACATTGTTTAGGGAATAATGACAAAACATATGTTTGGTAAGACATGATAATCCTTTTATTTTTTTCTGAGTATTTTTTATCACAAGTTGATTGAATCCAAAGATGCAGAACCCATGGATATGGAGGGCCAATTGTAATAAGTAATATGAACATAAGCATACTAGTTTTATACATGAAACCTTCATTTGTTACTATTTAGCACAAAGCTATCATTTTTCAGACAAAAGTTTTCAATTTTCTTTCTTTTTTTTTTTTTTTTTTTTTTGTTGAGATGGAGTCTCCTTCTGTTACCCAGACTGGAGTGCAGTGGCCCGATCTTGGCTCACTGCAAGCTCCGCCTCCTGGGTTCACGCCATTCTCCCGCCTCAGCCTCCTGAGTAGTTGGTACTACAGGCACCCGCCACCACACCCGGCTAATTTTTTTTTTTTTTTTTGGATTTTTAGCAGAGACAGGGTTTCACCGTGTTAGCCAGGATGGTCTCGATCCCCTGACCTTGTGATCTGCCCGCCTCGGCCTCCCAAAGTGCTGGGATTACAGGTGTGAGCCACCGCGCCCGGCCAAGTTTTCAATTTTCATTGTAATGAAAGGTATATGCCACATTAATCAAAGTCACAGAAATATAAATAAAGCAGTCCTTTATTTGCTTGAAAGGGAGAAAGTTCTACATAATATTCTTTAGGTGACATTAATGATGAGTGACCTAATTATAATTTCCATATCTACCATTAACCAACCTCTGAGCATCTCTGGACTTTAGTTTCCTCATCTGTAAAATTAAGGAATTGAAACTAGATGACTTCTTGCAGTACTGACTGAATACAGGGACATTCAATGCAACTCCTTTTAAAAATCCGAACTAGAGGTCAGCTTTACTAATAACTATAGAGTGCCTCTATAGATGTATTAAGTATACATGTATATACATACATGTCTGTATTTCCTCTGTGCAATTTACTTTCACTCTAGTGAATGCTTATTTATTAAATCTTTCTCTGTGGACCTGTATCTCTAGCTGGGTTAAGAATTTCTGACTTGCTGCTTCTCTAGGTCACCAGTGAAAAGTTGTGCAGAGCCCAACATGAGCTTCATTTCCAAGCTGCCACCTATCTCTGCCTCCTGCGTAGCATCCGGAAACATGTGGCCCTACATCAGGAATTTCATGGCAAGGGTGAGCGCTCGGTGGAGGAGTCTGCTGGCTTGGTGGGTCTCAAGTTGCCCCATCAGCCTGGAGGGAAGGGCTGGGAGCCATGAACATGGAGAATATCCTTGGATGCTGCATTCATAGGAGAATTGAATAATTTCTATCAATATGTATTTATCATTAAATTTTTTTTAAGTTTAAGGTTTTTCTCTGTAATTTTGTTTACTAGTTCTTAGGGGAATTAACTGGACATTTCATCTTTACTCTCAGTGAATTTACTGAACTTTTTGCACTAGACTGATGTTGTTTTTCTACTTAAAAAAATTTTTTTATATTTTATTTTAAAAGTAGTACAAGCCTTAGCCAGGCACGGTGGCTCACGCCTGTAATCCCAGCACTTTGGGAGGCCAAGGCAGGCGGATCACCTGAGGTTGGGAGTTCGCGACCAGCCTGACCAACATGGAAAAACCCCGTCTCTACTAAAAATACAAAATTAGCCAGGCGTGGTGGCACATGCCTGTAATCCCAGCTACTCAGGAGGCTGGGACAGGAGAATCGCTTGAACCCGGGAGGTGGAGGTTGCGATGAGCTGAGATCGCGCCATGGCACTCACTCCAGCCTGGGCAACAAGAGCAAAACTCTGTCTCAAAAAAAAAAAAAAAATTAGTATAAGCCTTTTGTTTAAGGAATTCAAATGTTATAAACATAAAATAAAAGAAACCCTCTTTTCCTTTGTCCTTTTCCCTTGTCCCCATTACCAGGTGGTCACTATTACTAACAGTTTGATGTGCATCTTTCCAGATATTTCCTACACATATACAATTATACATACATATCTCATTTAAAAATACATAAATTTGATGTGTTACAGTCCTGGCAGGAAATAGGTGGCACACTCAAATAGGGACATTGAGGAGAGTTAAAGGGATACATAAAGATGTGGGCGAATTAAGGTTGAGATGGTGAAGCTCTTAGGGGTTCTCAATAGTAGAGAGGTCTTTTTATATTTTATTTTTAACTGGGCAGCCCCTGAACCAGAATAGGTTACGAGAGACTCTCTACTAGAGAGTTCTAACCTCCCTAGGCCTGACCAATGCAGGCCCTTAGGCTGAGGAACATGGCCACAGCTCAGCTATAACCCACAGAGAGGGATGGATGAGTACATAGACATCTCTTTCTGTCTCCTAATCTTGTCAAATTGTTCCTTCTCTTGAACTCCCTATCTGGGCAAATAGCTCCACCATGCACTTGCTAACCAAGACAGAAACTTGGGCTTCATTTGGTATTCCTCTCTCCTTATTTTTCACAATTATTTAGCAATTTCAGCTTCTGCAGTAGCTCTAATAACCTTCTCCTCGTCTGTCTCCACTGCCTCTGTCCTAGTTCAAGCACTGAGAATCTTTTGGCTGAACCAATAAAATAGTCTCCTAAAGGGTCTATTTGCTTCTTATATCCTTATTTCCTCAAAAATCGTTCTCTTTCTGTGAATTGCCAACACTTATTTACCTTTGGCTCCTTTATGGTATATGTCAGTTTCTTCTGGTAGGTAGATAACCTCTTTTCTCGGGGACTATGTCTCATTCATCTTTGCAGTTTCCAAAGCACCTTCCACAGTGACTTACACATTGCATGTATTAAATGTTTTTGAATACATAACTTAGCTCCACTAGGAGAGGTACAACCTCAACAGAACTATTCATAAAGCAGTTCAAGCCGGGTGTGGTGGCTCACACCTGTAATCCCAGGACTTTGGGAAGCTGATGTGGGCGGATCACCTGAGGTTGGGAGTTCCAGACCAGCCTGACCAACATGGAGAAACCTCATCTCTACTAAAAATACAGAATTAGCTGGGCATGGTGGCGCATGCCTGTAATCCCAGCTACTCAGGAGGCTGAGGCAGGAGAATCGCTTGAACCCAGGAGACGGAGGTTGCAGTGAGCCGAGATTGCACCATTGCACTCCAGCCTGGGCAACAAGAGTGAAACTCCGTCTCAAAAAAAAAAAAGGCCATTCAAAACACCATCTCTTCTAAGAGGTTAACATTAAAATAATAGTATTAATAGGTCAAACAAGCATTTATTCGACTGAATGTATAAAAAAAAGAAATGTTTAACATACCTTTTTTGTTTTGTTTTGAGACAAGGTCTCACTCTGTTGCCCAGGCTGGAATACAGTGGAGTAATGCAATCTCTGTCTCCCAGGTTCAAGTGATTCTTCTGCTTTAGCCTCCTGAGTGGCTGGGACTGCAGGCATTTGCCACCACACCCGGCTCATTTTTGTATTTTTAGTAGAGATGGGGTTTCACCATGTTGGCCAGGCTGGTCTCGAACTCCTGACCTCAAGTGATCGCCCGCCTGGGCCTCTCAAAATGTAGGGATTACAGGTGTGAGCCACCATGCCCAGCTGACATATGTTTATTTGTTCTCTGTTTTATTTCATGGATGCAGGTTTGTTATTAATACTGATATTTTACTTTGGTAAGAGTGAAGAAAGCAAAAGGGTGAGGATAGGTTAATGTTTTGATTTCCTTTGTTGTTACCATATTGAATATATACAATAATATGTACATTATAATATACAATATTATATACAATAATATATAATGTTTTTCCTTTTTTTTTTAATAGAGATGGGGGTCTCACTGTGTTGCCCAGGTTGGTCTTGAACTCGTGGGCTCAAGTGATCCTCCCACCTAGGACTCCCAAAGTGCTGGGATTATAGGCATGAGCCACCATGTCTGGCCATTATTTTTCAAGAAGAGATTTGAGGCAGAATTGTCTAATGGTAAGAAATATTACAGTTTTGAAGTCATATAGATTTAGATTGTTAAAAAATAAATATTTAGGCCGGGCACGGTGGCTCATGCCTGTAATCCCAGCACTTTGAGCGGCCGAGGCAGGTGGATCACAAGGTCGAGAGATTGAGACCATCCTGGCCAACATGGTGAAACCCCGTCTCTACTAAAAGTACAAAAATTAGCTGGACTTAGTGGTGTGTGCCTGTAGTCCCAGCTACTCTGGAGGCAGAGACAGGAGAATCGCTTGAACCCGGGAGGTGGAGGTTGCAGTGAGCCAAGATCACACAACTGCACTCAAGCCTGGTGACAGAGCGAGACTCCGTCTCAAAAAAAAAAAATATTTATATTATGATTCTACTTGTATAATTTACCAGATTTGTGATCTTGGGCAGGTTAGTTGACCTGTGCTTTTTCCTCCTTATATTAAATGGGAAGGCCAACAAGGTTGTTGTAATAATTGAGAATAATGTTTATATAAAACACTTAGGGCTGGGCATGGTGGCTCACGCCTGTAATCCCAGCACTTTGGGAGGCTGAGGCAGGTAGATCACTTGAGGTCAGGAGATTGAGACCATCCTGGCCAACATAGTGAAACCCCGTTTGTACTAAAAATGCAAAAAACTAGCCAGACACACGCAAGTAATCCCAGCTACTTTGGAGGCTGAGGCACAAGAATTGTTTGAACCCGGGAGGCGGAGGTTGCAGTGAGCTGAGATGGCGCCACTGCATTCCAGCCTGGGCAACAGAGCAAGACTGTGTCTCGGAAACAAACCAACAAGCAAACAAAAAAATCAGACACTTGCATGGTGCATAATGAGTGTTCAACAAAGAGAAAATCTTACTGTTTGTTTTTATCTTTTTACTTTATTCTCATTCCTTTTATCATGAACCCTTTTCTAAGCCCTACTGCCATCAGTCTTCAGAAGTGTATGCGTATTATGTTATTAAGGTTTAAATAATTTACTCAGGCCATTTCTGTTCACATATAACCAACCTGTACCTCCTATTCATAGTCGCACCATCAATAATCAGCTGAAGTCGGTGTTAGAAAGAATTGATTCTAGAACACAAACTATATTGGCAGTAAACTCTAAATTGGAAGGTCCCAGCCTGAGAATCCTGAGGTTTTGGTTACTAGTCTAGTGATAAGTGATAAAGCACTAGTGATAAGTGATTTACTTCATTTTGCTGTCTCTTGCTTACCTCCTTTAATGTCAACTGCTCCCCCCCCCCCCACCGGATTTTCCTTTAATAGTACTTAAATATGCTTAAGACTTTTCCTTCTAAAAACTACTCTGCCTCTATCTCAAATGCTTTTACAGCTACTACCCGCTGTTCCTCTTCACAAATGAATTAACGTATTCAAAGACTTGAATGAATTATATTCACTTGCTGTATTTTTGAAACTTCTAAAATAAGTTGTATCAAGGTAAATTTACATATAATAAATATACTCATTTTAGGTGTACAGGTCAATGAATTTTGACAAATGAATACACCTGTGTCATAAATATCCCAGTAAAGCTATGTAACATTTCCATCACCCCAAAAGGTTATCTTGTGCCCCTTTGCAGTCAATTCTCCTTCCCCACACCTGGTCTCGGCAACCACTGACCTGCTTGTTGTCACTATAGATTTGGCTTTTCCAGTATTTTATCTAAATGCAGCTATACAGTATGCAGTCTTTTGAGGCAGCTTCTTTTGTTGAGCATACTGATTTTGAGCCTTAACCTTATCTTTTTTTTTTTGAGACGGAGTCTCGCTCTGTGGCCCAGGCTGGAGTGCAGTGGCGCGATCTCTGCTCACTGCAAGCTCCGCCTCCCGGGTTCACGCCATTCTCCTGCCTCAGCCTCCTGAGTAGCTGGGACTACAGGCGCCCGCCACCACGCCCGGCTAATTTTTTGTATTTTTAGTAGAGACGGGGTTTCACCGTGTTAGCCAGGATGGTCTCCATCTCCTGACCTCATGATCCACCCGCCTCGACCTCCCAAAGTGCTAGGATTACAGGTGTGAGCCACTGCACCCAGCCACCTTATCTTGTTAGTAATCCATGTTGTTGTTATGTATCCATTTTCTGCATTTTTCACCACTTACTCATCCTCAATGCACTGCAGTCTGGTTTCCGCCCCTCTACTACCACCAAAACTGCAACCCAGAGGTACAGATGACCTTCAGGACACCAAACCCAGTGGATCTTAGTTATTTTTTATCTCGTTTGTTGTCTAGGGAGCATTTGACACTATGGGCAATTCCCTGCTTTTCCCTTGGCTTTGATGACACCACATTCTTCTTTTTTTTTTTTTGAGATGGAGTCTCGCCCAGTTGCCAGGCTGGAGTGCAGTGGTGCGATCTTGGCTCACTGCAACCTCTGCCTTCTGGGTTCAAGTGATTCTCCTGCCTCAGCCTCCTGAGTAGCTGGGATTAACAGGCGCCCGCCACAACGCCTGGCTAATTTTGTATTTTTAGTAGAGATGGGGTTTCACCATGTTGGCCAGGCTGGTCTCCGACTACTGACCTCGTGATTTGCCCGCCTTGGCCTCCCAAAGTGCTGAGATTACAGGTGTGAGCCACTGCGCCTGGCCCACATTCTTCTGTTTTTTTCTTACTCTAGTCATTTTTCAGTTTCATGTTCTGTGTATCCCTTACATGTTGGGTATTCCTCAGGGTCCAGACCAAGGTCCTTATGTCACACCCTACATGGTTTCCCCTGAGTGATCACCTCCACTTTCATGACTTCAATTATTCTCAAAATGCTTGATAACTCCAGTTCAGGCTCCTCTGGCATGCTGAAGACCTGTATGTCCAACGGCCTGGAGGATGACACCACTTAGATAACTCAGTTATCTCAAATTCAATGTGTGCGAAATGGAACCTCCTCATCTTCCCCTACAAATCTCTCCTGGTATTCCCTATCAGTTCAATGACACTTTCACTCAGTCCCTGAAGCCAGAAATCTAAGTTATTCTTTACTGCTTTCTCTCCTTCATATCTTCAGTTAAACAATCACTAAATCAGATTTTACCTCCTAATAAGCCCTTCAATTTTTATTGCTGCTATCCTAGTGTAGACCTCTTACATCTCTTCCCTTAACCACTGCCCTCCCTAATTGGTCCCTTTTACCTCCAATTATGCTCTCTTCAAGTCCATTTTCCCCTATGCAACACAGATCTGTTCTTGTCATTCTACTCAGAACCCTTCAAAGAAAGACTTTAACAAGAACCTCCAGGGCCTGGCCCTTGCCAGACCTCTTCAGCTTCATCTCTATTCTCTGTGTTTGACAGTCCAGCTAGAACTGAATACAGAAATTCAGTTATTGGGAGCCATGGTCTTGATTTCAACATTTTGCTGTTCCTCATACAGGGAAAGCTCTTCTTCCAATCATACTCCCCTTCAATAGCTCTTTCCTATTCATTCTTCAGGATTTCAGGTTAAATTTCACTTTCTTTTCTTCAACAAGGATGTATGAATGCCTACTACATGGGTGATACTGCCTTAGCTACCCTTACCTTTTCACTCTTAAACATGTGGGGAGGTGGCTCCTGTTTGTAATCCCAGCACAGTGGGAGGCCTGGATGGGAGGACTGCTTGAGGCCAGAAGTTTGAGACCAGCCTGAGCAACATAATGAGACCCTGTCTCTAAAAAAAATGTAAAAATTAGCCAGGTGTGGTGGCATGCCCCCATAGTCCCAGCTACTCAGGAGGCCGAGGTAGGAAGATCACTTGAGCCCAGGAATTAGAGGCTGCAGTGAGCTATGATCATAGCCACTGCTCTCCAGCCTGGGCGACAGAGAAAGACCATCTCTAAAAAAGAAGAAAAGCCAGGCATGGTGGTCCACACCTTTAATCCCAGCACTGTGGGAGGCTGAGGCAGGAGGATGGCTTGGGGCCAGGAGTTTGTGACCAGCCTGGGCAACATAAGGAGACACCTTCTCTACAAAAATAAAAATAAAAAAATTAGCTGGGCATGGTGGCACCTGCCTGTAATCCTAGCTGCTCAGGACACTGAGGTAGAAGGATCCCTTGAGCCTGGGAGGTTGAGACTGCAGCAGTGAGCCATGTTTGCGCCACTGCATTCACCCGGGTGACAGAGCAAGACCCCATCTCAAAGATATAAATTATTTTAAAAAGTTTCTTTCAAGCAATATAGTTTATATGCTTACTGATTTTAATTCCCCTGTCTTGAATAAACCAATTAACTAGTTCTTTTGGTTTAGGTTTGGCTCTTGTCATTTCTCCTCTCCACAAACTTCAGATATTAATACATTTTCACTAGAACTGAGGATGTTTCTGGCTATAAAGTATTGAGTTCCTTGTCTGGTTAAGTGTTAGAGATACAAATATGAACATGTGATAAGAACAAGATGTTCACATACTAGGATTATGTGGTGGGAAAAGAAATCTGTGTTGCTCTGAACTAAAGGCAGGCTAATCCAAGGCAGTCTGTAAAGTAAGTTTTAATTTATCCAACTAAAAGATAGTAATTTTCAAAAAATTTGAATTTTAAAATCTACATTAATAGGCACCGGCCGGGCACGGTGGCTCATGCTTGCAATCCCAGCACTTTGGGAGGCTGAGGCAGGCAGATCACCTGAGGTCAGGAGTTCGAGACCAGCCTGGCCAGCATGGTGAAACTCTGTCTTTACTAAAAATACAAAAATTAGCTGGGCTTGGTGCCAGGTACCTGTAATCCCACCTACTTGGGAGGCTGAGGCAGAGAATCGCTTAAACCTGGGAGGCAGAGGTTGCAGTGAGCCAAGATCCCGCCACTGTACTTCAGCCTGGGTGACAGAGCAAGACTGTCCCAAAAATTAATAGGCACCATGTTTATAAAATTTGATTGTATGTACCGATGCCCCAAGTAAAACCGCAATATTAATTTGTATGATATAGCCTTTATTTACCATATTTAGTTCATAAATTACAATAAATTGAAGGGTTGTCTGTTCTGGACAGCTAGCAAAACATGTTACTTGTACCTATTCTGTTTTAATTACCTAGTTTTAAATGTATAGTTTAATCCTACTTTATATTATTTTGTTACCCTCTGAGACCTTGTTCCTGGAAGAGGAATGGTTATCATTGCTAAAATGTAGACATAGACATACAGAGATTTTTTTTTTCAGATGCTAAGATGAATACATGGTTACTACACTTAAAATTTTTGCTTTGGGAGGCCAAGGCGGGTGGATCACGCAGTCGGAGGCCATCCTGGCCAACATGGTGAAACCCCATCTCTACTAAAAATACAAAAATTAGCCGGGCGTGGTGGCAGGCTCCTGTAGTCCCAGCTACTCAGAAGGCCGAGGCAGGAGAATCACTTGAATCCGGGAGGTGGAGGTTGCAGTGAGCCTAGATTGCGCCACTGCACTCCAGCCTGGTGACAGAGCAAGACTCCATCTCAAAAAAACCCAAAAAAAACAAAGAAACAAAAAAAAATTGAAGGCCAGGCACGGTGGCTCACGCCTGTAATCCCAGCACTTTGAGAGGTCGAGGCAGGCGGATTGCCTGAGCTTGGGAGTTCAAAACCAGCCTGGGCAACATGGCGAAACCCCGTCTCTACTAAAAATACAAAAAATTAGCTGGGCTTGGTGGCTGGCACTTGTAATCCCAGCTACTCAGGAGGCTGAGGCAGGAGAATTACTTGAACCTGGCAGGCAGGGGTTGCAGTGAGCCGAGATCACGCCACTGCACTCCAGCCTGGGCAATAGAGACTCGGTCTCAGAAAAAAAAAAATTGAAAAAATTTACAAACAGGAGAACAAACTTCCAATTCTGTTAATGGCAGTCTAGGTAATTTGGAGTGACCCTTCTGTTGAAGACAATTGGAACAAAAGTCAAAATTTTTTTAAATTCTTGAAATCATTAAAGAGCTAATAAAACTAGTGGTGAAATGCTGGGTCAGAACATAGGAGAAGACAACCAAGACAAGTAGCGTAGCACACAAAGACACATTGCTGGCATGATGGCATTTGTCAATTTATTTATTTTTGAAGCAGAGTCTCTCTCTGTCACCCAGGCTGGAGTGCAGTGGCACGATCTTGGCTCATTGCAACCTCCGCCTTCCGGGTTCAAGCGATTCCCCTGCCTCAGCCTCCGGAGTAGCTGGGATTACAGGCACGTGCCACCACAACTGGCTAATTTTTTTATTTTTAGTAGAGATGGGGTTTTGCCATGTTGGCCAGGCTGGTCTCGAACTCCTCACCTCAAGTTATCCACTGGCCTTGGCCTCCCAAAGTGCTGGGATTATAGGCATGAGCCACTATACCCTGCCAGCATTTGTCAATTTGGTAGAAATAGCTTCAGTATTGAAACTGAGCTGCACTTTGAGTGAGCTATAGGACTGAGAGAAAAAAAGTTTTGGCTCACAAAGGTAGGGACTCTAATAAATCACACCCACTTTAAGCTAGGACCCTGAAATTCAATCCCAAAAGTGAATTGGAAGTAAATAAAACAAAAATTCTTGCTGGACTTTTTTTTTTTTTTTGAGACAGGGTCTTGCTCTGTTGTCCAGGTTGGAGTGCAGTAGTAAGGTCATGGCTGATTGCAGTCTTGACCACATGGGGCTCAAGAGAGCCTCTTGCCTCAGGCTTCTGAGTAGCTGGGATTACTGGCGCACAACATGCTCTGCTAATTTTTATTTTTGTACTTTTTGTAGAGACAGGGTTTCTCCATGTTGCCCAGGCTGGTCTCAAACTCCTGGCCTCAAGTGATTCTCCTGCGTAGATCTCCCAAAGTGTGGGGATTACAGGTGTGAGCCATGGTGCCCACCCAGCCTCCTTGCCAGACTTTCCGCCCAGATTTTTGTTGTTTGTTGGTCAAGAGAAAATGAGGCCTTGAACCTGTATTATGGTGGTTCCTGACTAGTAATCTCTTCAGTTACCTAAAAAGGAAAATAAAAATCCTCTCTGGAGGAAGACAGGATTATATCCTATACTTAGGGCTTATATTATTTCTATACATTTTTTTTTTTTTACAAATACATGTTTAGCACACAAAGAAAACCAGGCACACAAGAAAAGACTTCATATGTGAGAACCAACATGAGCAACAGACCACAAAAAACCTTAAGATACTATAATTGGCCAACTCAGATTACACAACAATTGTTCACTAAGGTCAAAGAAGCAGCCAAGCTTGGAAATTTCATCAGGGAACCAGGAACTATAAAATGACATTATAGGTTTGATAAAGAACCTAATACAAATTCTACAACTGAAAATTCAACTGATGGATTTAACAACAAATTAGATACAGCTCCATAGTGACATTAATGAACTATAAAATTTGTCAGAAAAAGGCATCGGCTTTGAAAGACCAAGGTAAAAAGTGCAAGACTGAGAGTAAAGAGATAGGATACAGTGAAAACTATCTAATATGCATGTATTTAAATGTCCAGAAGTTGATGAGAGGGGCAATATCTGAGGAGGTAAGAGCTAAGAATTTCCTAAATTGACAAAAGATGTTAGTTAATGGATTCTCAATGAACGAATGAATGAAAACTCATTGTTCAATGAGTCCATAATGGCATGATAAAGTAGCCAGCTATCTTTAAAAGAGTGAAAAACAGAACTGACTTCTTAGGAGCAGTGGAAGGTAAAAGGTTAGGTAGAATGTATGTGCCCAAAGAAAATAACCACTGGGCGTGGTGGCTCACACCTGTAATTCCAGCACTTCAGGAGGCTGAGGTGGGCAGATTGCTTGAGCCCAGGAGTTTGAGACCAGCCTGGGCAACATAGGGAGACCTTGTCTCTACAAGAAAAATTTTAAAAATTAGCTCAGTGTGGTGGTGCATACCTGCAGTCCCAGCTACTTGAGAGGCTGAGGTGGGAGGATCACTTGAGCCCGGGAAGCCAAGGCTGCAGTGAGCCAAGGCGAGATCTCGCCACTGCACTCCAGCCTGGGTGACAGAGCAAGACCCTATCTCAAAAAAAAAAAAAAAAAAAAAAAAAAAAAGGAACCTCCAACCTAGGATTTAGCTAATAAAAATATCCATTTAGAATTTAAAGCAAAATAAAGATCTTTTTAGATAAACAAAATGGGAGCGTTCCCCCAACTAGCCGACCAACACAAAAACAAACCCTGAAGCAAGGTAGGCAAACTTCATAGTCAGGCTGGGCACAGTGGCTCACCCTGGTAATCTCAGCACTTTGGGAGGCCGAGGCAGGTGGATCACTTAAGGTCAGGAGTTTGAGACCAGCCTGGCCAACATGGTGAAAACCTGCGTTAAAAAAAAAAAAAAAGTCAGATAGTAAATATTTGAGTGTTGTAGGCCACACAGTATGGGATCCCTCACAAACCACCCAACTCTATTGTGGGGCAAAAGCAACCACAACAATATGTAAATGAACGAGCCTGGCAGTATTCGAATTTTTGTGAAACTTTATTCACAAAAATAGGCCGTGGGCTGCATTTGGCCTGTGGACCGTAGCTTGCTGACTCCTGTGCTAAAGGATAAACTTCAGACAAAAAGGAAATGATCCCAGATGGACAGGCAGAGATTTCCGAAGGAATGAAGAGCAAAATAAGTGGTAAATAAAGAACATTGATTATATAAAACTTGGTTTTAAAAAATAAGAGAACTAAAAGACCTGGTAACAAGAGCATATAACTTGGGATGAGAGTAAATGGAGTTAGTGTTCTAGGTTCCTTGTATTACCTCTCTTGGGGGAGGGGAGTATAAAGGTATTGATTAAATTAGACTTTGATACCTTAAGGATACACATTATAACTTCTAGGGTAATCACTGAAAGAATAAAAATATAATAAAATGAAACTTCCACACTACTAGAGTGGAAGAAATTGGAATGATTAAAAATCAGGCAGGAAAGGAGAGAAAAACATGAAATAGATGAGACAAATAGGCAAAAATAAGAGTTTTAAACCCAAACACAGGAGTAATTACATGAATATAAATCATCAATGCTTCCAAGAGTGAACATCACTTAATTCACTCCTCAATTTCACTCCTCAATTTTGATCATTATGTATTGTATAGACTATTTTTAAGCCCCAATTATATGCTGTTTATAAGACATCTAAAATAAAAAAAAGAACTCAAATCTCTTCAACAAAACATAATTATTGGTTTTAGTGTATTTCTTTAAATACACTGTTTTTCAGGGTCAGATCACATTGTGTACATAATAGTGTATCCCTCAAAGACATATTAATTTGCACATTTTTCTATTATTATAAATCAGTTCCCAAAGGATATCCTAGTATTTGGAGTTTGGAATTCAGAGTTCTCTGAATAACTGAAGAGAAGCTATTTTGTGTATTACTAAAGATAACTTGATTCAAAATAATTTTTTTTTTTTTTTTGAGATGGAGTCTCACACTCACCAGGGCTGGAGTGCAATGGCGCGATCTCGGCTCACTGCAACCTCCGCCTCTTGGGTTCAAGCGGTTCTCCTGCCTCAGCCTCCGGTGTAGCTGGGACTACAGGCATGCGCCACCACGCCCAGCTCATTTTTTCTATTTTTAGTAGAGACAGGGTTTCACCATGTTGGCAGGCTGGTCTCAAACTCCCGACCTCGTGATTCGCCCGCCTCGGCCTCCCAAAGTGCTGGGATTCCAGGTGTGAGCCACTGCGTCCGACCTCAAAAATTTTCATTGGCCCAATACGCATTTATTTTTGAGATAGAGTCTTGCTTTGTACCCAGCCTGGAGTGCAGTGGCATAATCTCGGCTTACTGCAACCTCCACTTCCCGGGTTCAAGTGATTCTCCTGCCTCAGCCTCCGAGTAGCTGGGATTACAGGCACGCGCATCCATGCCCGGCTAATTTTTGTATTTTTAGTAGAGATGGAATTTCACCATGTTGGTCAGGCTGGTCTCGAACTCCTGACCTCAAGGTGATCCGCCCGCCTCTGCCTCCCAAAGTACTGGGATTACAGGCATGAGCCATCCCTCCCAGCCGCAATATACATTTAAAGGAATTTTGGGACTATTACTACTATTCATGTTTTTTATTGATCTGCTAATAACAGTTCCAAGGCGATGAGTATACAGTGTTAATGGAACACAAATCTCTATTATTTCCTTTCAAAGTATCCAGGAAGTGCCTGTCTTCTTAAACATTTGATTTTATTAACTCATTCTTCTTACAGTTTTAAATTTCTTTTTAGGCGATGAATATACAGTGTTAATGGAACACAAATCTCTATTATGTCCTTTCAAAGTATCTAGAAAGTGCCTGTCTTCTTAAACATTTGGTTTTATTAACTCATTCATTTTTCTTACAGTTTTAGATTTCTTTTTAAGCAACCTTTCTTCCTGCACACTGACCTATGTCTTACTTAAGGAATTTTTTTTTTTAGAAGTCTCGCTCTGTCGCGCAGGTTGCAGCGCAGTGGCGTCATCTCGACTCACTGCAACCTCCGTCTCCCGGGTTCAAACGATTCTCCTGCCTCAGCCTCCCGAGTAGCTGGGGAGGCGCCCGCCATCACGCCCGGCTAATTTTTATATTTTTAGTAGAGACAGGGTTTCACCATGTTGGCCAGGCTGATCTTGAACTCCTGACCTCAGGCAATCCACCTCCCTTGGCCTCCCAAAGTGCGGGGTTTACAGGCGTGAGCCACCGCGCCCGGCAAGGAATTAATATTTTACTAAAACAGTTTTTAGAAACACCAGGGAAAGGCTCAGGGCTAAGTATTTTATTCCAGTTTGTTCTAACAGCCACGCCATAGCAGACGTGTGACCACCTCCACCAGCCCTACGAGGGGTAGAACTGAAGCCAAGGCCCCAGTCACGGGCCGGGCTTCAGAATCCAGGCTTCCCTGCGGCCAGCGCCGCTGGCTCCCTGCTCCCCGAGATCGCCTCCCCAGTAGCTGAGAATACGCTGAGTTTTTATGGTTTCACATTCAGACTAAGCCGCCCGCGACCTTGTAGGTAAAGATGAATCCGAATGGGTCGGCGCGCCTGTTTCCTAGGGTACTGCTTTCGGGCGCTTTCTCCTGAAGTTGACACTTCCCAGCCGAGGAGCCTTAAAGCCCCACGCAGCGGAAGGAACGCGGCCCCGGCGGCGGCGAGACAGGCCTGCTCCCGGCCGGGAAAGGCGCACGAGAACCAGGACGCGTCCACGCCACTCGGGGCGGGCGTTCGCCCCGAGCACGCCCACCTCAGACGCCAAGGAGGCTGACCGCAGTCCGGTCGACGATGGGCATGGTCTCTACTTACTTTCCGCCCAGGCTAACCTCTAGCGCATTTTGCTAATTTGGGTCTGAATCGCCATCACCGCGGGCAGCGCAGCCTTAGCCGCCAGCCCTACAGCCGGGAGGGAATGTAATGTAAGGTTTGGCGCCTCGGGGCGGATCCGGCTTGCACAGTCAGTTAAGGAACCAGAGTATCGCGAGATCCGGGGTAAAGGGGCGGGAGGAGCGCGCGTGCACGCGCCCAGAGCCGTTAGGGTGGAACTCCACTCGGGCGGGGCGGGCGGAGTGATACAGCTGGACGCCAGTTGGTGGAGCCCCCGCGGGAAACGACTGAGCGCGAGGAGCGTGCGCGCTCCCGTCGTGGCGACGGTGGCGGCGAGCGGCGTCAGAGCTTGAGGGGGGGTTGACGGCTTCTGGCGGGTGGCGGTGTTGAAGGCGAGAGCTTGCTTGGCCCGTGTCGCTTCTGTCCCAAGAACCGGACGGAGAGTGAGGGCACGAGGGTCGCTGTCGGGGGCTGTCGTCTTCCACGTACACGTCGTCGTGAGGAGCGCAGTCCGGACTCTTCCCGCAACCCCTCCGGCTCCCTTTCCGCACGCCTCGAGGCGGCGGCGGCCACCGAGACAGCAGCGCACCTTCCCCCATCCCTTCCCCTTATCCCCCAGCCCAAAAGGGCCCGGTCTGCGCCCCACCCCCGCCCGTCCGCCCGCTACGCCGCCGCCATGTCGGCGCAGGCCCAGATGCGCGCGATGCTGGACCAGTTGATGGGCACCTCCCGGGACGGTAAGTCTCTGCCAGGGCCCTGGGGGTGGGGGAGGGGACGGGGACGGCGAAGGGAAGGGGTTCCGAGGGCGCACCTGGGCGCGCGCGTGTGGCTGAGTAAGGGGCTCCCAGATTGGTAACACGAGGTCCCCGTCCCCCGTCCCATCCAATCAGGGCTCGGCAGGCGGGCAGGGGGGGCGGTGACCATGCGGATTGGCGGGAACTGCTGCCAATGGGGTGAGGCGGGGCCTGGAGGCAGAAAGGAGAGTTTGTGCTTTTAATGTTGACTTGGCTGAGACGGGAGAGCCCGCGTCTCTGTTGCGTAGTTGGGGGGCCCGTTTTGTCGCTGGTTAGGTACCTGCGGAAAGCTAAGGCCTCCACCCCCGATATAATTCCTTAACCCAGAGCTTTGGGATCATCCCTCGCCGCCGTCCTCCAGAGTACCTAGAGAGAAGCTTCCCCCTCCTCTTCCTGGGTCAGGAGGAAACCTTTATTACTAACCCAGTCTCAGAGATGCACCCTCGAGCCCCACAGAAACAACCATTTTTATGGAAAATCTGACCCAAACCATGGTTTCTTAAGTGGGTGTGTTTGGCCCCATTTTGTGAGAAGGAACATGTTATGGCCTGTTTTTCCGAGAGACCTCCATTTTGTTAGACAATTTAATAGAGGCTTTGTTCAGTAAATATTGACAAATGTTGCATGTCCCTAACAGAACGATTTTGAAAATTTGGTACCCAGTGAAGTAGAATAGAGGAGAACAAAGATCCTTTCAGGCGTTTAGTTTAGAATCTGTATAGAGAGCCCTTAATTGCTGGATTATCCTTTGTCATAAAGAGAATTTCTAAATAAAATGATGAAATGCTGTTGCTTTTTTGGTGATGTTAATTAGTAATGTACTCTCAAATTCAACTTAAATACATTCAAATATGTAGGAAAGGTCTAGTTCATTACTTTCTTAACACAGCAAAATCCTTGGTAGTTTTTATGTGTTGCTTCTTTAGGCAGATAGTTTCTTAGCCACTAAGGAAATGCTTTTTTTCTTGAGAAGTTATTTAAGTGTATTGATTTAAGAGAAAAGGCACGTCTTAAATTTAGTTTTTAAGTTACTCTTTTAATTTACATGAGTGCTTTACAGCAAAATATGAGTAAATTTTAAAAATTTTATTGCATTCAAATCTTTCAGCAGTGCGTAGAGTGGCTTTTCAGTGTTCACATTTTCAGTTTTAATAAAAACCCATATTGGGAACTTTTATTTGTAGAATATATAGACAAATAGGTGTAGATGGCAAACCTACTTGTGGTTGTGTAGAGAGGAAAGATTGGGAAGGAAATGAGTTTTGTATGGAAAGTTAACATTAACTTAAAATGCCACTGGAGAAACTTTTAACTGTTATCATTTCTCACGTTTAGATAAGAATGGTTACTTTATCACTGCAGCATGTCTTAACATTCCTCCTTTTCCAACATGAGAGAGGGTATTGGGAACGGGTTTCATTGGATCCTAGCTAACAGAATAACTAATCTGTGTAATAAAATTAAGTTATTTAAGACGTGCTTTACATGATCCTTTTAATCCTTGATGGATACCATTTTTGGGATCTTCTTCATGGATTGGATTTCTTAGTTTTACTGGGAGGGTAGTTGGATCAAGGTAAACCATCTCCTGATAAGTTTCTGAATTAGGCAGCCCGTCTAGTATTGCAAAGCTAAATTTAAATATATATATTTCTGTGTGTGTAGTCAGCAGAAACATGGATTTCTTAAAATCCACTTTGTGTATTTTTTTATGTGTCTGTTACTGGATTTTTTTTTTTAACCTTCAGACTTAGAGGATTTATGATCGAACTCATATTTACGAGTCCACAGTATTGTTTAGCTGAAATGACTGGATTTTCACTGCTGTATTGGGTTAGAAGTAAAAAATATACTACTTTCAAGGAAAAATAATTGAGTGGAGTTTTTTTTAGATATCAAAATTAATTCTATATATGCAAAATAATCAGAACATTCTTTTTTTTCTTACCATTTAATGAGTTTATATATATCATTTTATGATTCAGGACTTTTAATAATTAGGATTGTTCTTTTTTAGCATACAGTCAACTTCAAGTTACCCAGGGATAGGGGAACATGGAAACGTCCCCTGAATAACACCATGTAATTTGAAACCATTTAATGGGAACCCTTGTATTGGACACACAAACAGCCTATGGGAACGCTGTTGGGTGTCTTTGGCACTAAGAGGTGGAAATGGGTATCCAGGAGGTGGGAGAGAGATGGAAAAGGTAGGTAGGAGGGTATTTAAGGCAACTCTGTCCTTTTTTTTTTTTTTTTTTAATTCCAGAGACTATAAAGCAGCGACTCTCTTTTTTGGAAGTGGGGTTCAAGGTGGCAGTGACCCCCTCCACTCTTAGTGTCCTGTCTGTGAAGGAATCTGAAGTGGCACAGAGTCCTGGGGCTTTGGGAAAACATTACCTCCTCACCCCCTCAAGGTTTCTTCCCCCTCCCCTTCCTGACAGTTTTTAATTAGTTCCTTTTAAAATTCATTGGAGATTTAAGTCTGTTAGTTAAATATACCTTAACTTGAATTACATAAAGTAGTTAATCATTTAGATTACCTAAACTTCACTGGAATCCTTAGGAGTAGGAATTTTGTTAGCAGGGAAATGGAGAGGTAATTTTGGATCACTGGGCACTTCAAGAAAGGACATTCCTGGGTGAGTGGTGGAAGTTGGGGGCTTTAGACAATCTGAGGGCAGCATGATGGTGCCGGGAGGCTGGGCAGGGGGACTGCCAGGAGGTGGGAGAGAAATGCATAAGGGAGGTGGGAGGGCCAAAGACAAACTCTGCCTTCTTTGCAATTTTGCCTAGGGCCCTGGTGGTGGCAACCGCCTGTGTGCCACTGAAAATCGTGCCGATGCCTGGCATACTGCATAAATGGAAGCAGGGTACCGCGTGAGTTGAAACATTGGTCACACTATATAAAGTTTGTATATGTGAATCAGTGTAACTCATACCCATATAACTGGGGGTCTGACTGTATTTGGATTTTTCTGATAAGGCATCATGGGCTAAGGAAAAGAGCACTGGGCTGAGACTCAGGAGACCTGGTTTCTAGCCCCAGCTGTACCTCTAATTGTAACCTTGGGTAAGTCACTTAACCTTTTTTGCCTCAAGTTAAATCTGTAATTTGTTATATGGGAAACCAAATAATTTCCTATGTTATACTCAGAAATGTTGAAAAATAAATATATTTTAAGTTTTTTTAGAAAGGAGCTATAAGTAGATAGTAATTACTAGTTTATTTTATCTTGTTTATGATTCATTACGTTTTATAAATATCTTTCTGTTTTAGTTGTTAGCAGAGGGGAGAGGGATAATTTGTTTTCCCTGAACATATTCATTCTATTTGAAAGCAGGGAGGAGTTGCACAGGAAAATCCAAGAAACAGTTTGAGAATTGTCTGTGTGACAGTTGGAAGAACCCAGTACCCTCACACAGACTGTGATTTTTGCTCAGTTGGATTAATTGCAAGGATGTTCCTTAGCTAAAGCCCCTTTGCCAACAAACACAGTTTGGTCATAAGTCTCTAGTCTTGATCCCAGGAAAGTCTGGGAAGATGCAAGCAATAAGAATTAAATAAAATTGAGGGTGTGGATTTAGATTACATCCTTTTTTTTTTTTTTTTTTTTTTTTTTTGAGACAGGGTCTCTGTTGCCCAGGCTGGAGTGCAGTGGCACGATCTCGGCTCACTGCTACAACCTCCACCTCCTGGGTTCGAGTGATTCTCCTGCCTCAGCCTCCCGAGTAGCTGGGATTACAGGTGGCTGCCACTACGTCTGGCTAATTTTTGTATTTTTAGTAGAGATGGGGTTTCTCCATGTTGGCCAGGATGGTCTCGAACTCCTGACCTCGGGTGATCCACCATGCCCAGCCTAGATTACATTTTAAGCTTAGAAATTAGGTAAGTTATAGAAGGTAGTTCTGAGGGTTCTGTATCTCTTAATTGCTTATACCTTTAAATGGGAGCAGAGACCACCTTCGAAAGATTAAAATAGGCAGGAATGGCAGCCTGCCCTCCAAAACAACAAGTAGACTAGGAATGTTAGATAGAATTTTATAGCATCATTAATTGTCCCTTATGGTTAGGGACTGTTTCGGGCAAGTTAAAACTTTCAATAATTTTAACTATTTTAAATGTTAATCTTTCTAAATTGTAGGATATACTTCCTCAGTTAACATATTAATCATAATATTTTTGCTGATCAGTTGTACAGTAGTTATAGTTTGTGGGATATAAAACTGAAAGGATACTCATCCTCATACCCAGGAAAATACTGTTAAGAAAGCCATTTACTTGTTGCTAATGTAAGGTTAGTAGTACATAACCGTGTAATCTGTAAGATAGTATGACATTTCTGCCTTTCTGCAAAATTACTGAATCAAAGTTTGAAGTAGTGCGTTCTTTAATGGATTTTATTTATAAAATCATCTTTACTGTAATCTGTGTTCCTTGACTTTTCATCAACATTGAAAACATTTTCTCTTAATTTTTTCTCATTAACATAATGAACCATATTCATTTCTTGGTCAGTTGTGAGCCATTCTTTTATTCCACTTGGATTGTTCATTTTAAGTGAAGGAGGCGGAGCCTTTAATGTATACGCAGACATTTTTTAAATAATAACAGGATATTTCTTAGTCTAGAGCTTGTAAATTCTTTAATATAAGGAGTTTTATAGGATTAAACAGTAGTTTCTCTGCGTTTCAGTTAACTATTTAACTTTATCAGAGTTTCAGGCATATCCAAAACACTGAAAGCACCTGCATAGTGAATCAATGAAAAAAGAAAAGTTTTCCTCATTTTGCATTTTGAACTCTGAATAATATTTCTATCTACACAGCAGCCCAGAAAACAATAAAAGTATCACTTCATATAACATTGCATCGTTCCTGGATTCTCTACAGTTGTTTAGTTCTCCTCAAGTAAGCATATGCTTCTGAGACATTCTTTTACTTCAGGTAAATATAAGCAAAACAAAGAAAAATCATTTTGTCTATTTCTGCATCAGTTCTATAAGGAGCAAGTAAATTCTTTTATTTTCGTTTAGGTTGGATGTTGTCATATAAGGATAGATGGTAGTGTTCAACGTGTTCAAGATGGGTAGTAGGAATTCAATGGCCATGAGGTGTCATGGATCAAGGTCAGGTTTAGTGAATCAGGTACTCTTCAGTAACAGGTGGTTCATACAAAGCATTGAAGCTTAAAGTTGCTGTGAGTTCAGCAAGCAGGAGGGTTGAGAAGACAGGCAGATGGTTTAAAACTAAAGGTCAATAAGTGGGCAAGACTAGTTAAATGAGGCAGATACTCCCCAAAGATGGAATTCCAGAAAGGTGCTTGAAAAGGACTGAATTCTTAAAGCCTACTGCTGTTAGTATGTAGAGTTCTTGAGGAAACAAGCAGTTTGGCATAACTTAATCTACTAAGAAACTATAAGAAGGTGAAGGAAGTTGGAACATCTTACTGGAAAAAGAATGAGGGAGTGAAGAGGGAATCTTGTGAATTCAAAACTTGCAGAAAAGCTATTCTGTTTCCTTTTTGTTTAGGTTCTCATGCACTAGCAGCTGCTAGAATAGATATTGGAAGGCAGGGCCAAAATAGGTCAGTTGTTCAGTTTTGCAAGATTATTGAGGATATAGAGAAATTAATTTGTGAAAACTCTGAAATCATCTGCAGCTCCATGTTTTTGTTTGAACTGAATAACTTAGGACTTTGAGAAGTCAAAGCCGTCAGAAAGTAACATGAAGTCCATTCAGCTGAATAAATGTCATATTTTGCTATTAGCATAGAAAAGAATCTTTAAAACTTCTTTCCAAAAAGCACTCAGTATTGACCCATATGTTCCAGTATAGTTGTGAACCATGTACAACTGATGTTTGACTTATTTGACTCAACATGAAAGGAATTTAACCAGCTGCCCTTGCTGAATCTTGTCTCCTGAATATGGTAAATGGTTTTTGTTTTTAATCTTAATACCTTAGATTTCTGCAGACCCCAGTTTTCTCTTTTAGAGTTAACTGATAATTATTGGATAGTATCTATAATATACCTGGCTGTTCTGTTCTGTACTGTGCTCTAGTATTAGTTTAAATGGTAGACTTTTCTCTTAAAGTAACTTTAATAGTTTAATAGTTAAAGTTACTTGAAGGTATGTTTTAGATCAGGGACTGGCACTATGGCCTCCTGCTTTTGGTAAATAAAGTTTTATTGGAACACATCCATGCCGATTCATATACATGATGTCTATGGCTGCTTTGGCTTACGACAGCAGAGCTGAATGGTTGCAACAGAGTCATATGGCCCGCAAACCGAAAACATTTACCATTTGACTCTAACAAAAGCTTGTTGATCACCATTCTGGTTTAGTTATTCTAAACCAAGTGTGGTCCTTGGAGCAGCAATTCAGCATCACCTCAGCATCACGTCGTATTGTTAGAAATATAAATTCTTGGACCCACCTACTGAGTCAGAAATTCTGGATATGGGCCCCAGCAATCCATGTTTTTAGAAACCTTCCAGGTGATTCTGATACACATTAAAAGTTTGAGAAACCCTCTTCTAGATCAGTGTTTCCCAAATGTTTGTCACACTTATTGCCTTTATTATTATTTATTTTTATTTTTTATTTTTTGGAGACAGAGTCTCTGTCTCCCAGGCGTGAAATGCAGTGGCCTGATCTTGGCTCACTGCAACCTCCGCCTCTCGAGTTCAGGCGATTACCCTAGCTTCCCGAGTGGCTGAGATGACAGGCATGCACTGTCATGCCCTGCTAATTTTTGTATTTTTAGTAGAGATGAGGTTTTGCCATGTTGGCCAGGCTGGTCTCAAACTCCTGACCTCAAGTGATCTACCTGCCTTGGCCTCCCAAAGTGCTGGTATTACAGGCGTGAACCACCATGCCTGGCCTTGCCTTTATTATTATTTACTGTTTTCTGTTTATTTAATATTTTCCTTTATGTCAACTCACTTTCTAAAAATTTTAAGTTAATTTTAAAATGAAAGTTTATACCACCATAAAAATAAATACAATGAAAACAAAATGGTGTATTATGTAACTAGACTCTTGTCACTTAGGGTTCCTGTGCTAAAAATTAGAAGTTGTTAAATTTATTAAACAAGTACTGTTGCAAAATGGGAACTTTTTTTCTTGACTTAATTGTGATTAATAATTTCCTTACTGAGTGGTATTTAAAATGTCTTGTTGGCAAAATCATGTAACACCTAAAGTCATCTTTTGTGCAAATCTCATACTTTGGAAATTACTGTTCCAGGGAGTATTCATGTGAAAGGAAAGCTGTTTGAACTATATATATACCTAAGCCTGTAAGCAGAAATGACTGGACAGAAATACAAGCCTGTGAGACAGAGAGATCTAGGAGATCCCTAGAGAGGTCCATCAAGACCTCCAGGATGAAATTACCTCATTTAGCTCAATTTCTCACCTCTCCGTTAGTGCTTTGGTCCACGGGGGTCAGTGTTTCTGCAGGATTTCACCAACTGGTTCCACAGTGGGAATGTGAAGAGGTACCTGGCTGTGGGAAAAGCTGCTTATCAAAGAGAGGCCTGATAGAAATGCTAGGGAAAGTGGCTGTGAGCCTGCATTATGGACGGGAGCAGAGCGGCAGGGCATGTTGCTAGGACTAAGCAGTCGATTCACGTGAGTCTGGACACCATGTATAAATATTTTGAAAACTTCCTGTTACAATTTAATTTACTCCATTGTGTTAGAGGGAGTGCTTCCCTGCACATGGTGTTCTGTATATTTATTGGTTGATGTGCTTTAGGGTATAGTAATTATTTATAGCAATAGATTGATACCCAGGTTGCAGAGTTGCTTTAGTTATATCTTTATTTCCTTTTCTTAGAGATTATAGACATAATTTGCTTCTGTCATCTTTTGACCAAAAATCTAATGGGAATGAAGAATTACACTTGAATGTTTATTTTTAAGTAATAAGTTCTGTGATAGTGATTATAGGTGTCTGCATTTAAAAAAATGTTTTAAAAAGTACAGAGGTCAAACAAGCATCTGTATGATTGAACAAATGTTATTTCGTATATTTCTGTCAAATTTTAAAAAATGGATAAAGAGGCCGGGCACTGTGGCTCACGCCTGTAATCCCAGCACTTTGGGAGGCCAAGGTGGGTGGATCACCTGAGGTCAGGAGTTCAAGACCAGCCTGGCCAACATGGTGAAACCTGTCTCTACTAAAAATATAAAAATTAGCCAGATGTGGTGGTGGGTGCCTGTAATCCCAGCCACCCGGGAGGCTGAGGTTGGAGAATTGTTTGAACCCAGGAGACGGAGGTTGCTGTGAGCCCACATGGTGCCAATGCACTCCAGCCTGGGCGACAGAGTGAGACACCGTCTCAAAAAAAAAAAAAAAGTAAAAAGTGCATAAAGCATTACAAATAAAGTCTTTTGTGGTCCCCTTCACCGTCTCAGTCCTTTCCCCAGAGGCAACCCTTTTTGTAAATTTGTTGCATATTCACTGTGAGGCAGTATTTCTGCTGTGTTGTTTAGTTTTAAGGCTCACGTCTCCTTCATGGTGATCTGTTTTTCATTTTAACTTCTTCCTTTATCATTGGGTTGTCTATCACCTCTGTCCCTTGATATTTTCATCTTTTTTTTTCTTTTTTATTTCTTTTCCTTTGGATTTGGGGAGGCTCTAGTTGGCTTCTGTAGCTATCACCAGCTGATGAGAACTTGTCTTTTTTAATAGATAAATCAGCCAGTTACTTTTTCTTTGATTATTTTCAGCTATTGCTTGATAGCCAAAGATAGCTTTCGTTACTTCTAATTTTGTATATAGAAAGTTCTGGATGATAGAAGGCACCGGCTATCCAGAGTGCAATTGTTACTATGTCAGAATTACAGCTCTGCAAGTAAGTATCAAAATATAAAATTTAGCAGGCTGTAACTTTTTATGCCATATATCTTAAAATAAATTCTATATAACCTATTTTAGGACTTAATGTTAAAGTAACTATTCAGGCTTTTCTGATGTCTCTTGTAAATTTAAGAAGAGGAATAGGCTGATAGATTTCCTAAAGCACATACCCCCCAAAACATGATAGCATTGGTCCCTGCCAGCTACCAAGACCCTTTGCTTGTATTAATATAATGAGAGAAGATAGGTGCAGGGCATGGAATAGAGCCTTGGAATGGAGATTCTTTAGTATTCCTGTTCTCACATTTTCATCATCACCATTCTGGTTAGCTTCAAAAGATCCTACAAGGTTTTTCTTCTACTAACAAGGCTGTTCCCCAGTTTCATTCTTATAATCTTGTGATATGGATTTTCACAGACAAGTGGGCCAGATTTTTAACATTTTAAAAACATTAATCTTTGATCATATCCAGCAAGAATGAACTTGTTCTGGAGATTTCTTCTACAGTGGGCATCACATTTTAAAAATGTTTGGCTTGTCATGGGGATTATGGTGGGGGGTGATACTGGTACCTATTTCTGATTATAAACTTATGGGACCATATGAACCAGAAGATTAAGAAGGATAGCTTTTCTGAGCTGTATAGCACCCTTGTGTTTACATTTTCTGGAGGAAAGGAAAGCTGCTTTGTTTTATTAGGAACGACTTGATGTCACATTTGGAAGGCAGACTGTCATAATTGTTTTTTCCCGTTGCCATCTTTGGCATAGTACTCTTTCTTCCCTTTCCTTATGTAATAAATATATGCCTGGAAAGTTTTACATAGATCAAGACATATTAAATGTTTTCAAAGCATCTGTATTATTATGTTAAGACATGGTGATGAGTCCTTTTGTAAAATGAACCCTATACTTTGGATGGTTTAAATATACAGTGGGTTAAACTGAGTGTATATATTAACAGGGGAACATGTAGCAAGGGAGTAATGTTTTTTTAAAAGGTTAATTACAAAAGGATTTGTATAGGTGGATTTTAAGCTGAATTCTAAAGGAACAACAAAGGTAGGTGGGAGAAGTTGGTAGAGTGGGTGAGAAAGTTTGAGGAAGATGTAAAAATGATCAGATTGGCTCCTTAGTATAAGAGTTACTGTGCAGCAGTAATCATCGCTTTTACTTTGATTCCACATGAAGACACAAGGGTTTTTTGTTTGTTTGGTTTGAGACAGAGTCTTGCTCTGTGAGCCAGGCTGGAGTGCAGTGGTGCTATCTCAGCTCACTGCAACCTCCAACTCCCAGGTTCAAGCGATTCTCCCACCCCAGCCTCTGTAGCTGATATTACAGACCTGTGCCACTACACCCAGCTAATTTTTATATTTTTAGTAGTGATGGGGTTTCACCATGTTAGCCAGGCTGGCCTTGAACTCCTGACCGCAGGTGATCTGCCTGCCTTGCCCACCCAAAGTGCTGGGATTACAGGCATGAGCCACTGTGCCCAGTGACACAAGGTTTTACTTGTGCACTGCTTTAGATCTCTTCCTGCCCTGGACTAGACTAGAAATTGGCCATGGATCTTTATACAGTTCCCACATTATTACGTGAACTCAGCAGCTTATGTTGGAAGAAATGGAGGGAAAAAGAGGGAGGAACGTTTCTCTGCATTTAGGGATTCAAGGGGTCAGGAAAACAAGCTTTAAGCTTTTGGTTGTACACCTCTCTAGCTCTAGCTTTCCTTTCACTGAGGGGTTATGGATCTTATTTCAGAGGGAAGGAAACTGTCCTGTCCCAAGCCCACTGTGACACGTGACCCTTAACTAGTATACCTGTGGGGAGGGCTTCAGTTGCCACCCTAGAGAATGTGGGAGGGCTTCCCTTCCCCTGCCCCCATTTGTAGACATGGGAGTGTCTCCATTGCTTTGTATGCTGTTGCATTCTCCTCCCTCCTTGTTTTCCCTAAGCTAAGCTCTAAGCTAATTCTGTACAAAATACTGATTGTTTTTGTAAATTGCTTGCCATGAATGCCTGATAATGTACAGTGAAATAGGATTCTGCATACCATTAAATATGTCAAATATTACAAACTTTAAGGTTCTTTTGAAATTACAATACTAAACTCAGTTCACTTTTGCTTAGCCTTCACAGTTGTTGATCACATAGCATGGTCATCCACTCACAGCTTAAAAAAATACAGGGAGCATCGGAGAGAATGGGTAAAGTAAAATTTTGATGTTTTTAAAATAGCACCTAAATCTATGAAAGTTGATTTGGTTTCTTGTTTGTATGGGAGGGAGAGGGTGGGTAGTACTGGGGGGAGGGGGCGGATATTGGGAAGATAGCATGCAAAGTATAAAATCATGTCAGATACTACCTAGGCTAAGGTTGTAATGTTACTAATAAAATTTAAGTGTTAATATAAGTTTCAGAAAAGGCAGGACCATAGAATGGCAGTGTTGGGAATGACAGTGGGCTTATTTTTTCCCTCCTGATATATGGAAGGGGATTTTGAGAATAGCAGTATTTGAGTAAAATTTAGAGAGGAGGCCTCTTTTTAAAGTGACCTGTCTATATTCCCTGGTGGAACTGACTGCCTTAGGCTCTGATACATTGGTGACAGACCTGGAGATGAATAATATGCATCCTCATTTTTATTGTATACTTGTGACTCAGGTGTTCTCAAAGGTTATAATTCATGAAACTCATGAAGGTGTTGAACAAAAGAGGGAGGAAAGAGAGTTGTTGCTTGGTAGAGAATTTGGTAGAAATAGGAATTAATAGAAAAGTTGATGTTTCTATTAAAATGAAAAACACCTCACTTGCTAGAGTTCTAAATCAAGTTTCTAATTCTAAAAACTTGGCTGTGTAGTTAAGTACAAGGCCTGAATAACTATTGTAGAGGTTATAGGACAGAGAGATCTCCATGTTTTTATAGGTGGGATATTTTTTGTTGTTGACAGAAGTAACTTCGCCTGATCTCTGTTCCATTATTTTAATTTTTTTTTTTTACTTTATACACTAAAAATTTGGATTAAAAAATGAAAAATGTAAGAAATCAAATGTTACTCAAAAAGTATTGTTTTGCTCCCAACTCTGCAATTCTACATGAAGCCATTTGCCAAAGCCAGATATGGTTTACTTACTGTTCCCCCAAACCTTCTTGCTCTTATAAGCTTTGTCAAAGCTATTACTCCAGGTTGTAGTGCTTTTTTTTCTACTTTACTTTGATCTAAGTCCTGTCTTTCCTTCAAATTTTGGCTACTTATTGCATGAAGCTTTTTCCAATATTTCCATTCTTGGTGGTAATTTTAGTCTAAGAATTCCTGAAGTACTACCTAATTGAAACACACATTTGATACTTGGATCATGTTATCTTGTATTATAACTTATTACTCCATTAATATATCCTCGGCCGGGTGCAGTGGCTCCTGCCTATAATCCCAGCATGTTGGGAGGCCGAGGTGGGAGGGTCATTTGAGGCCAGGAGTTGGAGATCAGCCTTGGCAACATAGTGAGACCCTGTCTCTACAAAAAAATTTAAAAAATTAAAAAAATTAATATGTCCTATTTCTTTAGCAAAATCATTGGCTCCTTGAGGGGAGAGAGCTTGTCTTATATGCCCCTTTGTAATTCCATTGCCTAGCACAGCAGATGTTGTCACTAATAGGTTTGATTCTGTGATTTGGATCCAATGTCATTGTGACAGGATACTTTTTCCCCCATAATAGGTTATTTTTATATGACTTTATGCCCACAAAACCCAAAGATAAAACACATTAAATTGAAAATAATTTCTTGTATTATAAGGTGATTTGGTTCCTATTTGCAGTTCTTTCTTCTTTTTATAAAATAGGTGCTGTTTTACCTAGTTTCTTATGAAAAACATGGTTTGGGCCAGATATCTTGACAGAAACCAAATTACCAGCATTTTTCTTTTAAAAATTATTGTTGGTTTAGCTGAATTGTACTGCCATGGAATAAGCCCAAATAAATTTGTTAAGTACTGCATGGTTATGCAGCCAGATTGTTTTAAAATGTAAACCTTAAAGTCCCCAAGGCAGAACTTTAAAAATATCAATAAACAGTCAGTTGCTATTCTCTCTCAAGGTATTTCTGTATCTCAAATTATTAAGCGTTTTATTATTTCATTGTTTTAAAGATTTCTATAATGGCTGCTATTTGATAGCTGTATTTGTTGAGTTTGCTACGGTTATCAAATATTTATGGAGCACCCATTCATTTGCGGTGAGGAGTTATTTTAAAATGTTTTTTGGCATTTATAGAAACAGATTCTGATCTTAAAAGCTCACCAGGGAAAATATGTACAACTATTATGTATCCATAAAAATTTTAAAAAACACAAAAAAGCTCACCAGGGATACTGCCTGGTTTGCTATATTCCTATTAGGAATTTGTTCATATTTTAACTGATAGCTGTGTCTTCAGGGCACAATAACTTAATATTTGAATATAAGTTGTTAAGCACAAATCAGTTACTCTGCCTGATGAAATGTTTGATTAGTAAAACTCCATGAATACTGATTTTATTCTAAGGCCTGAGCCATTAGTTTAACAAAGCACTGAAATGATTCTGCTGTTGCCATTACCAAAACATTTAGATACTTTTAGCAGGAAGACTTATTAGATACATAAGGGATTTTTTTGTTTTGTTTTGTTTTTGTTTCAACTTTAAAATTTTATCATTTTAAAATTGCTTAATATAATTAGGGTACAGATTTAAAATGAAATTTTTTTCTTAAATGGTAGGAAGCAAAAAGCTTCTAATTAAATAGCATTGACATTCTGATATGAGTTTATCATAGCACCATTCTAACATGAGCTTGAGGTCCTCACCAAAGTCTTGATGAAACATACTTTTTAAAGAAATAATTTTTTAAAACCCCACTTGGCTCAAAGACATTGTCCAGAGCTCCAGCTTTGGACTTTTACCTGTAGTCAGTCATACAATTATCTGGGGTTATACTTGTTAAGTCAGTATTTAAAAAAATGAAACACCCTGATTTTGTTCACTTTTGTTTTTATATAAAAGAATCTTTACAGTCAACATGTACTTCTAGATGCTGTATTGAAATTGCTGGCAGAGTTTATTCTATACAAAATGAACAATCTGGCCCCTTGTTTTATTTGTAAAGGTTCAATGTATCTATGCCTGCCTACCTCAATCTGCAAGGGAGTGTCAGAAAGGCCCCGCATTCGCCAAGCCGTGAGTTATCGCTAACTTTTCAGATGTGTTAATGAATGTGGAACAAAAGCAGTTGTGTTTAAAAGGAAAAAGGACCATCAAAATAACTTTTATTATAGTAGCAGGCGTAAACACTAAACTGAATATTCCAAATTGTGTCAAAAATAACCTACTAGAGACGAGCTTCTAGAAAACCTATTGTTGAACTGCTCTGAAGCTATCATTTTAACTATAAATTACTGTTGTTAAAATTTTATATACCCTGGTTGCAAATTAGAATGTTTTAAAAATATCTTTAACCACGTTAAAACAATTTGAACAAAATCTTACCCCATCTAAAAATGATAGTGTTTAGTTGAATTTAAGTTAAGCTCTTTAGTATATGACCATATGAAGGGGTAAAGTTTTAATCTTTTTTGTTATTTACATGTGAAAATACAGAAACTAAGTGATTGAATCACATCCTACACGAAAGTTTTTGGAGTGCTCCAGGCATATCATGTGAAATACAGAGGTATTTATATCTCTTTTGGCACCAATAGTTCTTGCTTCAGTAATTCACCAGTAGGTTTTCATTCATCGATAATATATCAGTTTAAGGCTAAAATAAAACACCTACATTTCTTAGGGCTTATCATTCTATATAGAAAGAGGAAACATCCTAATGAGTTTTTTCTTTTGTTTTTCCAAAGAGATTCTAAGCAAAAAAATTTTAACTAACATCTATATTTTGTTATTGGAGCTAGTTACCTTTCTTTTTCTTAGATTCTTTAACGTTTTGAGTAGATAGCCATATTTGATAAGCAGGTTGGATGCTTCTGTTGCTTAGGAGGTAGGTGTATTGTGTTATATGAAGACAGAATGAATTTAAATATACCCAGTTTGGCAGTATGAAAAAGCTCAGACTACATAAAACTTGGAGGTATGGAACCTTTGGACGCATTAAAGTTAACGTTTCATTAGGCAATGTGCCTTTGTTTGACTGGTGTGTAAGTCCTTCTTCCAGGTTTGTACGCTCTTAAACGCGTTATTCTACCCTCTCTAACTCCTCCCAGCAGCAAAAGGGAGACACTTCAGCTGGAACAAAATAGTGGAAGAAATGGCGTCTGGGGTTCAGTGGGGATTCGCAGTGTGTATGCAATGTTTGCAAGATTATTTTTTATGTTTTTCAATTACTGTAAATAAAAATATATCAATGCTTAGTGTCAAGAAGGGAACATTGTATACCAGTATAAACTCTCTTAGTGGGTCTGCAAGTTGCTTAACCTCTCGGGGCCTCAGTTTTCTCATCTGCAATATGAAGGAGTTGGACTCGATAATCTTTAAAGTCCATTCCTGCTCTAAAATCCTATGCTTTTCTGAAGTACTCTATTTAACAGAATGCATTGCTTTCTCACTTTGACTATTTGAATTATGTATGCAGTACACTTACTGCAACTGCATGTTGTCTAAAATAGTTTTTCTATAGGATGTATATAAAAACTAATCCCTCTTGAGCTGATTTATAATGTGTGTATATAGCCACACATAAAAAGCTAGTAATAGTAGGGCTCTCAGAAAATACTTTCCAGTTGTCTAACCTTGAATGTTATTAACTCTTCTATATTACAGGAGATACAACTCGTCAACGAATCAAATTCAGTGATGACAGAGTATGCAAGAGTCACCTTCTCAACTGTTGTCCTCATGATGTCCTTTCTGGAACTGTATGTATTTACTAAATGTATTGTTAGATTACTGATATGCTGCAGTAATGAACTACTTGATAAAGTCTTAATTCTGTGTCAAAAGAATTGACTTGTGAGGGGAGATTTGCATCCTTTATTGTTTGTTTATTCAGGATGATTACTTAAATCTTCAGTAATGGGTTTCCTCACAAAAGTGGTTGATACGTTTTGTTTTATAATTTTTTCCATTCTTCAGAGCAGTTTTTTAAAAGCATGTTTTATTTGGAATACAGAAGTAGTTATATAGCATTTGTACTTTTAGTTCAGAAATAAAATAATTTATTTTTAAAGTTCCTTTTACTGTTAAACAGAGTAGACTTTTATCTAGTACGGTATACATTTTTGTTAAGATTTGTACACATTTGTGGAATCAGTGGGGAAATATATTAGTAAATACTTATATCCACACAGCTTAATTTGGGAGTATTGTCACTTAAAATATTGCTCCTGCTAATAATGTAAAGCTCAATTTAGATTCTATGTCTGCAGAGATGTTGATCTTAGAGTATCATCGTTTTAATTTGGAAGATAAACTGCATGATGATGGACCTGTTGGAATGTGGAACAGAGAATTTGATTCTCTGAATTTTGGATTTGGTTGAAATGATTACAAGTAGCTTCCCTTCATAGTTGCATCTGATGCTGGTGGGGAGCTAGTAGGGGCTAAACCTCGAGCTGGCTTTAGTTCTCATTTGCCAGAAATGACTGAAATGAAGAAAGATTTCTGACTTGCCTTTTCAGAAGCAATGAGTTTCTCAGCCAAATGAGTGGTTTCTTCTTTGATAGGAAGAGTTAAAATTAAGGACATGCCCCAAAGAGAGATGTATCAAGGCATATGCAACAGGAAACACCTTTGACTTTTTCCAGGAGGAAAGACAGTTGAAACTATATTATGTTAACGGGGAAAAAAGAGCCTAAGTTTATTTTAAAGTATAATACTACAAAGCAAGAAATCCAGTTTCTGAGCACAGGAATTTGGAAGGACTGTGACAGATAATAAATATAATAAACTCTAAACTCTTTATTTATTTATTTATTTTTTCTGATACAGAGTCTTGCTCTGTCACCCAGGCTTGGCGTGCAGTGGCGCAATCTCAGCTCACTGCTACCTCCACTGCCTGGCTTCAAGCGATTCTCCTGCCTCAGCCTCCGGTGTAGCTGGAATCACAGGCGCGTGCCACCATGCCCGGCTAATTTTTGTGTGTTTATTTTTATTTATTTATTTATTTTGAGACGGAGTCTTGCTCTTCTTGTCACCCAAGCTGGAGTGCGGTGGCATGATCTTGGCTTATTGCAGCCTCTGCCTCCTGGGTTCAAGCGATTCTCCTGCCTCAGCCTCCCAACTAGCTGGGATTACAGGTGCCCACCACCATGCCCAACTAATTTTTGTATTTTTAGTAGAGATGAAGTTTCGTCATGTTGGCCAGGCTGGTCTCGAACTTCTGACCTCGTGATCCACCCGCCTTGGCCTCCCAAAGTACTGGGATTACAGGCATGAGCCACCGTGCCCGGCCCTAATTTTTGTATTTTTAGTAGAGACGGGGTTTCACCATGTCGGTCAGGCTGGTCTTGAACTCCTGACCTCTTGATTTGTCCACCTCAGCCTCCCAAAGTGCTGGAATTACAGGCATGAGCTACCGCGCCTGGCTTTTTTTTTTTTTTTTTTTTTTGAGACAAGAGTCTTGCTCTGTCAGCCAGGCTGTGAACACTGCCCACTGCAGCCTCCACCTCCCGGGCTCAAGAGTTTCTCCCACCTCAACCTCCCAAGTAGGTGGAGCTACAGGCACACACCACCATGCTCGGCTAATTTTTGTATTTTTTGTAGAGACTAGGTCTCACCATGTTACCCAGGCTTGTCTCAAACTCTTGGCTTCAAGTGATCCTCCTGCCTCAGCCTCCCAAAGTACTGGGATTACAAGCGTGACCCACTGCACCTGGCCATAATAAACTCCTTTATCTACTTTCTAACATTTTCGTAATTATTTTATACCGTGTGCTATGCTGCATCTGAAATCTATGAAATCTATCATTGTCTATAGTATACTGTGATTCTCCATGTTTAATATTGTATAAAATTTAACTTTATTTAATTTAAAAAATTTACTTTTAATTTTTATTTAATGGCTAAATTACTACTTGAGATAAATTTTGAGAACAACATTAACAAAACCACTTGAGGCCAGGAGTTTGAGACTAGCCTGGTCAACATAGTGAAACCCCATCTCTACAAAAAGAATTAAAAAAAAAATTAGCCTGGCATGGTGGTATTTCCTGAAGTCCTAACTGCCTGGGAGGCTAAGACAGGAGGAATGCTTGAGCTCAGGAATTCAAGACTTCAAGTGAGCTGTGATCACACCAGTGTACTCTACCCTGGGCAACAGAGTGAGACCCTGCCTCAAAAAAAAGAAAAAAGAAAAATCAACAGTTACAATTCAGTGTTTTTCATTCTTCATTTAACATCAGAAAAGAAATAGGCATCTTGAACATAAAGAGGTGTAAACTATCACACTCTGTCCCAAAAAGCATTTGTTCTTTAGGGATTGACTGCTAAGAAGCCATAGCTCTGTAATTATAAGCTATTTGTACATAGGGTGAACTGTTAAGTTTTTCAGGTCCTTAAGGACACCATTGTATGACACTTTCGGAGTCTCACAACGTCCTTTACGTGGTCCTCAAAACTCTGCTTAAATTCTGAAAGGTTCACAACTCAAGTAATCCTCCTACTTCAGCCTTCCAAAGCACTAGGACTACAGGCAGGAGCCACTGTGCCTGGCCTTAACTGTTGATTTTATGATGCTTTTTCTTTGTTGTGTACCTAAAGATTGTATGACTAAAGGTTGCCCTTTAGTTTGTATTTTTAGTAGAGACGGGGTTTCACCATGTTGGTCGGGCTGGTCTTGAACTCTTGACCTCTTGATCTGTTCGCCTCAGCCTCCCAAAGTGCTGGAATTACAGGTGTGATTAGGTGTGCCTAAGATCTGTCACTTGCAGCAGAATATGATTTACCAGTATTTTAGGTTATTTAGAAAAAGAATACAGAAAAGCCAGGCATGGTTGTACATACTTATAGCCCCAGCTACTTTGGAGGCTGAGGTGGGAAGGTTGCCTGAACTCAGGATTTCAAAGGTAGCCGGGACAACATAGTAAGACTCTGTCACAAAGGAAAAAAGTATCCAGAAATGCATTTCCTGCCTTTTTTTTTTTCTCATTATAAAGAGGTTGGAACTTTATATCAAGCACTTAGAGATGGAGAGTGTGATTTCTAAATATTCTCTTCATAATTGACAAGTTAGTTTGGAATTTTTTGCAATTGAGTTTCATGAAAATGCACTTACAACATTTTACCTTTCATTATTCTAGTATAACTAATGCTTTTTTTTTTTTTTTTTTTTTTTTTTTTTTTTTTTTTTGAGACAGATACTCGCTCTGTTGGCCCGGGTGGAGTGCAGTGGCATGATCTCGGCTCACTGCAACCTCCGCCTCCAGGTTCAAGTGATTCTGCCTCAGCCTCCCGAGTAGCTGGGATTACAGGCATGCACCACTACACCCAGCTAATTTTTGCATTTTTAGTAGAGACAGGGTTTCATCTTGTTGGCCAGGCTGGTTTTGAACTCCTGACCTCAGTTGATCTGCCTGCCTCGGCCTCCTAAAGTGCTGCAATGATAGGCCTGAGCCACTGTGCCTGGTCTGGCATAACTAATTCTTAAAATAATAAATTAATCAGGGCTGGGCGTGGTGGTTCACGCCTGTAATCCCAGCAGTTTGGGAGGCCGATCACTTGAGGTCAGGAGTTTGAGACCAGCCTGGCCAACCAACATGGTGAAACCCCATCTCTACTGAAAATACAAAAAATTAGCCGGGCGTAGTGGCCCGCACCTGTAATCCCAGCTACTCGGGAAGCTGAGGCAGGAGAAATACTTGAACCCTGGAGGTAAAGGTTGCAGTGAGCCGAGATCACACCACTGCACTCCAGTCTGGGTGACAGAGCAAGACTCTGTCTCAAAATAAATTAATAAATTAATCAGAGGAGGTAAAACAGAACAGAGGATCAAAATAATTATACGTTTAATGATTTTTATAAGAAATATGAATATTTTCTTTATCTCAGAAAGTTACTATACTTCAAAAGCTTGCGGCTAGGCTCAGTGGCTCATGCCTATAATCCCAGCACTTTGGGAGGCCGAGGGGGGATGGGGGATCATCCAAGGTCAGGAGTTCGAGACCAGCCTGGCCAACATGTTGAAATCCTGTCTCTGCTAAAAATACAAAAAAAGTAGCCGGGCATGGTGGCAGGTGCCTGTGATTCCAGCTGCTCGGGAGGCTGAGGCAGGAGAATCGCTCAAACCCTGGAGGTGGAGGTTGCAGTGAGCTGAGATTGTGCCACTGCACTCCAGCCTGAGCAAAAGAGCGAGACACCGTTTAAAAAAATAATAATAAAATAAGAAGCTTGGATTATTTTTCTATTCTTCTAGAATATATTCATATTGTAGTCTCTCTCTTTTCCTCATTTTGGCCCACTTTCTCCCTGCTAAACTCACTGTAGGCAGTATGCCCTTTCAGATTTAGGCAAAACAAAAAAACCTAAACCAAGCTGTCATTTTTTTCCTCAACACATTTCTTCTGGTACGTATCTTCCCTGAGGAAAGATAAAGAAATTGACATGCTTTAAAAAATATTTCCATCTAGTTCCTAGTGATCGGGAAAAAAGATACATGACTAATAATTTATAGTAGACTTTAAATATAAAGCAAAGATGTTAACAGAAACTTGAAATTAAGATCTTAGGACATGGCAAATGTATACTCTCATAGTATGTGTGTTCAAAATTCAGAAATCAGCACCACTAATTTTATGATAGCCCTCATCATAGCGTAACTTTACTGTTGATAGGCCCTCATATCTTCTAGTGTAAAGTCATCATTTTACAGTTCAGAAAAACTAAGGCTTAGAGAAATTGTGCTGTTAAATGTCTCAATAAAAAAAAACCACAGTATTCTATACCATTTAGGAATCTTAAATCTAGAAATACTTAAAACAATTTTTTGTCAGTTTTTTAGGTAATTCAGTTATCCAGGGCAGTGACTTTCACATGTTTCTGAAACATCCTTGGAGGCAGCTCATGCACTAAGGATTTAGGAGTAGGCTAGTTCGTTCTATTTCAACTCAAATTTTACATATTTTATTTTATTTTATTTTATTTTTATTTTATTTTTTATTTTATTTTATTTTATTTTATTTTATTTTATTTCATTGAGACAGGGTCACACTCTTGGCCAGGCTGGAGTGCAGTGGTGCCATCTCGGCTCACTGCAACCTCTGCCTCCTGGGATCAAGCAAGTCTCCCGCCTCAGCCTCCCGAGTAGCTGGGATTACAAATGTGCGCCACTAGGCTCGGCTAATTTTTTTTTTCTTTTTTTGAGACAGAGTCTCGCTCTGTTGCCCAGGCTGGAGTGCAATGGTTTGATCTCGGCTCACTGCAACCTCCCACTCCCGGGTTCAAGTGATTTTCCTACCCCAGCCTCCCAAGTAGCTGAGATTACAGACACACGCCACCATGCCTGCCTAATTTTGTATTTTTAGTAGAGACGGGGTTTTGCCTTGT